>NC_000012.12:96835128-97460128 GCF_000001405.40 Homo sapiens | reverse complement strand
TTTATAATATTCCCCAAGACATGCTCCAGCTACATTCAGTTATTCATTCACACAATAAACTTCATGGTGACATAACTTCTGAGAGTCTCCCTGGGAATGCTAAAAGTAACCCAACTCTACCAAAGTTAAAAATCATCTCTCCACAATCTAAGTTCTCCATGCAGTTATTAAATACGTAGAAGATCACCTCTGTGCATAATCTACAAATGGCTTAGATTACATATTAAAATTCTAATTAAAAGTCTTCATCTTATCTCAGTTGGCCGATTTGAGATTAGAGAGCGAATACGGGTTTGGCATGAAAGCTCATGTGGAATCAAGATTTCTGATGATCGCAACTTAGAAATTAGTAGCAGTGTTACAGAGTATTGCTAATAGAAATAAAATAACGCAAAACTATGAACAACTTCTGAGACCCTCCTTAGATGGTGAGTATACAGTGACATGAAGAGATTCCCTGGTAACTTCTATTCCATAGGAATGTACTTGCTTGAGAGTTGGAGAACGACATGAGAGATGAAATTTCTGCAGGTGTGAGAGGAAATTATGCCCATTATTACATTCGAAATTGAAATATTGAAAAATATGATCATGTAATTTTGACTGACTAGAAAACGTATTATGCAACATAAACTAAGGCTTTTCAGTATTTAAGATCCAGGTTAGAAGAAACATTAGATTTCCACTTAATCCATAACTAAGTGAAAACAGTATTTCTGAGAGTGATGTTCTAAAAAGTGATGGAACATTTAATGGAAAATATTAGGAGTTACTTCATACCATCTACATGCTTACAACATTTTATAGTATGACCATTTGGCAATTAGCAGAAGGAAAGATACGCGTTTTCCCTAACAATCCTCTCACTGCAAAGTAATAACACATTTTACAAAGTCCACCTCATCAACTTCCTGACCTACAGTTTAAATTAGATAAATTCATTTCAGAAAAGCTCAATGAAGTATTTTACTCATTAATTAGTAAGCAATCAGATATTTAGAAGTAACAATGGAGTATTTTGCCTTCTTTATTCAAAGGTAGCTGCTGGAAGTCAACTCTAAGAACATGCACACGGAGACCAGAATGTGAACATTTTGAATGGTAACAAAGGGAAAGGACATGTATTGCTGCATATGAAAATGAAACAATATGTTTTCCATAAATGTTTCTATGAATGCACTCTTAAGTAGTCTGGGGCTTACAGCACAGTGAAAATAAATGTCCATGTAGCTGATTGATGAGAGTTGATATTTAACACATAAGCATTTCATAGAAGTTGGGAAACTCCCCCAAGGAATTGGGCAGAAAAAAAGTGGTGAAGATTTTCCTACATTTATTTTGTACAGCATTTTTGAAAAATCTCAGAAATTCTAGAACATGCATATTTTCTTCAAGAATTGCCATTCTAGAAATTTTTCTTACTAGACATATGTTATTATTCTACATCCCATTCTTTAAGTAACACAGGACTACCCAGCTTCTCCAACAGCTGATGGCAGATCTGCACAGCGATTGGTAGAGTATTATTCTGAGACAGAGCATCACATGAAAGTGCTCATCACCCTTCCTTCTGTCATGTGGGGTCTTCTCCATCCAAATCTTCTGATAAAAGTCAGGATAAAGCATGATTTATTTACATGGTAAAGTCATTATACTCCTGACCTAAAATGTTACTGGACCTTTCCCTAGCTATTGCTATTTAAGGAATTCTTTTAAAGACAATTTAATTTCCTTCCACCCAGTCAAGTTTTTCTCCACAGATAATTGGCTTTCATTATAAGCACACACACAAAAAATCAGTGAAGTCAGTATGTATGAGGCATTTAAATATTTTCAAATTAAAGTATGCCTGTATTTATGTTAGGGTACCCAAACACACACTTCCACTTGATTCTGTATAACTGATCTTATAACGTATGAGAAAGCACTCATAACATATGAGAAAGCACTGTGGAAATGTTAAAGGCTACACAGCCAAGTTAGTCATTAATAGTAGTAGAAGTCCAAATAAGTCAGTATTGCAGATGGCATTTTTTTTTATTTTAAACAAGCACCTTATTGAAAAGCAATAGAGTCTCCTTGCTAATTTTACTGAATTTTTGCATGCTTACTACTAGAATACTCTAGTTTTATTTTCTGATTTTTTTCTAATATCATTTACACAACAGCCCTTTTGGGATTTATACAACTTATCTCAGTATATTATTGTCATCAAAAGTGTGTTTGAGATGCTAGTGCAGAATTGCTAATTGTTCATAAGTACCTTGAAACATCAGATTAGCAATGTTTATAATTGTCCAAATATAGCATGACCATATGAAATCAATTACTATGCACATCAATCTTTGACATTTTAATGCATTACAACTGTCGTACAGTTGCCACAAACTTTTGTACAAAGCCAGAGTTTCTATTGCCTGAAAATCGAATGAAGTAGTATTTGATTGTAAACGTTGGAGAAATAAGCATAGCAGCATATGTAATGTTGAAACTGGTCTACTTACTTGAATATTCATCTGCTCTAAATTTAGACTCTATCCTCCAATGTGAAGAATTTCACATTGGAGAAATTGTCAGTGTCCTCTTGATCCCACAGTCTCTCTTCCATAGGTGAACTCTTATCAAATAAAAAGAGCCCCATCTGAATAATACTACAACTCTTTTATAAAAGTCACTTAACTTCTGAGAACTGACTGATATTCTGAAATGCCTTCCTGACACAGGTGTCTGTTGCTGGCTATTGTCAGATTTGATTTATCGGACTTATGTAGTCAAAATTGTTTTCATTTTTTCCTCCTGGAGCCCAAGGTGGTGAAGTGGGAATGGCTTCTCCGTAATATTTATTTGCTTTCTGATTGGAGGGAGAGAGTTAGCATTTTTCAATTCAAGATCAAAGATAGACATGTCCATGGGACAAAACACAGTTTTCTGTTTGAATTTGGGTCTGATATTTGCTCCATTTGTGAATGACACAAAATAAAACAAAACAACAAAACTCAGTTCATAACATTTTGGTGTGTTTGATTCCATCAAGTCACTGTGACTTAAAAGAAAAAGCCAGTCAAATGAGAAAAGAAAGGAAACATTCCAAGAAAATTAGTTTCTTCTCTCAGTCCCACCACATCCCCTGAGTCCCGAGACCTGACTGCCGACCAGGCTTTTCCTCCTGTTGAATAGTCACTGTTTCTGAACCGACAGCACTCAATGAAGCTAAGGTCAGGCTATATTGAGTTGGCATTTGCAGTGATAACAAATCAGAAATGATAGCATCATAGAGATTTATGAATTTTTTACCCCTGCAGTCACAAACATCAGACGTTTACTTTATAAAGAGAGCTTTTAGATCCTTCCTGCAGTTTCCATAGTGATTTCATTTTTTCCCTTTTATCACAGATTGGCTGAAGAGCTGCTACCCTTTGTGAGTTAAAAGGCTTGTGCTACCAACTGTCGATATAAAAGGTAGCTGAGGCAAAGACGCAATATATACTGCCAAAAATAATTGAAATAGAGAGAGACATGTCGGTGAAAGGTTCCAGAAGATTTTTGTTTCTGTATCAATGTGATAGTACAGGAGAAAATAATTTTGCCTGAATTCTCATAATTACTTTGAGTTGAATGTAGTTATATTTTAAGCTGTGTACCATACTTATATTAAAACGCTCATCATACAAAACATAATCCTTTCATAAAAGGCTTTAATATAGCTTATGCTGTTCCAAGTGTCTGGGCTTGTTAAACATCAAAGTTCATTACGAAAACATTTTCACTTCAGTTACTTTAGTTTCGGCTGCAATGTTTACTCCAACGTTTGTTCTTCTTTTCTCATCTCTCAGCTTATTCAACTTTATTTTTTCTGTTAAGGAAAAGTGCACTGCATTTTAAAAATTAATGCAGACTTTCCATAGCATAACAGTGAAAACTTGTGGAAAGAACCAGTGCATTTCTAGCTAGCACATAAGAAAGTGAGGGCTCAGTTATTAATTTAGTTCTACCTTGTTTTATATAGTTCTTCTACCTATTAAAATTGAGCATTTAAATGAATTTTAAATGTTATACTGATTTTTCTTTCAATTCTCATATTATTTAATAATGTTGGTACCTGAATAATCCTAGTCATGGGTTGCTATGATCCTGAGAGAAATGTCTGCTCTCTAACTACTTATTAAATATATTGAATTCTTGTCATGATGCTATATATGTATTACAAATAAACTTTTAGCTCAATATGCTGTTTTAAGACTGTGGAGAAAACAACATCATTGCTAATTTCTACTACAGTTTATGTTATTTCTAATAGAGTCAGCCTTCCATATCTGAGGGTTCCACACCTGCGGATTCAATCAACTAGATCAAAAATATTGAAAAATAAAAATAAAGAATACAATGAGAGAAAATAATACAAACAAAAGCAATACAGTATGACAACTACGTACATGGCATTTACATTGTATTAGGTATTATAAGTAATCTAGAGATGATTTAAAGTATATGGGAGGTACAAGTATATGACAAGTATATTACATTAAAATATTATACTATTTTATTTAAGGGACTTGAGTATCCTTGAATTGAGGTATTTATCAATAGTCTTGTAACTAATACTCTGTGGACACTAAGGGAATACTGTATTAAATGACAATAAATATAAAAATAATTGTCATTTTAGAAAAAAATAGTAGTTCTATGAAAGTAGTTAAGATAGACACTTGACCTTTAAATAATGTGGGGGTTGGGAGTGCCAACCCCCCATGAAGTCAAAAATCCAGGTGTAACTTTTAAGTCACCAAAACTTAACTATCAATAGCCCACTATTGACCAAAAGACTTACCAATAACACAAATAATTGATTAACATATATTTTGTATGTTTTATGTATATATAATATACTGAGTTTTTATAATAAAGTAAGCAAGAAGAAAGAAAATATTATTAAGAAAATCATAATGAAGAGAAAATGTATTTACTGTTTATTAAGTGGAAGTGGATCACCATAAAGGTCTTCATACTTGTCTTCACACTGAGTAGGCCACGGAGGTAGAAGAAGGGTTGGTCATGCTATCTCAGGAGTGGCAGAAGTAGATGAAAATCTGCATACGAATGGACTTATGCAGCTCAAACCCAAGTTGTTCAATGGTTAACTAATATATCCTTATATATTATATTAAAATATTTCAATTTCTAAAAAGATATAGGTATCTATGGTCTCTACTGCATGGTTATTGCAACATACCCTTTTTTCCAGCTCATATTTTCTTTTCTCTAATTTCCAAAGTACATATAGCCTAAATAGGCTAGTTATTTCTGAATTTTTACTCAGTGTTAACAAAATTATGCACCATAGTAAGATTTATTCTTTTCCTTTTCATCCCACTTTCAGCAGGGGAAACAAGAAATAAAATGGATTTTGAAAGAAAAGATACAAATTGATTGATATGCTAAGAATTTCAAGAGTTCGTGGGACAGGTAGGCATAGTATGAGGAACCTATTTTAGTTAAGCTCTTTGAGGGTCAAGGAATAGAGTTTTGTTTTTTTTTTTTTACTCACCTTGACAAATGGTATAGTTATGTGTAAGAAAACACAAAGTAGGCCGGGTGCAGTGGCCCATGCCTGTAATCTCTGTACTTTCCAAGGCTGGGGCACAAGGATTGCTTGAGCTCAAGAGTTCAACACCAGCCTGCGCAACATAGTGAGATCCCACCTCTATAAAAAAACAATTCTTTAAATGAGCTGGGCATGGTGGGGCATATCTATAGTCCCAACTACTTGGGAGGCTGAGGTGAGAGAATCACTACAGCCCAGGAAATTGAGGCTGCAGTGAACCATGATCTCACCACTGCACTCCAGCTTGGGCAACAGAGCAAGATTTTGTATCATAAAAAAAAAAAAAGAAAAAAGAAAGAAAACACAAAGTAATAATTAACATGGAACTGTCACTCTAATCTATATAATCATACTTCTGAACTGCATAGACACTGAAATAGGAGTCAAAAAAGTACTGGAGACCTGGTCTGCTAGAATTTATGGATTCAGTCATTGAACAAATTCTTAAACACATCACATGCCAGACACTTTGGTATATGTTGGGTGTATCTCCATTTGTTAACAAGAGACAGCATCCTTGCCTTCATGAGCCTTGCAGTCTGGAGAGGAAGTAGGGGGATAAAGAAGCAGCAAGCAAATAAGATGTAATTTTATTAAAGAAAATAGCAGTGTCTTCAAGACAGTCATTTATAATCTGGCACTTGAGGAATGAAGAGATGGCTGCCACACATGAACCATGTGGGAGGAGTATTTCAGACACAGTGAGATAATTCTATGTTTGAAGAAATGGAGGGAGGCCAGTGTAGATGCAGCAAGGGAGCAAGGGTGATGGCAGCCCCAGATTTGATTACAGAAGGCATAGACTGTGGTTCAGGTCAATTAAGTTCTAAGCATAAGGGAATATCATTGAAGGGTTGCAAGCAAAGAAAGAATATGATCAAGTTTTATTTTTAAGGATCATTCTGGTTGGCATGTGTAAAATAGCTTGGAATAAGATGAATGTAGAAATAAGGAGATAAATTACTGTAGAGACTCAATAAAGAGATGCCGATGGACTGGACCAGGGGAATGTTGTCAAGAGGAGACAATGGATTTGAGTAGATAATGGAGGTAGAATTGTCAACCTGTAGAGATGGATAGTCTGTGGGTGGGGAGTCAGAATAAGGAGCCAAGGACTCCCAGGTTGTTGTGACGCAGTGGCTGGGGGTGGAGGGGGCGCAGGGAGGGAAGAGGAAATAGTGGGATGAGAAATACAAAGGAAAAAAATATTTATCAGGGTAGAAAGAGCAAAACTTTAGTTCTAGACTTATTAGATTTTATACATCTATGGATGTCTCAGAGATATGGTGTGGGTTAGAGACATAAATTTGTGAGTTGTCAGTATATGGATAGCATTTAAAGATATTTGTTTTCCAGGAAAAATAAACCATCTAGGAAAATCCTATGCAAAAAGAAGACAATGAATCCTAAGCTGGAGATCTGAGAAATGTCAACATTTAAAGGTCTGATAGAAGGAGGAACTGAGAAACAACCAAAAAGGTAGGAAGAAAACAGAGAAACTAGAGTGCCTCAGAAGCTCAGAAAAGAGGCTATTTCAGAAAGGGGGAAATGGCCAACCATGCAAAATATTACAACAAGGTCAAGTAAGACAAGAATGGAAAAAATATTTTGAATTAATTTACATGTAGTTCACTGGTGGCATTATGAAATGCTAGAGGTACAAACTACATCATAAGGGATTGAGGGATGATTGGGAAGTAAGAAAGTAGAGCTCTCACGTTTGGACAAATCGTTGAGAAGTTTAGTAATAAAAGGAAGCAGATAGTCTAAAAGCTATTGGAGAGGTGACTGGCTCAAGGGTGGTTTTCTTAATTTTTGTCAATATTGAAGATTCTGGAATGTGTTAACAACGAGATTAATCCATCAATAAAGGACTAAGGAAAGAGAAAATGAGGAAAGCACTGAACTCTTTGACAAGGCAAGAAAGGAAGGGATTTAGAGCACAAGTGGGAGGATTGAGTTTTGCTAGGAGAAGAGACATTTCTCCCACTGTTACTAGGAGAGAAGATGAATAAAGAGCCAACTAGGTGTGTAGATTTGGTGTAAGAGGAGAGTGAGTTCTTGACTGACAACGGGCTTTCATTTTCTAAATGAAGTGTGAGCCACAGTGATCAGCTAAGAGCAAGGGGAGGAGAGAGGATGTGGAAGTTTAAAGAGAAAGTATAAAATGTGTCATCTTGAGTTAAAGAAAGATTATTCAAGACACTTGTTAAAGACAATAAGAAAGACTTTATTTAAGAAAGCATCCAAATTGGAAAGGAAGAAATCAAATTATCCTTGTTTGGGGATGACATGATCTTATATTTAGAAAACCTAAAGACTCCACCAAAAAGAAACCTCTTAGAACTGATAAACAAATTCACTAAAGTTGTAGGATACAAAATCAGCATGCAAAAATCAGTAGCATTTCTATTTCTTAACAGCAATCAATCTGAAAAGGAAATCAAGAAAACAACCCAATTTGTAACAGCTACCAAAAAAAAAAAACAACAAACAAACAAACAAACAAAACCTAGGAATAAATTTAACCAAAGAAGTGAAAAATCTCTACAAGGAAAACCATAAAATACTGAAGAAAAAAACTTGAGATGGATATAATAAATGGAAAAATATTCCATGCTCATGGATTGGAAGGATTAATATTGTTAAAATGTCTACCCAAAGTGATTTACAGATTCAATACAATCCCTATTAAAATACCAATGGCAGTTTTCACAGAAATAGAAAAAAATCCTAAAATTTGTATGAAATCACAAAAGACCCCGGATAGCTAAAGCAATCCTGACCAAAAACAGCAAAGCTGAAGGCATCACATTATCTGATGTCAAATTAGACAATGAAGGTATAGTAACCAAAATAGCAATGTACTGGCATAAAAACAGACATATAGACCAATGGAACAGAATAGAGAACCCAGAAATAAGTCCACATACTTACATCCAACTTATTTTTGACAAAGGTGCCATTTTAACAAAGGTGGCAAGAACATTGGGGAAAGAACAGTCTCTTTAATAAATGGTGCTGGGCAAGCTGGATCTCCATATGCAGAAGAATGGCATGAGATCTCCATTTTTCACAATATACAAAAATCAACTCAAAATGGATTAAAAACTTAAATGTAAGACCTGAAGCTATGCAAGTACTAGATAAAACATTGGGGAAATGGTAAGGACATTGGTCTGGGGAAAGATTTTTTTGGGGGGTAAGATATTGAAAGGACAGGAAACAAAAGCAAAAAATAGACAAATGGGATTAAATAAAACTGAAAAGCTTCTGCATAGAAAGGAAACAATCAACGAAGTGAAAAGACAACCTAGAATGGGAGAAAATATTTGCAAACTATCCATCTGACTATCTGACAAGAAATTAATGATCAGAATATATAAGAAACTCAGACAATTCAATAGCAAAAAAAAAAAAAAAAAATCTGATTAAGAATGGGCAAAAGACCTAAATAGACATTTCTCAAAAGAGGACATACAAATGGCCAACAGGTATATAAAAAAATGCTCAACATCATTAATTATCAGGGAAATGTAAATCAAAACAAAAATGAGATATTAGCTCACCCCAGTTAGAATGGCTGTTACAAAAAAGACAAAAAATACAATGCTAACAAGGATGTTGGTGGGAATGTTAAGTACTACAGCCACTATGGAAAACACTATGGAGATTCCTCAGAAAACTTAAAATAGAACTACCATATAATCCAGCCATCTCACCGCTGGATATATAGCCCAAAAAAAGGAAATTGGTATATCAAAGAGATATCTGCCCTCCTGTGTTTATTGCAGCACTACTCCTACTAACCAAAAAATGAAATCAACCTATGTGCCCATCAGTGGATGAATGAATTTTTTAAAATGTGGTACATATGTGCAGTAGAATATTATTCAGCCATAAAAAGAAGAAAATTCTGTCCTTTGCAGCAATACAGATAGAACTGGAAGTCATTGTGTTAGGTAAAATAAGCCAGGCACAGAAAGACAAATATCACATGTTCCCACTCATATGTGGGAGCTAAAAAAGTGTATCTCATGGAGATGAGAGTAGAATGATGGTTACCAGAGAGTGAGAAGGGGAGAAAGGAGGAAATAAATGAAGAGAAGTTAGTTAGTGGGTATTAAAATATAGTTAGATAGAAGAAATGAATTCCAAGATTTAATAGTACAGTAAGAAAATTATAGTTAACAATAATTTACTGTGTCTTTCAAAATAGCTAGAAGAGAAGATTTGTAATGTTCCCAGTGCAAAGAAAAAAATAAATATTTGAGGTAATGGATATCTCAATTATCCTGATTTCATCACTACACACTGTATGCAGGTATCAAAATATCACATGTACTTCCAAAATATGTGTGATTATTACATAACACAAATAAATAAAATAACAGAAAATCTAAAAAAAAAATAGACTACTGAAATGAGAGGTTTTACAGTAGGAATGATCAGCTCAGCTCCAAATATAACAAGGATGAGTGGGGATTTATAGCCAAGAAGCAGAGTAGGGGTCAGTGGATGGAAAACTATTAGAAGAAACATCAGGATAGGGGAGATTCTGGCTAGAATGACCTGATAGGATTCTTGCTGAAGACAGGTCAGAGTGATAAGATACCATGCATAGGGGATGAGGAATTTGATCAGATATTAAGAGTGCTCAAATACCCAGGATGGAGGATTTTCACTAAATGGATCCAGCAGGATTCTTGCTTAAATTTGACTAAGGAGGGTAAGGACAAAGCCCAAGGTCAGGTCCTCATTACAAAAGAGCTCAGAGGAAGCTGTCTAGAGTCTGGTCAAAGAGAGACATTGTCACTTATAGAGTAGAAATATGAGCTTACTAGATAAATATAGAAGGACTCTCAGACAGGCAGGTTTAAGTGCTCATTTAAGGTTTATGACCTTAAATTTAATGTGAAACAAAATTCTAAATGCATGTTTGATTTTTTTTTCCAATAAAGTTTAACTGCTTGACTCAAAGGTACCAGGCTGGGGCTGTGCCAAGTAAAACAACAGAGGGAATTGGATAAAATAAAGTAGGAGCATTTGCTGAAGAATGGTTATATTGATGGACTATGGAATCCTGTCTTGGGGAGGAGGAAAGGGAAGCCTTCCTCTCTTCTCAGGAATGAAAATGGTTGGTGGTCTATGGATTGTAGGTCTTGATAAGGCTGAAGGTTGTATAAATGAAGAGTCAAGATGAAAGGATGGGAGACAGTGATCTCAGAATGAGATATTTGAAATGCAGATAGCAGAAGTAGTAAAGTCTCCATCAAGGCCAAGGGTTATGGCCATGGGAACACATGGCATTTCTATTTCTTGTGGTTTGTAGTAGCCACAAAGGAGAAGTGGGTACTCTATGGATGCAGATATTAGAAAGCTCCAAGGAAATATAGATGGGAGTCTGTGTATTCCAAAGGGAATATCAAGTGGAAAGATGCCCAAGGATGTTGAGAACTTATCAGAATCTCGACTTTGGAAAAAATACAAGTGATGAAGAAGAAAAAATCAATAAAAATTTGAAGATAGTAGTAATGTTTGACAGGGTGCACTTTAAGAGAGCTCGATTAAATGAAGGCATATATAAAAGAAAAGGGCTGGGCACAGTGGCTCACGCCTGTAATACCAGCACTTTGGGAGGCCAAGGTGGGCAGATCACTTGAGGTCAGGAGTTTGAGACCAGCCTGGCCAACATGGTGAAACCCCATGTCTACTAAAAATACAAAAGTTAGCTGGGTGTGGTGGTGCATGCTTGTAGTTCTAGCTACTCGGGAGGCTGAGGCAAGAGAATCACTTGAACCTGGGAAGCAGAGGTTGCAGTGAACTGAGATCACGCCACTGTACTCCAGCTTGGGTAATGAAGTGAGACTCTGTCAAAAAAAAAAAAAAAAAAAGAAAGAAAGGAAGGAAGGAAGGCAAGCACATATCCAGAAATAAGAAAACAGGAAAGCAAAGACTATCAGGCAGGAAAAGACCAGAACAAGCTGACTTGTGTAAAAAAATGTAATAAATGAAACAGATTTTAAACCTATATTCTGATGAAGAAGAAAGAGATCGACTACTTGGGGCAAATGGAGTCATTCATTCATGCAGTTATTCAAATGAGCTTTTACAAAGTCCCTACTGTGTGCTGAGAATTAAACAGCATGAGATGGAAAAGTACAAACCTTACCCACAAATAAAAACAGACACAAATTTTAAAATGACAATTACTAATAAATGAGTGACTACCATGAGATAGGCACTGTTTTAAGCAATTTCCATATATTAGCTATTAAATCTTAATAGCAGCCTTATGGGTAAGTACTAATATTATACCCATTTTACAGACGACAGTTTGGAGGCAGAGAGAAGTTAACTAAATCGTTTTATAACACACAATTTATTTAGAAGAGGCAGTGTTTGAGTCTCATGTATCAGCCTGTAAAATCTGTAAATCTATCAGAAACTCTTGAAGCAAGATGTGTTTTAGAATTCAGAAATCTTTTGGACTTCAGAAATATAAAATAATGCATATACAGTCATCCCTTCGTATCCATGGGAATTGGTCCCAGGACCCCCATGGATAACAAAATCCCCAAATGCTCAAGTCTCTCATGTGAAATGTTGCAGTATTTGCATACAACCTATGCTCATACAGACGGTATACTTTAAATTATCTCTGGGTTACTTGGAATTCCTAATATAGTATAAATGCTATGTAAATAGTTGTTACACTGTATTTTAAAATTTGTATTATTTCTTACTATTGCATTATTTTTTATTGTTTTTTTTCCCAGGTATTTTTTATTTGCATTTGGTGAAACCCATGGTTGGTAGAATTCACAGGTGTGGAAGGCTCACTACTTTTATTTCAGAATGTCTCTAGGATAGTCCAAGTGATTATGATGAACTTACTAAATGTTTTTGTAGTGAAATATATTAGTTTAATACTAAATGCAATAATAACTAAAGATTATAAACTTTACATATCAGGCCAGGTTAAATTTTGAGGTCAAATGAGTTTTACTATCAAGAGAAGAAAGGAAGAGAGAAAGAAAAGAAGGGAAGAAGAGAGGAAGGAAGGGAGGGAGGGAAGAATGGAAAAAAAGGGGAAAAAGAAAAAAAAAGCAAGGAAATCTTGGTTTTCGGTTCCTCTCTAATTCTGGAATTGCAGATAAAGGATTTGGGCCTATATTCTACATAGATCACAGAGTGATAAAACAAGTGAAATTCAAAATATTGAACAGTATAACTAGGGCACTGGCCAACTAGAAGGAGAGACTGGAAACTAGTCTTGGGGAGGAATCCTAAAGACCACATGCCATGTTGATAGTTGACCTTTTAGTTGCTGTTTTTTAAGAAAGTCCAAAGAATGACAAAGATGTGGCTTGGGACTGCCAGGGAGACAGTGAGTGAGAACACTGGGTAGAGAGGTAGCTTTGAGGTAACAACTTCCAAAAACAAACAATAGGAAATATTTTAATATATTACCAGTCAGTACCTTGGAGAGAGATCACTACACAACACCATTACAATACTGTTATAAAAATATATATATACAGAGTGGTAGAGCGAAAAGGAGAAACATCTATACATAGGCGTGGATGGGGGCATGGAGGAAGGGAGTCAGAGGATTTTTTCTCACTGCTCTTATACTTCAATAATAATAAAAATGATAGCAAACACTGAGATCTCATATGTACCAGGTACTCTTCTAAATACTTTATATTCTAAATACTTTATACCTTAAAAATACTTATTGAATCTTCATAATAGCTCTGTAGGAGGGTGCTGCTATTATCCCCAGTTTTCAGATGAGAAAACTGAGGTACAGAGCAGTTAAAAACTTTCTCCAGGCTAAATAGTTGCTAGGTGGAAGAGCCAGGACTTGAACTTAGGCAGTCTGGCTTCTGTGTCTATGCACAAAATCACCACACTAGATACTGTATTGTAAATTCAGCGTTACACAACAGTCCCTTACCCTGCACCAAGAATCGGAGCCTGAGACCAGGTGTCATTCATTTCCACATCCTCTGCACAATGCCTAGGCCATAATAAATACAGAGTAAATAGTTGTTGTGATTACTGTTATTTTATGAAATGATGCCCAAAAGATACTAAACAGTTAGGAGAAGAACTGAAGGAAAAAGTCTTAGATGGGGAGCACAGTGTGAGCAGAGGCATGGAAGCCTTTGGCAGCAACTCCCATTGTGATTCCATTTTCACTATGAAAGGAAATAATCTTCAAATTGAAAGAGGTGGAACCAACAGGGGTTGCAAACTCAAAACACTTCATGGGGCAGTCCAGTAGCATAAATGTGTGAAAATGCTAAGTGAAGAAAATAGAAAGCTTAGTAAGGACTGGAGGAACCAGGGAGTGAATGTCCTGCCCATAGGCATTCAAGTTCAGACTCTCTGAAGCACTTCTTTTATATCCTTTGGCTTAGAGGGACTTAAAGGGAGATGATTTTTTTTAAAGCATTTAGGGGTTTTGGGGGAAAAAAATAACACTCAGAAAAAATGATGGCTGATAGAACCATTTTTGGTATTCTTTGTGTAAATAGATTGAGGAAGAATCCAGAATATAGAACATGTTATGTCTTGGATGTACCCATACCAAGACAAAGGAGAATAGTTTGATTCCTGAGTCTACAAGTCAATGAGTCTGACAATGATTTCTGGGGAAGACTCTAGTAGAGATGATTCAATTGATAAGTTATGAGCAATTAGCAGAGAAGTCAGAAATAATTGGAAGGACTCTTGGATTATTAAAAAATGAGTTAAGCTAAGCTTAGTTATTTCTTTGATAAGAGCTTTCCAGGCTAGTAGATCACTGTCTTTAAAGACCTCTGGTGGACAAGATGGAGGACCCTGGGATGGATCTGTGGTTAAGAAACCTTGGTCTCTGTCATCTATCCTGATGAGATTCTGTGTCATCTATCCTGATGAGATTCTGTAAAGAGTATTAGGTTGGAATCAAGGATACAAGGAGACCATAAGCAGTGGAAGTTCATCTAGAGAATGCAACCAGGTTGGACCAGTAACTTGAAACTACCTCATTACATAGAGTAACAAAGATATTCGACCTAGAGAAAGATAAGAGTAGAAAGAGGGGAACAAAATGCTCTCTTTGAAGGTTTTAGAGTATGCTACATGGAGGAAGAATAAAGTGTATAGTAACATATAATAGACTGTTTCGTAAGACAATGAGATTCCAGTTGCTGGACCCCCATGGCTGTTGGGAAAATGTCTTTCTAGTAAGTGGGGCAAACTCAGACTTAGTCTTTAGGTAAGACTCCCAACCAGTCCTGTAACTTTATTCATAAGAAAACGGATAACTGAAGGAGAAAGAGGATTTTGTCCAGTGCCATATAGTGCTCGGAGGAAACTCAAGATTCTCACTTTCTAGTTCAATGTTGTGTCAAAAATTCTATGGCAGTTGGAAGCTAATTTGCCTCCTCCTTCACATGGTACTGGAACCTAGAGGAAGATAATGTTAATTATCCCACTAAACTCTACTGCCTTTCCCCAAAGCTATAGGGTCCTAAGTGGAAGAAGCTAGAATCTGCAAGTTCAAAACAATATTCAGCCTGACAATATTTCAGTGGTATGTTCTTTTAAGTGTCATGTAGCAATTTCCTCTTTTCGAAGAATTTAATCTGCTTCGTGAGGCGGACTGAATTTGACTTGCTGGTTTGTACTAAAATTCTGTTATTTTCTGGTTGATAGTCAAATCTATTAAACTGACAGAACTTTAAACCAAGTATGCAAATACTCTCTATCAATACATTAACAAAAGTTTGGTGTGCCAGTAAGCAGCAATTTTCAATCACGAGTATGTGCATGTTTTCTTGCCATTTACTGCAGCAACCACTGTAGGGGTCATTTTATAAACCACTTAAATACTTAGTACAAAACAAAAAAAATACTCAGTACATGTTCCATGTCAGGTAACTCTGACAAGAAATATTTTCAATGAGGCCCTTCCTAAGAGCCCTCAAATAGCCTGTCTCTGTAAAATGAAACGCAAAGACTTCACTGAACCAAGCAGAGCTAAGTGGCTCCACTGATTTAGAAAAGGAAGGAAGTTAGGATTCAGCATACGTCTTTTGTATACCAGGCACTGTCAGATCATGTATTCCTCATAGCCATCTGTGAATGATTTTATTTAATAAATGCATATTTATCTGCATATTGATTTATAAAAATAATTTCAGTTTGTCTATGAAGCAGGAACTAATATTCTAATTTTGCAGATAAAGAAACTAAGGTTCTAAATGTAGTTAGTTTGCCTAAGGTTTCAGCTAATAAGTAAAGGGACCTGGAATTGAACATGTTTACACCAAAGTTTTGTGGCTCCTTTCTGCTGTACAGGTACAGTACGTGGATCAAAAGTGCTACCTTCTAGATGATAGAAAAGTGCCAAGTTTAAGAAAAATAGGCTTGAAAGTTGATATGCCTTTATGTCATTATTATGGTGTTTCTATAAAATTTATATATTTTCTTTTTTTTTTTTTTGAGACGGAGTCTTGCTCTGTCGCCCAGGCTGGAGTGCAGTGGCACAATCTTGGCTCACTGCAAGCTCCACCTCCCCAGTTTACGCCATCCTCCCACCTCAGCCTCCCAAGTAGCTGTGACTACAGGTGCCCACCACCACACCTGGCTAATTCTTTTGTGTTTTTACTAGAGACGGGGTTTCACCGTGTTAGCCAGGATGGTCTGGATCTTCTGACCTCGTGATCCACCCGCCTCGGCCTCCCGAAATGCTGGGATCACAGGTGTGAGCCACCACGACCGGCCAAAATTTATATATTTTCAAGACAGACTTTTTAATCATTCTATCTTTAAGCCAAGTCAATGAGAAAACTAGTTTTGATATACAGATAAGGTGCATAACTCAGTCTAGCCTTTGTCTTTCTTTATGAGTTGGTGTGGTTAGGAAAGGATTTGGGGAAGGAGGTGTGGGAACCAGAATTCTTATCACTGTTTCAGCATATGTACTTTCTGGGTACCACTTTCTTTGTATGCAAAATGACAGACACTGAGTAGATTATTTATGCAGCCCCTTCTATCTCTGACCTTCCATAATTCTTAGTTTCTTCACTTTTTTCTCTCAAAAACTCAAAGTAGCTCCATATGGGAACATATCCAGAAGGCACTGCAAAGTGGAATAAATATGAGAAATTAAAAATCAAAACCTGAAGCAAGCTTCTTCTTTGGTTCCAGAAGACAAAGGCCTAGATTACAATACATTTAAAAAATATATTTCCCCCTTGCTACCTCAGGCTTTCTGATTTAGTATAGGATCAAGGGTAGAAGTAAGAAATGTGTGGGAAAATTTGATCTGCTTCTTGTAATTCTAATCCAATTATAAGCAGAAAATGCCAAATATATCTTCTAAAAACCCATCATTAAATTCCTTGCTCATTTTTATAAGCTTAAGAGTTTAGATAGTTTTGATGCAAATTCTGGACTCCTGGGTACATTTCATATTCAACCAACATAAGAAGTAAATATGCAAAATTTTACAAGATCAAAAATTCTTCCTCAAGGACACTTAATTAGATTCATTTCTTTTCTTTCTCTTTTTCTTTTTCTTTTTTCTTTGTTTTGCTTCATATTCTCTGAAAGGAAGATCTGCTTTTGTGGTAAAATAACACAGATGTTATCACAAGTTAGCACTCGATAATAAATGATAAGCAGTATTATTAATTCTTTCATTCATTTATTCATTCAACAAATATTTATGAAGTGCCTGCTACATACTAGGCACTGCAATAAGCACCGGGAATAAAACACTGTGTGAAAATAGACATGTTCATAGAGTCTAGAGCTGGTGGAGGAGAAATGAAATACAAGGGAAGAGATAGATTCTTTGAGGAGATATAAAGGACAGCAAGTCCAGGAGTTCAGTGAAGGCTTCCTGGAAGAGGAACAGTTGGGCTGAGCTCTGAAGGATGAGTATTATTTAGCTATGCAAAGAGGAGGTGCAAGTTTGTGCAGGCAGAAGAAGCAAGCACAAAGCACTTGAGATGGGAGTGCACATGCCAAGTATAAAAGAAGTCAGGAAGATTTTCTGCTGGTTTTTTTTTTTTTTCTTCATTTTAATCACTATAAGTTACTCTAACATTTTGCCTGGAGACTCCCCCCCTCCAAAAAAAATTTTGCTCTTTGTACTTTAGTAACTTCTTACTAAGTTTTACTGAGTGTTTGGAGTCATTTTTTCTGTTTCTGGAAATGGTGCACCTTCCCAATAGGGAGATTAAAATATTTTGTAACTTTGGGAAAATTTTCCTTATATGTTTTAATATTTGTTCTATTTTACTAATTTGAGTTTCCTTTTCTGACACTCTAATTATGTGTATGTTGGATTTCCTGTGCCTGTTCATAACTACTCTCCATGTCTTTTTTTGTCTTTGTCTTTTTTTTTTTTTTTTTTTTTTTTTTTTGAGGCAGAGTCTCACTCTGTCTCCCAGGCTGGAGTGCAGTAGCGCAATCTCAGCTCGCTTCAACCTCCACCTCCCAGGTTCAAGCGATTCTCCTGCCTCAGCCTCCCCAGCAGCTGGACTATAGGCATGCACCACCACACCCAGCTAATTTTTGTATTTTTAGTAGAGATGGGCCAGGCTGGTCTCGAACTCCTGGCCTCAAGTGATCCTCCTGCCTTGGCCTCCCAAAGTGCTAGGATTACAGGCATGAGCCACTGTACCGCACTGCACCAGCCACTTCAGTGTTTTTTTCTATCCTTCCTCCTTCCTTTTTATCCCCTCCCTCTCTCCTCTCCTCCATTATTCTCTTCCTTTCTTTATTCCCTTTAATTTGATTTGCTCAGTTTTCCTTTTTTTCTTTTTGAGATGGACTTTTGCTCTTGTTCCCCAGGCTGGGGTGCAATGGCGCGATCTCAGCTCACTGCAACATCTTCCTCCTCTTCCATCAAGCAATTCTCCTGCTCAACCTCCCAAGTAGCTGGGATAACAGGCATGTGCCACCACGCCCAGCTGATTTTTTATTTTTAGTAGAGACAGGGTTTCACCCATGTTGTTCAGGCTGGTCTCGAACTCCTGACCTCAGATGATCCACCCGCCTTGGCCTCCCAAAGTGCTGGGTAACAGGCATGAGCCACTGTGCCTGGCCGATTTGCTCAGTTTTCTCATTCCTGGTCTTTGCATCTCTTACTGTGTTTTCAGCAATGCCTGTACTCTGTGTACTCCTCATTCACCTTCATCTCCAGTTTTTTTTTTTTTTTTTTCACTTTTTTCCCCTAGATCTCTAGGTGCTCATGTTTCACCTGCTACTGTTTTTAACCATCTCTTCTCTGAAGTTCTGTATTCTAGGTTGTGTTCTTGCTTCTTAGAGGCAATTAACATATCATTATTATTATTTAATTTACAGTTAAATATATTTTTAAGTTTTCACCCACCGAATTGAAACTTCAAAAGAAATTTCTGTTGAGTATTCTTCATCTACCATTATATTAATATTTGTGATTCATTTTCATGTTTATTTGTTTATTTGTTTATTTTGAGACGGAGTGTCACTCTGTTGCCAGGCTGGAGTGCAGTGGCATGATCTTGGCTCACTGCAAACTCTGCCTCCTGGGTTCAAGTGATTCTCCTGCCTCAGCCTCCCAAGTAGCTGGGACTACAGGCGCCCACCATCACGCCCGGCTAATTTTTGTATTTTTAGTAGAGACAGGGTTTCATCATGTTGGCCAGGATGGTCTCAATCTCTTGACCTCGTGATCCTCCCATCTCATATCTTTATCTGTTCCATGTTGATAGTTCATCTTCAAGTAGAAAATTTTCTTTTTCTGAACTCACTATTTGCAGGAGGGGGTCTGTGTATGGAGAAGACCCATGACTATGTTTTAGTTGAGTAGGAATTTTCTTTTTGATCCAGTGGATTGTGTGGGACTCTGGCCTTTAGACACCTCCCAGCTAATAAGAGGGAGCCGAGAGTGAAGTGGTTCATGATGCAAGCTCTTCTCCATACTGCCACAGGCTGCTTCCTGTACAATTTGGCTTTTCTGTGTTTTTCTCCTTTGGCCGGAACTCTTTTGGTTTTCAGAACAAAATCAATTCCAGGAAAACTGTTTCTAGCTGGTGCATATCTCTGCTTTAGTAATAGACCCAGTATTTAGGGTTTTATATTATGTTTGTGGACAAATAATTTAATTACTTTTTTGAGTTATTCTTCCTCTTCTATGTACCTCCACATGATCTCACTACTATTGGCAGTCATGCCATCTCTTTTCTGATTCAGGGTTTCAGTCTATGGCCATACCACCCTGAACACACCTGAGCTCAGCTGATTTAGGGTCTCAGCTGTCTCCTAATCTAATCAGAAATAGAGCTTAAATTTCTTATTTACATTTGCCTAATTCCTTGGAAGAGGAGGAGATTTCCAACAGGATAAAAAGAAAATTCTAACTTTACACCACCATATTAGAATCAGAAGTATTTATAGTTTAATAGTTTAACCCAAACACTTATGTAAAGGTATTTCAATAATGCTTTTTAGGCTTGATCAGAAATGACCACATCTCTCATGATGTGAGTTAACATAAATGTTTTCATTTACCTAATAATTTATTCTGGTCATTTTTCTTTCAACCAATTTTTAATGATCAATACATTATTGATTATTATCTTCAATAAAGATTAAATAAAATCAGTTTTTACCTTAAAATTTATATTTCAGCCTTTATTTTAGAAAAAAAATAGGAACTAAATAGGAACCTATAAAATCCTAAACGATCAACAGTGTCACCCCTCTAATCTAAAACTAGCCAAAATGCCCTTTGAGTACAAAGAAAATCAAGTTTTAAACATTAAAGAATGCAGAGAATATTTTATACAAACAATTCATGAAGAATATACTAGAAAATATACCTAAGCCAACTAAGAAATAATAGAATGAAACTTAAAAAGAAATAAGTGAAACATATACACACATAAAATCATAAAACCATGGTAAAAGACTACCAGTGAACATTGAATCTGTTTAACTGTAGGATTAAAATTAAAACAAGAAGGAAGATTGTATGACAGAAGAGAATATAATAATATTAACATGAGAAAGCAGACATATTATAACAAACACTTGGATAGAAGATGAAACATTTAAGTATACTGATTTTCTTATATTTAATAGATGGAGGTCAAAGAAAATCCATTTAAACTGGCAAATTATGGAAAAGGCATAAAAGTTTGTTAAATGTTACAAAGGTAAGATTATAAAATAAGAGGCTCATCTAAAACCAGGTAGTAAGAAGGAAGAAAGAAGGGAGGGAGAAGAAAAATTAAAACATTTCATTATTACTCATGGTAAGGAATTAATAGATAATGCCAAAAGAAATGGAGGAAACTGTGAAAAGCTGTTATAATGATAAGCACGTGCAAAAAATGTATCAACTTTCAAACATATCAGGAGAAACATATATACACATAAAATCATAAAAACAAGCTGCTTGGTGAGAGTATTTAAAAATAATAAAGACAGAATTCAAATATAAAGCAACAAACCTAAGACCAAACATATCTATCATATCATTAAGTGCAAATGACCTAATCTCATCGATTAAAAGAAAAATATTTGTCAATAGTATTACAGAGAAAATTCCATTGTGGGCTATGTAAAAGACACATAAAGTAAAGAGATTAAGAATGGTTGAGAATAAAAAGGTGGGAAAATACATAGCAAGCAAGTCTGAACAAAAAGAAATCTGGGATGGTGATCTTAATCTCAGACAAAGGTTAGTTCAACACAAAATATAAACTAAAAAAAAAACAAAGGAATTCATAGTACTAAAGGGTACAATCCACAAAGAAGTTCTCAATATCTATAAATACTATACCAATATTCCTGAGGCAAAAACACAAGTAATACAATTAAAAAATAGAGAGCCACATTAGTTGTATGGAACTTACTTTAGTCTATAACATATCAAATGTACCCCTCAAATTATATATATATATATGTGTGTGTGTATATATATGTGTGTGTGTGTGTATTATATATACGTATATATATATTATATATAGTGTATATTATATATATGTATATATATTATATATATGTGTATATATATATGGATATAGCAGGCCTAAACATAATATGATGGCTCTAATGGATACATAGGAAGTCTCTATTTTCAGATAGCCAAGTAATGGTCACACATACACAAAAAGAGAAATACTTTAGGCCACAAAGAAAACATAAAAGGAGAACACTCCAAACAGTAAAAGTAGTACTGAACATATTACCTGATAATAATGCAGTAAAATTAAACCAGAAAACAAAAATCACCAGCTACTGAAAATTTACAAGCTCTCTGTCAAACAGCTATTAGGTCAAAGGGGTTATTCATAAATCAAAATTGCAGAATATCTAAAAACTAGCAATAAAGCCTGGGCGCGGTGGCTCACGCCTGTAATCCCAGCACCAGGCTAAAGTGAGCAGATCACGAGGTCAGGAGTTTGAGACCAGCTTGGCCAACATGGTGAAACCCCGTCTCTACTAAAAATGCATTAAAAAAAAATTAGCCAGGCGTGGTGGCGGGTGCCTGTAATCCCAGCTACTCAGGAGGCTGAGACAGGAGAATCCCTTGCAACCAGGAGGTGGAGGCTGCAGTGAGCCAAGGTGGCGCCACTGCACTCCAGCCTGGCTGACAGAGCAAGACTTCGTCTCGGAAAAAAAAGAAGGGAAATCACAATCATTATCAAACATGTTAAAATAAGCATATGATAAAATTCAATATCCATTTTCAAGAGATACTCTTAATAAACTAAAAAGATATGAAAAAATATATGGCCTCTTTGTTTTCACCTTTTTTTCAAATGTCACATTAGTGAGGTCTTACAGATCTTTTTAACATTTGAACTTTCGCATCATATCCCTCTTGGTTGCTTGCTTTTTCTCCATTGCACCAATAACTTTCAATCATTCTATATAATGTTCTTATTTATTTATTTTGCATTGTCTGCTCCCATTGAAATGTAAGTTTCATAAGGTTAGATATTTTTGTTCATTTTGCTTTCTGTTCTGTTCACTGATGGCCTGGTGTATAATAAACACCTACTATATATATATGTTGGGCAAATGAATGAATGGATAAATTAATGAGGTATTATGCAAAAGTATGAAAATGCTCTTTATATATAGTTATGGGTGAATTTCTAAGATATATTTCTAAGCAAAAAAATGTATGATACAGTAGAATATGTAAAACATGCTACTATTTTGTGTAGAAAAATGAGACAGAGGAGAGGAGCAGAAAGAGGAGCAGAATAGTGAAGAGGAAGACAGGGAGGGAAAATAAACACCTATTGGTAGAGGCATAAATTATTCCTAGAAGTCTGTATAAGGAACAGCTAAGACTTGATGCCTTTGGGTAGGACAAGTAAGGGGGTGAGGAGCAGAGACAGGAGGGAGACTCTTTATAATGCAACCTTTTGTTTCTTTTGGATGTTAAGTATGAGACTATTTCAATGACACCTTCTTCAAAAATAAAAATAATTCACATGACCAAACAAAACTTTATAGGGGGAGATAGTTTAATATCAATTAAACTCACACACATATACACACACACAAACATACAAAAATAGATTAAATTGAGTAAAATAACATCTTGTCTTCTTTTCTAATTTCTGGAATTGGAGAAAATGACTCCAGAAGATATTTGTATGTTATATAATTTAATATATATTTCAGTATTTTGAGATAGCTTTAGTGGATTTATGAGTTTAAAATCCCTGAAACAGTACTTCAAGTTAGCTTTAGTGGACTTAAGAGTTTTTGGTTATTTTGGTATTTCGTTTAATTTCTCTGCTCAGTGTCCATTCCTCTTCCATAGTATATCTTTAATTTTTACTTGGAGGAACCAGCCTTCCCATCTTTTTCATGCTGAGTGTGAGTGATGGTGTGCATGATACAAGTGTAACCAATTAGTGCATTCCAACCCCCTTACCACAGTTACTGATTCGGACAAAAACCAATCAATGACAACAACATTTAAGCCCACCACTTTTGGTTCATATGTTGAAAATGACTCTCTTTTATACTGGTCAGATATTGTATGAAAGTCCAAAGTAGACAGTGGTCACTAATGGGAACTGAGGATATACTCAATCATTGAAAGCACAACTAAGAGAGGGATCTTTGTGACAACATTGAAGCCCTGGATCAAACCATACCTGAAGGTAGACAGTTCTACTCATGGATTTTTCAGCTCACAGTAGCTAACAATTTTTTTTCCCTTATGCCATCTTGAGTAAGGTTATATGTTATAATACCTTTAACTGAAGAGTCTTGATAGATATAGTAGCCATTATTCTCCTGCCCTGTAAACTCTAGAATAGCAAAATATTGACAAGTTAGAAATCTTGCCCAGTGTTACAAAGCTAGAATTGTTGAAACCAGGATTTGAATTTAGAATTATCTGGCTCCAAAGCTCTCATTCTTCTGGCAACACCTTGAGAAAAAGAGAGAGAGAGAGCCCGCTCGTGAGAGCGAGTGTATTATTGGTTAACAACATCACATATGAGAAGAGATCAATAACTAAGAAGGGAAAAATCCCTGAACGAAGTTGATAAAACCATAAGATAGAATAGTTACACAGTGTTAAAGACCTAAGGGTTATTTCATATGCCCGGCAGCACTCTAACTGCTGAATGCATTTAAATAATCTTATAGAATGGTTGAAGCCATCTTTTGGGGTTTCTCTTATAGAATGTGACCAAAGACTTTTGTATATGAGAAAAAGGGTGAAATTCATTGACGTTTCCTTCATGCTTTCCCTAAGCCCCTGAAGAATAGGAACATAAGAGATAAGCTAACGAAATATAGTTAATAATTTAAGTTAGGACTTATTCTTTACAGCCAGTATTTCTTTCAACATTTTCTAAAAAGAAAAAGAAGTGAACAAAAAACTTGCCCCAGGATTCTAAACTGCAGGTGGCATCAAAGGAACTAAAACCAAGAGAAAGTTCCATTCATCAGCTTCCCGCTGGCCAACAATTTCTTCTGATAAGAGCCTGTGGAAGATCACTGTAAGACACGGTCATCCACTTTTTCATACTGTTTTCCCTGGTGACCAAAGAATTGATTTTCTGAAACATATTCTTAGAGCTTTGTACACTAAGAAGTGCCAGACAAACAAAAGGTATAATACTCATAGTTGCTCTCATTATGAGAAAAATGCTATTTAGAGAAATAAGTCTCAAGTAAGGGTAATTTTTGCCCTCCAACAGACACCTGGTAATGTCTGGAGACATTTTTGGTTGTCACAATTGCAGGATGGGGGGCTGTGGGGATACTGGCATCTGGTGGATAGAGACCAAGAATGCTGTTGTGGAAGGGTCCCCTATAATTATTGAAACCAGGATTTGAATTTAAGACTACTGGACTCCAAAATCCTCATTCTTTCTACAATACCTTGATACCATTGAGATATCATTGAGAGAGAGAGAGACAGAACATATCATTGGACAACAACATCGCATATGAGAAAAGACAAGTAACTAAAGGGGCAAAAATATCTAAACAAAGCTGAAATACACAAGACAACCTCCCACATCCAAGAATTTATGGCCCAAAATGTTAATAATGACAAGGCTGAAAAACCCTGGTTTAGAGGGAGTGCAGCATTTGTTTTCGTGTTGCCACAGTGATATGATGTCATTGTGCGTGCGTGCGTGCGTGTGTGTGTGTGCAGGGGAAGGGGGATTTGTGGATTTAGTATATCTCCTCAGGCACCTACTGGGAATTCAGGTTTTTGAGGCTGAACTCATCAGCATATCTGAGGTCACCATTTTGCCAATCAAGTCATTATCACCCTATGGCAATTTCAAGATGCCCCTACAGAAGGAAAACCAGATGTTCATGCAGAAAAGATGGTTTCAGTAGCATATATAAGATTAGCCTCAAATCCGAGTCATTAAAATATCTCCAGGTGGTCTTTTTGGTTGCTGCAGTTTGGGGCAACCTCTTTTCATCATTTTGGAAGTATTGTCACATCTCTAGGATATGTTTTTGTCCTATCCCCAATTTCAGCACCTGTTTATCTGACAAGAATGAAAATTACTCTCTTTAAGACTACATTGCTATGTACTAATTTCCTAAGACTGTCTATCTCTCTCATACATTATGTCTCCACTCATCACCATTAATAGGTAAGAAATCTTCCAAAACACCTGTGGCCACACTTCAACACACCTTGAGAGGCTCTTAGAAAATGCATTTTAAATAAACTCATTAGAGAAATGCATATAATCAAATAACATGCTTAAAGGAAACAGAAATGCTAAATAAAGAGTGGGTCCACTAGCGAAACTTTCCCCCTTTCTCACAAACCTGAAAGTTCCTTCCTACATAATTGGAGGGTAATGGTGAGAAAATTTCTCATAGTTTCTGTCCCCCACGGAGACTCCACTGAGGGAAAAGATCATTCTGAAAATAAATTAATGAATATTCATTACTTCCTAGTCAAGTCTGAATGTTTTGGCTTAGTGAGATAGTTTAGTGATAAATGTGATTCAGATTTACTGTTTTAAAAAATTAACAATTCAGAAGAACAGAGTAAAAAAAATAACAGCTTCCTTTACCCAGCTTCTGTAGTTTCTGCCTTCATTAAAAGGAATCAAGTTAATAGTCTATTGTGAATCCTCCCATATCCATATCAATTTCATAGTCTTTCACTCAGCAAATGTTTGTGGAGTACCTACTATGTATGTGGTTCTGGGTTTATAATAGTGGACAGAACAGACACGATTCCTGCCTTTAGGCACCTCATAATTTAGTGAAGAAAGGAAATAGAGAAAAATAATTTCAGATTAACATACAAATAAAACAATTAAGAATTGTGATCTGCCCAAGGAAGGAAATAAACACAAGGCTGAAACAGAATATTGTGTGGGGCCCACACACTAGCTAAAGGGCTCAGAAAGTGCTCTAGAGAAGCTAAACCCTCAAGGATAAGAAAAGGCAAGTGTAGAAGGGAGAGGAAAATTCTGTAACACTTTTTTTTCACTTAATATATAATAGATATATTTCTGTTAATTCATAAAAGTCTATTATTTCTTTTAATTAATAATCACTGGAATCCCTGTCTATGGGTCAGTCCTATGCCCTGAGGATAAAATTGTGAGCAATAGCTTTGGCTTCATTGAGCTTACAATCTAATGGTAGAATTTAGATACATCAGATTGATGTTAATGAATGCACAATATTCCATATTGTAATGAACTAATATTCCATAATGTAATGCACTAAATATTTACTTAGTCATGCATCTATGGATGGGTGTTTTAGTTGTTCCCAGTTTTTCACTCTTAAGCATTTTTCAATGCTTCTAAAGACATCTTTGTTCATATATGACACACGTTTTTGTAGACACTTTAACAACATGTTTACTGTGTGACAGTACAATTGTTAATGTGTCATTCATAGAATTCTCATATTCTTATTTTAACATATGTAAAGTTTTCATCCCCATTTTATAAATGTGGAGCCAATAACACAGATGTGTTGAGAAACTTATCCAAGGCTATAAGATAGTAAATGACAAAAGATAAGTATCTGAATATAAAAATAGATAGTTTAGTGTCTGCTATACCTCCTCCCAAGGGCTAGAGCCCTAGATTTTGTTTTCTGATTACAAAAAATAATATGTGCTTAGTATTTCAAATTTAACAAATACAAATACAGAATTTTGGCCTCCCAAAATTCTGGGATTACAACCATGCCCAGCCATTATTTAATATCTTTAAAGCACTTAAGACAGTGCTGCCAGAGTTAGCACTTAATAAATGTTATTAATTATTGTATTATAAAGTTACTTTCAAGTTTCTCTAAGATTTCTTTTTTAGTTTCAAGATAAATATTTGAAGATACTACCAGCAGATAAACATAAATGAACATAAGAAAAAGCCTCAAAGAGCTAGTTACCAATGGTTTCCTACATTAGAAAACCAATTAGAGTGATATTTTTCTTTTTTCCTTTTGATTTCCTGTGTTTTCTAAATTGTCTTTACTGAATGTGTTATTTTTTAAATATCAGAAAAAAATATTAATTTATTTTTAAACAGTTTTTACCAGCTCAACTAGATGACAGAAAATTGAATGTTCAAGCCCAGATTCTAGAAATAAATGTTAGAATGTATTCATGGTAACTTAATTCTTAGTTACTTAACCTCTCTTGACTGTTAGCTATTGTCACTGTGATTGTGAGCATCATTATCATCATCCTTAACACCAAATCCTTTTACTGGTGTTGATACCTCAGGTAAGCAAGGCAATTCCAATATTAATTATATGTGTTTATACTCAATTTCCTCATCTATCGCATGGGGCTAATAATATCTGCTCCACCAATACCAACACTTTGTAAAACAATAAAATAATATGAAATATTACAGTGAAGTAATGAGATTGGCATTGAGACAGATATTGGGAAAACATAATTATGACTCTTATTATTACATTTTAAATTATTTTATTCTGATAAGGTAAAAAAGAATTCTTACCCCACTTGAGAAATAAGAAAATGAAGGCACAGAGCATTTGCAATAGTTTATCAACTCACACATTGTGTAGTGGTCAAGACTAACCTACAGTTCAGTGTCTTGATGCCCAATCAGTTCTCAGCAGTCTCTTAGTGCATTTATCTGCCTTATTCCAAACGGATCCTGTTCCAGCAACTGACAGTTTCTATACCTCTACTGATTGCAGTTCTAGTCCACAGCAAGTCTTGGAACCCTGGGGAATTTTTAGAACCATTTAGACATGAAGTAAAGTCTCAATGACCTTTTCAGTTCAACAATGCTAAAAGACAAACTGAAAAGGTTTAGAGAACGTGGTGAGAAACAAGGCATTGCCTATAACTGTTTATTGTTTCCCTGGTAACTCTACTCCTCAATGTTCTTTGAAATATCAAAGTTCTAACTGTTATAGAGAGAGACTTCTAATATAGGTTCAAAAGTAAAATGGGATATAAAACTGAAGATAGAAAAATAAATAGGTAGATAGAGTGAAAGACATAGACACAGTGAAATCTCAATATTTTACCTTTGATTAAAAGAAGATACCCCAAATGTTCATGGTTAGTTGACTTTGGCTAGTCATAATTTCCAGAAAGTGAGATTATGAGTGATTTTAAAAATTACCTTTTTTTTTTCTTTTTGAGATAAAGTCTCACTGTATCACCCAGGTTGGAGTGCAGAGGCGCAATCTCGGCTCACTGCGATCCGCCTCCCAAGCTCAAGCGATTCTCGTGCCTCAGCCTCTGAATTGCTGGGATTACAGGCATATGCCACCACACTTGGCTAATTTTTGTATTTTTAGTAGAGACAGGGTTTCACCATGTTGGCCAGGCTGGTCTCAAACTCCTGACTTCAAGTGATCCACCCACCTCGGCCTCCCAAAATGCTGGGATTACAGGCATGAGCCACTGTACCTGGCAAAAATTACTCTTGAAGACATTTTTCAAATTTTCTACCATGAGCGTGAATTACTTTTATGGTCATTAAAAGTTGGAGGTGTATAGATAGCCAGGGAAGTTGCAGTTGTTTACCTTGAAACTACCGCACAGTGTTGAGAGTGGGTGGAGAGAGGGTGGAGTTAGAGTTGGAGTCCTGGAGTTGGAGTTCTTCCTCCAACTCCAGCACAGGCCCCGATGGTTTACTAACCAGAGCAGAGGTTGTTAGAAGCAGCCAGGCCACAATTTGAATGCTTTGCTGCTTAGAAATTTCTTATGCCAGATATCCTAAGTCATCACTCTTAAATTTAAACTTTCACAGATCCCTAGGACATGGACTCACCATTGAACCCATTGTTAAGCTTATGGTTTAACCCATCTCCCTGCCTACTTGTCAGATAAACTCACGCTTGAGGAATTCAACCTATGCAGTGATTCCAGCCAGAGGTATTGGTCCAAATGAAGCATGGGAGACAGTTTTCTGGAAGCTTCTGGGGAAGAAGGTGATCTATCCTTCTGAGAGAGCCAGGATTTTCTCTTCAATCAGATATGATACATAAACTCCTAATACTGCCAATGCATCCTGCGACCATATGAGAAATAAGCCTTAAGAAGAAGCTAACAATATAGAAAGATGGAAAAGAAAGAAAGACCTTTATGACATGAATGAAGTCAAATCAAACTAACCCTGAAACTGACTGACACACTCTTAGACTTTCCAATCACAGAAGCCGTCATTGAAACTAGTTTACATTTTCTGTTTCTTGGGGTCAGACATTTGGGTATATAACATCTATATGACTATATAGTGAGAGGCCCCCCTTCATTAGTACCTCCCGTTTGTAAGTCAATGCTCTATTAGGAGTAAATTCCCAGTGGAATTTTTTCTGCAATATTGTCTTTTGACAAAATAAATAGGGATTGGATGAGATAATCTCTATAACAACCTCCCAGATCTAAAAACTTATGCTTCTTTGAAAATTCAAACTATAATTACAGGAGATTTTTGAATTTTAGATACTTCAAACTTAAGCTTCAGGTGTTTTGTGAAGCTATTTGCTGTATGACAAACTCCCCCTATTTGAGAAAATTCTGCCAGTTGTGATTTTATGCATATTTGTAGCCTTCAAAAGTGGAAAAAATAAACTGTAATTCTAGCAAGAGGGCTGGAAAATGTAAACAAAGCTCATTAGCCTTGTCAGACATTTGATAAATAATTATAAACTGCAACTGCGGTAAGATGTGTGCATAAAGCCCAACTTTGATCTCTTTGGAAAACAAATGTTCCTGTAACAATTTAAAACTTTAATCACACTTAACATATCTTCAAGTATAGAACACATAAATATTCTTTCGATTCTGCCTGAGCCTGGATTATTTTCCACGTTTGTTAGTTAAGAAGAAGACTTACCATAGACTGCATTTAAATAGTAAGCTAAGTAGTTGGGGACTAATAAACAAAATGTTTGTCATACACTAAATGTAATCTTTTCCACATTAACACTGTTGTTATACTGCAGAAAGATTAAGGAAACCAAAGAAATACACTTATTAGCTTTTAATGATTGTAACAGACCGATACCGGAGCTTTAAATTGCTTTTCAAAGTCTAGATTCTATTTTTATAATCAATGTTCTAACTAAGCATTCATCATTATGAAGACAAATCCTGTAAGTCATACACATATCTCTGTCTCCCTCTGACAGACATTGATTTAGAAAGGAAAGACTAGATTCAACCCCCAGGAAACAGCTGTTCTCCTTAGATAAGGAAATCATTGAACTGGCTTTTAATGTTGTAAGAGAAAGGGAGAGAAAAAGGAAAAGAGAGAGATTTACTACAGGAGCAAACAACAAAAATCCGAACTACCTAGATGACACGACACAATTTATAATTCACAGAACATAACTTAATTATCACATTTCTTGATAGCTGACTTTAAACCACAGGTTATGCTTTCTCCCAAAGCAAAATGGCCAGCCTTGCCATTGATAGCAAAACAAAACATTCTGAGAAAACTCGGGTGGCATGAAAAGGTTAAAAGAGAACAGCTGAAATCTTGAGACCTAATGAAGCTGCAACACCTGACAGGCCACTCCTGAGAGCACAGGTAGCTTGAAGAACGCTAAATACCAAGGAAAATGTTTCATTTACCTGTTAAACTAGCAAGTTCACATTGAAGAATGATTTAATACATACACATGCACAAGACTACCGGAATTCATGCAAATTTCCCAAGGTATTCAGTGCTGGAGTACTATATGCCCAAACTTCAGAAATTTTAGAAATGAAGATAGACTTTAATTTGGTTGCCAGGAATGTTCCCCCTTTAAGAAATTTAAATTAGATTCTCCTTTTCTCTGTTGCTTCAGTCAAAGTCTCTACTGGAACCTTCATAATGTCAACATTAAAAGAAAAATCATATCTCAGATCCTTGTTCTGATACTGAAAAAAAAAAAAAGAAAAAGCATATCTTTTTTTTGTATTTGGAACTAAATACTGCCTTAAAAATGAAAATATGCATTAAGGAAAGACTATGTCAAGACTCTCAGCTGTGTTTTAGCAATATATTTCCTTGGTCAACAATATTTTTTTAAGAACTGGAGGACATAGAAGTGACTTCTCTTTCTCAAACTACAAAAATACTTTGAGGCTCTGTGAAGAGAGGTGTCCATGGAGTAAATGAAAGAAGATGCTTAGAAATTTTTAATTAGCTTGTCAATGGTTCCTCATGCTGCATGAACTACCAGAGCAGGTAGTTATATTGTATGTCACGCTATTCAATCTCAGTATATGTTTTTTTTTCTTATAACCAAAAGTGGTTTTAGGTAATGTATTCATAGGATTAAATAAATCAACTGCTAATTTTCAATAAAACAAGTCCCTCGTTGAGGCATTCACCAGCATGGAGAACACAAACATGAAGACAATCCCCAAATCCTTGTTTAGGGGGATTAAAATGCTTTATATGATTTAAAAGAATAGATTTAACTTTCTAATTGTATTTACTCTGCCCTAATACTAAAATGAGTTTGCTTTTCCAGGCCACACATCAATGGTAACCTGGTATTTAAAAAATAATAATAAATGTTATAAATAGATACAAACTGGCTAATACTGATTTTTAGAGAGAATTATAAATGTGCAACCTACCATTACATTTTATTGAAAACACATATAACATTAAAATGCATGATTAGTGATAGAGTAGTAATGAAATCATCCATAATCCGGCCATGCAAATATAATTACTATATTTGCATTCAAAATTACAGATCAGGCTGGGTACAGTAGCTCATGCCTGTAATCCCAGCACTTTGGGAGGCCAAGGAAGGAGGATTACTTGAGGACAGGAGTTTAATACCAGCCTGGGAAGTATAACGAGATCCCTGTCTCTACAAAAATAAAAATAAAAATAAAAACATTAGCTGGGAGTGATGGCACGTGCCTGTAGTCCTAGCTCTTTGAGAGGCTGAGTCAGAATTGCTAGAGCCCAGGAGTTTGAGGCTGCAGGGAGCTAGGATCACGCTACTGCACTCCAGCCTGGGCACAAAGTGAGCCTCTATCTCAAAAAAAAAAAAAAAAAAAAAAATTAAAGTAAATAAATAAAATAAATTGCATAATCTTCCATGTGCATTCTTAATTCTTATACTTGCTCTCTTTTTGGAAGAGAAACCCAGAGACAGAGCAGAAAGAGTTGGGGTGGATAATAAGGGGAAGAAAGAATGAAAAAGGAGCCACAGATGATGAAAGAGAGATGAGATACAGAAGGAAGGAGATGGGAGAGAAGGAAAAATGAAGAGATTGAGTAGAAAGAAGAGAGACCACGAGGAAACAATAGGCAAGGGAGATCTCCAAAAAAAGGCTAAAAAAGGCTTCTATTGGACATTTTTTAAAAGTCTGGAGGTAGACAGACCAGAGTTGATATGGGGGCTCTTAGCTTTCTACTCCACCATCCCAGCACATGGCTTCAACAGCAAGATTGTGTCATCTTTTGGTTGTCCCAACAATCACATACAAGTTGTAAGCCTGCAGGAGGAAAAGCAGGACAGGGAGGAGGTAACTCCTAGTGGATCAGCTCCCTTTAAACTGTTTTCCTGGGATTCTCATGCAACACTTTCTCTTGTATCCCATTGGCCAGCACATAGTCAAAGGCACACAGGGCTCTAAAGGCACACTATAAAGCAGGCTGGGGATGTAGTCCAAAATTGAGCAGTACCCCAGTGGACTTCGGGATACTGTTACTATACAAAAAGGGGGAAACTGAGCAGCTGTTTCCACCACACTGCAAATTCTTTAGTTAGCAGTAGTGTTGTCTGCACTAGAAAACAGCAAGCTGGATCCAGATTGTCTCTGATGAAATCCTGGCTCAGCCCCTTATGAGCCCTGTGACCTTGCTCAAGATTCTGTGTTCAGTTGTTATAAGGCTTACGTGAATTAACACATGTAAAGCACTTGGAATGGTGCCTGGCACACAGTAAATATTCAAGATATGCTAATTAGTGACAGTTTATTTTCTAATGTTAGTTTATTCTCAAAACAATGCTTTGGTGCTGCCTGGAATTCTGTGCATTTAAATATGTGTGAAGAAATAACTTAGATTTTAGAAAATTTCTTTAAGATCTTAGCTGCGTTGGTCTGTTTGCTAAGAATCTTCTAAAAGTTCCTTGTTATTTAAAATTTGGCAGGTTTTTAAATTCCTGCCGGTGGTAACATTGTGTGATTCTGTGATTGCTTTATCTTTGTTATTTGAGAGATTAGGTAAGGTTGCATCACTCCTTAATGCCCGAGGGTTATGTAACATTTGAAAATTGCGTTTATATCATGTTGCTGATACTTTTTCAAAAATGTCAAGTCTCCTTTTTTTGTAATTGAGTTTGGGTCTAGTGGGAATGATGCTCTTGAGGGCTGAGAGAGAGAGAGAGAGAAAGAAAGAGAGCGTGTTAGGGAAAAATCCTTCAGAAATAAAAAGGTTAACCCCTGTTACCAACTCATGAACTACTCTTATGAACTGTGAGCCACTGACCAATAGCCCTGCTGTGGTCCTTGGCCTCTGGCTGGGCAGGGACACTCTTCATCTAAGGATGCAGCAATAACACTAGCGATTTGCTTAGCACATTTCTGTGTCTCTTTTCCCACCCACAGCTCAATGAGTGCATTATTCCCATTTCAACCATGAGAAAATCCAAAGCTCAGGAAGCCTAGACCGCCAGCCTGAAATCTCAAAGCCGTGAGTGGCTAAGTCAGACACAAATTCCACACAGCCTCTTCAAATATACTCCCACCCCATGTAGAACTTTACTAATTTCATTAAACTCCTAAAAATGGATTTGAAAGGATTGAGCAGTTTCAGAAAGAGGCACGCAGCCAGTGGAGGGCAACCTTATCTCTAACTATAGGATGTGAGTTCTGTCTTTTCCAAGGGTTTGAAGAGACAGGTGAGTCTCTCCATTTGCAGAACTGGTTTGCCAATGACGTCAGCGTGTATCTGCTATCGCATGTAGATATGCAGAGGGGATTGGAGGGTGTTTTCAGGAGGGAAGGGGATTGTTTTGTTTTGGTTGAAGGAAGAGGACTGGATTGTTGTTTCATGTTTGTGTTGTGCCTAAGTGTGCGTATGTGCATGTATGTGTGTGGGAGGGGGTGGTTTGGGGTATCCAAGAGAGATAAATGAAGCAGATGGCAGAGAGGTTGGCATGACATCTAAGGGTTACTAGCTGAAGGGAGCACTTTTAAGTTTTCCTGACAGAAGGTGTAATCAGGTCTAGAGGCTACAGAGCCAGAGACAGCAAAACTAAAGGCACCAGCAATGCTGCTTTTAGGAGATATATACTGAGCATACTGTTCTAATCAAATCTCCAAGAGAAAGGATTCTATTGACTAGGAAGTGTGGATCCATGATGATGTATTCAACAGGTTTGTTGAGGACCTACCACGTTACACCAAGGTGTGAGACACTGCCAGCTGGGTTTGGCATTAGGTTTTCAAAAAATGCTAGACTTGGGAATATCAGTGCTCTGGGTCTAGGGTTAGGCATTGTTCCCATACTTCAGTCACTTAAAAAGAAGACACTAACAACACCCTTGAAATTCTCTGTAGGAAAAAGGCATAACCATAAGTGATATTTAGATATAATTGGAGCTACGGTGATCAGTACCACCCATTATAATTGCTCTAAACAAACAAGTATATGGAACAGGGAAAACAGAGGGATTAGTAAGGACAATCTGTCAGCAGAGCTCCCCTGCCTTTTGAATAACAATAAAAATGTAATAACAATAATGAATCATTCAGTGGATGCTTTTTATATAGGCTTACAGTGTCAGTGCCTGTTCTCAGTGCTCTGTGTGCCTTGACTCATTTAATCCTCACAACGTCCCTTTGAATGATGAACTATTAAGCAGCTACCATTATGAATCCGACTGGACAGATAAGGACACATGACACACAGCAGTTAAGTAACTTGTCCGAGGTCACACAACTTGTAAGGGGGGAACTGGTATTTGAACCAATCACAAACAATATTGGGTTAAATCACATGTCACGTGTGGTGGGACAGCCTCATCCCTACTGATCTCTCCAGAAATTTTGGAGACAGAGTGGCAGCTTATATATTTCCTCATCACCTCTAGCTCCAATTTCATGCTTTTGCTGAATGATTTCAGTTCGTAGATTGTCTTATAATCCCCTACATATATTCCTTGTTCTATATCACAACACACAGATGTGCTATACAGCTCCATTGAAAAAAATTTTCCATATACATATATATAATATATATATATATATATTCACTCACAATATTCATATGAGTCCCAGAATTAGCAGAACAATTTTGAAGGAATTATAAGACAAAAATTAGATTTATGAAAAAAATTAGTTTTTCAATCTCATTATGCTTGAGATTAGGAATTATAATTACAAAACAGCATTACCAATCTGGTAATAAACATGTATTATGTTTAGCTAGCATAGCTTTCAAAAACATAAATTTGAATACCTTTAGAATGGTCAAGCACTCTTTAATTCAACCCAAACCCTACCTCTCCGTACTGTTTCAGGCCGACCAGCTTCATTAATTTACATTATTATCCTGGACTGTGAAAGCGTTTTTATTTGCCATCCTGATAACAACTTACATGCACCAAGAAAGTTCGATGCATAGGTTGTCTGTCAGCTTTCAGAGTCCAAAGTTAAAAACCAGGAGGCAGGATGTGGGATTTGATGTATTGAGAGTCTAGTGTGAATCTCCTCCATATTCTAGAGCTGGAAAAAATATCACTGCTCAAGTGAGGCTAAATAATAATATTAATAAATAAGAACAGAAAAAATGTATTCTGAATTAAATTAGCAGTATCTACAAATCCATAAGCCTTTTGTCAACTGAAGAATGATGAGGTTCATGAATTTTGAAAGGAGAGCTTTATTACTCATAAAGGGTTGCAGCTGGTAGGGTGGCCATTCTGTCAGGCTGGGAAATATAGCCTCCTGTCAGAAGCCAGAAACAGATACTTTGAGGGTTGGTAGAATAAGACAGGAATTTATGCTGAACTGGGTGGTGAAATATACATATTCAATAAGTGATAGGAGGAGTCCTGAATATTTATGAAAGGAGAAATGTATGCATGTGCAATTGAGTTTCATGCCCCTTCACGGGTCCCATGTACAAAAATTGGCAGCATTAGCATGATCAAAAGGTAGAGTTTTTGGCCCTTTGATATCAAAAGGTGAAGCAGAAGACACAAAGACTCTTACTGTGCATTCTCTGTAGAATGGCCAGAACCACTCCATGATTGGTGATCTCTTATCAGGCAAGAAAGAAGGGTCAGCATCAGGCAGTTGGCTGATATCAGCATGGGAGCCTCTTTAAAGGGCTGGTTTCTATTTAGCCCTTAAGGAAGAAAGCCTAATGGTGGTTAGCAAGGGAGGGGTTCTGACCTCCCCATCCTGTCATGGCCCAGAGCTCAGTTTTCAAGGTTATACTGAGGTCCCCTTGGCCAAGAGGGGATCTGCTCAGTCAGTTGAGAGACTTTAGGATTTCATTTCTATTTCTCATCCTCATAAAACAGAACAGTATGCAATGTAGTTCATGCACCTGGACTAGGGAGAGAGACCTTGGGTTTATGTAAGTAAAAGCTAGGTTACTGGGAAACAGAAAATTGGGAAAAGGGAGGCCTGTTAGAACTTTAAAGTAACTGGAACCTTTGGATGGTACCAGCCACTGGATTTAAATAAGGTCACATTAGGCAGGCTAACAAGCTCCTTTGGGTCTGTCCCAATTTTGCTGAAAGCCTTAAGGATAGTGGTAGCTCTCATTCAATCATTTATTCATTCTTTCAAAAATATTTATCAGCGTCCATTCTGAGTCACACACTACCCTAGATCCTTGGATCATGAAACAAAATGGGCAAAATCTCCTCATTTGGTAAGAAAAGCCAGACCATAAACAAACATAAATTATATAAAAGTTTCTGAAAGTATAAGTGCTCTAAAAAGGGAAGGGTGAACGAGCCACTTTAGACTTTATGAAAGGTTTTGAGAGAGTGAGGGAGCTTATATTACAGAAAAACACACAAAATTCAACATTCAGCTTTCTGTTCTTAAAATGATCATAATTTCTGCTGTTCAGAGCCCACCTCCTCACCAGTGTCTTAGCTTTCCTTTCCTCCTGTTCTCCTCCCCTTTATTTGTTTCTTTTGCAGACATCCAATTCCTATTTATTATGTAGTCAAACTAGTTGAGTTCTCTTTCATTTTCACTCTCCTACCAACCTAGGCTCTCAAAATTTACCTTCCACCCCATGGTAAATATCAAGTTATTTTTTCCCAGCCAAGACATGTATAGTAAATTACCAATCATCCTGAATCTACAACTCATCTATATTCTCTTTGTATTCACCCTCTTTCCAACCTGGTTCTAAGTGTCTGTGCTGAGCCATTGTATTCTACCTGGAAAGCAAGCTGCAACAAAGCCATTACTTTGTGTGGTACTATTTGCACAGTGACTTTTTTTTCACTCAAGCAGCAAAAACTTTGCTTGCTGATATTTTATGTGAAATGTAAGAAAGATTTCACATTCAATTTTTGCCAAGGACACAATATGTATTGTAGAACAAAATATATTTGCTGTTATCTGAAGAAAAATGACTTTTCTTTTACAAAACAAGTTTCATTTTAGGAAGAACCATTAGCAAATAGAACCATTCGTTAAGAGTTGTAACAAGTAATTTTAGTCACGGGTGCTAAAGATAATGAACCGCCTCTCTTTTGCTTATTACTGGAAATGGCCAAATCATTATGGATCTCGGTAGTAACTAATGGTCTAAAAAACAGGGTTTGGCAAATGAGTATTTTATAGCTCAGCGACTCTTTGAATGAAGGCTAGATCATTCAGGTATTTAAGTATTATCCAAGTCCTCTTCAACTGAGCAAATGCGTCTATAATAATTAAAATACTATAAACACAGTGCCACAGTTCCTGAGTTTTCAGGGAGATCCTCTTTATTCCCAAGGGAAGGAAATAAGGTGTAGCCTTGTTAGGAATGCACTGTTTATTTACATCTAGAAACATCTTGACAAGCTGGGGGAAGAGCCTCATTTGGGAACCCCCAGCCCCCAGCTACCCACCTCTGCAGTTCCCCAGAAGTGTCTGTGATGGGGGCAGCAAAAGCCACAGCAGCTGAGCACTCTCTAATGAGCTTTTCTGGCGCTTTCCATCTCGATGAGCAGCCTTCACCCTTCCTGAGTCAGATTTCACCAACATATCACTCTCTACACAAGAACTCAATGCATCAGGGAAATAAATCGTAGTTTCTGTTTTTAAAATGATTGGAGACACTCTACCTATAGGAATGCCTTCCTTCTCCTCATCCTTTTGCAAATATTCCATTTTGACCAGAGAAAATGTTATTACAATCTCTTCTGGGGAAAGGAAGTGTCAAATTGTTAGAAGCGTTTGAACCAGAGCAACTCCATCTTGAATAGGGGCTGGGTAAAATGAAGCTGAGACCTGGGCTACATTCCCAGACAGTTAAGGCATTCTAAGTCACAGGATGAGATAGGCTGGCACAAGATACAGGTCATAAAGACCTTGCTGATAAAACAGCATATGGTCAAGAAGCCAGCCAAAACCCACCAAAATCAAGATGGCAATGAGCATGACCTCTGATTGTCCTCAATGCTGTAATCCCATCAGTACCATGATAGTTTACAAATGCCATGGTAATGTCAGGAAGTTACCCTATATGGTCTAAAAAGGGGAGGCATGAATAATCCACCCCTTGTTTAAAGCATATAATCAAGAAATAATCACAAAAATGGGCAAACTGCTGCCCTCAGGGCTGCTCTATCTATGGAGTAGCCATTCTTTTGTTCCTTTACTTTCCTAATCAACTTGCTTTCACTTTACTCTATGGACTCACCTGGAATTCTTTCTTGCGCAAGAGCCAAGAACCCTCTCTTGGGGTCTGGATTGGGACCCCTTTCCTGTAACAAAATGAAGTAATCCTAATACATAACAATTTTAACTGTGGGCAGCAAATAGTTACTGAGGGGAGATTACTATTGCTTCAAAAATTTTCTAAAGAACAAAAGCTATATTATTAATTATAGTTCTGAAATATTTTGTTGACCTTCTGCTAAGGGTATATGAGAACACTAAACCAAAATACAGCAAAAGGCACTGAAAGGAGAGGTCAGGCAGTGAGGTCAGGTACTAACATGTTGAAGTTTAATTAGTTGTAGCTCTGAGATCTGAAAGAAACTACCTGAGTAACCACAATAAATTGGCTTGTAGGGAATAGAAAAAAAAAATCCTTCCAGGGACACTTTCAAGAAGACATGACCTAAAAAAGGATGAGGTTGATTTTTGATTGACTATTTAGGGAATGTCATCTCCTATAGGACAGAGTTCATGTCTTGTTTCATTAATTCCAGAATGCAACTAGCCTAGGGCACTTTCCAGATAAAGATTTAAGTCATTCATAGAATTAGGAATTGAAGGAAGCTCAAGAGGCCACAAGTTCCCTGCCTATAGGAAAAACTTGATTCAAAAAAAGTTGTAATTTTTAAAAGGGATACTCTTGTCTTATTTTTCCTCAGAAGGATCCTGAACAAGATATTTCAAAAATTTTATTAAGGCAAGAAGTTTTGCTTAATATTTTAGAATTGCCCTTAACCTGTCAAACGCAAGAGCAGACAACAGCTGCTTAACATCTTTCAAACAGCCTTGCTTCATTCCCATGAAGATGGTGATTAAGGTCTTCCTCTCCCCAGGGTTCTAAGCTCAGGGAGAGAAACCTAGGTCTTTAACATTTCTTCTCAAGACTGTTCCCCAAATTATTAAAAACATTTTAAAAGGAATGTTTTAGCGGTCTCCTCCAAGTTCTCAACACCCTTCCATTATAAGATTTATGCATCTGCAAGCAGTTGCTTTTAACATCCTTCTCTTCCTATTTTAAGCAAAATCTTTATTTTTAAAGCACTATTCTTCTTGTCCTATGTACTATAGAGTGACCAAACGTCTCAATTTGCTAGGGACTGAGGGAGCTCCTGGGACACAGGGCTTTCAGTGCTAAAACCAGAAAAGTCCCAAGCTAACCGGAATGAGTTGGTCACCCTATGAATTAAAGTCCAGCTTCCTCTGACTGGTGGTGAGAGTGGTGAGAGGCCCACTTCTTGCCACCTGGAGTGGTTCCTGAACCACTTTACAGAGCTCCTAAGTCTCTAAGGAACCCAGACTGAAAATCATGCTCTAAGTAATATTTGGAAGACTGCTAAGTATATTGCAGAGTTTTCTAGCAGGCGCACTATCGCTTTTTCAGGCAGGATAATTCTTCGTTGTGGGATAATTCTTCATAGCTGTCCTATGTATTGTAGGATGTTTTATAAAATCTCTGGCCTCTACCTACCAGTTTCCAAGGACAGCCCCCAATTGTGACATCCTTCAAACATTTCTGGATATTATCAAATCTCCTTAACCCCTGTCCTCTTGAGAACCACTGGTATAGACTGATAATTATCTCATCTTTCCAGGTTGCAACCTACTAGGCAGGTCATAAAACCAATGCAGCAGGGCATGCCAACATTGAAAGAAAATAAAAAAGAATGAAGGCAAATACGATAGGGTAGGATAGGACAGAATAGGATGGAATGGGATGGGATGGGATGGGATGGGATGGGATGGGATGGGATGGGATGGGATGGGATGGAGTAGAGTAGAGTAGAGTAGAGTAGAGTAGAGTAGAGTAGAGTAGAATAGAATAGAATAGAATAGAATAGAATAGAATAGAATTAGAAATAGAGTCTCACATGTAAAGATAAGTATTATTCTGCAAACTTTTGTTTCATATTTATATATATGTGAGGGTACATATTCTAGGTCACAATGTAAAATTATTTTTTACTATGAGTCATGGTCAAAAAAGTTTGAAAACACATATGCTAGTCCTGGTCCATCCTATTTGCACATATTACTCCACAATAGGACATTTCCACACTCTGCTTTCACCTGCTCACTCCACCTAGCCTGATACTTAGTTATCACTCTTTTGCAAAATCAATCCCATCAATAATTCATATTTACAAAGTTTGAATTCTCCTACATGAATTACCACTGAAACCTCTGCTTGTTTGTATGTATCCACTTCTCCAAATTTTCAACGTCACCTTGAACTTAAGTGCACTAAAGCAAGTGTCATTGACAAATTTAGTATGAATATATTTTACCCCATGATGTGAGTCGCTCACTGTAATTGTGTGGGCTCTCAGAGAAATACTCTTAAGGTGGAAGTTTCTCCTACTGGGTAGCAGCATTCATCTCTGTCCCCTCAGGCTCTGTGAATATAGGAGGTGCTCAAATCCAAGCCATTTCTCACTTTGAGCTTCATTTCACTGCCTTTCTCTGAGCCCGATACTATTTGGGGAAGTCAGTCCATCCACGGTGTTTTGCTTTAAATCAACGTTGTTCAGCATGCAGCTGACTTTTTCAGATTATGCACAGACCACACCTCATGGACACAGCAATAATAAAATCAGACCCGGGGGACCCTGACGGAGTGCCTAGTAAAGAAAATAGCTGACGTTTTAGTCTTCCTGAAGCCGTAAGAACTCAGGGCCTGGTAGATTTGTAGGCCTTCATCAGGGATCCATTGGGCCATTAGAAATAAATTATGGTGGGTTTGATTTTTAGTGGTAATAAACCTTGCCAGTAGTCCATCAAAGATCATTTGTCTTGGTCTTCCATTCACCTAGGTCAGGAAGTAAAAGTCAGTGAAATGGAAGGATTTGTGTTTTTCGAATTACACTGAGCATAATCAGCCCAGGCTGGTGGGACCTCAAGGCCAGGGAACAGGGAGGCTCACGAGCTGTCTCTCCACAGTAGTTCTGATCTAACCCCAGGTGGGCACGGGATGACAGTGAGGGGCATTCAGGGCCCCCCAGATTCTTCTTCTCTTTTGCACTCTCATTGTGGGTGTTCTGGGTTGAATTGCATTCCCCACAAATTCATATTTTGGAGCCCTAACCCCCAATACCTCAGAGTGTGACCTTTTTTGGAGATAGGGTCTTTACAGAGGTAATCAAGTTAACATGAAGCATTAGGGTGGGCCCTAATCCAACATGACTGACGTCTTTATAAAAGTGGGAAAATTTGGAGGTACAGAAGCCCACAGGAAGAACACCATGGGAGGACTGAGCTATGCTGCTGCGAGCCGAGGAACTGCCATGAGCTGAGAGGCCTGAAACAGGTCTTCCCTTGGCACCTTCTGAGACAGCGTGGCCCTGCCAACACCCTGACTTTGGACGTCCAGCCTCTGGAATTGCGAGAGAATAAATGTCTTTGTTTTAAGCCACCTAGCTTGGGTACTTTGTTATGGCAACACTAGCAAACTAATACAGCGGAAAATGGAATTATTCCTTTCCCATTATCATGCACAGAAATACACATACCACATACACACACACCCTACAAATACATACTACATGTATAATGCAACCACATACGTACACACACTGCATACACTGCATATAACACACACACACGCACCCTGACATTTTCATTTTTCTTAATTATCTTTCTCTTCACTTTTGTTACTAAAAGATCTCTTTAAAATGAAATAGAATCCTCAAAAATAAGATTAGACCAATTCCCTCTCTTTTTCTTCCTCTCCCCCCCTCCCCCCACACCCCCCACCCCCCAGCTCTTGCGCTCACTCTTTCCTGTGAAGTAATGAGTAGAGAGAGTTTAAAGCACATGTCCTAGGTGGCATTTTGCTAATAGCAATTTTTAAAGCACAACCTAGATTTTCTGATTCAGGGTCAATATTCTTCACAGAAGCCCATCTCCAGCTTTCATACGTTTATGCATGGAGAAGGTTAAAATGTCGACTCCGATTGGTGGCTGGGGCCTGAGGTTCTGCCTGTAACACACCCTAGGTGAGGCCAGCGCTGCTGCTCTGTAGCCACATTCCATGCAGGGTCTTTAAAGAAAAATGGTGCTTCTCAAAGCTGACCCATCATCAGACTGACTGAAAACAAAATTTCTACCAACTGGGCCCAGAAACTTAAAAAAAAAAAAAAGTCCCTAGGTGATTAAGATTATCATTGAGGTGTGAGAACCACTGCTCCATATCCCACTGCTTTTTGATTGGATTTTCACATTATGGAAACAAGGAGGAGAGAATGCAATTCCAGAATTAGGCAGCACAGGCACAGACAACATGGAGGCAAAGCCACAGGAGGATTCCTGACCTGAGTGTGGGAGTCAATCACCACATGGAAAAGTTGGGTGAGCATTTTGAGCTCTATTTTGAGGCGGAGGGTGGCATTAGGAATAAAAGAAGGAAAAGGAGGAGGAGGTAGAAGTGTAGACACTAAGTCCAGTTAGAAACCTATGATGTCTCTGACACACGGCCGCCTTTGAGTTTCTAGAGGCACAATCCTGATCACTAAGAGAGCGAGATTTCCACTTAATGTCGGGAATTGAAGAACTCAAAAATGACAGATAATTCAATACACACACTAGGACCAGGAGACATCACAGATGTGGGCTTCCCAGGATATGGGCGAATTTCCATACCAACCTGGTGAATACTTCCACAGCAACAATGGTATAATATCCAATTTAATGCCAGTTTCTGGATTAAGGGTAAAGCCACGTTTGTCAGTACGAAGCTCTTAACCACACTTAAATCTCCTACCCATACAGCTGAGTTGTGAGAAGTTACTGTTTATGCCTGGAGTGCCGTTCAAAGTTATGTGCCCCGTGGATCCTTGATAAATACTTGTTAACTATCTGATTGAACCCTGCCATGAAAGCTGAGCACCTCTGTATTTTCTACATTGGATACATCAGAACCAAAGAAGTGCCAGGGTGGGAGATTCCTCTCATCTCTATTTCTCTGCAAGAACTCCCTACACTGCTTATAAATATGCTGATTAAAACCTGCATCAAAGAGAAAACACATTTCCATATTCCCAGTTTCCTTTATGATCAGAGAATGGATCAAAGAGAAAACACATCTCCACATTCCTGTTATTCTTTTTATTCCTAATTTAGAGGTCGAGCAGACCACATGTGGGAATAGAACAAGCGATGCCAAGTCTGTTTAGGGGTAGAACCCCATATAAGCTCAAGCTATAAGTATTTTCAAATTCTTTCTCCACATGCACTTATAGGGATGGAAAAATGTCTTAATTCTTTTACCAGATATATTCTATTTTACTAAAAGATGATAACCAGTTTTATGCTTTGATATTTGAAATAAGAAGAATCATTGTGAGCCTTAATATAGTGTGTAATGGTCTATTAAATTTTAGTCACAATGCATAATTTAAAAAATAATATTTAGGCTATCAATTTTACCTTAGCTATAACTAAGAGATGAAAATGAACTTGCCCCTTTTAACTGAAAATGTTCTAAGACACATCTCAAAACTGACTCACTTCTTTGATTATTTAACTGATGATGACTAGGTTAAGTTTGAAAATTATAATTGTTGACTTTTCTTTCAATATTGTCATGTCATCTCTTTTTGTTTTAGTTTTGCAGACCCAGAAGTAAGAACCCATGCTGTGAACATGAGTAATTTTTCTAACAACTTAGTGTGAATTAAGAAATTAAAGTGTGCTGCTGTATTTGTTTGAATAGCTTATTTAAGATTATAATATTAATCATTTTGCTTTCCTTTTGTGAAGGTGCTATTGACCCTAAAACAATCTTATTACACATTTTAAAGCAAGTGCCTATACAGAATACAAATCAGCATTTTATTTCACAGTTCCAATTAGATAAACAATTCAGAATACATTTCAATACAGTAAATAATTTGAGTCCAATAACAATTTATTGACTATAGTGAACTAAAATAAATATAATTTCTTCATATCTAAAAAGTAATTATTCACCCTGTTATTAAAAGGGTTGCTAAATACACTTCCCAATTTGACAAAGAAAGGAAGGGAGGGAGGGAGAGAAGGACTGAGGTATTGGAGGGAGGAAGGGAGGAAGGAAGGAAAGGAGGGAGGAAGAAAGGGAAGAATGGAGGGAGGGAGAGAGGGAGGGAGGGAGGGAGAGAGGGAGAGAGGGAGGTAAGGAAGGAAAGAAGGAAAGGAGAAAGGGAGGGAATCTTAAAAAGCAAATTGCTACGGAGTTCTGTTTGTTTGTTTGTTTGTTTGTTTTGAGATGGAGTGTCATTCTCATCACCCAGGCTGGAGTGCAATGGCACGATCTCAGCTCACTGCAACCTCCACCTCCTGGGTTCAAGTGATTCTCCTGTCTCAGCCTCCCGAGTAGCTGGGATTACAGGCACCCACCACAATGCCCAGCTAATTTTTGTATTTTAGTAGAGACGGTTTCACCATGTTGCCAGGCTGGTCTCGAACTCCTGACCTCAGGTGATCCGCCCTCCTTGGCCTCCCAAAGTACTGGGATTATAGGCATGAGCCACTGTGCCTAGTGTTGCTACTGAGTTCTAAGTTCTCTTCAGCTTTATGTGACCCAGCTGTGTCACTGTGGCTGCACCATAACTTCCTGAAACTCAGCTTCTAGAAAATGAAGTTATTCAATCAGACGGCATCTGAAATCTTTTTTAGTTCTGCATTCTATGATTTTTTGCAATAAAATCAGTCTCAAACTACTCACAAAAGTTTTTTTATAGATATTTGGTACTATAAGTTTTACTTTAGAAAGCCAGAATTTCTAGAGCTCTCCCACATTCTTTTCCAGTGCTTAAAAAAAAAAAAAAAATGCCTCCAACTTCCACAAGGAGATTTTAAAACTCTCTTCATGGGCCCAGAGCAGAAAGTTGCACAGTCTGCAGCACTATCAGTTGTCCTTTTAACTTTAAAGAGAACTCTCCTACTGGAAGTTGCTTCACAGTCCACCTTGCCGAGACTTGTCACTAAAGGGCCCCAACGAAGCTCCCTTGATCCTCCTCTTCTTCCCCACACTGCCCAAAAAGCACTGCTACCCCACTTCCTTAGCCCAAGCAGAGGTGCCATCATCTTTCTGGTCTCTTGAGTCCCAGTTCTTTTCTCTATGCCATTAATCAATGATAAATGTCTTGCTTGAATGTGATTTCATAGCTATTGATATCATCACCTCATCATTGCTAAGTAAGTTTCTTTAGAACCCCCCCCGACACACACACACATAAACATAGACATACTTTTGCTTTTTTATTGAAGTAGTACTTCCATATGGTAAAGTACATGGCTTGATGAATTTTAACTAATATACTGTAAAGTGCAGAGACTCATAAATGAGCATATGGATTCACCAATGTAACCACCACCCAGTTCAATACAGAGAACAATTCTAGTACCCCAGAAGGGTTCCTAAAATTACCTCCCAGCCCTGTGACTCAATTTTCCTAATTCCAAACATCCACATGTATAGAAAGAAAGCATCTTCTCCACCTGATATTTAGTCATATCATGGCCTCCTAAGATTCTCTTGGTTTTCCACAAGTCCTTCTTCATCTTGCTGTCTTCCAAATAGCTCAGTGATTCTTAGCCTGCTCCAACACTCTCATTTCATTCTGCGCAGAGCAGACCCTGTGCTTAAGCATGATAACAATAGCAAACACCACCCTACATGTATCAAATCTCTATCTACTCAAAACTGGCTCCTCCAGAAAGCCTTTCTGATAACAACGTCTGTCACTTATTGAGCACCAGCCTACAAGGTCACCTGGAGAAGAATGGAAGTGATTACTAGTCTCACTTCTACAATTCAGGAAGAGGTGACACATACAAGAAAAATTCAAGACAGTAATGAAAAGAGATATTCCTTATTTGACAGATAAGTTTCACAGAAGATATTGTGCCTGGGATTACACAAAAAGTAAATGGCAGAGATAGAGTCCAAAGCCTATGCATCTCCCCCTTTTCTTTCATTTATTGCAGTGCTTTCATTTATTTATTCAACACATATTTATTGAGCTCTTACTATGGGTCAGGTCAGGTCCTATCAATGCTACACTATGCACTGGAGATGCAACAGTGAAGAAGACACACTAAAAACAGTGAAGAAATCTCTGTTCTCCAAGAACTTATATTTTTGTGAGAGAAGGCAGCAAAAATACAGGATAAGTAAGTAAAATATATAGTATTATCAGATAGTGTTTGATGTGTTGGAGAAAATTAAAGGGAGAGAAGTTCAGGCATTGAGATTGGCAGATGTTACAGTTTTAAACAGAGTGGCCAAAATAGGCCTCACTGGGAAGGATAGGAGAGGGCCAGCCATATGGTTATTTATGGGAATAGCATGCCATGAGGAGGGAACAGCACAGGCAAAAGTCCTGAGGGAGAAACAGTCAGTTGGCCAATGTGGCTGGCATGGGGTGACAGGGGTGAGAGAAGGAAAGAGCAATAGGAAGTGAAGTCAGAGGCACGGGGGGTGGGAGTGGAGGTTGGCGTCCAGGTTACACACGGCTGTGTAGATTACTGGGATGATTTTGTCTCTACCTTTAATTGTGACTACAGAAGAATGCACTCTCTGTGTGGGGGGCTATATTGTTAGAAATCCAGATTTTTAGAAATATTTATATGGACCATTTCCCAACTATGAGCTTCTTGAGAACACAGAACACTTGTTATATTTCTTCGTTATTTCTCTGAGATTCCAAAATACCATACCAAAGAAAGCAAATATACTATCGCTTCCCACCTCTTACATCCATACAGTTCATGGCATCAATATTTTCTGCCAAATACTGGCATGGCCTCAGAATTCTCAAAAACTAATTACACTTCAAAATGTTTCTGCTTATCTATTACCACTTTTCAGCTGCATTCACAGTGGTAATCATTCATACCTACATCAGAAACCATTAAAGCCTAGTATTCTTCTCCATAGAATATTTCTAGCTACATTTTATCAACAACTGTGTGCATTATATTATAAGAAACACATATCAACAAGGATGGTGACATTGCAATTGTGTGATGCAATTTACAAAACGTACTACCAGAAATAAGAGAGCAATATAATGTTTCATTTTTCAACAGCCACTAATGGTATGACTATAGAGTGTGAGAACACATCACACTAATTGCCAACACACTGTGCCAGTGCAAGCATGAAACAAAATGCATCCTGGATACAAGCATCTAAATCAGAAATTCTTTTTTGTTGAGACAGAGTGTCGCTCTGTCACCCAGACTGGAGTGCAGTGGTGCAATCTCTGCTCACTGCAACCTCCGCCTCCCAGGTTCAGGTGATTCTTCTGCCTCAGCCTCCCAAGTTGCTGGGATTACAGGCACCTGCCACTAAACCTGGCTAATTCTTTTTGTATTTTTAGTAGAGACGGGGTTTCACCATGTTGGCCAGGCTGGTCTCGAATTCCTGACCTCAGGTGGTCCTCCTGCCTCGGCCTCCTGAGGTGCTAGGATATAGGCATGTGCCACTGTGCCTGGCCTCAGAAATTCTTAAGTGTAATCCAGGAAACACAAGCTATTCATTCATTTATTTAATAAATATTTATTAAGACCATACCATGTGCCAGAATTAGAAACTCAATGGTGAGTAAAAATAGACATAGTCAGTGCCATGATAGAGCTTCCATTAATCAAATTGTCATATAGGTGCCACCATAATGAACAAAAGGTGTATGTGCTGTGAGAGCCTGTTGGAGGGGAATGTGACTACGGAGGTGAAGACTTACCTGAGAAAGTAAAACTGGAGCTGCAATCTGAAGAACTAATGGGTAATTAACCAGGAAAAATGGGAGGTAACAGTGCTCCAGAGAGATGGAATGACCCATGCAAAGGCCATGTGGTAGGAGGAGCATGGCAAGGGCATAAAGGTTGCTGGTGTTGCCTCCACATTCTTCCCATGGGAAATGGATGTAGAAAAACTTAGAACAGAAAGTGTAAATACCACATGGGAGATCCAGAAAGTGGCTGCTGGAATGAAATCTGATGGAAGCAGTAATAGGGGTGGCTTTTCCACAATGTTTTCTCTATCACCTCTTCCCAAACTGGCCCTTCCATATCTGCAGCCCAAGAGGCTGGTTTTATTTAACATTGAGAACAGTATAGTGGCTGCCTCATTTCTCCAGAGACAGGTACAATGAGGTTCAAGAAATGAACAAATGACAAGATACATCTTAAAGAGTATGTGAGTTATAAAGATGAGAGGAGAGAAAGAGAAAAGGTGGGGTATGGAACATGGATTCTATAACAGCAAGAAAGAGTAGTAAGAAAAAGATTCCCTTTCTTAATACTATACTTGAACACCAAGATACTACAGTGTCTATTGTGTTCTTAAGAGTTGGCAAAACATTAGTTCTTTTGGAAAGCATATAATCAGGTCTATTATTATAACTATTTCTTACAGCTAAAATTAATATTTTCTGAAAAATGGCAGTGATTTAAATGAAAAGCCTATGCTGAAGGAGTTTTTATACACCTTATGGAGTCCTGGATTATTTGAATATTACTACTTTTTTTGCTAATGGACAATCACTCTGATTTAGCTTACAAAACATTGAGCAATCAGTGTGAGAACTACTTCGTTATCCCAGTCTTGAAGTTTTTCTGTGTGATGAATCTGAGACCCTGATGATATTTATTCATTACATTTTTAATGATATATCAGGTTACCATAGCAATTCTTGTTCCCTGGAAACTTCTTCCTTGAAACACACATTTACTGCATGCTGCATTAACAGCCTGATCCTATTGTTCGAGCTGTCTCATTAGCTTGAGTAATCTGAAGCTATTTCAAAACGTTAACCAGTAACAATATATAGAAAATATGCTTATTTAGGAATAATATATACTTAAGGAAAAAGCTCACCTTCAAATCACCCTTTGTCCATGAAGTTTTTCTTGACCCTGCAAGCCATAATTTGTATTGCCTTAGCATACCTAAGGGTTTATGTCACTCAGTGTAATGATTAAATATATACTCTTTTATATTATTCATCAGTTTTTTATGTTAGTCTCATGTCTGCATCTAGATTATGGTTTCTATAAATAGGAAGCTGTTATGAGTGGAACTGTGTTTCCCAAGGGGATGTTGACGTCCTAACCCCAACTACCTGTGGGTATCACCTTATTTGGAAATAGGGTCTCTGCAGGTGATAGGGCCAAGTTAAGATGATAATCCAATATTATCATATCCTTATTAAAAGGGGGAAATTTGGACACAAGAGACAAACGTGTACAGAGGGAAAATGGCAGAAAGAAGAAAGAAGCAAAGCACTATTGGTGTTCAGGGAAGGAACATATGATGATTGGGTAAATCAGATAAAACTTAAATGGAGGAGTTTACCTTTGAAATAGACAATGCTGGACAGGATTTGCAAAGGCAGAGAAAAATATTTTAGATTTAGAAAATAATAGAAACCTAGAGGCTTCCCCCATTATAGATTTTTTTTCAGGAACATGGAATAAATCTTCAAGAGTCTAGAATAATATGCTAAGACCAGATATGAAGAGTTTTTATGCAATGCACTTGGATTTATTTGGTAGGAAACAGGAAGACAGTAAAATAATTTAAGCACAGGATTTCTTTAGGAAGATTGATTGGGATGCATATGGAAGTAAAGAACCATTTAGGGCCCCGTCTCTACTAAAAATACAAAAAAATTAGCCGGGCGTGGTGGCGGGCGCCTGTAGTCCCAGCTACTTGGGAGGCTGAGGCAGGAGAATGGCGTGAACCCGGGAGGCGGAGCTTGCAGTGAGCCGAGATCCCGCCACTGCACTCCAGCCTGGGCGACAGAGCGAGACTCCGTCTCAAAAAAAAAAAAAAAAAAAAAAAGAACCATTTAGGGGATCATCATAATAGTCAAGAGGTAGTCAGATTAAACCAGAATGAGAGATCTAAAAATGCAGCAGAGAAACTAGAAAAGTTGACTAGGGAGGAATATAGATAGAGCTTGATAAGTGAGAAGACCATGATGTTTTAGTGTGGTCGGCGTGGAAGCAATGCTATTACCCGAAACAGGGAAATCAAGAAGATAAGCTGGCTTTTGAAAGGCCCCAAAGTTAGAAATGCTGACAAGGCATTTGGAAAAGTAGAATTTGGAGATGGAACAGATTAGAATTAATGATACTAATTACAAAGTAAAATGCATTAATTCAATTGTTGAAGCCATTATTATAAACAAGACCACCATGGAAAAGAGTGGAGAGATAAAGAGGGGACAGGAAAGAAAACACAATTAAATTCTCATTAACTCACACAATTCCTGGCATGCAGGAAACATCAACAAATATTTGTTATTGAATTAATATGGATGAAAAGGAGGAAGAGAAAACTAATGGATAATGAAAGAGACAGTGAAAGGAGCAGGGCATGGAAATGTCAAGAAAGAGACAATTTCACAACCTAGAGGTTGGTCAATAACGTCGAATACTGTGAACAAATCAAAGCACCTAAAGCTGAGAAAAGCTTTGGGTGATTCAGAAGAGAAAGAATGATTAGAAGTTGGGGAAGGAGAAGTAGACTAAGAACGCAAAAGAAAAAGGAATAGTAGATAGGCAGGTTATCATAGTTGAAAACAAACAAAACCAGGATGTTAGAAGCCATCAACACAGATGTTGCCATCACGAGGGTGCTAACATGGAACAGAGTGAAGAAGGAACTTAGGTACTGAAGTTTCTGGGCAAGATTGGTATGTCCTAGATGGTTGGGTCTTCTCCAAAAGACTGTGTCCATTTTCAAGGGGAAGCATTTTGCTAAGAGATAGTGGCAAAACAAAGATATAGGAGTATCAGTTGAAAGTAAGAGAGTTGGCTCATCCTTCTTCCTAAACAACTGACTCAAGATAAAGTGAACAACAGGATTTCTTTCAATGGAGGCAATTTCTAAGGAAATGATGCTGTCACAGAAAATAGACATTTTAATTAGGGGAAAGTGGAAGAAGCCTTTGAAGCAAAGGTGGGGGTGAAATTTCTTTCTGAATAAATAAGTATTCCATAGATTATAATGGAAGGGGCTAGCAGAGGGGCAGGAGCTGCAGAGTGAGGTTGGTAAGGATCCCTACCACATTCCTGGGAAGACCCTCTTCCACAGAAGTATGAGGATTATAAGGCCATCAGTGAAATCTTATATCCTGAACTTAACATATGGTTAGTGGGCAGTGATGAGTACCACATGCTAAGCTTTGGTAAATAATGACAACATAAGAATAATGTAATTTTTTCTCTCTGGTTGCAAGTTTATGGTCCTCTTCATAAAATCCTACATTTTTTTTCTTTTCATTGCTGGTGATGCTTTATTTCCATTGCTGGCTTTTCTTTTTAAGCCCTGGCAATGATCTTCACAGTTCGTAATGAGTCCAGTTGAATGGAACTTGCTTTGATTAACATAAATAGAATCTGAGGTACACTATACACTGGCCTCCCTTCTCTCTTTCTGCTACCCTTTGCATATGTGCGTGTATAAAAGATTTGAAAGAAAACAAATGTTTCTGATACAAACATTTGATGATTGATGACGTTTGATGATAAGACGAAAAGTGTTGGTCCCACTTTCTGGCCTAACATCAAAGAGATAAATATGATAACACAAGCCTATGAATTTACCAGGAGGAAGAAAATAACAAGACAGTTAACAATCACAGAGTAATAAGAGGACACAAACCCAAGTTTGATGCCTACATAGAAAAGATCTTAGAAGGGTACCTTAAAAACATACTGATTGTAAGCCCTGACGGCTGAAGAAAACTCTGATATCCAGCTCTCTAGGATACAATTCAGTCGACCCATCCTTGGGACACAGGAGAAAAGATGGAACCAGAATCCTACATATCCCTCCTGTGAAGCACAGAAAAATAGATTATTACAGAACAGGTTTGGGATTCGGGTATATTTAATTTCAAAGATTCTAAACATTGATATTTGAGATTGGAAAGTATACCTCATTCACTGCTGGAGTTTTGAATGAATTAAGAGACAAAAGAGTCACGCAGTGGAGACTAAAGTGTCAGCTTTATTAGACTTTTGGAAAACCTAGCTTAGACATGCGACAACAATGGGTTTCCTAATTTCAAAGCCAGTGATTACAAAGACCTACTCACTGGGTCACAGACAGCACTGCTACTGCAGACATCCCACTTAAAACATGGAGAAGCAGAGCAGAATGGGTTCTTGGCTTGAAAAGGAGAGAGAAAAGATGGCACTCAGCTACATGTCCTATTCCTGTTTCCATGTTTCCACTCAGAAAATTCACTCCTTCACCTCTGGGAAGAAATGAGTGAAGAAGCAGAAAGGAGAAGATGACACTCTTTCTTTCACGTCCCTTCCCATGGAAACATGAAGCTGAGGGAAAAATTTCCACCTGAATTCCCCACCACTCAACTCTGAGTACAATCTCGACTGCCCTGAAGTTGACCCAGGAAAGCCCTGAACCCTATTGTTTTGGTGGCCCTCCTTAGAGGAGGTGACTAAAACTCAAGCAACAGTGAGAACCAATCCCCCAGGGAAGCAGGCGGGGGGCGGGGGGTTGGAGATAAGAACAGGAAGGGCAGCATCATTTCTATGGGTGTGCAAGAAGGCACTGTAGGCCCTTTCTACTCACTACTCTATTTTTTTTCCTTCAAAGAGTTTTAAGAAGTAATTGAATTTGATGCCAAAATTTTAAAACCAGGATATTGCACTTAAAATTTTGGGTTACTATCTTCTGTTGAAATACTGGGTGGTCTGGTACCCCTCAGCCTATATCCTAGCAAGACAACATCCAGCCAGATGTATTTTTCTTGCGCCTTTGTCCCAGCCATGACCTGCTTGCCTGATCATTTGTGTTCTTCTGGTCCTTGGAGGGACTTGGGTTAGTAATTCTTCTCTATGTGAAACATAGATTGATTGTTTTGCCTTAGTACTCCTACAGAAAAGTATTAAACAAGAAAGCTCAGCCTGGCACAGTGGCTCACCCCTGTAATCCTAGCACTTTGAGAAGCTGAGGCAGGCAGATCACTTGAGTCTAGGAGTTTGAGACCAGCCTGGCCAACATGGCAAAACCCAGTCTCTACTAAAAATACAAAAATTAGCCGAGCATGGTGGTGCATGTCTGTAGTCCCAGCTGCTAGGGAGGCTGAGGCACCAGAATCACTTGAACCCAGGAGGTGAGTCTGCAACGAGCTGAGATCGCACCACTGTACTCCAGCCTGGGCAACAGAATGAGACACTGTCTCAACAAGAAAACAAGAAATCTAGGGGAAAAAAACAAATTGAAATGGAAAGAAAAATTTCCCATATGCAAATCAGAAACTGGCACACTTAGAGAGGCAAGGGAAGAAGCAGCAATGGAGAGGAAAAGGCAAATGGCAGCTGAATCATCAAGAACCTCATTCTGGGGCAAGAGAACCAAGAATATAGAACTGTAATGTAAGTGACAAAAGTCAGCCAGCTGAGAAAACCAAAACACTGCATTTAACCAAGAAAAATAATACTTTGAAAGTCACTAACCTTCTTGCCAGTTAGTTTTTACAAAAGACAATGTTCTATATAACCAATTGTAGGTTAAAAGTATTACTGTGATTGAAGCCAATTCAGATGGACAAAGTGCAAGCTAAGGAAAGCAGTGAGCTTGGATTCTGGCAGAAATTCACCTCCAATTCGAGACATGGGTAGCCGCATGCTCCTCCTGCCAAGCCCATTCTTTCTGTTAGTAGGAACCTGAACTATTATGAATAAATTAAATACACAGAACATCCCCAAATTCAGCTCTCTGATTTAACTGCTTCTCTTTTATTTGTCAGGCAGCAAAATGTAATAGAATAGTTATCACCGGATGACTTTGACATCTGTGAAGCCTGGTCAAAATGGCCATTATCCAAAAGGCTATTTACCCAGGAACTTGGGCCTGCACTTCAGTTAACTTCCACCAGATGGTGATGGATTCGTGCAGCAGGGCTCACACTTAGCTGCAAATCCTGGAGGTTGGAGGTGGAAGGGAGAGTTTAAAAGCAGATATTCTGGGCCCCACCTTAAAACATACTGATTCCATAGGACTAAATAGGTTAGAGTTGGAGCCCAATATTCATATGTTTTTAAAAACTCTTCCCCCAGGGAATCCTGACCTGCAGCCAATCGAGGGAATCACCGATATTGACCACAGCTTTACAGATCTGACTTCCTCAGAAAATATTAATAACTTCAAAGTTAGAGATAAACATTAAGAAATACATTTTGAAAAGCAAACTAAATAAAACTAGTGTATTATTTCAAATAGTAATCTAGACTAAACTCTTCAAGAAATGTGTAGGAATTGGTAAACCACACAATGCAAAACTGTAACAAAAATAGCTTCCTGGGCACATGAAGTTGCTTTCAAAGTAACTTCCTCGAATGAATCTAACCTAAATACCCCCAGTGAACCATTGGCTCATCCTATCAAGGACTTTCACTGGCTTCATATGCAGCATAGGACTTTTTATATAGTAGAAGGTCAATCTGGTCTTATGAAATTAATTATTGAATTTAGTAAAACCAAAATATCACAGCATCTAACACCTTGTTCACTATGAGCTTATCTATGAATTATATAAGGCATTTAACTTCTCTGGGTCCTGATTTGTCAAATGAGACAATAAGAGGATTTGAGCAAAGTGCTAAATTACCAATGAGAACCATTTCATGTCTAATAACAATAGCCGACACGTATACAGTGCCAAACACATATGCCAGGCACAGTGCTAAATAATATGAATGTAAATATGAGTGTACATACAAAATGACTATATTGAAATATATCTTCATAACAGTCTTCATAGCAACCTGTGAGCTAGATCCTATTATTATCATCCACACTTTATTAATAAAGAATTTAGATACAAAGAAATTAAGTGACTGATCCCAAAGGTAAGTAGCATTTGCCAGAGTGGCAAGTAAACAAAAAAGTCAGGATTTTTTTTTAAGACAGTCTCACTCTGTCGCCCAGGCTGGAGTGCAGTGGTGCAGTCTTGGCTCACTGCAACCTCCACCTCCCGGGTTCAAGCGATTCTCCTGCCTCAGCCTCCTGCTGCATCAGCAGCACGCCACCCACACTGAGCTAATTTTTGTATTTTTAGTAGAGACAGAGTTTTACCATGTAGGCAAGGCTAGTCTCAAACTCCTGACCTTAGGTGATCCACCCACCTCGGCCTCCCAAAATGCTGGGATTATAGGTGTGAGCCATCATGCCCGGCCCCAAAAGTCAGGATTTCAATCCTGAATGTTTGGGTACACTGACTCTTAGAACCAATGACTGCATTCTTTTCCACTGTCTGGATTAGTTTATAAAGTCAGCCACATAAAATGTACAAATATGTCTTTATCTCTTTTAATGTCTAAGAATACTAGGTATATTACTAAAAGCTTAGAATTTTAGCTAGTCTAAATTGGATAGGCCATTATCTAAAATAGAACTTAGGTATGAATTGCCTGACTAAATAAAATAACCATCATTATGGAGGATGTCCCAGTCTCTCTCTCTCTCTTTTTTTTTTTTTTTTTTTTTTTTGAGACAGGGTCTTGCTCTGTCACCCAAGCTGGAGTGCAGTGGCATGATGATGGCTCACTGCAGCCTCGACCTCCTGGGCTCAAGAGATCCTCTCACCTCAGCCTCCCAAGTAGCTGAGACTATAGGCACATGCCATCACACCCGGCTAATTTTTGTATTTTTTGCAGAGACAGGGTTTTGCCATGTTGCCTAGGCTGGTCTTGAACTCCAGGACTCAAGCAATCCACTCACCTTGGCTTCCCAAAGTGCTGGGATTATAGGCATGAGGCGTGAGCTACCATGCCTGGCCACCATAGTCTATCTTAATAAACATTTATTGAGCACTTGTATGTGCCAAGCTTTGTGCTAGGGGCGGGGACAGATTAGACAGAGGCCTGAACTCAAATGCCTCACATGCTAGAGAAGAGATGGGAGAGATGGGGACCATGTTTGCTGATGTTTAAGTCACACAGATGTCAACATTATGTTTTAACTTTATCAAGAAAAACTTTTGGGGGAAAAAAATAAACCATGTTGGTATTTTCATCAGATATATTTTGACAGTGATTTTTAGAGAGTAATATATGGAAAATACATTTTTAAACATAAAATATGCTGCATACTAAAATCTAGTGAGATAATTAATGGATATCCATTATTAGTCTGCTAGCTGAAAAAAAAATTTTCATAGATAAAATAGAAAAATACTAACATTAATAAACACTGGCACCAAGCAGGGTGGTAGAGATAATAAATTTAAATCTCAAATGATTGGAGAATGACAGAAAATCTGATCAGTTTTGTAATCTGTGCCTTATCATCTTCATTAAGAAAACTTCCAGTAGGACATGAAAGCTTAATCTTTGTTAAATGCTTTGTTTTGGCTCACTTCCCACAATGTACATTTTCCACTGGGTAATGCATGCTTATTGGCTAAGCTGATATTTGGAAAGGCTGTTTGGGGAGCTGGAGATGAACATTAATATAAACTAGCAATTATGGTATTAGCCAACTATTATAATATAGTTGAGAAGTGTCATAATTAATAGTCAATGGTTGTGTGAAATCAGGTGAAAGATATACAATTGTCAGTAAGAAATACATGGAGAATTGGGAGCAGAAAATACAGATTTGCAAGTTAGCATACAAGAGAAAAGTAGAAGTGGAAGAGAGAAGGGATTGCCCTTAGAGAAAATGTAGAATGAGAAGAAAATATTCAGGACAGGTGATTTAAAGAGTCTCTCTTTCCTCCTTCTCTTTTATCAGAATTCATAATGCTGGTCTCATGGCTGTTTTGGCCTTGTGAGAACTGGAGTTTAATCTTAACGATAAATGTACATCCCAGAGCAATCAATCAAACCAATGAACTATTGCAGAACGCCTGCACTATAGGCTCTGATAAAGTCTGCACTAATGTAAAAGGACTTAAAGTTAAGATAAAATTAGGATAGAGGCCCTCTTATACAAAACAATTTGGAAATTTCATTTGAAAAGGTCAATTGATACAAAGGATTGTAAAAATGATATATATCTAAACTCAATGTTTTATTTTAACCAAACTTTTTATGTAAAGTCAAAGCTTTTTTGTTAAGTGTGGTTCTGCTGAATGGAGGGTTGTTTTTTTTTCCTTTACTTTTTCTCCCAAAAAATATTTTTTGAGACAGGGTCTTGCTGTATATCCCAGGCTGGAATACAGTGGCACAATCACAGCTCGCTGCAGCCTTGAACTCCTAAGCTCAAGAGATCCTCCCACCTTAGCCTTGTGAGTAGCTGAGATCACAGGTACATGCCATCACACCCAGCTAATTTTTTAATTTTTTATAGACAAGAAGTCTTGCTATGTTTCCCAGGCTGGTCTCAAACTCCTGGGCTCAAGCAATCCTCCCACTTCAGCCTCCCAAAGTGTTGAGACTACAGGTGTGAGCCATCGCACCCAGCCTTCCCAAGATTGTTATCTTCTTTTTTCATCTACTTCCAATTTAACAGCAGTTTTTAAATGACTGATATGGTTAGGCTTTGTGTCCCCACCCAAATCTCATCTTCAATTATAATCATCATAATCCCCGTAATCCCCATGTGTCAAGGGAGAGACCAGGTGGAGGTAATTGGATGATAGGGGTGGTTCCCCCATGCTGTTTTTGAGATAGTGAGTTCTCACAAGATCTGATGGTTTTATAAGTGTCTGACAGTTCCTCCTACACACACTTAGTCTCTCTAGCCTCCTGCCATGTAAGACATGCCTCTTCTCCTTCCATCATGATTGTAAGTTCCCTGAGGCTTCCCCAGCCATGTGGAATTGTGTCAATTAAACCTCTTTCCTTTATAAATTACCCAGTTTCAGGCAGTTCTTTATAATAGTGTGAAAATGGACTAATACAATGACCCATCTTTAGCCTTTCTAAAATAATTTTTTTTTTTGAAACAGAGTCTCATTCTGTCACCCAAGCTGGAGTGCAGTGGCATGATCTCAGCTCACTGCACCCTCCACCTCCTGGATTCAGGATTCAAGCAATTCTCCTGCCTCAGCCTCCTGAGTAGCTGGGATTACAGGCACCCACCACCATGCCCAGCTGATTTTGCATTTTTAGTAGAGATGGGGTATCACCATATTGGTGAGGCTGGTCTGGGACTCCTGACCTCAAGTGATCCACCTGCCTTGGCCTCCCAAAGTACTAGGATTACAGGTGTCAGCCACTGTGACAGGCCTACAATTTAATTTTTATATAAATAAAAACTCCTGTGACTCTTGGTAAACATAGGGACTGACCAGTGCGAATGGAAGGACCCAGGCAAACTGGGGAGTCCATTAAGAGGGCTTCCATTGGCCAGAACTGCTCATTCACATCAAATATCTGAAACACGTTTAAGTAGAAGAAGAAATGCACCATTTCAAAAAGAGAAATAATAAGTAAGTTTATTACTTATTATATATAACTTTACTCTGAGTTAAAAATTTCACTTTGAAAGTCAATAGTTACAAGAGACCTAATACTTGGTTGAAACTTCTCAGTTACTTTGGAAGTCTATTTGAAGTGCCAGCCTCTTCCTTGATGTTCTAACCGGCAGTGCCCTCTCATTAGGAGACCCCTAAGCAATGTTTTTAGACCTCATTTATGGTACGTATTTCATCTTACTGTCAGTGCAGACATTTATAAATTGATCTTACCTCTTTTATGGGGTATATATGATATTACTTGATCCAATAGACTATGCCTTTCTCACATACTTTGCAAAGTCAATGTGCTTTGCACATAATGGGACTTTGTATATGTTAAATTGCAATGAGTGTGTGTGTGTGTGTGTGTGTGTGTGTGTGTGCATTTGTGTGTCTGTATGTGGTGAGGCAGGAGGCAGGGGAAATAGAGGGAAAACACTTAACCTTATTCCTTGTTCATAAATGCCCATCCTGATGTGAGATTAAAAAAAATCCCAGAAGTTCCCAGTCATTTCTTTTCATATTTCTCTATATGTTGTTATATTACAATGTTTAAAGCCGGGAACAGTGGCTTATACCTGTAACCACAGCACTTTGGGAGGCCGAGGTAGGTGGATCAGTTGAGGCCAGGAGTTTCAGACCAGCCTGGCCAACATGGCAAAATCGTCTCTATTAAAAATACAAAAATTAGCTGGGTGTCGTGGCATGCGCCTATAGTCCCACATACTTGGATGGCTGAGGTGTGAGAATCACTTGAAACTGGGAGGCAAGGCTGCAGTGAGCTGAGATCGAGCCACTGCACTCCAGCCTGTGCAACAGAGTGAGACCCTGTCTGAAAAAAAAAAAAGAAAAAAAAAGTTTACCTTGCTACCTCTTCAGGAAACATCTCAGCAGTGCACACAATATTTTAGTTATCTTTATAACCCACTTTATTGACTCAATATTTGTTAAATAAATAAATGCACAAAAGACTGAACTGGAATGTCTCCTAAAGATTCAAAGAGGGTCAGAAATTGAGAAGGTATAGAATCATCACTAAAGAAAGTCCATTTGATCCTACTTTGACTATCTAAAGTATATTCGACTGTCTAATACTTTTTTCCCCAGGAAAGTATATATAATGTTATTAAATTTTACAGCCAGAGAGGTCATTAGAGTTTAGCCCATTTCATTTTAAAAATGAGTTAACAGATTGGCTCAGCGTGACACAGCTAGTCATTAAGATAAAACCAAAGCAACAGTAAGTCATTTTGGCGACATCAACTCCAATTACCTTCTGAAAAAAAGTGGGTCAAATTCTATAAATAAAAGTTCTTTGGCAATGAGAATGACTGATGGGAGCTGAAGTGGGCTATGTGGCAGAAAAGGATGGGAAAATGAGAGAGGCCAGAATGGGGTTTCCAACTTAGGTATGTCTGCTTGCCACATTGCCCCGATGACTGTGATATGCCCTCTCTCTCTCACTAGAAAGCAGCAAAGGTCGGACTCAGCTCAGGTCTCCTGATCTCTGTATCAGAGTTCTAGCATCTTAAACAAACATACAAATGCCACTTGTTCAAAAATATATATTTAGAAAGCTTTAGAAATCAATTAAATAAAAAAGAAATCCTCCACAAAATAGTCAACATCACTTTCATTTGTTGTAAATATTTCTGCAACACAGTTGTAAACCTTAAACAACTCATAAAAGATAAAATATCAAAGATATTTAAAGAAATAAGAAATAGGATATTTAAAAGAGTTGAACAGTTTTCCCAAAGTCCAGAAACTCAAACATTTATACGGGGAGTGGAGGGATGAAATCGCTTTTTTTCTTTTAAACTATAGTTCAACAAATATAACAGGGGAAATTATGATAAAACCCATAAAAAGCTAGTTTTCACTTTGACTTTTTTTTGTTTGTTTGTTTGTTTGTTTTTTGAGACAGGATCTTACTCTGTTGCCCAGGTTGAGTGCAAAGGCACGATCATGACTCACTGCAGCCTCGACCTCCCAGGTTCAAGCTATCCTTCCACCTCAGCCTCCAGAGTGGCTGAGACTATAGGTATGAACCACCATGTTAGGCTAATTTTTTTATTTATTTTATTTATTTATTTTTTTTAGAGACAGGGTCTCTCTATGTTGCCCAGGCTGGTCTTGAACTCCTGGGCTCAAGCAATTCTCCCACCTCAACCTCCCAAAGTGCTGGGATTACAGGCATGAGCCACTGTGCCCAGCCTTTCCACTTCGAACTTTTAAAATCATCCTTTGGAACTGAGAAAAAGAATGTCTTTGGGGGAGGGGGAGATATGTGGCTTTTGAAGAAGTCAAAACATTTCGGTTTTAGCTTACAACAACAAAAAAAGCCATTTATTTTATTTTATTTATCTTTATTCTTAAAACTTCAGCTTTTATTTTAGATTCAGGGTATACATGTGCAGGTGTGTTACTAAGGCATACTGTGTGATGTTGAGGTTCGGGGTATGATTAAACCTGTCACCCACGTAGTGAGCATGGTACCCAGTGTTTCCACCCTTGCCCCTCTCACTTCCTCCTCCCTCATATATTCCCCAGTGCCTACTGTTCCCATCCAAAAATCTGTTTTAAAATGGTGAAATATTAAAAGCCCCACCCCTGTATTTTGTGGTTTTTTTAGGATTTTAAGCTCCTTTTGTAATATTTTTCTGCTACGCAGAGATTAATTCAGCTGGCTGGTTTCTAGCCCATCAGGCAAGGAAGTGTCCACCACATGTAGGCACTATAAATACTTGTCAACTAAACAAACAAACAAATATCACACTCCAGAAAATGCTTGTAATTTGGAGGGTGAATGCTGCTTCTTCAGGTTGGGGGGACGTTTACCTGCTGCTCTTATCAGGAGAAATCTTCATTAAGATGAGATTGTGAACTCTGGGAATTCTCTCTTAGCTGGATATTTACAGCTAATGCTGGAGGCTTAACTCTTTCTTAAACAGACCGGTCATTTGACTCCGCTTTCTATCCCAAGCCCCATGCTGACATTCAGTCTCCAAGGCAAATGCAAGCACACAGCTAAACAGCAGCCCAAAGGGCCACTGCAGATGCAGAAGAATAAAAGGAGGAATGCCCTGCATAGGAAGGGGAGGGGGAAATCACAGTGAGAAGAAATTCAGTTCAAGAACCACTCTCTGAGAGTGATCAACATGCCAGGGACAATACTCGGCATAATGAGTCCCAGAACTGAAGGAGTCTACAATTTAGGGAGGGAGGGCAAATTCACACTCAGATTTAATATAACATCACATGTTTTATTACAGAGACTCTGCAATTAACAAGGGGTGAGAAGAGAGGAATTGAGACAGGTGCAGGGGAAGTTTCTAGAGTGAAGTGGAAGCCACATAAAAATGCATGCAGGCCTGATGTGGTGGCTCACACCTTTAATCCCAGCACTTTGGGAGGCCTAGGCGGGAGGATCACGTCAGGAGTTTGAGACCAGCCTGGCTAATATGGTAAAACCTCCTCGTCTCTACTAAAAATACAAAAATTAGCCGGGCGTGGTGGCGAGTGCCTGTAGTCCCAGCTACTGGGGAGGCTGAGGCAGAAGAATTGCTTGAACCTGGGGGGCAGAGGTTGCAGTAAGCCAAGATCGTGCCACTGCACTCCAGCCTGGATGACAAAGCGAGACTTTGTCTCAAAAAAAAAAAAAAATTCTCGCAAACATCGGAGTGGAAGGCACTGTTTTTTTTTGGGGGGGTGGGGCGGTTATTACACTTTAACATTTCTAGGTCATGTGAAAATGTTTACTTAACCAAAGATCAGTACAAAACTGGAGCCTGCTGTTTTATGGTGAAATATCTATAGCCAAATATAATGTGGAATTGTACAATAAAAGTACAGACCTATTTAGTGAAAAAGGTAGATCTTGCATGAGGAATGATGAACTGTCACAATCTCATAGATTTTCTTTGGTACAGAGTCCCACTCTGTCGCCCAGGCTGGAATGCAGTGGCACCATCCTGGCTCATTGTAACTCCGCCTCTTGAGCTCAAGTGATCCTCCCACACCCAGCTAATTCTTGTATTTTTTTTTAATAGAGATGAGGTCTGGCTAGGTTACCCAGGCTGGTCTGAAACTCCTGGGATCAAGTGATCCACCCACCTCAGCTTCTCAAAGTGCTGGGATTACAGGCATGAGCCGCCATGCCCAGCTTCCAATCTCATATAGATTTTCTTGAATCTTTACCTCACTCTCCAGAGCAGGGGTCCCCTACCCTGGGTCACAGACCTGTAGCGGTCCATGGCCTGTTAGGAACCAGGCTGCACACCAGGAGGTGAGTAGAGGACAAGTGAGCAAAGCTTCATCTGTATTTATAGCCACTCCCCATTGCTCAAATTACTGTGTGAGCTCCTCCTTCTGTCAGATCAGTGGCAGCATTAGATTCTGATAGGAGTGTGAACCCTGTTGTGAACTGTGCATGCGAGGGATCTAGGTTGCATGCTCCTTATAAGAATCTAATGCCTGATGATCTGTCATTGTCTCCCATCACCCCCAGATGGGACTATCTAGTTGCAGGAAAACAAGCTCAGGGCTCCCACTGATTCTACATTATGGTGAGTTGTATAATCATTTCATTATATATTACAATGTGTTAACAATATAAATAAAGTATGCAATAAATGTAATACATCCCAAAACTACCCCACAACCATCCCCAGTTCATGCAAAAATTGTCTTCCATGAAACTGGTCCCTGGTGCCAAAAAGATTGGGGATCACTGCTCTAGAAGAATCTATTCTATTTTGTTTATTTAAAATGATCTTGTGTTGTTACAGACACAAGGCATTTTAAACCATTCATTCAGTGAGTCATTCATTCATCTAAAGTTTACTGGAAACTTCTGTGTCCAAAATGTTAGCTTCCTACACAAATAAACAGGTTTAACTAGTCAGGAAGGTAGACTGAAGTTTAACCCTGCAAGACTGAAGTAGAGAACGCGGAATCCCTATTAATATTAATGAAGGCTAGGAGCCCCTGTGAATGCAGGGTTGTCACAGTAATTGAGGCAGCCTCTGAGCTGCCTGGGAGTAGGATACCCCAGAGTTGGGCCAGATCTCAGAAATTAGCACATATGAGTTGGCTCTGCTTTTCTCTCCTTTTTTCCCCTTCTATTTTGGAAGAAGGAAAAGTCAAGGCTAGTGCCTGCCAGGGAGAGAGGTGACTCTCACAGATTGGAAGGCAGTCCCATAGAAGGGTGTTTGCTAGGTATTGGGATCAGCTTCACATTGAAGTTTTGATGCCTAGAGGGAAGGGGCAGTAAAGTAGGGGGTTTTCAGGAATGAAGCCACAAGCCCAGAGGTGCCAGGCTTCAGAGACTCAAAGCGTTCAAACTGCTTGAGGCCATTTAGAGCCAAAGCTGCTAGTGGCTGCAGGGCTGTTTGAATCCTGGAGTCCTGGAGTGAATACAACACCAGGGGCTCCAGACACGGAAGGGAAGGGAACACAGCCATATCATAACAAGGCTGGAGGTTTTGAGGCTGAAGGGGCTGTTTGAACCCTAGGGCGAGTAAAATGCCAGGTTCCCAACTCTGAAGTGGAAGGAAAAATGGGTAAGCTGGTGACAACACTTAGACTCCAGAGGTTTCCTTCAAAAGTAGAGACTGTGCAATAAATTCTTTTCCTAGACCTTCGCATTGAAATTCAACAAGCAATTACTGAACATCTAAAAATTCCACGGGACTGTGTTACGCGCTTCACAGACAAACATACATCTGCTCTTCTGTTGGTGCTCCAAATTGAATATTCTTCCTTGCTAAGATATAGTGACAAGGTATATGTATATTATTGAGTTATATTTTGCCAATAAAACTTTTAATTGGCTTAAGGAGGTAGCTTCCATTCTGGAGTTCTCCAGAGACCCATTCACTAAAAGAGAAACAGGCTGCTCTGGGGTTAAGCTTCCATGGATGCTGGCAAGCCATCTTGTGATAATGTGAGCAAACTGCAAGCACTTAATAATACAGAAGGGAAGAGAGTGGGCTGGGGGAGGTATGCACCTGCTGTAGAGTTCGTATAGAAGAAACTAAACTTAAAAGTGGGTGGGAGCTTAGATTCATTCAGTTTATTTAACTCACTTATTCTACAGACAAGGTTTTTGAGAACCTGAGAGGTTGGGCAATTGTCCCAAATTATATATGTAGGTGCCCCTTTCTTAACAAACATTTGCCTTACATATTTGAGGTTATTTTTTCAGAAGAGTACCATATATGTCTATTAACAATTCCTAAATGCTTTTTCACAATAACAAAGAAATAGAACCCCAACTGAATCTGGGCCTTCTCTTTCACCCTGCCACCCGGCTGCCCCAGCACCAAAGCCCAAGTGTCTGCCACTCACAAAAGGAAACCTTCTCCCCTTTGTGTTAGCTCGAATGCACAGACCAGGTCTTCCTCTGCTGAAGTGTCATATATGACTATTGACCCAGGAGTACTCCCCGCTACAGTGGGCTGAATGGTGGTCCCCTAAAAGATATGTCCATGTTCTAATTCCTAGAACCTGTGGATGTGACTTTATTTGGAGAAAGGATCTTTGCAGACATCATTAAGGATCTTGAGATAGGGAAAGTTGGGGAAACTATCCTGGATTATCTGGGTGAGCCCTAAACACAATAGCAAGTGTCCTTATAAGACACACACAGAGGGGAAGACAGATACAGTAGATCGAAGAAGGCAACGTGAACACAGAGGCAGTGATTGGAGTGATGCAGCCACAAGTCAAAGAAGGATGGAAGAGGCAAGGAACAGGTTCTGCTCAAGCCTTTTGAAGGAACACGGCCCTGTCTGCAACTTGATTTCAAACTTTCAGCCTTCAGAATTCAGAGAGAATAAATTTCTCTTCTTCTAAGCCACCAATTTGTAGTGATGTGTTGCTGCAGCCATGGAAACAAGTACAGCCTCCAATGACACGTCCTGATCCCTCTACCACATCCATTTCTCCTTCTCTGAAATGTCTATGAATCTGGTCACTTCAACACTGGGACAGGACTCAGACACCATGGAAATCAGCAGCAATACTTTTAATATGTTTTTTTAAAGATTTCTTTTTCTTAAACAAATTAAGCTTATTAAGATGAGGATGAATGTTCCAGCTTTGTATCAAATGAAAGACAAAATAAAAGTTTCCCAACTTCAGAGTTTCCTTCAAATTTACCAGTTGCTTCCTATATTCAGTGTCCTGTAAAATTCAACACAGGAATAGATACAATAAGGCAGAAAATTAGCCTAATATAGCACCTTGCAACATAAAGCAGCTGCCTAGTCCAGGCCGTCATAATTTTCTGCCTTGATTATAGATATAGCCTGTCTTGCTGTCTCTATTTCTCCAAACTAATCCAATGCTTCTTAAATGGTATCTTAAACTGTTTTTGTCCATGACACTGTAAGAAATACATCATGTGGCAGTGCACAAATATATAAAAATAGAGAGAGCAATGCATGCTGCCTTTTAAAATTCACTTTCATTCTCTGTCTCTCTCTCTCTTAAAGTATGGGCCATGTCCCAAACTGCTATAATCCATACTCTAAAGCTGTCAGGCTGCATCCATACTGATGCCATGGTCACCTTTCTAAAATACACATCCATCGTTTCTTTCCCTTAATTAAAATCCTCCCATGGCCCCCTCCACCTCCATTCATTACAATAATACTTTTCCATTGAGAAGCCACAGGACCACATTGAAATAACTGAGGGTTAAAAAGATAAAAATACATAATTCGTGCCCCAACAGAGCATAATATATATAAATGTATAAACAATATATACAAGTCCCCAAAGTTTTCAAACTGTGCCCTTGCATTACTCTCTCAAGCAGCTGAACTCTCGGACCAGGTATAGTATTCTCGTGTGCTTAGCTATCTACTCACTTATTTTTTAAGATTAAATTGTCTCAGTTCTTCCTTCTTTCTTTCTCCTCTCATCCCCTATGCAACCATCCAGTACTGAAGCTCCTTCAATGCCTAAGTGATACTAGCTACTCAGTGCTAGGAATGTCAGGAGCCCTCATGGAACATACAATCTAGCTCAAAACTCCTTCCCAGACCCTCTCGTTTGTCCTCTCTGCATGACCCAGGGAGAAGATCTCTAATGACAGAGGACTTATCATCTGTTTCATCATCCTGCCTGTCTCTGACTGTAAGCTTTGAAGTCACTTATTTTCTCTGCCAATTACTGATACAGTCTCATATAGTTCATGTGTCTATTTCTCCTTGCAGTTCTATCATCTGTTTGCTTCACAGCCTCACTTCCAACACTGTTCCTGGCCACTAGTAAGACTTGAGGAAGAAATGAAGAAAGGAAAGTTGGAGGAAAAATTTTTTAAAAAAAGGATCTGAATAGGGGGAAAAGAAATCCTAGCTTCTATTATAATATGAAATAACAAAAATTGGAAAGAAAATTGCAATGCCAGTGGGGAGAGGTTTAAAAATAAAGAAGGCTGAGGAGGAGGAAAAAAAATTTCCAAACCCTTTCAAACCTAGACTAGAGGTAAATCCAGAAAGAATTTCAATTTATATGAAGCAACAGACCATTCAAATCCCTACCCCACAATCCAAAGCCTTAACCAGGCGCCATGAAATGTGCTTTCTTTTTTTTGGAAGCCATGCTTACAAATTCACCTCTTCTCAGTCTCATTCCATTGAAACAATTTCTGCCCCCACCTGATAGAGTCAAGAGCCAAAATCATGTAGAAGCTCAGCTGAAAGTAATTTTCAGAGTTTCAAAGTGCATAATGACATCGTCAGCTCCCTGTGCCATGTTCTGACTCCAGGAAGTGCCACATTAGCACTTCAGGAAAGAAAAGATCCACACTCTCCTTAAATCTTGCTGGTGACATAAAGAATACTTAGTGCCTTATAATACAGACTTCTGCTTCACAGAAAAATTTTTCATTTGTTTTGTACTGGAAAACTGCAAATGGATACCCCTAATCATGCAGTTGGGGGAAGTCACTTCAGAACAGGGAGATGGCCTTATTGAGACCTAATATGAGGGACCCAATTCAAGTGGTCCTTTGATAATAAGGAATAGTGTGATCTCTGCATTCTGCCAACAAGCCTATTAGTGAGTTGAAGGCAGAAGAGTTAATGAAACAGCACCTGAATCTATCGGCTCCTACTATAAGTTACATGAAAACACCTCCGTAAAGTGTTGCCTGTCTTTTGCTTCTGCCTCTAAATTAACAATCACTGTTAATTTTATGCCTTATAGTTGTGATTCTCCTCAAAGACCAGGTTATCGTTCATATGAAAAAAAAAAAAAAAAAAAAGCATGTCAGTAGACCACCCTTCTGCCATTGAGGCCTACCAGATGATCTTCTCCATGGCTTTGGTTGTTAAATTCATTTTACTGTGCAGAGATGCGACATTCTGCCTTTGAATGAATTCAAATGCCTTTGAAAATGCTTGGGAGCAAATCTGGTCAAATTCAAGGTAAGAGACAAGGGCTTAAGGACATTCATCTTGCCAAGGTACAAACCACTCTATAGTTATCAGCAGAGCAAAAGGACAACCCTTTTTAGAAAAATTATGTAATGGGTTTGGCCTGCCCAAAGAAAAGAAAAACATCCATTTGTGTAAGTATATGTGGATATGCCTTTTCAGGTGAAATAATGCTGGAGTTAACTTACCATTTCTGACTTGAAACATCTTAGTTCCTTCAAGGTCATAGTGACCTCCCTATGGTTAGACATTGGCTCGAATTGGCTCTCATCAGTTAATATTTTTCTATCCAGGTTACTTATTTCTGAATTTAACTTTCATTCTAAATTTTAGTCTGTAATCCTTAAAATATGACTCTCTTCCCTTCCTAATTTTTTTGTGTAATAGTAAAATATTGAGAAATCACTTGGAGCAGGTGCTTTTCCCCCAAAAGAGAAAGAAAATGAAATAACAAATCTGCTCCTTGCCCTTGGGAAATACTGAAAGAGACATGAAACTCACCATGTGTGATAGAAATGAGAAATAATGTTGGTCTAAGACACAAATATGACTGCAAATTAAGAGAGAAAAATGCTAGAAATTGTACGACTTTGATGGATTTGAATACAATAATACATGAAGAGGCTATATAAAAATATTCAAGGACTGCTTCCTAGAAAAATCAAGAATTGCTAAATATGTTTTAGTTTAGGGTATTTTGTGGGGGAGGTGTAATTGCATCTCTCATTGGTATTTGTTTCCTTTATTTGTCAAATGCACATTAATTTTATTTATCCTGACATTTATTCCCCTCCATTTGCAATCAGAAATCTTAACCTTAAAAGAGAAATAAAAAATACCTTATTTTCCATCTGCTTTGTCTTTTCTATTTCCTATTATAGTTGTATCATTTTAACTATTGAATCTTATGATCTATTACTGCTACATATTCATATTTTAGTCTCAGTATGTTATTCATTCCCACCTAAACACACTTACATCTTTCTAAAATTCACTCTTTTTCTTTCCTCCACCAGGCTCCTCAAGTTAATTCACTACCTCCCATCTTGATCTCTGTAATTTGCCCATGTTGGTCTTCTGACATCCTTTCTCAAAACACTATTGAAACACTATTTAAAACCTTGAATTTCAAATAATTTATTCCCCCACTCCATCAACCCCACTGATTACCAGTTCATCTCTTGCTCACATTTAAATGGCTGATTCTAATTTCCCCACAAGCACTTTATAAAGCTTTAACTAACATTATCTATTTCTTCCACAAAATTACATGTATTTTCATCTCTTTGTGAAGCCTGTTTTCTAATTGGTTTCGTTTATTTAGCTTATCTCTCCAATTTTCTTCTTTTATAGTCATTTTTCATAACTCTCCTTATTGTGCACTTTTAATCATGGAAATGCACCTTGGTTTAAATGGCCTGAAGATAAATATTGAAAACACGTATGCGAATAGTCTAAACTTGATTACCTAATGGTTTGTGTGAGGATAAAAGGAACATGAAGATAAATTGTTACTAGCCAGATTTAAATACATAACAGGCCTTGGCATTTACACTCCCATATCCAACGCCTACAATGTCCTCTCACCACCTATCTTTCTCAAGGTTAGAAAGAGGAAAGTAATCTGAGATGCATTTTTCTCCCTGGTCCAAACGTTAGTTTTCATTTGTAGAAGCCAGTCTCTTCACACATGGGCCAGACCATTTATAAATCAGAAGTTGTTTTGAGCAAAGACAAAGGAAGTTGAAGAACCACTTAATAGTTTCACCAATACCCTTTCACACTGTAAAATTTTCAAATAACTTCCATGATCAATACTTTCTTTAATCCACTGATGCTCAATAAAAGGGGTTAACAAGATCAAAAGCAAAAAAAAAAAGGTGGTTGATGACATTTTGAGCATAATTTATTAACATCACTTCTTAAAATCCTAAACAACGTTTTTCTACAATTGAGCTGATCTCAATTAGTAATTTGCAACATGATTCTCTTCAGAACATGGTGCCATGATTAAGGTTGAAATCTTCCTAATTCAAAATCTGCCTTATAACAGAGCAGGCAAAAATTAAAGTACAAGAACCATTTTTCTTCATTTAAATAGTTGGCAGATCTTTTTATTTCTTTGGAGGAAGAGACTCTTATAAGAAGGATACATCATATTCACAGAAAACAGATATTCTTGCATCTGGTTCTGGGTTGTTTATAAATCAGCATTTAAGTCCCTCCTTGTCTCTAAACTAAACACATTCCAGTCCAGCCTTTTAGGCCTCCCTCTACATGTTAGCCTCTATTAATGTTTATACCATTTGCCCTTTCAAGGCTCAGAGAATCTCAACTCAATCCAATGCTCAATTACACACATGCATTCTTTACCTGTGGGCTCCACTAGGATTTTACCAGTGGCCATTGCCATTTGAATGGAATAGAAGGATCGTTGGGAATTTGCATAAACTGTATTAAAACCTGCATGCATTTGCCTAAATCATGATATCTAATCAAATGCAGTTTTAAAATTGAAATTGAATTCTGGTTATCTCCTGGGGTGCTATATTCCTAAAAGGGGTTATCAACTCAAATGACTGGGGAGAGGATACAGACAGATAACATAAAGGAGTGGAACAGGCCAGAAACCAAGTGTGAAAAAAATAAGATGGGTGGAGACTGTAGTGGACAAGGACAGGGCCTTAGCAATAATTACTGAGCCAAAGAAAATATATCTCTGAGTGACAGGCAGCTAGAGGGTACAGGTCTACAGCTCTTATAGCTATCTGAGCAGAAATTGCTTCTGAACTCCTCCCACAAACACAGTGGCCCGTTTATTCATCAGGTACCCATCCTTCCCTTATGCTAAGTCATCTATATCCACTACAAACACCTAAGGCACTTCGATTTCAACCAGTTTGGAAAAGCAAGTAACTTTGACCCCAGTTTAGGTGGGAGATAGAAACTAAGTGTTAAGTTATAAAAAGGAACTCTTTCCTTCGAGATCCCAGACTGGCCAAGATTTATGGAATGAACTCTTCTATAGCAGCCATGTCTCCCAGGGAGAGGATTGCAAGATAAAATATAAGACACCGTGTTACATCTGAATTTATGTGCTGTAGATAAACAACACATAATTTGTTAGTATAAGTATGTCCCAAATATTGCATGGGTTATACTTATAGTAAACGGTCTTTGTTTATCTGAAATTCAAAATGAAGTAGGCATCCTGTATTTTTATTTGCTAAATCTGGCAATCCTGCCTGGGACCAGCACTTCCTTGGGGGGTGCCTTCAGTTCCAGGTCCTCTCGTCTCACATGACAGTAATGGGTAGACAGGGAAGTCACTGGCAGAGTAGTGGAAGGGGGTAGTACCTGGACTCTAGAATCAGCTCAACTGCTTGGGTTCAAAACCCAGCTTTACAACCTCATGGAAACGTGGTTAATTCCTATACATCTATGTTAGTTTCCCAATCTACAAAATCAGGATGATAGTAAACACCTTATTGTATGCAGCTAGTGCTAAGAAGAAATGGGACAACCCATATCTAAGTGTGAGGGCACCATGTCTGGCACACTGTAGGCACTCAGTAAATGCTAGCTACCATGATTAAGCCGAAGGGACATCCCATAGGTTGCCTTGTCTGGTACAGAAGGCAATCTACCTGCTAATTAGGATGGCTTTCTAGAAAACATTTAAAATTATCTTACTGACATGACAAATATTTATTTAGCATTTCTCATATGTCCCCTTTTTTGGGGAAAAATGTAATTTAAAATTCAAATTTGGAAAAAATATATGGTTTTAAATTTAAATACAGGGTTCCAGAAATTCTTAAGGAAGGTTACATTAAACTCACAGGATAGACTGTCAGTTCTTCATCTGTATCTCAGTCCTATTTGTTTCTTTTGTCTTCCCATCTCTCTTCTTTATCCTATCAGAAGGCAAATGTAAAAGCAGCAGATAGTTACTTGTTTTACCCACGAGACAGAGCAGGATGCTTTCTCCATGACAAATGATTTACTTGCCCTCCAGACACCAACCCTCCCAACACACACACACACTCATCCACCTGTCTTACCTCTACCCCCTACCCTGGAACTGCGTGTGTCTTAAGGAATTATTGTTCTCCTCTTAACTTAATAATCTGGAAATGCAGACAGAGCAGTTAAGAACCTGCTCAAGGGGGCACACAAGAAGCCAGTTGGAGAGCTGAAATGAGACCAGCCCAGTTCTTGGCTCCCCGCCCAATGCTCTGTCCAAGACACCATAGTGGAAACCTGGGTCTGCTGAATAGGGGCCCTGTGGTTGCTAGGGCACAGGATGAAGCCAAAGTTGGAAAACTCTTATGACGCTCCCCATGGCGATTAATCTGTTTGAAGGTCTGGGCTCTGAACCTTGGATTCCAGGTCTGCATTCCTTCATAAAACCTCCTGTTTTGAAAGCCACAGTCAATGACCCTGTGGATTTAACTAGATGCATTCTTACAAAGCAGAGTCATAAAGGAAAGCTCCTAAGTGATTGGAATCTGCCAACATGCTGTCTTGTGCCCCTGGCTCCCAGTATGGGGGCCCGGGAGAGGAGAATCCCACGCCAAGTCAATTTTCACTGCTTGGGCTACCAGTGTGGAATGCTGGGCTTCCTTAGAGGCATGGCTGTCATTTTGGATGCTCTTCTTAATGAAGGCTTAGGCAATAATCTAAAAGGTCAGTGCTTGTTCACACTGCGGTGCTGGTGGCCACGCTGAAATCGCATATCCACGGTTGGTAGGGTAGAGTCTGTTTCAGGCAAGATGAAACTTACATCTCTTTAACCTGATAAAATGAAATCTATATGCATTTTGCTTTTAAAAGCTTCAAAGTCTTTATCCAGTTCAGTGAACAAGCTAAAGGAAAGGTAAAGTCAAGTGTCACAGCATCCTAGAAAGGAATCTGTAACACCCTCCACCCCACCCCCTGCTCTCATTAACTGTTTTCATGAGAACTAAAGAAAAACAAGAACAAATGATCAAATGATTCTGGTTTATAAAATGGTCTCCATCTTGTTTGAGGATCTTCAGAAAGGTCCTCCCAGGAAAGTTTGCTATACTTATCCTACTGAAATAAGTTCGTTTTGGTTGTTCAACCTTATTTATTGATCTGCCTCATACCAGCTATATGCCCATGGCTGAGATAGTACCACTACTTAGAGGGACATTGGAACCATAACTCTATGATGATAAGCCCATCTCTTTCAGACATCTGTGCTTAATTATGTGTAACATAATTTGGAACTTTATGAAATAAAGCCCAACTAGTAGACTCATGTTTTTTACCAGCCTAGTGTGCATTTCACTGTAGCCTGATAACAACATTTCAATTTTCCTTTTCGAAAGTGTGCTTCCTCCCTTATTCTCAGTCTGTGTGGTTAAGATGAGGTTGATCCCCCATCTGCATTGAGGCACATAACCTCAGCTTAGGTGATTACCATTTCCCTTCCCTCTTGCCAGAATAGTTGACTCCACATTGTGCCTGAGGCCCAGCTCAGGCCAACTAGAGTCAGCCCTAGAACTTTTCTAGAACCATAAGGAAGGTGGCACTCTCTTCCCACTGGGCTTGCAAGGCTGGAAGATCATATGTGCCCCACCCAAAGGGAAAGTAAGCCTGAGTAAAAATAAAGAAAGTCAGAGAGTATCTGAGCTGAGCAATGTAGACACTGATTTCTATTGATATTGCCCACACACTTATAGCCAACTTTACAGCAAGTCAGTAATACTCCTGGTGTTTTCAGGAACAAGAGCCAAGGCACCCTGCCTTTTTGCTTAAGCCAATTTGGATTGGGTTTTCATTACTTGCACTGGAACGACTGTTGATAATGGTGTTAAAAAGGTTTTGTTGAGAATTCCCAGGTTCAAACTGTATAATGAGAATTATATGTACCAGGGACTATACATACTCACATGTATAAGCAACTACAAAGATGTGCATGGATTCTGTTATTAGTCTCTGCTTCCTTCTCACCAAAGTGTAAGAACAGCTACTACCTTTTCTCCCACCCCCTTAACCAAAACAGCTCAGCAAATAATTTTTACTCCCTCTTCACTGCCTCCCTCATTGACATTGTCATAGGCAACTCTAACAGGTAGCTGAAATTTTGTTTGTTTGTTTTGGTGGAGGAAGTTGGTTTAATTTTTTACTTTAGTTTTTTTTTTCTGGCTTCTTACTATTAATTTATGTCAGGGATCAGAAGACTATGGCCCATTTCTTATTGTTGTAAATAAAGTTTTATTGAAACACAGCTACCTTCAATGTATAGATTGTCTACGTCTGCTTTAGTACTACCAGGGCAGAGTTGAGTACACAGAGGTACTCATTATGTTTTGCTTCAGTTTATTGCACTTTGCAGATATGGTGATTTTTTACAAATTGAAGGTTTGTGCTGATCCTGCACTGAGCAAATCTATGAGCACCATTTTTCCAACATTGTGTTCACTTCATGTCTCTGTGCCACATTTTGGTAATTCTTGCAATGTTTCAATTTTTTATTATTATATCTGTTATGGTGACCTATGATCAATGATCTTTGATGTTGATATTGCAATTGTTTTGGAGTGCCATGAACCATGTCCATACAAGACAGCAAACTTAATCATAAATGCTGTACATGTCTGACTACTCCCCTGACCAGCTGTTTTCCCACATCTCTCTCCCTTTCCTCAGGCCTCCTTATTCCCTGAGACACAACGATATTGAAATTAGGCCAATTAATAACTCCACAATGTCCTCTTAGTGTTTAAGTAAATGGAAGAATTTCACCCCTCTCATTTTAAATTAAAAGGCAAGATAGGCCAAAAGCTAGGTCTCTTGTGCCAAACAGGTAGCCAAGTTGTGAATGCAAAGGAAAAGCACTTGAAGTAAATTTAAAATACTATTCCAGTGAATATATAAGAAAGAGAAATGGCCTTATTACTGATATAGAGAAAGTTTTTGTGGTCTGGACAGAAGACCGAACCAGCTACAATGTTCCCTTAAGTCAAAGTCTAATCTAGGGCAAGGTCCTAACTCTCTTCAATCCTGTAAGGGCTGAGAGAGTTGAGGAAGCTGCAAAAGAAATGTTGAAGCTAGCAGAGGTTGGTTCATGAGGTTTAAGGAAAGAAGCTGTCTCTATAATATAAAACTGCAAGTTGAAGCAGCAAGTGCTGATGTGGAAGCTGCAGCAAGCTGTGCAGAAGATCTAGTTAAGATCATTTATGAACATGGCTATACTAAACAACAGGTTTTTAACTGTTTTTAGACTAAACAGTTTCATATTGGAAGAAGATGCCATCTAGGACTTTCATAGCTAGAGAAAAGTCAATGCCTGGCTTCAAAGCATCAAAGAAAGGCTGATTCTTTTTTTTTAGGGGTTAACACAGGTGGTGATGTTAAGTTAAGGCAATGCTCATTTGCCATTCTGAAAATCCTAGAGCCCTTAAGAACTATGCTAAATCAACTCTGTCTGTGCTCTATAAGTGCAACAACAAAGCCTGGATGTTTGCACATATGTTAACACAATGCTTAACTGAATATTTTAAGCCCACTGTTAAGACCTACTGCTTGGAAAAAAAAGATTTCTTTCAAAATATTACTGCTCACTGACAGTGTACCTAAGAGCTCTGATGAAGATGTACAAAGAGATTAATGATTCCACGCCTGCTAACACAACATGCATTCTGCAGCCCATGGATGAAGGGGTGATTTTAAATTTCAAGTCATATTATTTAAGAAATACATTTTGTAAGGTTATAGCTTCTTCCATAGATTGTGATTCTCGTGATGGATAGGAGTGCAGCAAATTGAAAACCTTCTGGAAAATATTTGCTCTTTTAGATGCCATTAAGAACATTCGTGATTTATGGGAGGTAAAAATATCAACATTAACATGAATCTGGAAAAAGTTGGTTCCAACCATCATGGATGATTTCAGGGGGTTCAAGACGTTTGTGGAGGAAGTAACTGCAGATGTGATGTAAATAGCAAGAGAACTAGAATTAGAAGTGGAGCCTGAAGATTTGACTGAATTTCTATATTCTCATGGTAAAGCTTGAATGGATGAGAAGTTGCTTCTTATAGGTAAGCAAAGAAAGTAGTTCTCAAGATGGAATCTCCTCCTGGTGAAGATGTTGTGAACATTGTTAAATGACAATAAAAGGTTTAGAATATTAAATAAATTTAGTTGATAAAGCAACAGCTAGGTTTAAGAGGATTCCCTCCAAGTTTGAAGGAAACTCTACTGAGAGTGAAATTCTATTAAACAGCATGACAGGCAACAGAGAACTCTTTCATGAAAGAAACAGTAAATCAATGGAGAAAACATCATTGCTGTTTTATTTTATAAAATTGCCACAGCCACCCCAACATTCAGCAACCAATGCCCTGATCAGTCAGCAGCCATCACTATCGAGGCAAGGCCCTCAACCAGCAACAAGATTATGACTCACCAAAGGCTCAGATGATTGTCAGCAATTTTTAGCAATAAAGTATTTTTAAATGAAAGTAGGTACATTTTTAGACATAATGCTATTGCACACTTATTACAGTACAGTATAGTGTAAACATAACTTTTATATCCATTGAGACACAAAGAAAAATTTGTGAATCACTTTAATACAATATTCACTTTATTGCTGTGCTCTGGATTGAACCTGCAATATCTCTGAGGTATGCCTGTAGTTACAACTGAGACCATAGGGCCTGCAAAGTCTAAAATATTTACCATCTATCCCTTTATAGGAAAAGTTTCTTGACCTCTGACCTTGATTATTAACCTGAAAATGACTGCAGCCCTTAGAACATTTGTTTTTTGTGTGTGTTTACAATGTCGTTGTACCTTTATTTTCTTTACAGTCAGTATTCATTTGCATGCTATGGTGATGAGAGGAGGAAGTTTAAACTTCTTTAGACAAGAAAAGTCACTGCCTACTTAGAATGGAAATGGAAGCCCTAAAAAAAGGATTTTCTTCTCATTTCTCTCACCACAATATGAAGAAACATAAATGCCATCTGTGCCTGATAGTCTGTTGACAATATGGCACCATACTCTATACTCTCCCCTATATCTCATAGGCTAAAGGCCTGGAAACTACATTTACAAGAAGTCCTTATCAACATGTTTCCAGATTATATTGCACCAATAAAAGGAATTCCCATGATATGCAGAAGGTAGAAGAGAAACAAGGTGATATTAGTGATCTTCCAGAAGAGGCAGACAACTGTATGAGCTTTAGCCTGTGAATGAAAAGTTTTGCAGTGGTCTCTGAAAATCACGTAATTTGGTGTTCCAGGCAGTCATGACATCCTGTGAACTTCAGAGGGAACTTGAAAGCTAGCAGAGCTTTTTTCTGACCTTTCAGAATGCATCTGGTTCATCAATGGTTTTATATGCCTCCAGTCCTCTATTGTAAAGCCCTTCCTGCTAGAAATACCTAGAATGTTTTTTTTTTTTTTTTTCCTGTCTGAGCCTCGCTTAATATAAGATGATATTCTCTGGGTGACACAATTAAATATTTCCTTCAGTCCCAGAAGCAATGGATAACTGTGCTGTGGTTTCTTAATATCCCTGCATGGTAAGTCAGTATACCAATGTTCAAACTCATTCGGTGATTAATTCTAGTGATTTACAAATCAATCCTTTCTGATAAGTATGTAATTAATAAATGCCCATTGTTGCCATTGTTATAGTTTTTCAGGCAGTAGATGTGGTTTGTACAAGGACGCAAAGTTAGTACTGAATGTTTGCAAGGAACAGAGGGTGGATCAGCGTCACTGAGGCATGAGTCCCGGGAGGACTGCAGAGGATGATGATAGTGGAGAACTTTTTATGCTACACCAAGGTATTTAGAATTAATATGACTGCCTGTTTCCTCAGCCTCCTGGAAAGACATAAGAAAAGTAAATTAATGTACAAGCCAATTGGCATTTGTCATATTTTCAGGAAACTTCAAAGTGACATCAAACTAGAGATCATGGGAACGGTGAGCTGCGTGCAGAGCCTTTGCATCAGCAGTGACAAAAGCAAAAGCTCTTCACTGATTTCTGGAAATGGAGTCTAGTGCAGCTGCAGCCACAGCTGGCTGAATGACCTTGGCTGAGTCATCCCTAACAAGGCCTTTGTCCTTTTCTCCACAAAATGAACTGGACAACATCAAAGGGTTTTTGTTTGGTTTGGTTTGGTTTGGTTTGGTTTGGTTTGGTTTGGTTTGGTTTGGTTTGAGGCTGTAATTCTATTATCTATGGCTTAGAAGGAATTGACTCAATGGAGAGCCTCAGGAGCTAAGGGCCAATTAAAGCAACAGAAGCAGAAATTTCATCCAACGCACAAAGTTCTTTCTACCCCTTGATACATTATCACAGAATCAGACCTGCTCAATAGACACCAGCAAAAGGCCAGGGAACCCATCCTCCTCTTTCCCTTTTATCCTGCCATTAGGTCTACCACTAATCTCTTTCTCTTCTGTTCCTTTTCCCCTTTCTCTTTCCCACTCTTTCTCTCTCTCTTTCCTACCATCCTTCCTTCCTTCATATACCCAGGAAGACCTGGCTACAGGTGGAGGGGGAGAAAGCTAAGCATACAGAGGAATTATTGAAAAGAAAACAGCCTTCATCGTTTTATGAGCCTCTGGTTTTCTTTCTGCCAGGTGTACACAGACACGACTGTCACTGTCAATTCTGCTTTTCTGTAGAGAAGAGGAAGAGAGGGACAAGAAGAAGGATGGTAAGGATGCTGACATGCTCTGTTAGGAAAATTTTAAAATTCATCTGGAACAGAATCTGTTGGAATAGGGACATCCTCTATAAAGGAATCACATTCTCAGATACTTTCCAAACTGTGACTTTTATAAAAAATCAAGCCATGTAAGAGGTTTTCCCATTTTATAGCCATTTACAATTGATTTATACTAAGCATTTTCTCTTTTTTGGAGTGAGGTGTCAAACTAAAAAACATGATGTATTTGAGACTTCAAGCAGCCATGGAATTACCAGCAGAGATTTAACACTTGATTCCAAATCCTTCCTTCACAAAGGCAAACTAAGCTTTGGTGTTTTAAGTCAGCCAAGTCCTTTTAATTAAGAGGAAAAAAAATTCTATGCTTTATCCATTCCCAATCCTGCATTTCTCTGTACAATTTATTCATTTATTTACAAACATTATTAGTGACCGTGTGTTCTGTTCTGCTTGGGAGGGCTGCATGGATGTCATCTGTTTACCGTCTCTCTAGAATTCACTGTTTTGATAAAATAGGATATTCTGCATTTATGAGCATCAAAAGGGACTTCAGCAAGGACTTAAAATTAGACTTGCCAGCTGTGTGCTCCGGGCAATAGGAACTCATAGGCCTGTCTCACTGTCCCCTGACTCTGACTGTCCTTGCCTAAGCCAGACAAATAATTTCAATATCTCAATCTCTTGCTTTTTAAACATTTGGAAAGCAGCCCTTGTGGTCATCCAGATCAGCCAAGGTTTCTAAGTGCAATCCACAGTTAAGCCAAGAAAGGAAGAAAATTTGCAATTAAGAACATGCTAACGGATTATTTCTGAAGGGAATACTAGGTTGTAGATCAGAAAAACGTACCACATCATCACCCTGACTACCATTTCCACTACTATGTGCCAGACACTAGGCCAGCCAGGGATTTCATACATGTTAATTCATTTGATCTAACTCTCAGAACCAGGTACATATACCCATTTTACAGATGAGGAAAATTGGCTTCATAGAAATGAATGACTTTGCCCAAGGTCATATAGCCACTAAGAAGCTGAGTCAGAATTAGAAGCTAGATGTGAGACCAAAACTTGCCTATACTAAGGCTTTGTGCAAATTAGACAAATGTGGCCGAGTGTACGTGGCTTGGCGCATAGACTATGTCTATGTACTAATTTAAACAAAGTGTCCCTTTCCTGCAAGTAGATGTTGTCCTAGTCCAAAGTGCATGGCTGGGTACATGGCACACTGACTATTGTGCAGTGCCCACCCACTCCTCAGCAGAGTGCCTTTGTGAAGATTACAGCCTGAACAATTCTTCATGGCAGGCCGGATGTGTCTAACCTCAGTGCAATGATTAATGCTATGTGTCAACTTAGCTGGGCCGCTATCTTAGTTAGCCTGGGCCACCATAAGAAAATACCACACACTGAGTGGCTTAAACAACAGAAATTTATTTCTCGCAGTTCTACAGGTTGGGAAGTCCAAGATCAGAGTCCTCCTATGCTTCCCTCTGGTGAGGGCTCTCATCCTGGCTTGCAGACAGCTGCCTTCTCATTGTGTCCTCATACAGTGAGGTGAGGAAGTACAGATTTGTCACTTCAAACTTCTTATATAGACACTAATTCCATCATGGGGCCTTATCTCATGACCGTATCTAAACCTGATTATTTCCCAAAGGCCCTACCTCCAAATACCATTAGCTTGGGGGTTAGAATTTTAACATACGAATTTTGAGGGGGACACATACATTCAGTCCATAACAGCCTCAGTGCCCAGATATTCTATCAAACACTCTTCTGGATGTTTATGGGGTTTTTTTTGCGGGGGGGAGGTATGTGTTAAACATATAAATCAGTGGACTTTCAGTAAAGCAGATTATCCTGCATAATGGGGGAGGTGGTTAGTTGGGGGGCTCAGTCATCCAGTGAGTTGAAAGCCTGAATAGAATAAAGACTGATCTCCCCCCAGCAAGAAGGAATTCTGCCAGTAGGTGGCCTTTGGACTCAACCTGCAACTCTTTACTGAATCTCAAGCCTGCCCATCTACCCCAGATTTTGGACTTACCAAGCCTCCTCAATCACATAAACCAATAAAAACAAAACAACACAAAACAAAAAAAACTCTCTCTCTCGCTCTCTCTCTACACACACAGACACACACACACACACACCACACACACACACACACACAAAACACCCATCCTGTTGCTTCTGTTTCTCTGGAGAACCCTGACTAATACATCTAGAATCTAGGTTCTTCTTATAACTTCAAAGTATTTCTTGACAGCCACATGAGAAGATGACCAGAGTGCAAATAAGAAAAATTTTTAGCTGGTTGAAACCTTTTACTGAAAGAGGACCAATTAGTAAAACGAAGTCAATGCAAAAGGAAGTCTTCATGACATGCTTCAGGGCTCCATACTTGGTTCTGTCCTATTCAACACATCTGTCAGTGGCTTATAATGTAGGATCATGCAAATCCAATTTGGGGATGAAATGAAGCCAGGAGAGATAGCTAAAATGACAGAGGACAGGATCAAGATTTTGACAGGTTAGGTTACTGTGCTAAAACTAATAAGAAGGATAATGGTAAAACCCTACATTTTAGATTTTAAAAAAATCAATAGGTATAGCACAGTAATAGGTATATTTTAAAGGGTGTAGCTGAATTTTGTTTTTCTCAAGTTCAAACTGAGTTAAGAATGTCACATAGCTCCTTTAAAATGTTCATAGTATTGAAAACAAAAGATGAAAATATTATTGCATCCCAGGTGTCAGTCCTTCTGTAATGTGCATAGGTCTAAAAAACATCAGAAATATCACTATCAATTCTAAGAGGGACATGGTACAATAAAGCACTGAAGGTAATATGGTTTGGCTGTGTCCCCACCCAAATCTCATCTTGAATTGTAGCTCCCATAATTCCCACATGTCATGGGAGGGACTCGGTGGGAGGTAATTGAATCAGGGGGGTGGGTCTATCCCACACTGTTCTGGTTATAGTGAGTAAGTCTCACCAGATCTGAGGTTTTATAAACGGAAATTCCCCTGCACAAGCTCTCTCTTTGCCTACCACCGTGTAAGATATCCCATTCCCTTTGCTCTTCCTTCGTCTTTCACCATGATTGTGAAGCCTCCCAAGCCATGTGGAACTGTAAGTCAATTAAACCTTTTTCCTTTATAAATTACCTAGTCTGGGGTATGTCTTTATTAGCAGCATGAGAACAGACCAAGACAGAAGGGAAGACACTAGACATGTTTAGAAATTATTTTAAATGAACAGCAATGTGAGGAACTGAGGATTGAGATAACAGAGGAGAAAATATCTGAAGGAAGACGAAGAGGAAACTTAAACTTCAAGTACTAAAAGAAAGAAGAACCAATCTTTTTTTGTGCACTTCCAAACAGTAGAACTAAAACACCAGTATAGAAATTTCAGGTCCAGATAAGGAAAGGCTTTCTAAACGTTGGATGTAGCTGACAAGAAACCTGGGATACTCCGTAAAAAAGGGGAGGTTCTCCTGACTGAAAATATCCAAGTCAAGCTATACGATCTCCTTATCCTGTGCCTTTCTAAAATGGACAGACCATGTCAATAGCATCCCCCTATTCCCTCTGTTTTATAAAACTAACAAAAGGGATAGGAAGTGAATTTGGCATGACCTGTTCTTGGTGAGCCCTTACTGATCTCAGGAATCACCTACTTCTTTTCTAAGTGATTGCAATTTGGTTAAGAATTTTCCCAGGGCATTGAGGACAATTTTACCAATTATTATTTTGTAATTAAATATTTGTATTTTTAAAGTATTATTTCCCAATCATCAAAAGCATGAATAAGTACCACTATTATTTTCACTATCATTTTTATTACTATGCTAGTCATTTTGATGGTTTAAATACTTAATCTCATTTAAACCTTGCGACAACTATCTGACACTCAGAGACCTTGGGTTGTCTCTAATTACCAGGATGCTGGTTTGCAAAAAAGCAAAGCTAAGAGTTAAACCCAAATCCATCTGATTTCAAAGTCCCTCCTCTGAACTGCTATAATCTGCCTAACCCCACAAATGCCAAATTTATCCTTATTCTCCACTGTGCTTTCTTAACATTGTTACCTACGGGGCCTTTCTGCCTTTGCTCTGTGCACCCTATAAAATCCAGCTCCGAAATAAAGTCTGCTCACCTTAATTAGCTCAGCCTGCAATGACCTTTTCTTTCTGTATTAGATATTTTTAGTTTCTGTTACAAGCAACGGAAACTTGAATTGAGCTAGTTTATGCAAAAAGAGAATGTATTAGAACAGAAGAACAAATAGCAGAAAAGAAAGGGGTAAATCCACTCTTGGAATACAAAAGGAACCAGAGACCAGAGCCCACAAACTTGCCCTCATCTTTACCTCTGTGTATCTCAGCTTCCTTCTCTCAGTCTGGCCTTCCCCACAAGGCTGGCTGCCCCAGGCAGTTTGTATCCTTAGTTTCAACCCCAGAGCACAAGGTTTTGTTCTGTTTTTAAAGTAACTATATTGAGATATAGAGCGCTTAAAATGCACCCATTATAAGTATACATTTCAGTCAGCATTGACAAATTTATACATCCATGCATAACCACTACTGCAACCTTCTTTTTTTTTTGCAACCTTAATGTAGAATGTTTCCATCACACCAGCTCGTTTCAAAAAAAAAAAAAAAAAAAAAAAACACACAGGAAAGACTGGACAGCTTTGGGCTGATACTTTCTCTATGAACTAATCACGAGGAGGTTGGGAACCACAGTGGATGGCCCCCACTAAAATCAAGTGGTTGGATTGAAGGAAAGGAAAAGGAGTGCAGTCTGTAGCTCAGCCATGGCCTCTGGGGAAATCACTATGAATCTGGAGGGTTTTGGGGGGACACCACATGAGTCTTGGTCCAATCAGGAGATCAAAGTTATACAGTAATTTTAACAGGAAAATGTTAACAAAAAGAAGTATTAACTGTAGCAGGGGATTGTAGTAAGAAGCGATTGGCTAATAAGAAGTAGAGAACTCAAGGCCAGGTGCAGTGGCTCACGCCTACAATCCCTGCATTTTGGGAGGCTGAGGTGGGCGGATCACCTGAGGTCAGGAGTTCAAGACCAGCCTGACCAACATGGTGAAACCCTGTCTCTGTTAAATAGAAAAAATTAGTCGGGCATGCATGCCTGTAATCCCAGCTACTTGGGAGGCTGAGGCAGTAGAATCACTTGAACCTGGGAGGTGGAGGTTGCAGTGAACTGAGATTGCATCACTGCACTCCAGCCTGGGCAATGGAGTGGGACAAGAAAGAAAGAAGGAAAGAAAGAAAGAAAGAAAGAAAGAAAGAAAGAAAGAAAGAAAGAAAGAAAGAAAGAAAGAAAGAAAGAAAGAAAGAAAGGACTGAAGGAAGGAAAGAAAGAGAGAAAGAGAGAGAGAGACAGAGAAAAAGAAAGAAAGAGAGAGAGAGAGAAAGGGAAAGGGAAAGGCAAAGGGAAGGAAAGGGAAGGGAAGGGAAGGAAAGGAAAGGAGGAAGGAAGGAAAAGAAGGAAAGAAAGAAAGAAAGAAAAAAGAAAAGAAAAGAAACGAAGGAAGGAAAGAAAGAAGGAAAGAAGGAAGGAAGGAAAAGAAAGAGAGAAAGAAAGAACTCTAAAGAATGTCAAAGTAGCTATAGACTTTTCAGAGTGTGACTATTAATGGGGTGAGGTTACTTAATTACTTATCACACATGCACATGTGCAAAGAAAATGTAGCCCCATTACTTATTTATTTAATTTTATTTTTTTCAATACATCATCCTTTCCTCTGAGCTCCCTCTTGCTAGGTGGAAACTTTAATCAGACAGGTAAAGCTAATCTAATAAAATGATTTAAGCAGTCCCTTTCACTAAACACTGGGTTTTGGTATATCATCTTTTCAACATTGTCATGCTCCTTCCAAAGGGTGACTGGATATGGAGAACTGAGAGAGGGAGTATTTTACATGAAATGTCGTGGATACACACTGTGTCCCCAGGATGGATCCTTCTTGATCTGTTGCAGAGTGGCTGGGCAAGGTTGCACTCTGCTCCCCGGACCATCGGCAGCATTTGACATGATTGATGACCCTCTTGTCCTTTGAGAAATTCCCTCATGTGGCATCTAGCCATCCTTTGCAGTTCTCCTCACTTGCCTACCCTCCTCAGTCTCTTTGCCCGGTTGCTGCTAATCTCACATGCTCCCTAGCTGATCTTACCAGCTTCTACATGCAATCACTCTCAAACTTATATCTACAGACCAGACCTCTCCTTTGAATTCCAGGCACATTTGTTCAATATCCTACTAGACAATTTTAATTAGATGACTAAGTGTCATCTCAGACTCAACATGTCCAATCCTAAATTATTGATTGTCCCCCCAAATTCCTATATCCTTGCCATAGCATTTATCTTTCATTCCGGGAGCCCAGGCCATAAACCTTGACATCATTCTCAATCCCTTTCTTTCTCTCTGATCCCACCTCTACTGGTAAGTAAATGCTATTGGCTCTGCCTTCAAATGTATTGAGAACCTGACTAATTCCTATCTGCTCTTCCACCTGGTCCAAACCCCCATTCTTCCTTATCTGGATTAACCAAAGGCTCATACTTGGCCTTCCTGCCTAGACTCTTGCCCTTCAGTCTATTTACAATTTTTTAAAATTGCAAATAATGTTATTTCTGATGTTCATGCCTCTGCTCAAATGCTCCAATGGTGTTCAATCTTACTCAAAGTAAAAGTCTTTAAGTCCTTTTCATCTCTGGTCCCCTACAATCTCTCTGATCTCATATTACTTTCTTTATGTTGATTCAGGTCAAACTGATCTCCTAACTCTTCCACAAAGATGGCAAGCAAAATTCTGTCCCAGGGACTTTGCACTTGCTGCTTTAGCCCTAAAGTAAGATAGCTCCTTAATATAGCTATAAGAAATACTCCTTTATATTTTTCAGGTCTTTGCTTAAGTATCACCTCATGTGTGAGTTCTTCCCAGACCACTCTGCATATAATACTAATTCTCCTATTCTGATACTCCCTTTTACCTTTCCTTGCTTTATTTTTTCTATAGTATCTATCATCATCTGACATATTTCCTATTTACTTATTTATTTGTTTGTCGTTTCCTCTCTCCCTCATCAGGACTTTTTGTGTTTTTTTTTTTTTTTTTTTGAGACAGAGTTTTGCTCTTGTCACCCAGGCTGGAGTGCAGTGGCCCGATCTCGGCTCACTGCAACCTCTGCCTCCCAGGTTTAAGCAATTCTCCTCCCTCAGCCTCCTGAGTAGCTGGGATTACAGGTGTGCACCACCAAGCCTGGCTAATTTTTGTATGTTTGGTAGAGATGGGGTTTCACCGTGTTGGCCAGGCTGGTCTCGAACTCCTGACTTCAGGTGATCTGCCCACCTCGGCCTCCCAAAGTGCTGGGATTACAGGTGTGAGCCACCATGTCCAGGCAAGACTTTTCGAATATCTATTTTGTTGACTACTGTATCCTCAGAACCTAGAGCACTGTTTAGCACATAGTAGCTGCTCAAGAAATAGTTATTGAATGAATGAGTGAATGGACAAGTGACCCCTGAGAACTGCTTGATCCTTAGCTCTTGAACATCATGCTAACACCCACTGCTGGGGCCTTTTGTTCTAAGCCTTAGCCTTTTGCTCCCAGTTTCATTGCCACTCATGATGGCCTCTTCAGCCTGACCCCAGATCTCTGTCATTCACAAGCAACTTCAGCACCTCCATGTCTCCATCCTGGGGCACTGAAAAATTCTGTATGACAAGAACATCACACTCAAAGCATGATGCTCCAGGAGCACTGCCTTAGAGCACTCTATCTACCCATTTCCTGGGGCTAGTGAACACCCAAAACTTATATCATGCCGAAACCGCTGTGCAAGTCTCTTGTCCTAATGACCCGCAGCCTTCCCCCAAGTAGCAGGGGAAAGCATGCTCTTAGAATGAGTGCTCTGTAGCACCCCATACCTAACTGAGCATTTAAAAAAGATGTTCTCTTATGACAATTTTAAACATGTATCAAAGTTGGAAGAATTTTACATTGAATATCTACATACCTACCGGTCAGTTACTGCCATCGACATTTAAGAATACTTTCTTTTTATCATATAATCTATCCTTCTATTCAACTCATTGTCTATCCATCAATCTCTTATTTTGATGTATTTCAAAAAGTAAATTGCAGATACCTGTATACCACTCCCTAAATGCTTCAGCATACTTTTCATTAACTAGCTATATTTGTTTACATTTTTATGTAAGAAATTATATGCAATTAAATATTCAAATCTAAAGCATACATTTATGGATGCTGACAAATGCTCATATGTACATACCTTTGTGTTACCCAAATTTCTATCAATCAAGATACCAGAACATTATGACCACCCCAGGAGGTTCCCTCATGTCCCCTCCTACTCAATCCCCAGCTCCGGCTCCCCAGAGGCAACAAATTTTTCATTTTTATCCAACCTAGATTAGTTGTGCCTTCTCTAGAACTTCATTTGAAATAATACTCTATGTGTCCTCTTTTTTTGAGATGGAGTTTCACTCTTGTTGCCCAGGCTGGAGTGCAATGGCGCGATCTCGGCTCACTGCAACCTCCGCCTCCTGGGTTCAAGAGATTCTCCTGCCTCAGCCTCCCAAGTAGTTGGGATTACAGGCACGTGTCACCATGCCCAGCTAATTTTTGTATTTTTAGTAGAGACGGGGTTTCTCCATGTTAGTCAGGATGGTCTCGAACTCCCGACCTCAGGTGATCCACCCGCCTTGGCCTCCCAAAGTGCTGGGATTACAATTACAGGCGTGAGCCACCGTGCCTGGCACTATGTGTTCTTTTTCATAAGCTTTCTTTCACATAATGAAGAATAAATCAGACTAATCATGAGTATGCCAAACTATTTAGGGGGAAGTGTATGTAAATCTGTAATTTACTTTGAAATACATCAAAAATAAGATGAGAGGATGGAGGGGGGATGGGTAGATGTGTGTGAGATTTCTCCATGTTGTTGCATGTATTAAGAATCTATCCCCTTTTACTACTAAAGAGCGTTTAAGTATATGAACATCCCACCTTTCGTTAATATTCCTACTGATGGCCACCTGGGCTATTTCTCGTTTAGGCTTATTATGAAAAAGCTCCTCCAAACGTTCCTAGACAAACCTTTTTGTGGACATGTTTTCATTTCTCTCTGGGTGAATTCCTGGGTCATAGAATATTCATATTTGTAGTTTCATTAAAAAAAAAAAGACAAATGCCAGACTTTTGTCCAGGAGTTTTTGCCATGACACACTCGACAATATTGTATGAGAGTTCCAATTATTCATATCGACCAAGCAGATTGATGGCCCAAACCTGTCCCCTGGTTTTTGCCCTTGGAAAAAGGAGAAAAGAAATGATCACCTCCCTTTACCTCCATTTCCCTTCTTCCTCCCTTGCCTTTCTATGTATCTGATTTGCCCACTTGTTCACCAGGAGGAATGAAGGCAGTCTCCAGCTTGTCTGTTTTCTCTCTTTAAAAAAAAAATTATTTTTAATTTGTGTGGGTACGTAGTAGGTGTATATGTTTATAGGGTACCTCCGTTATTTTGGTACATGCATGCAAGGCTTAATAATCACATCATGGAAAATTGGGTATCTAACCATCCCCTCAAGCATTTATCCTTTATGTTACAAACAATCCAATTATACTCTTCTAGTTATTTTTAAATGTACAATTATTATTGACTATAGTCCTCCTAGTGTGCTATCAAATACTGGTCGTATTCATTCTTTCTAACTATTTTTTTGGTACCCATTAACCATCCCCACCTCCCCACCATCGCTTCCGCCTTACTACCCTTCTGAGCCTCTGGTAACCATCCTTCTATTTTCTATCTGCATGACTTCAATTGTTTCAATTTTTAGATCCCAGAAATAAATGAGAACATGTGATGTTTGTCTTTCTGTGTCAAGGCCTAAATTTATAATCACTCATGTAATTTTAAAAATCCAAGAGTACTTCTTGGCTTTGGCTATAGTTTGAGGCAGGGGATGAAATGATGTCACAAGAACCGTGTTTTTTTCCCTGGGTTTAAGAGCACTGCTTCTTCTGGGTTGGTTCCATTCTCAGACAGGCTTTCTCCCATCATGGCAAGGAGGTTGCACTCATTAGCCTCACAACCCTAGATCCAACCACAAGAGATTCTTTTTTTTTTTTTTTTAACAGTTTTCATAAAAGACCTGAGATTCACTAAGAATCACTAAGAGGATGTGCATTTCACCTTCTCCTCCTGTGTCTTGCTAGAATGTGGATATGATGGCTGATGTGTAAGCAGCAATTTTAAGGTAAAAGCCACTTGTAGAGCACAGCAGAGCAACCACATAGACAGAGCCTAGCAATACAGACAGAGCTGTCCTATTAGTCCTGGAGGGATCAACTTTATACTTCTTTTTATATGAAAGAGAAAAAATTTTCATCTTGTTTAAACCACTGTTATTTTTGTTTTTTCTGTAACTCACAGCCTAATTGAATCCTTTTTAAAAAATTATTTCCATAGATTATTGGGGGAACAGGTAGTGTTTGGTTACATGAGTAAGTTCTTTAGCGGTGATTTGTGAGACCTTGCTGCACCCATCACCCGAGCAGTATACACTGCACCCCATTTGTGGTCATTTATCCCTCACCCCTTTTCCATCCTTTCCCCCTGAGTCCCCAGAATCCATTGTGTCATTCTTATTGTTTTCTCTATATCATGTCGATAGCAGTCTGGTCCAGTCAGGAGATGGAAACCACACAGTAGGTTAAACAGGAAATTAAATGTAAGAATTAGTATCTATGATTAAATAACTATAAAAGAAAACTCTGTATGATACCCTAGTGCTGAGGGAGACTACCCAAAGAACGACAAACTTGGAAGGGGTTCAGACTTCACTGGAGAACGTGTGCTTCTGTGCTTGCCTGGCAGAAAAGCTTGCTGTCTTAGCCAGGCCAGAGCTGGTCTAGAGTTGCTGGGCAAACACCAGGCAATGCTGTGGAAAGCGGAGCAGACTATCAGCAACCAGAAACATGGGTGCACAGTGGGAGTCCGGGTGCTGGAGGGACAGGGGCAGAGGCTTTCAGAGTGTATTGGCTGCACAGGGTGGTGAGAGGAGTGGTTGCTTGCAGAAGAAATAACAGCTCAGTCTGTGACTCTCTAGGCCCCCTATGCAGTTTTTTGTGGATTGTGTTAAGTTTCTGGTTTCCATATAAAGAGGGCTGAGGAAAAATTATTACCAGGCCAAGAAGGCAAAGTCACAGAGTGAGTGTGTTCTAGACCTGTGGTTAGTACAGGATCTATGGAGTGTCCTTATACACACACTGCTGACCTCCAGGCCTGGTAGAAATTGCAGGAATCCTCTGTCCCATGCAGCGTCCTTCCAGTGCCCTCTGCTGAGAAAGCTTACCATCCTGCTCACTTTCAGAAGAAATGCTTAAAGGAATTTCACTGGTTATCACAAAACATATATACAGAAGAGCGCATTTACAGGCGAGAGGCAACAAGTTGATAGCTGACACAATGTCCTTCTTCTCTATTCCAGGCCTAGGCTCAGCCTTAATGATCAATGGGGCATGCTGAAGAGAAAGATTGTTTCCCAATCTTCCCAATTATGCCAGATTGTTTGCAAAAACAGCCACAAAAATTCTTTTCCTCTCTCCATTCATGTCCCTTTGTAATGTGACTTTGCAATGCTTGCCATCAAGAGGGACAATGTCTTTCTCCATTCCTTGAATCTGTGTTGGCCATGTGCCTTACTTTGGCCAAGAGGACATTGGCAAATATGATATAAGCAGAGACTTGGAAAGTGCTTGCTTATTGGAGTTTGCTCTCTCTTGCTACCCAGAACCTTCCTGCCACCATGTGAAGCAGCCTGGATTAGCCTTCTGGAGGATGACAGAGCATGCAGACATAGGGTCCACTACTTTCAGAATTCCCAGTGAGACCATCCTAGACCATCCAGCCCCAGCCAAACCAGCGCAGACCAAAAGAACCTCCCAGTCAATCCATGGAATAGAGAGAAATAATAAGTGTTTGTTATTTTAAGTCACCACGCTTGGGTTTTGTGATAGAACAAAAGTCACACACACACACACACACAAAATAGAGTTATTTCAAAAAAAGTATACTAATATAGTAATATTATATTATACTAATATAAACAATTGAATTAGCAGGAAACAAAGCTTTATTTGCCCTGAGGAACAGATATGTTTGTTCCTTGTAGATCATTTGTCTTAAAGAACTAATCTTGCTTCCCTTTTTCATTGGGACACCAAGACAGGTAGGGCCAATTTGTGGCTTATCTTTGGCCACTGTGTACTCTTCTTTATGTTCAAACTCTTCCCCAAGTTTTAAGTTTCTATTTCTATGGTTCCCTGTTTCTGAAAAAATTACTCATTTGTAATTTGCCTATTTTGGTTTATTATTCATATAAGCTGTCTCAAGTGATTTTTTTGGAATGAGGTTAGAGATAAGCATATGAAACAAATGTCACTATTTATGAATATAATGCTCAAACCATAAAATGCGTAGCATTTGCTTTTGTAATAAAGCTACTATGCTCCATTGTATGAAGCTGGCTCTTTGCAAAAGATCAAAATAAAATTTGTGAGCTCTGTATTAGACAATAATTATCTTAAACTAAAGAGCAAACAAAAAATTTCCATCTTTATAAAACTTCAAATTTTTATACAATTGAGAAAAAATGTCTCTTTTTATGTAATTAGCATAAATTAGCTTATTAATTCAAAACAAAACAAAAGGTAGTTTTATTGTATTTAGGCACAAAGTAAGACAACCCTGTAGTTTCCAAATATTGCCAGTGTTCCTCATAACTGTGAATTTAAACTTTAAAGAACTTATTTGCTTCTGTTTTTCTTTTAAATAGATAATTTTTAACTAGACCTTTGGATAATGTTAGACCATTTTGCTGTGTTGATCCATTCCTCTACCAATCAAATGTCTCTTGAAAGAACTATGATAAAGTTAATAGACTAAAACAAGTTACAGATCTTGAATTAACCAGAAATGATGTTTTTAAAATGACAAGATTGCCCTTTTTTTGGAGACAGAGTCTCACTCTGTCACGCAGGCTGGATTGCAGTGGCACAATCTCTGCTCACTGCAACCTCTGCCTCCCGGATTTAAGAGATTCTCCTGCCTCAGCCTTCTCAGTAGCTCAGATTACAGGTGCACACCACCATGCCCAGCTAATTTTTGTATTTTTAGTAGAGACAGGGTTTCACCATGTTGGCCAGGCTGGTCTTGAACTCCTGACTTCAAGCAGTCAGTCCACCTTGGCCTCCCAAAGTGCTGGGATTACAGACGGGAGCCACCGTGCCTGGCCAAGATTGCCCTTTTATGACAACAAATGTGGATCTACTATTTGAAAGTGGGCCAGAATCCCAGATAGGGAGGGGGAGGCCACTCAACTGTGAAATAGGTTGTCAAAAATATATGTCTAAAATATGATTCAACCTTTTTTTTAAAATCCCAGTTGTGTTGAAAAATCTAGGATGTTCATTAACTTAACAGAAAAAAATTAACTGAGCTTCCATTCCCTGCAGAGGATGTTGGAATTCCACAAATAAATAAAAAAATGTTTTCTGCAGTGACAAATCTCCCTGTAATTGGAATACTTCAAAATATTAAACATATAATCCAAGAGTAATTAGAAAGCTGTGCACGTTTCCATAATTAGTCCATCACTTTTATTTACTTCATGTATAATACATGACAGCCCATATCATAAAATGAATTAACAGCTAAATGTCAAATCTCCCCTCTGATTTAGGCCATCTGCTTAGGTGTTCAGACTGACACCCACTGCCATGGGAAATTATAGAGACCCGGGAAATCTGACTATCAGAGGAGAGCTATTGCCAAATGGATCAAACATCAGAACTTGTTCTTGCTGGCTTCTTCCTCCACTACCACCACACCACGACCACCAAAACCAGCAAATTCCAGTCTCAAAGTTGCAAGTCTTGACCGCATTTCAGGGCACAGGAAACGAAATCAAATATTTTCCTACAATAATTTGATCCTCAAATTACCTTCAATTATGTCATTGAAAAGAGAATGCCTGGGGGTTCAGAGCCCATCCCTGCCTGAGTTCCATCCATGGACTCTTTGGGAAGGAGAATTCTGGAGAATCCTGACCAAGCTCCTTTTCTTCATTATAATCAGATTTTCTAGTATTCTCCCCTTTCTAAAATCAGTTCTGGAGACTCTGATTGGCATCCCCAAGATCTAGGGAAGTTGTGCAATCTCTATTAGCTCTAGGGAAGCTAGGACAAGAGCAAATTTCAAGGCCAGTACTTTTGGGTTCTGTGCTTCCTGCCCTCCCTCTCCATTCTAAGGTCCCTAATGGTAAAACTCATGAAAGCCAAGCCAAGGGATTTTTACCCCTTCTATTTTCCCATCTTCCCAAGCAAGGGTGATATTTTCATTGTACCAATTAGAAACACTCTTAGATTTCAAAAGCAAATTATAATCCAACCATATTTGCCCTCTCAAGGGGTAGAGCCTCCTTCTCCCTCATAAACTTGGAGACTTCTCTAAAATATTTTCAAACTTCTCAGCAGGTTCATCTCAATAAGTGCCATCATTCCAAAAGGAAAGAAGAAAGGGGCTCAAGTGCCAGTAATGTTGCTCCCTGTGCAGAGGAGAAAGGAAAGCCAGCTGGTTGGTTTCCCTCCCATAATACCATCTTTGTGAGCAAGCTGATCAGAACCCATAAGGGGGCCTGTGATATGACTAACTTCATCAGACTAGGCTTGAATTTCAACTCTGATATAAATGCCTTTTGTGATTTGGGACAAATTACATAACCATCTCTTCCTCCTCCAAAGAATAATAAAAAGTAATTTATTGTACTTGTAACACAACTTTCATCGCCATAGCTCAAATGCTTAGATTAGCTCCCTACCTACCTATCATGCTGTGATGTGAAAATTAATTAGCTAATGTCTGTAAAGTGCTTTCAAGATGAAAAGTGCCATATGAGTGCTAAGTGCCACCTATGAGTACCAATAAAGACAATCTCATAGAGAACATAATAGATCAGCAGGGGAATGAGTGAATAGCCAACTTGAAAAAACAAGGTGACAAAAAAACAAATAAATACAATAACCACACAGAATAGACTTCCCAAGTTCCAGACTTTCTTGTGCAAGAAAAGAAACTGGCACACAAGTTTGGAAGCACACTTCAGCAGCAGGAATAGGGCCAGTGACATACCCACTGGAGTGTCATCAAAACCACAGTGCACTTTTGGGGGATGTTAGTATGATCTAACATTCTCAAAAGAGGTGTAATTCAGTGGGATTTGGCAGACTATGTACTTGAAGACCACTGACTCCGCTTAGCACAAGTGATAAATGAATGACTATTTTTTCATCACTTTATAATTTTCAAAGTACTTTCCCCATAGACCATCTCGCTTTACCTGCATAATAATTCTTTGAAGTAGATAGAGTGAATATTATGAGTCCCATTTTACAGGTGAGGCTAGAGATGGTCAGGAAAATTGATTTGATCAAAATTATATAATCAAAGAGCAACTCCAGCCCATCTTCCCACTATAAAACCATGTTCTTTCCATAACACCATATTAGTTAATGGGCATCATACAATTGGAAGGCATCACCAATATATTTCAAAAGATTTCAATATGTATGCTTACTCTGCCCAAACAGTTTCATGCCTAGAAGCTTCTCCTAAGTAACTAAGAATATGCTAAAAAATCTAGCTACACAGATGTTCCCTGAGGCATTTTTTACAACAGTGAGAAATGGAAACAACCTAAATGTTCAGCAAAAATAATTGAAGAAATACCAATGTATTCATAAGATCAAATATTAGAAGCCAGCCATATAAAAATAATGTCATGGAAATATCTTTATCAAGTAGGGCTTTTTAAAATGCTTAGGCAAACTGAAACATCATCAAAATGTAAGTAAATCTGTGTATTAGGGTGAGAATATACATGCTTTTTTCTTTCTTTTCCTATGTTTAAAATGTTTGTTTTACTGTATTGCTGTTATAATAAACTGTGTTTGTAACTTTTAAAAAAGAAGTATCTCCATCCACATGAAAAGTTTTCACTATAAATTGTAAGTGTTGCACAATATCATTTTAAAACTTAATTTGTGCACATGCCATAGAATGATATCTAGAAAGATACACAAGCCAATATTAATGGTGTTTTCCCCTGGATTATGAGATTGAGGTGATTTTTATTTTCATCTACTGGACCATCTGTACTTTCGGATTTTATTTCATTTATTTATATAATAAAAATCATCATAAAAAAGTATTTTCAGAACCATCTAAGTCACTTGAAATCCCACAAAGGGGCTGGACTGAGGAAAGGCCAACCTCATTTAAAATGGCTCCTTACAAATGCCCTCAACAGAAGAAAGGCTGACACTAAGCATGAAGGCAGGATTGCACCGTCCCTGTGCCTTTCATCTGTGGCCCACTGTTAAGTACATGAGAAGATGTCATTGCCCCTTCTTACATTGCCCCTTCTTAGACAGCAGTCCATGTAAGCATCTACCAGTTTAAACCACTGCTCTCCATCCTGCCAGGTCAGCCTCTTTTGTCTATGTCACTGAGAAAGCACTGGTTCTCTGCTACGATGAGCAACAGGCTCTAGAAATGTTCCACTGTCTCCTGGCACTAAGGAGTGGACTAAGGTAAAACTTGACTTCAGAAAATTTCAAAAGATCAGAAGAATACAGGCAGGACTGACAGCAGTGAGTTTAAATTGCAGCAAGAAAAACTAACATTGGTTACCAGGAAAGGATTGCCAGATGGAAGAGAGAGAAGCAAAGAACTTTATAGAAAAGCATTCTCTGCAGGCCTGGAAGATGTAGAATCTAAGATTTTTAGAGTTAATGTGGTAGGCAAAATTCCAGAATGGTTCCCTAAGATATTCCTAATTCCGTCAACAGTGACGGCGATGAGACATCATGCCTCTGACTGTGTTACATGACGTGGCAGAAGGCATTTCACAGATGTCATTAAGGTTACTAATCAATTGACTTTTATTTAATCCAGAAGGAAATTATCTGGGTGAGCCCAACCTAATTACATGAGTCCTTTTAAAACACTGTGTTTTCTTGGGCTAGTAACAGGATAAAAAGCTAGAGGAATTAGAAGCATGAGAAGGATTTCACCTGCTGTTGCTGGCTTGAAGATGGAGAAGACCACAGGATAAGAGATGTCAGTGGCCTCTAGAAGCTAACAGTGTCCCCTAACTCGCAGCCAGCAAGAAGTTAGCAACCTTAATCCTACAACAATGAGGAACCTAATCCTTAATGGAAACTAATTATTCTCCAGAGTCTTCAGGTAAGAGGCCAACCCAGCCAACACCTTGATTTTGGTCTTAAAGGACCCTATGCAGAGAACCCAACTGGGGCCTCATGGGAATTGTTTCAAGCCATTAATTTGTGGTAATTTATAATACATAAATTATATGGAGCAGTAGAAAACGGATAGAGTTAGAAAGTGCCATGAAACTATGTTGTCCATTTCCCTCATTTTATCAATAAAGAAACTGAGACCCAGGGACGTTGAAGGATTTAGGGGAAAGCTGTGGCAAAGCTGGGATGAGAGCACAGGTCATAGGGTCCATAATCAGTGGTCTTTCCACCATCCCTCCTTCCTGCTCACAGCAAGCTTCCCAGGACCTGTTTGTTTGTTTGTTTGTTTGTTTGAGACAGGGTCTTGCTCTGCCGTCCAGGCTGGAGTACAGTGGCACGATCACAGCTCACTGCAGCCTCGACCTTCCAGGCTCAAGCCTCAAGCAATCTTCCCACTTCAGCCTCCCCAAGTCACTGAGACTACAGGCACATGCCACCACACCTAGCTAATTTTTGTATTTTTTGTAGATACGGGGTTTCACCATGTTGCCCAGGCTGGTCTTGAACTTTTGAGCTCAAGCAATCTACCCACCTCAGCCTCCCAAAATGCTGGGATTACAGGCATGAGACACCGCGCCCAGCCTCCAGAATCATTTTTATCCAGCATGACTTAGAGTCTAAGAGGAAAGATAAGATTGTCATTTGAGGTCCCTGTCAGCATTATGATTCTAATATATTTCTTGATTTCTAAAAATTGAGCTAGAATTGATATTGAATGTGCAGACACTTCGCTAATTTAAAAGCAATCAATAATATTTATAACGTTCACCCAAGATTTAATATGCTGACAATACCATACAATCTACTTCATTCTCCAATAAGTGACAATTTCAGTTTTCAATTTAGTGAAATTCAGCAAAGTTTACTATATTTAAATTCCCTGGGAGGTTACACATGAAGGAATCTTTCAAGGCAAGAATGCTACAATGTTCCTTAACTGAAGTGACTTAAATTGTTTGAAAAAATAAGAAATTAAGAAACTTTTAGGGAGGAAAACTATCTTTAAAAGCCACCTATATTTTCACACTGGTTCTGTGACAGAATGTCAACATACTATCACACGTATTGAATTCTTGTGACTTATTCTGAAGGCAATGCCATTAGTTGCATCTTTAGCCATTGTGAAGACTCAGACAGATGCACCTCTTGTTACTCTTGAGATTAATTGAGTATCATTAATAAATGTAACACAATTCATGATGATGATGATGTGATGGATAACTAGGAACTTACTCATAAGAAGGAGTAACCAGGAATGAGTTTGCTCACCTTCTAAGCATGATTAAATTCAGAAGCATTAAAGAAACCCCCAAATCACATTGTGTTTGAAAAGGACACTTTTTAAAGATAAAACGTATAGTTCCAGATTCATTCTGCCACAAACTACTTTTCTCCTGGATGATCCCCTGTTTTTGTTTTTGTTTTTGTTTTTGTTTTTCCTTCCATTTCAGCTTCCTGGGACCCATGGCTTTCTCTGCAGGATGCTGAGAGCAATGCTGAATGGTAATAGATAAAGCTCCCAGTTAGCCTGCCCATTTCTACCAACCATGGGATTCACTCAAGAGAAGCCAAGGACTTTAAAATGCATCTACGGGGCTCAATTTGTTCTTCTTCAGTTCCTTGCTAATTGTTTTCCACCAACAGCTCTGGTACTTACTTGATTGCATAGTTGCTTTTTTTTTTTTTTCCCCCTACATTTTGCAGACTTCAGGTTCCAAATTCTAGGTTCTTTGCAAGGTTTACCCTAGAGCGGCACTGCCCAATACAACTCTTTCTCATAGAAATATTCTCCGTGTGTCCAACCTGGTAGCCACTACCCACATGTGGCTACTGAGCACTTGGAATGTGGCTCATGCAACTGAAAAAATGAATTTTTAATTTTATTAAATTTTCATTAAATGTAAATGCCATATGTGGCTAGTAGCTACTGCACTGGATACTATAGTCCTGGAGATTTGGGTCAGGCTTAACAAAAGCTATTTAAGAGCCAAGCCAGGCAAGCTCTGGAAGGAGTCCACTTGTGCCATACGTGTGGGTTTCTCTGGGGACAATCATTTACTCTGGTGATCTTGTTCTGGCCTATATTCACCAGATAAATGTGCATATTATAACTATATTCATTTTTGCCTGTAATAATAATAACAGTAATAACAATAATAACTCCTATTTATGGAGTGCCTGTTGTAGGCTGGGTATTGTGCCAGACACAATTGTATGGGATCTTCTAAGGAAGGGGTTCTGAATACAATGCTTTATTCATTTAACAAGTATTAGAATTGAAGCTAAATAAATGAATCCATTTAGCTCTGCTATTTGCAGCATTTGACATTTCCCTTCTATCCATATATTTTACCTCACAATATACCCTAGCAATCAAAGTACAGGTAAATTACTAGCATTACATTCCCTTGCACAAAGGTAGAACATATTAGGTATGAGATTTCATCATACAAATAGCCCACAGCCTTCTTGCCAATACTTGCCTCTATTACTCTGCCCATTTTTCCCAGTTTCTTCAGAGCAAGAAACCCAACACAATTGGTTGTAAGGGAAAAAAAATTATTTTAATCTGAAAGAAGGTCAGTAGTAAATAAATTCATTCCCCTAGACATTTTGGACCAACATGCCTCCAGAAACAAACGTCTTAGTAGCTGTGAGAAGAGCAAGTTTCTTGGCAGAAAGATGCAGGGCAGAGTGTCTCACAATCTGATGATACGGTGGCCAGGTCTAGAAAATCAGGATTACAGCATGGGGTAGACACCCAAGTCTTACATGCAAAGTCTCCTGCTAACCCCAGGGCTTTATTTTGAGAAGACCCAGAACTGAGAATTCGAAGTTCAACATCATTTTCCCTGTAGTGATGAAGAGCAACACCAGCAATCCACCAATCCTTACTACAGAGCTGTTTTCCTATTTTGTTCTGAATCTTTTATACCCAGTAAAACATTAAGGTGTTTATGATCAAATGTAATTCAAACAAGTTAGTCAAGTACTATCTTAAAGCTGAAGACTTAATAACAACTCGGTTCAGAGACTGGCTGTCACCAGCAGGAGGAGAGCGATAGTACACAAAAACACCAGTTTGTGTGATAAAAGCTTGACAGTCTTGCCTACACACAAACCAAAGAAAATAAGATGCCTGTGACAGCTACAACAGCAGCAATTTTAAACTTCTCACTGATGAAATGCACTTTGCAGTCATAACGTTTGCATAAATCTGGATGTCACTTTTTTCATGTTATAATTTTGCGATCCAATGGATCATTGTGTAGCCCCTAAACCTGCAAATGAGCTCTATAATGCAGAATGTGCACAAATCATTGAGCTATCAGTGACATCAGGGGTTTGAGATTATTAACAGATATTTCTTCACCTACAAGTACAGTCTAAAATCAATCATTCTGATAACTAGGCATCCGTGAGCTGTCTGCACTTTCATTTCAATCTGATTAATCACATATACACAGACCTTTACCTTAAAGGAGCAATTGTTCACATTTAATCACAAAGAAACATTCAAGCATACCATCAGACATTAGGAAATTTAACCACAATTTATGCTTCCTGTTTTAGCAAATATATTTATGATAATATGACTTTCTGCATATAAACACATTGTTTCATTCATTTTACAAGCATTAGAATCGAAGCTAAGCACAATAATCTACTTTTATATCATTTATCATCTATTTGTCGCTTTTGAAGTTTCCATTATACCCATATATTTTATTGCATAATTTATCCTGATAACCAAAGTACAGCTAAATTATGAGCATTGTGTTTTCTTTAGTAAAGTAGAACATGCTAGATATCAGATTTCATCATGTTCCATGTCCTGCTTCTTGTCAAGATTTGGTTCTACTACTCTGTCAATTTCTCCTGGCTTCTGTAAGGCAGGAAAACAAATACAGTTGTGGGTGCAGAATTTTTTTTTTTTAATTTGAAATGGAACTGGGATCAAGTAAATCTCTCTTTTGATCCTCCCAACAGTGTTCCCAGGAAACATAACATTCCAGAAGGCACATCTGCCGTTACTATAACAACAGAAAGGCAGCGTCTACGGAGAATTATCTGCACTAGAGGGCAGACTGCAAACCAGCAGGATTCCTGGGTTCCTCTTCCAGGAGGCAAGGGTAAATTTTGGTGAAAAGAAGCAAAGCCTGAACAGGGTTTTGGTGTATGGATGGGGCATAGAGTGCTCAGAATTTGAGGAAGGTGAAGGGCAGCCCAAGGTTTATAAACTGTTTCTAGACCAAAGGTGCAAAACTGCTGTCAAGGAAATCAGCTAGCAAGGATTTAGGAAAACATCTTATTGTTGGGGTACAGGCACAGAGTTAAGAACTGGTTGGGGTAATACTAGACAGATGAAAGAATCACTTTCCAGCTGTTTGACCCAAAGACAAATCACATCGCCTCCCAAGGGAGGTGAAGTCACTTACCCAGAGGAACAACATCCACTACGATCGCCCTAAGAGATACTGAGAATAGTCTTGAGCATGGCTATCAAGGCAAGTCCTGAGATGCTTGCTAAAGAGTTGAACATAGACATGAATCTCAGTCAGTCTGTCTGAGACTTTGCCTCTTTCCTTGCCTTGGCTTTTACTTTACTAGCTTCTTCTCAGGTTCTGGATCTCTTTAGGCTTCTTTTCCAACCTCGCTACTAGACTGATCTATATTTGGGAGTCCACCTCAGCCTGTCTGCCATTCCAAAAAAAAAAAAAAAAACCCTATTCATGTCACTAATCCCACTCTGCATTCCTAGTCTCTCAGTTTCAATTTCTCCTTACCTAACCTCTGGCTTTGCTTCAACATAGAGTTTTCAGACCATCCTGGATTAAACTTTGCCCCTTTTATGGTCAAAATGGCTTAATTAGCCAATTAAGTTACCATTCAGAGGAAGAGATTAATACTAGCATAAAATAAATAAGCAGACATAAATTAATTTCTATAAATGGTTTGAAGGAAATAAACTAAAGTGTAGGAAAAACAGAGTGAGCCTTCCTTTTGTAGGTGGTCAAGAAAGACATCTCTAAGGGAGGTGATATTTAAGTTGAGACCCAAGAAGAGAAGGAGTAGTTGGCTGTATGAATAGCATGTGCAAAGCCCTGCAGCATGAAAGAGGTTGTGGTTGTAGAACAAAAAGACTGCTGGGATGAGGCATCTCAGTAGCAAGCCGAGGATAAGAGGGTCTTGAGATGAGAGTGGGTACAGACCAGATCATGGAGACATTTACAAGTCACGGTTAAACAGTTTGGATTTCATTCCAAGTTTCTTAAATGGCATATTGTCACAAGACCAAAAGAGACCTTTGGGACTCATTCCATCTGTCAGGTAGGAGGTAATTCTTTTTCTTTTTATCCATGCACCAACTTCTGTAAGTAAACTTGACTAATGTTTGTTTATAATCAGTGAGTAAGCTGCTACTTTAATACCGCTACCCTGGAAGAGGCCCTTCAAGGCATGTTAAATTAACTGATGTGAATAAAAACAATGAATAAAAATACCTCTCTCCTTTAATGAGAACAGCGACTTCTGTTTCCCTGAGCTTTTTCAGTCCCATAAGACCTTTTAAAACAGAGTGAGCATGTTCAGGTTCAAATGCTAAAAACATAATCTTGTCTCTCTCTTGTTGGATTATGTTTCGAGAAGCCATTTTAGATCAATCTTTTTGAGCACACAAGCTTCAGAAGCTGTGACTAAAACATACCCAGCACTGCTGCTAGGTTGGTCATTTTTCCCTAAGGCTGTTCTCACACAGAACCAAAGGGATGTGCCCCTTCATCTGATACATGGACCCTCCAGCTCAGGGACTGATGAAAAAGAAGCCCCAAAGTTTGTGTTCTATAAGGGCCTGCTTATCCACTCAAATCTCGTGTAAAAGGTTGGGTAAGAGTCTATGTGCTTCTCTAATTTGCCATTCCTACGGGAGTTACAAAAAGTTTACAGAGGCACTTTTGGGATCTATTCATATGTTCTGCATATACTATCTCGTAGGGATTAGATTCCATGTTTATCACACACTCTACAAAGAGACAATGTTGTGTAATGAAAATTAGATTTTATTCCAATTGTGTAATTCATTTGTTTTATGGCCAAGTAAAAGTTATTTTCTTTCCAAGCATTTTTGTTTGTTTGTTTGTTTGTTTGTTTGTTTGCAAGATGACCTCTAGGGCTCCTTCCAGTTCTATGACTTTGTGAATCTCTATCAACATGGACTCAAGAACAATGCTGGTATTAGCTATGGTAAGCTAAACTGCTGTTACAAGTAGACTTCAAAGTGCAAAGGCCCAAACAAAATAGAAATCTTTTTTTTTCACCCAATGGCTCAGGACAGGTGTTCTAGATCAGCTGACAGCTCTGCTCCACAATTCAATTCAGAGAACTGGTCTAAAGATACTTGGCCTTCAAAGTCACTCTAATAATAGCCCTTCCAGTCAGTCCATCAGAAAGAAGACAAGCTGAAGTCCTGGGTAAGAGATATCTCACAAGGTAAATGAAATTAAATTATTCCTCTGGCAAGAGCCTAAACACAAGGTCACATCTAGCTGCAAGAGAGGCCACAAAATATAGTCCCAGTCTGGATCCAGACAGAACTCCATTACTAGGGAAGAAGATGAGAGAGAATTGGGGTGGACATAGAGCAGCCTCTGCTACGTGCCTAATTCCTATATTAGGTTTCAGACTATTAAACTTTTCAATTACTGAATTATCATCACAGTTCTAAGAGACAATTACTACAATGTTCATTCTACAGATGTGAAAACTATGTCCCAAAGAGCTGAAGTAAAACACATGAAGTCTCACAGTTAAAAGCTGAGCTAAGCTTCAATTTCAGGTCTGCTGGTCAGTGCTTTCTCTACCATAAGTACTAAATTGAAATATTTGCATAGCAAATAATCATTAGCATAAATCTGCATGAATAAAAAGAACAACAAGGCATTATTGTGAAAGGTAAGAGGAACAGCTAAAGCATGCAGCAGATCTAGGACTGACTCCAAGTGTTAAGAGGTCTCCAAACTGAAAGATGGCCAAATAGGAACAGCTCCGGTCTACAGCTCCCAGCGTGAGCAACGCAGAAGACGGGTGATTTCTGCATTTCCATCTGAGGTACCGGGTTCATCTCACTAGGGAGTGCCAGACAGTGGGTGCAGGACAGTGGGTGCAGCGCACCATGTGCGAGCCGAAGCAGGGCAAGGCATTGCCTCACTCAGGAAGTGCAAGGGGTCAGGGAGTTCCCTTTCCTAGTCAAAGAAAGGGGTGACAGACGGCACCTGGAAAATCGAGTCACTCCCACCCTAATACTGCGCTTTTCCAACGAGCTTAAAAAACGGCACACCAGCAGATTATATCCCGCACCTGGCTCAGAGGGTCCTATGCCCACAGAGTCTCGCTGATTGCTAGCACAGCAGTCTGAGATCAAACTGCAAGGCAGCAGCGAGACTGGGGGAGGGGTGCCTGCCATTGCCCAGGCTTGATTAGGTAAACAAAGCAGCCGGGAAGCTCGAACTGGGTGGAGCCCACCACAGCTCAAGGAGGCCTGCCTGCCTCTGTAGGCTCCACCTCTGGGGGCAGGGCACAGACAAACAAAAAGACAGCAGTAACCTCTGCAGACTTTAATGTCCCTGTCTGACAGCTTTGAAGAGAGTAGTGGTTCTCCCAGCACGCAGCTGGAGATCTGAGACTGGGCAGACTGCCTCCTCAAGTGGGTCCTTGACCCCCAAGCAGCCTAACTGGGAGGCACCCCCCAGTAGGAGCAGACTGACACCTCACACGGCCAGGTACTCCTCTGAGACAAAACTTCCAGAGGCACGATTAGGCAGCAGCATTTGCGGTTCACCAAGATCCACTGTTCTATAGCCACCACTGTTCTGCAGCCACCGCTGCTAATACCCAGGCAAACAGAGTCTGGAGTGGACCTCTAGCAAACTCCAACAGACCTGCAGCTGAGGGTCCTGTCTGTTAGAAGGAAAACTAACAAACAGAAAGGACATCCACACCAAAAACCCTTCTGTACATCACCATCATCAAAGACCAAAAGTAGATAAAACCACAAAGATGGGGAAAAAACAACAGAAAAACCGGAAACTAAAAAGCAGAGCACCTCTCCTCCTCCAAAGGAACACAGCTCCTCACCAGCAATGGAAAAAATCTGGATGGAGAATGACTTTGACGAGCTGAGAGAAGAAGGCTTCAGACGATTAAACTACTCTGAGCTACAGGAGGAAATTCAAACCAATGGCAAAGAAGTTAAAAACTGTGAAAAAAATTAGACGAATGGATAACTAGAATAACTGACGCAGAGAAGTCCTTAAAGGAGCTGACGGAGCTGAAAGCCAAAGCTCAAGAACTACGTGAAGAATGCAGAAGCCTCAGGAGCCGATGTGATCAACTGGAAGAAAGGGTATCAGTGATAGAAGATGAAATGAATGAAATGAAGTGAGAAGGGAAGTTTAGAGAAAAAAGAATAAAAAGAAATGAACAAACCCTCCAAGAAATATGGGACTATGTGAAAAGACCAAATCTATGTCTGATTGGTGTACCTGAAAGTGACGGGGAGAATGGAATCAAGTTGGAAAACACTCTGCAGGATATTATCCAGGAGAACTTCCCCAATCTAGCAAGGCAGGCCAACATTCAGATTCAGGAAATACAGAGAATGCCACAAAGATACTCCTCGAGAAGAGCAACTCCAAGACACATAATTGTCAGATTCATCAAAGTTGAAATGAAGGAAAAAATGTTAAGGGCAGCCAGAGAGAAAGGTTGGGTTACCCACAAAGGGAAGCCCATGAGACTAACAGCAGATCTCTCGGCAGAAACTCTACAAGCCAGAAGGGAGTGGGGGTCAATATTCAACATTCTTAAAGAAAAGAATTTGCAACCCAGAATTTCATATCCAGCCAAACTAAGCTTCATAAGTGAAGGAGAAATGAAATCCTTTACTGACAAACAAATGCTGAGAGATTTTGTCACCACCAGGCCTGCCCTAAAAGAGCTCCTGAAGGAAGCACTAAACATGGAAAGGAACAACCGGTACGAGCCACTGCAAAAACATGCCAAAATGTAAAGACCATCAAGGCTAGGAAGAAACTGCATCAACTAATGAGCAAAATAACCAGCTAACATCATAATGACAGGACCAAATACACACATAACAGTATTAACTTTAAATGTAAATGGGCTAAATGCTCCAATTAAAAGACACAGACTGGCAAATTGGATAAACAGTCAAGGCCCATCAGTGTGCTATATTCAGGAAACCCATCTCACATGCAGAGACACACATAGGCTCAAAATAAAGGGATGGAGGAAGATCTACCAAGCAAATGGAAAACAAAAAAAGGCAGGGATTGCAATCCTAGTCTCGGATAAAACAGATTTTAAACCAACAAAGATCAAAAGAGACAAAGAAGGCCATTACATAATGGTAAAGGGATCAATTCAACAAGAAGAGCTAACTATCCTAAATATATATGCACCCAATACAGGAGCACCCAGATTCATAAAGCCAGTCTTTAGTAACCTACAAAAAGACTTAGACTCCCACACAATCATAATGGGAGACTTTAACACCCCACTGTCAACATTAGACAGATCAATGAGACAGAAAGTTAACAAAGATACCCAGGAATTGAACTCTGCTCTGCACCAAGCGGACCTAATAGACATCTACAGAACTCTCCACCCCAAATCAACAGAATATACAATTTTTTCAGCACCACACCACACCTATTCCAAAATTGACCACATAGTTGGAAGTAAAGCACTCCCAAGCAAATGTAAAAGAACACAAATTATAACAAACTGTCTCTCAGACCACAGTGCAAACAAACTAGAATTCAGGACTAAGAAACTCACTCAAAACCACTCAACTACATGGGAACTGGACAACCTGCTCCTGAATGACTACTGGGTACATAACGAAATGAAGGCAGAAATAAAGATGTTCTTTGAAAACAATGAGAACAAAGGCACAACATACCAGAATCTCTGGGACACATTCAAAGCAGTGTGTAGAGGGAAATTTATAGCACTAAATGCCCACAAGAGAAAGCAGGAAAGATCCAAAATTGACACCCTAATGTCACAATTAAAAGAACTGGAAAAGCAAGAGCAAACACATTCAAAACCTAGCAGAAGGCAAGAAATAACTAAAATCAGAGCAGAACTGAAGGAAATATACACACAAAGAAACCCTTCAAAAAATTAATGAATCCAGGAGCTGATTTTTTGAAAAGATCAACAAAATTGATAGAATGCTAGCAAGACTAATAAAGAAGAAAAGAGAGAAGAATCAAATAGATGCAATAAAAAATGATAAAGGGGATATCACCACCGATCCCACAGAAATACAAACTACCATCAGAGAATACAAACACCTCTATGTAAATAAACTAGAAAATCTAGAAGAAATGGATAAATTCCTTGACAGATACACCCTCCCAAGACTAAACCAGGAAGAAGTTGAATCTCTGAATAGACCAATAACAGGAGCTGAAATTGTGGCAATAATCAATAGCTTACCAACCAAAAAAAGTCCAGGACCAGATGGATTCACAGCCGAATTCTACCAGAGGTACAAGGAGGAGCTGGTACCATTCCTTCTGAAACTATTCCAATCAATAGAAAAAGAGGGAATCCTCTCTAACTCATTTTATGAGGCCAGCATCATCCTGATACCAAAGCCGGGCAGAGACACAACAAGAAAAGAGAATTTTAGACCAATATCCTTGATGAACATTGATGCAAAAATCCTCAATAAAATACTGGCAAACCGAATCCAGCAGCACATCAAAAAGCTTATCCACCATAATCAAGTAGGCTTCATCCCTGGGATGTAAGGCTGGTTCAACATACGAAAATCAATAAATGTAATCCAGCATATAAACAGAACCAAAGACAAAAACCACATGATTATCTCAATAGATGCAGAAAAGGCCTTTGACAAAATTCAACAACTCTTCATGCTAACAACTCTCAATAAATCAGCTATTGATGGGACATATCTCAAAATAATAAGACCTATCTGTGACAAACCCACAGCCAATATCATACTGAATGGGCAAAAACTGGAAGCATTCCCTTTGAAAACTGGCACAAGACAGGGATGCCCTCTCTCACCACTCCTATTCAACATAGTGTTGGAAGTTCTGGCCAGGGCAATTAGGCAGAAGAAGGAAATAAAGGGTATTCAATTAGGAAAAGAGGAAGTCAAATTGTCCCTGTTTGCAGACGACATGATTGTATATCTAGAAAACCCCATTGTCTCAGCCCAAAATCTCCTTAAGCTGATAAGCAACTTCAGCAAAGTCTCAGGATACAAAATCAATGTACAAAAATCACAAGCATTCTTATACACCAATAACAGACAAACAGAGAGCCAAATCGTGAGTGAACTCCCATGCACAATTGCTTCAAAGAGAATAAAATACCTAGGAATCCAACTTACAAGGGATGTGAAGGACCTCTTCAAGGAGAACTACAGACCACTGCTCAACGAAATAAAAGAGGATACAAACAAATGGAAGAACATTCCATGCTCATGGATAGGAAGAATCAATATCGTGAAAATGCCATACTGCCCAAAGTAATTTATAGATTCAATGCCATCCCCATCGAGCTACCAATGACTTTCCTCGCAGAATTGGAAAAAACTACTTTAAAGTTCATATGGAACCAAAAAAGAGCCTGCATCGCCAAGTCAATCATAAGCCAAAAGAACAAAGCCGGAGGCATCACACTACCTGACTTCAAACTATACTACAAGGCTACAGTAACCAAAACAGCATGGTACTGGTACCAAAAGAGAGATATAAATCAATGGAACAGAACAGAGGCCTCAGAAATAATGCCACATATCTACAACCGTCTGATCTTTGACAAACCTGACAAAAACAAGAAATGGGGAAAGGATTCCCTATGTAATAAATGGTGCTGGGAAAACTGGCTAGCCATATGTAGAAAGCAGAAACTGGATCCCTTTCTTAGACCTTATACAAAAATTAATTCAAGATGGATTAAAGACTTATATGTTAGATCTAAAACCATAAAAACCCTAGAAGAAAACCTAGGCAATACCATTCAGGACATAGGCATGGGCAAGGACTTCATGTCTAAAACACCAAAAGCAATGGCAACAAAAGCCAAAATTGACAAATGGGATCTAATTAAACTAAAGAGCTTCTGCACAGCAAAAGAAACTACCATCAGAGTGAACAGGCAACCTACAAAATGGCAGAAAATTTTCACAACCTACTCATCTGACAAAGGGCTAACATCCAGAATCTACAATGAACTCAAACAAATTTACAAGAAAAAAACAAACAACCCCATCAAAAAGTGGGTGAAGGATACGAACAGACCCTTCTCAAAAGAAGACATTTGTGCAACCAAAAAACACATGAAAAAATGCTCATCATCACTGGCCATCAGAGAAATGCAAGTCAAAACCACAATGAGATACCATCTCACACCAGTTAGAATGGCAATCATTAAAAAGTCAGGAAACAACAGGTGCTGGAGAGGATGTGGAGAAATAGGAACACTTTTACACTGTTGGTGGGACTGTAAACTAGTTCAACCATTGTGGAAGTCAGTGTGGCGATTCCTCAGGGATCTAGAACTACAAATACCACTTGACCCAGCCATCCCATTACTGGGTATATACCCAAAGGACTATAAATCATGCTGCTACAAAGACACATGCACACGTCTGTTTATCGTGGCACTATTCACAATAGTGAAGACTTGGAACCAACCCAAATGTCCAACAACGATAGATTGGATTAAGAAAATGTGGCACATGTACACCATAGAATACTATGCAGCCATAAAAAATGAAGAGTTCATGTCCTTTTTAGGGACATGGGTGAAACTGGAAACCATCATTCTCAGCAAACTATCGCAAGGACAAAAAAACCAAACACCCCATGTTCTCACTCATAGGTGGGAATTGAACAATGAGAACACATGGACACAGGAAGGGGAACATCCCACTCCGGGGACTGTTGTGGGGTGGGGAGAGGGGGGAGGGATAGCATTAGGAGATATACCTAATGCTAAATGACGAGTTAATGGGTGCAGCACACCAGCATGGCACATGTATACATATGTAACAAACCTGCACATTGTGCACATGTACCCTAAAACTTAAAGTATAATAATAATAAAATAAAAAAAGAAAGAAAAAAAATTTTAAAAAAGAGGTCTCCAAACTGTACAGAAAGTAAGAAGTGAAATTTGTCTTAAAAAAGGAAGCTGATGAACAGTTTGCAATCGAGACATTTGCTCATTTTGCTCTCATTCTCTATTGGTTTACAAAGCACATATAAAGGCAGAAGGATTGCAAGAAACACTCTCATTGGAGACAAAAGTGAATTAATAAAGGGGGCCAAAATCTAAAAATACTAAAAATATAGATATATACAGTCATCCCTCACAGAGAGAAGTGGTTTTGCACAGGCAGATGAATCTGCAAATTGCTAGAGAGAACAATATATCCCTCCCCACTCCCACCCGTCACACACACTCACACATTTGCAGTGCCAACTATTTTATATTTGCTATGAAAATCCAAACATAAACTGCCAATAAACCAGCCTCATGCCTTTTGAAGAATAGCCAAGCAACCTCTAAACACAACTTGGAAAATCCTATCTGGGACCTTAGTTTAAGCAAAATTTCTATGAAAATAAAGAATCCCTAAAGAATGTGTTAGGTATAATTATTCCTAGTTTTAGTCTTCAAACAGTATTGAGATAGTAATATTTCAGCATGATTTCCCTTCCAACCTTCTCCCTACTCACATTAATACGATTTTGCAAAAGTAAAGGTTCCCTTTCTTACAAATCTGTTCAAAATTGGTCATTTTTTAAAGGAATGGTAGTTTTATGGGTTACCAACTTTATATAAGAAAGGTTGTGAGGAGTCTCAGAGCTCAGCCATCATTCATAGAGCATTCATGTTGAGCTCTCAGGGAAGGGACGTTGCTAAAACCCACCAATGCAGTTATAATGTGCCTGATGGGACATGGTAATTTATTATTTCACACAGCAAGTTAATACAGTCCTACCTGTGCCCTTTTTGAGGAGGGTATGATAGCTTATCAATGGATGATTACTCATGGAGAATTTTCAGAATTATTCCACCCTGCATCCTGCCAGAACAAAGCTCTCTGCTAGGTCTCCTGGCCCTTTTCTCCTAATTCATTTTTATATTAGACACTCAGGGGCATAACAGAGACAGCACTGGCTACCTTTCGTCATCATTTAAAGAAAGCTGGGGATTCTACCAAAGTATACCACCATGGCCTTTAAAAAATCTAACTATAACCAACTTACTTGAGCAATTTTAAGTACCATTTTGCTTTTATATCCAAGTCTGTCATCACCAGAGTATATTTATGGAGCACTTTTGTGTTTACAGCATTGAATTCAGCAGATAACAGAGCTGAGAAAAGGCAGAAGTGGAGGATTTTTACAATTTAGAGAATAGGATCTAAATCTACTTCAAAAGCTAATCGCGTTTTATAAATGCTGTTCGTCCTAATGCTAATTTCTCTGGTCTTTTGTTTACACAAGAAAGCTCCAGGCTGGTTTATGGTGTCACATTTATCACCGGGTAGAATATAAGCAAATCCCATTACACCCAAATTAAACCACCCAAATGAACCAAAATGTGGATTATGGTATCTCTTTATGCTACATTTTTACTTGAAAACAGAAACATTATTCTAATGCTCAGCAAATACAAAAGAAAAGCAACCTGGTTTTTTCATGATTCTTATTTTGACTTTCTCATCACTGTCTGAGCCCTAAGGCTCATCAGTAACTACACAGAAAGAGAAAAAACAAACAAACAAAAAACCCTTAAATCCTCATTAAGCAACCCAAAGGGATTTGGGCTATAATCCCAAAAGACACAATCCCAAATGCCATAATCCCAAATGTTGAAATCCTCAAAGATCAAAGTTCCTAAAGTCTAAAAATTCCAAAAATAACAATCCCAAAAGACCCAAATCCCAACTATATAATTCTGGAAAAAAATTACAAAAATAATTTCTTAAAAGGATTTACTGACATTTTTAAAGAGGGGTTTATTTGAGAAATGTATAAAAACATGACTGAGGCTGGGCACAGTGGCTCACGCCTGTAATCCCAGCACTTTGGGAGGCCGAGGTGTGTGGATCACCTGAGGTCAGGAGTTCGAGACCAGCCTGACTAACATGGTAAAACATCATCTCTGCTAAATACAAAAAATTAGCTGGGCATGGTGGCACCTGCCTGTAATCCCAGCTACTCGGGAGGCTGAGGCAGGATAATCGCTTGAACCCAGGAGGCGGAGGTTGCAGTGTACCGAGATCACACCACTGCACTACAGCCTGGGCAACAAGAGTGAAACTCCACCTCAAAAACAAACAAACAAAAAAACCATGACTGAACACTTTATAGGCCACTTTACACAATAAAATAGGCAATAATAACACACATATTTTTGGAAGCACAAACACTAAAGTATACGAACAACAGTTGCACAGATAACAGTTATGGGCAAGTGAGCCATACTCTAAGTAAATAAGTCAAAAAGCAAAATGTATAAACCATATCACTATGGCTCATAGTTGTGTGCATAACTTCAGTTGTCTGAAATACGGTGATGAACAACCTAGGTCTTGATGAGACAGAGCAAAAGCCATTGTGGGTCACCACCACACATGCCTTTGCCCAAAGAGCTGAGATCTTGGGAACTTTTATCTTTCACAGGTGCCAATGTAGAAAAAAGACAGCTCTTCACTTATTGAAGAAGTTTCAGTGTTTTAACATACATGCACAGTGCTCACACACATTGCCACAAAGTCAACATTGTAATAATGCACCTTTGTGGAATCAAACTTCCAAAAAATGTATAAAACAAATGAGAACTCTCTAACGGTTTTTGCACAATTTATATCTCCAGTATTGGAAATGATGTGAAGATGAAGTACATAGCACAGTGAATTGGTGCTAATGTGTGAAGTGACAGAAGTCATTCACAATTAAATAATTTGACAGGGGAGAGTTCTTATATTTTTTGCCCGCATTTCCACTTCTATGATCTTTGAAACACTTGCTGCACTTGTATTTGGAGAGCTGTTATGGTCTACAAATTTTGTAAGTATATGCTGCTCATTTGAAAGTCTAGTTATTGCCTGGCTCTTGCAATTAAGCAATTTTCTGCTTTCGAAGCACCAATAATAATTAGCCTTTAAACTTTTATCTTTCACCATTAAGTACACTCATACACTTAACTTATCACAGTCTTTTTGCAAGGGAACAATTTCACAGATCTCTTCCACTGTATGGTAAGAAATACAGTAAAAATGAATGATATTTGCCTTCCCCAATACCAAATAGTGTAGTCAGGATTCTCTAGAGATACAAAACCTATAGGATATGTACATAGATACATGAGAGGGAAATTGGCTCATGGGATTATGGTGGCTGAGAAGTCCCACAACAGGCTGTCTGCAAGCTGGAGACCCTGAGATGCTGATAGAGTGGCTCAGGACAAGCCTGAGGGCCCCAGAACTAGGGAAGCCAATGGTGTAACCCTCAGTTTGAAGTGGAAAGCCTTAGGACTCAGGGGAGTGGACTCTTAGTCCTGGAATCCAAAGGCCCATGAGCCTGGAGTTCTGATGTTCAAGGCAGTGAAAGAAAAATGTCCGCTCTCAGAGAGAAACTAATTGGCTCCCTGTATTTGTTCTCTCCGTGGCCCCTGCTGATCAGAGGGTGCCTACCAACATTTAAGGCAGATCTTCCTCACCTAGTCTACTCAGACTCACACACTAATCTCTGGAAACTCTCACAGACACACCCAAAACAATACTTTACTAGGTTTCTAGGTATTCCTTGATCCAGTCAAGTTGACAACTAAAGTCCACAAATCCATCCCTTGTCAACTTAGCACTCAAATGCATCTCCTTAAGCCATACTTATTTTCCAAATAAAAATAATTACAAGACAATAGTTCCTCCTAATATGATGCAACTCACATGAAATAACTCACATGAAGCAACTATCCTGCACACAGCAAAAATGCACTAATCACTTTCTCAGAGTTCAGCTTTAGACAATTTCAAGGTTCTGGATTTTAATCTTTCAGGAATGTGATTTGGGGGATTTTAGACATTAGGAATATTTGACTAGGGATTTTGATTTTTTGGGATGTCAACATTGAAGATTATGGCATTTGACATTGTGTCTTTTGGGATGATGATTAGCACCAGACTCAAAGGTGAAAAAGCCCAGGGATGGTGTTAAGGTAACACATGGATATGGTTATCTCTGGCTGTCTTTACAGCAGCACCCTTCCTCAGACATTCAGACCTTTCAGCACTCTCTCAAAACTCTGCAGTTTCACCAATGTTCTCATTGTTATTTAGCTTAGAAAATGCCTCTTACTAATCGTAACATCCACTATTTTTCACAATGTCCAGGTACTTGTTCCCTCTCTCCCTCCCAGGGATATAACTAATGTACAAGCAAAGCCTCATCTCTGGTTTTAGGACACACTGAGTTCTGAAGTGATGGTGTCAGGCAGAAACAGTGACCACTTTTATTATTCTCATTTTTGTTGTTGTTGTTGTTTGAGACAGAGTCTCACTCTGTCGCCCAGGCTGGAATGCAGTGGCACAATCTCGGCTCACTGCAACCTCCGCCTCCTGGGTTCAAGCAATTCTCTGCCTCAGCCTCCCGAGTAGCTGGGATTACAGGTGCCCGCCACCACACTCAGCTAATTTTTTTTTTTTTTTTTTTTTTGCATTTTTAGTAGACATGGGGTTTCACCAGCTTGGCCAGGCTGGTCTTGAACTCCTGACCTCGTGATCCACCTGCCTCGGCCTCCCAAAGTGCTGGGATTACAGGTGTGAGCCACTGCGGTGGCCTATTATTCTCATTTTAAGAGCACTAGTCTGACAGAATGAAGCTTTCAAAGACATCGAAGACCAAGGATGTGATTTTTCCCTCTAGGAGAATCTAGGCAGTTGTGTAAAAAATATATTCACAGCAATTTCAATCAGATCTACCCTTTCAAACTTAAATGCCACCAGGTGAGTATATTGGTGAATATAAAGCCTCACCCTTTACAATAAAAAAAAAAATCTGGCTCTATACTACTATGCCTTTGGTGTCAAATCTATCAATTTGAGCTTTGCCTATTTATACCTAAAATATATTACCCTTTTTATTAAATGAATGAGTTCCAAAAGTTATCAAGGTCAATCATAAGAGCACAAACCCACTTTAACACTGTCACCCAGCTACCCATTCATTCACAATTCATTATGTGAATAACAGATTAGACGGATAGATAGATAGATAGATAGATAGATAGACAGATAGATAGATAGATAGATATACAATCTTGGGGTTTGAGGGTTCCCAATCCATAGCACTCCCCATCCTTACCAAAATTCTGACCCAATTGAGAAATAAGACAAAAGTAATAATAGGCTGGGCATGGTGGCTCATGCCTGTAATCCCAGCACTTTGGGAGGCCAAGGCAGGCAGATCACTTGAGGTCAAGAGTTCAAGACCAGCCTGGCCAACACAGTGAAACCCTTTCTCTATTAAAAATATAAAAATTAGCCAGGCGAGGTGGCAGGCACCTGTAATCCCAGCTACTTGGGAAGTTGAGGCAGGAGAATTGCTTGAACCCAGGAGGCGGAGGTTGCAGTGAGCTGAGATTGTGCCATTTGCACTCCAGCCTGGGCCTGGGTGACAGAGTGAGACACTGCCTCAAAAAAAAAAAAAAAAAAAAAAGAGAGAGAGAGAGACACAAAGTCATAGTAAATAAAGATCAAGTTATTATTTTTTTCTGGTAAAGCTGGTAAAGAAAACTATGTTTTATCTGTGCAAACAAGAGGACTTCTTAATGCATAACACAAAACATAAGGAGTGCTATCATCCAGCCACAGGGGACTCTAAACCACTACGGCCCTCTCCTGTGAGTTGCAAGGCTCACCATATGGCCAAAGACAATCAAGAGCATAAACTCACAGACCAGATTCTAAGAGACAGTAAGGAAAAAGGGGCAGAACTATGCACACACACCCAGTTTCTTATGCCCAAGTCCAAAATCGAACAAATCACTCCTTTCCCCAAAGTGAGTGAGGAGCTGGAACGAGGTCGCGAGTATCACACTCAGCAGTGCCTCTTCACGTGGATGGAAATATTTGGGCGGGGGTCGGGGTGCCGGGCATAAGTGCCTCTTTCCCTCACAACATCTCCCAGGGGTTTATTCTCTTAATCCAGTTGGCTTCACTGCAACATGCCAAGTTTCTCATCCCAAATTCTGTCTGTTAAGCCATTCATTTCCCCAGCCCCTGCTTTATCCCAAGGGGTAGAGATTCCAGAATTATTACACTGATGGATTTCTCTCCACATGGAAGGAAACATTACACAGTGGAATCAGTTTCCCCACCAAAATCATTATTTATAATCTAGAAAATTTATGGTCTAGAGAAACAAAGACATAAAATATTAATAGAAAAATGTTATATAACAATATTGATATAAGGTGTTATAGGAACATAAATGAGGAAGTAAGCAATTCTATTTAGTTTGTATATATAAGTCAATGTGTTATAAACCTGAGCTGGTTTTTTAACGTTAAATATGTAACCACTAAAATATCTATTTGTCCTAAAATAATTCCTTAATTTTATAATGTGCTTTATCCATTTGCAATGTAACTTTTCACAACAATGTAACTTCTGATTAGGTGTCTTTTCATTCAATCTGTGCTGTTTCCCCTGGCCTCTGAAACATGGGCACAGCCACATACACACACCTGGGCACAAATGCATATACACACATGCACACACCACATACTCTCAGACACCAGAAGTGTCTCCCAGCGATCATTCTCCTTGCTTCAGTCAGAGCTATCACCACATGTATCTGGGCACATGGCTGCCCAGAATAAAGACTATATTTCTAGATCTTGCTTTCATCTAGAAGTGATCCCAGAATATGAGTGGTATAAGTAAATACCATATGGATTAGGAAGAGTGACTTCCTTCCTTTGCTCCTTCCTATTTATGGGAATGTGGCTTTTGTGGCTGGGGTTAAAGCTGCTATCTTGGACTTTAAGGGAACTTTGAGAATGAGGCCACATGTGGCACAACAAAATGAAAGAAACATGTGCTCCTTATACCATGAAGTGCCAAAGTAGCCCTGGGCCCAACGTTTACATGAGAAAGAAAAGAACCTCCATCTTGGTTAGGCCTCTGCTATTTTGGGTCTTCAGTCTTCTCTCTCACTTTCTCTTTCCTTCTCCTATCTCATTGTCATCATAGAACTCTTGTGCTTCCCTTTGTTTCTTGCTGATGTATTGAGGATGCCTTTCTCCTACTTATTTCTAACCTCTCTTATCTCAGCTTTAAACACTCATCTCAAATGTTACCCATTCCAAGAGTTTTCTTATTCCCATCCCTGGCCACCGTCTCTGTACCCTCAGAGCAACTTTTGCAACTTAATTCTGGGTTGACTTACCTTCTTCTTAACAGACACATGATTCTAAACTGTTTTACTAGATATCCTCAGGTCTAGCAAAGTGCTTGGTGCACAAACAGCCTTCAGCACGTATTGATTGAGGTAGACAGGGTAAGTATTATTATTTCCATTTTAAAGATAGAAAAACTGAGCTTAGTAATTTATTAATACCATGTAAGTTAGTATACATTCAACCCGTGTTTTTCCACTTTACCAGGATGCACTCAGCTTATAAAATAACTATGATTTCAGTCACTTGGATACATCCTTCTGTTTCAGGATGTTTCTTGTTCACAAGTAGACCTAGGCCTGAGAGAAGATACATGGAAGTCTTGTATATTCATTTCCTTCACTACTTAATTTAGAGACCAAATATATACTCCACACTCCTATAGAGTAGCTAAGGTATCCAGTAAGTTAGGGGGAAGCAATCTCAGGTTTTGTTTTGTTTTGTTTTGTTTTGAGATGGAGTCTTGCTCTGTCACCCAGGCTGGAGTGCAGTGGCGCGATCTCGGCTCACTGCAACCTCTGCCTCCTCCTGGGTTCAAGCAATTCTCCTGCCTCAGCCTCCAGAGTAGCTGGGATTACAGACATGTACCACCAGTCCTGGCTAATTTTTGTATTTTCAGTAGAGACAGCGTTTCATCATGTTGGCCAGGCTGGTCTCGAACACCTAACCTCAAATGATCCACCCACCTTGGCCTCCCAAAGTGCTGGGATTACAGCCATGATTTACCATGCCTGGCCTGCAATCTCAGTCTTTTTAATGTTAAACTGCATTCGAATTTCTTCCATCATGTTCATTTCTCTGCCTACTAATTAAGCAATTTTGACAATTGTTTTAGGAGGTGAGTGGTAAGTGGTAACAACTTTTATGCAAGTATAGTATTTAACTAAACAGATTTTTAACTTTTTCTACATTAGAGCCCAGCAATCTTACCTGAAAATTGATTTAAATGTTATGCAAATGAGTTGATTACCAGAAAGTTGATTTAAATGTTATACAAATGAGGCCGGGCATGGTGGCTCACACCTGTAATCCCAGCACTTTGGGAGGTGGAGGTGGGTGGATCACCTGAGGTCAAGAGTTCGAGACGAGCTGACCAACATGGTGAAACCCCTTCTCTACTAAATACAAAAAATTAGCCGGGCATGATGGCACATGCCTGTACAACTACAGCTGGCTTTCCATATCCAAGGGTTCTGCACTTATGGATTCAACCATTCAATCATCAATCAAAAAAAATTTTTTTTAAATGAACAGTTGTATCTATACTGAATATGTACAAACTTCTTGTTCTTGTCATTATTCCTTAAACAATACAGTATGACAACTATTTACATAGAATTTACACTGTGTTAGGTATTATAAGTAATCTAGAGATGATTTCAAGTATGTAGAGGATGTGCATAGGTTATATGTAAATACTACACCATTTTATGACAATGAATTAAGCATCCTTGGATTTTGACATTTTCAGAGGTCCTAGAACGAATCCCCCAAGAAGAGACAATTGTATATAGTATATGTACACAGTCTTCTCTAATCCTGAGAAGTAATCTTGGTCTAACATAAAGAACATATTTTTATATACCTTCAATGTGAAACCAGCTCATGATGGCCTGGTTTCAAAGGCCTATTGCTGAGCAGCTTAGGTACTCAGGTGCTTGGAAGTGGTTTGTAGCCCAAGAAGGATTTATAAAATGGTAGAAGAAAATAATAACATAAAGAATATCAAACTGAAATAAATTCCTTAATATAAAAACCCAAACATATGAACCTGCTCTACGCCAGAACTGAAGCATTTCTTTCTGTTTTGATCTCCCAAAACTCGTTGGGCAGACAGATCTTAACACTGTGATGACAGCATCTCCCATCAGATATATATTCTGTGGAGCAGGTAATAGGGCTGTGAAGTACGTTCTTAGACTATCAAGAGGGAAAGGCTTCTCAAGTCAGGGAAAGAAAGAAAAGCTAGAAGTACAACTTAATGCATCAACAGCAAATATTCTAAGAACCCAACAAGAAAAAATGGGTTTGAATTAAAGCAAGAGGAATTTCAGTTTGTTGTAAGAAAGGATTTCTGGATAATTGCTAAGTGCCTGTTAACTTGCCAGTTACTGAGAGTAGGAGGTGGCCTGCTCAAGCCAGGCTCTCAACTTCATCATGGCCAGGAGAAGTCTTCCTGAAACATGAAACCTTATCATGTTAGACTTCTGCTTAAAACACTACAATGACATCTACTGACTTTTAGAATCAAATATATGGAACACAAGATTGTTTTTTAAACATAAGCCACTGCCTTCATCTCCAATTTTGTTTTCTCCCACTCCTTCTTCGACACATTAAACTATTTACAGTGCCTGCACACGTGCGTGCACACACACACACACACATACACAGCTACACACAGACGCACACCATGGTTCTCCAGGTGTCTTTGCCTTTGCATATTCTGTTTGCTTTGCCCAGTCCATTTGACAAACTCCTCCTCTTCATGGAAACATTGCATGGATTTTGTCTCTCCATGAAGTTTCCTGTGAGCCTGAACTGGCAAGATTAGTCACATCCATATCAGTAAGTCTTCTGAATTTCTAAAATTTCATAAATTTTCCTGTATGTTCACAATTCTATTCTACTACTGCATTTGTTTTACTCCTACAGAGTATGAGCTTCTTAGGGGAAGGGACTATATTGCTTTTTGGAGGTCCCTAGCATATACTATAAATCAGCATAAGGAGGTACTCAATAATTATTTGTTCCACTACAGAGAAAGAGCTGAAATTTATTTTTTCCATTCACCTTCACTCATTCTATTCTGTCACACTGGGTGAGCCCCAGGATCACACAAGAGCAGGCATTTCTCAAGCCCATTAGCTTATTTGTAATTCTACTTGGATACAAACATAGCCACATCAGTTGTTACTTGATTCTAAATCCTAATTTGGTCTATCCATCTTACTCTTATCATATTATTCCCCAAAAGCTTGCTCAGCAAGACTACCATAGATGGTGGTGGTTTTAAAAAGGCCACAGATTCTTTGCCACCCCTTCCATTAAGAGTGGGAGTCTCATTCTTTGCCTTCATATTCTGGCCTGGTCTTAGTGACTTTTTTTTAATCACTAGAATACAGAGGAAGTGACATTCTGGGGTTCTGAGGCTAGACCATACCTTGCAGCTTCTTCCTGCTCTCCTTGGAGACTCTAAGAACCCTGAACTGTCATGTAAGAAGTCCAGTGGCCCTGAGACCCTATATGCTAGAAAGCTCACATACAGGTGTTCTGATTGACAGCCGCACTTGAGCCTCACCCTTCCGACCACTCTGCCAAGGGGCCAACATGTGAATGTATCCTTCTTCAACCCACCAAAGCACTTTGTCGGCCAGATAAATGCTACCTAGTGGCCTTTGTTGATGCCATATGGAACAGAAGAATCACCCAGCTGAGATCTGCCTAAATTCCTGACCTACAAATATGTGCAAATAATAAAATGGTTATTGATAACTGCAACACAGACTCTTCTCCTCAACTTCCACTTCATTGCTCAGCTCCCTTATCATCTCAGTCTATATAAATATAGAAGTATTCCTACTTTGAGTCCTTAAATTATGGAATTAATTTACTCTAGCAGATCTTTTCTCTCTATCTCTGGTGAGGTGTATTTTCTGTTCCTTTCTCAGATAATGAATTCTCAGTCTGACTTATTCCTTAAAATGTTCAGCTCTTTCTAATCTTATCATTTATTTTTTCCTTCTATTTCATTATACCCCCACTCCCCCTCCTGCTATGTCATTGTTACAGACATCAGTAATCCCTGAATCTTCTTTCCTTTCTTTTCAAGAGAGCTCTATAGAATTATCCAGCAACCGAAGTGTTAAGTATTTGAACAGGTAATGAGGATATGCTGGAGACTCTATATCCCTGGAGTCTTTAAAATAGGATAAGCAATAGATAATCACCTATCCGATTGGGTGTTTTAAATATTCCTCATCATAGGATCAGAGGGCCCGGATTGAACAATCCCTAGTGATTCCTTTTCTGCCAGAAGATTCTATGTTAGATTCAGATGCATAGAACCAGTCGAAGTCTTGAAACATATGAGCACTCAAATTCTTAATAACGTAGTCTGATTACAAACAAATAACTGCTTGAATCATGTGTTTGACGTATGTTTGAATAATTTCATTTTTTGAAACATGTTTGATTGTTTAAAACAACTCTTCTGACTATGATCAATGTTTATCATTATATTAATTTCCTTTCGGGTATTTTGTAATTTTCTTCCTCCAAGAATACTACCAAACTTTGCTATTTTCTACTTCTGGTGTATTCAATTGTTGTTCAAATGTGGCTTTTTAAAATCCACCTTGTGTATAAAATAAAAAGAGAGAAAAAGCTACTTGACATTTTTGCTTTGGTGTCTAACCCATGCACTTCAGAAATGAGTGAGCTTCATTTTCGTAATTGATGACAAAATGATCATCTTAGAATGTGGGGAAGATGTAAAATTCTTTCTGTTTCTTCACTGCGGGTTTTCCCCTCAAACCAACTGAGGAGAAGCAGCACTGCCAAGTAAAAAAGTTTAACAGTTTGTTATGTTAATCTTTAAAATGTACCCAGAAAACATTTTTTGGCCAAAGCAGTCAAGATTGACAGCTGTTCCGTGTCCCCCACTGAAAACAAATGGAGTAAAGAGTTCTGTGCATGTGATGTGTTGAACAGTCAAATGACAACTGTGGGTTGATCCACACTCTAAAGCAGCAGAATTAGAAGGAGGGTGTGGAGTGGGGGTAGAGGGAGGCATGCTGTAGAAAGCATTATACTTGCATCACCTGCCAATTCTTGTCAATATGGCAAAATGTAGTTGCTGTAACTGAGAGACCCCATAGCTATAAAGTTCTCACTTTCGAGTCTCATTCAAAGTGAGATTAGAATCAGGTTGGAACAGACTCACAGAGAGATTTCTCTCCTTCGCAATGTTATCACGGAGGAAAGGTAATGTCACATAGAGTCCAAGAGCCAAAAGCAATCACATAAGGAGGGCAGCCATGCAGCAATGCACTGCAGAGCTCAGAACAGCAGAAAAGTCCGAAGGATTGGAGATTCCTGAAAGGGAAGGGGAAACAAAGACTGCCTTAAGAGGGGAGTATGCCCCCAGATGAGGAAGCCGTGTTAGACAGAGATGCCACAAAACACATCAGCTTAAGAAAGAGAAGAGTAGAGCCAGACACTGGTGCTACTCCTGCCGCTGTACTTAAAAAAACTACAAGTTATTAATCCCTCCATAACTCGGTTTCCTCCTCTGTAAAAAGATAATAGGTCCTAAGAATATTGTGGTATATTAAATGCATTTATTTTATAGTTCTGAGAATACAAATTACTCAGTGTTAATTTTTATATTTATTATTAAAGATTTCCTGAGTCCCCCTTGCTGTTTATATTGTTTTGTTTTCTGCACTTGTTTTATACTCAGTTATTTAGTTGATAATATTGCTTTATCAGCCAAGATAACTCTAAAATTAAAAGTTAAAATTAATCAAATTTTCTTATATTAACTGGGTCAGAAACCATCCAACAACTTTGTTGTTTCTGCCTACCTAATGGCCTGATAGGTGAAACCATAAAGGAGAAACAGAAACAACAGAAAGCTGAAATAAACTTTCTAAAGGGTAAGATTCTGATCTTTCCATCTTCTACACAGTACAGCAAATAAAACTCTAGATATATAGTTTTCCTAAAGTTAATAGATAGCAGTTAAGACTAGAGGCAAAATGTTTTTTCCTCAGAATACTTAAAAAAATAGTAGCTGCTTCTTTCCAGCTAAACTGTCAAAATCATGAATGCAGGAATAGGGTCTATCTTACTCCATACATACAAGGCAACAGACAGAATAGGTATTTGTTGGTTGACATTATTTTTTCTCAGTTAATATTTATTGAGGGTCTATTATATGCTAGACAGAGAGCTCAGCAGTTAATAAAACTTAAAACTTATAAATACAGGCTTTCTGCATGAAGCCTATATTTCAATGGAGAAGAGAGATAATAAGCAAGTAACAGAGATAGATAGATAGACAGATAGATAGATAGATAGATAGATAGATAGATAGATAGATAGATAGATAGAAGATATGACAGAAGATATGATAGATTAGATAGATAGAAGGTAGATAGATAGAAGACAGAAACAGCTGGATAGATAGAAGATAGATGATAGATAGAAGTTTAATGTAATGTCAGATGATGATGATTGCTGTGAATTAAAATAAAGCACGGCCAGTAGAGACAGAGTGATGGGGGCTGCTGTCTTAGATTAGTGGTTACAGATGACCTCTCAAGGGACATGATTGTTGATAAATGACCTATGTAAATTGAGGTAGAGAGACATGACATATCTGAGTATATATAAAGATTTGGGTGAAATAACTAAAAGAGAGGCATGTGGAATTTTCTTAATTAAAAAAATAAAACATCTCCATGTAAAGATCAAGAGTAAGCCTGTATTCAGATATCAGATAACTTGTGAAACATTAAAATATCTCACGAAAAGGTTCTTAATTCTAATTTTCTTTCATCACCTTAAAAATGGCTATAGTTATTCTCCACCTTAGCTACTGTAATAGAAATAAGGTCAATACACTCAGTGTGTACAGACTGAAATTAATCATGTGTAATGCACAGTCCATTTTGAGAGATGAGAGAGCAGCAGCCAGTTGACTATTCTGCCTAATTCGGTAGGTTACCTGAGCCACAGTGAGAACGCATGGGTGTTTGATGAACTGGAATAGATTTATCATGCTGGACACTTTCCTGTTTGAAACATTCTCGTAGCTGATCCCTTTAAGGCACCCTTTGTTATACAAACAAAATTGTATTTACCTTCAAGAACAACAGAGGATGCTTGGTAGAAAATTAATTTTATGTTTAATTAGGAGCTGTTCACATTATCTGGCTCATATCTGGTACTGTCAGTACACCATGGTACTGCATTCCACATAAATAGGAATTTTTACCTGGAAGATTGCTTTTTAGCAAAGATATATTTTACTAGGGCCAATTGTGCTATGCATGTATATCATATTTCCTGAATCTCATATCCTTATATTTCATTCAAAAGAGCCCAGAGAGAACTAAAATAATATTTTGACATTTAAGCTAAAAAGTAAAAAATAAGAGGAATTTCAACCATTAGAACAGTAGATATCAATTTCTGGCTAAACGTTAGAATCACCTAGAGAGTTTTTTAAAAATACCAGTGCACATGTCATACTCGTCGGGTTTGTGCAGCCAGGCTTAAAAACTACAGCACCAGAAAATTCTTTAGAGATATATGAGTTATAAAGTGAGAAGTTTGAATAATAGTATTTGAAAAGTATTTTCTTCATGGCTTATTTTATTTGAAGGTCTTAAATAACATATATCATACTATATAAAATATTACCAAAGAAAGCAACTTAAACTGATGTTAATTTTAACAACTAGCAAGAGCTCATTGTAAACAAGACACTCTGCTAGATACTATAAGTTTATGTGAAATGAAGAAATGCTTACCTCGAGCACAGTAGGATTTACCAGAAAGCTACTGAGTCTAAACTCCAGGGCCTTTATTTGCACAGCCCCCTTCCAAGGCCCTGAGAGGGACCCTAGCAATGTGTTGATATTTTCATAGCTTTTATAAAATTTGCGAAAATCTAGCTGGGCACAGTGACAGGTGCCTGTAATCCCAGCTACTCGGGAGGCTGAGGCAGGAGAATCACTTGAACCCAGGAGGCGGAGGTTACAGTGAGCCGAGATTGCACCATTGCACTCCAGCCTGGGTGACAAGAGTAAAACGCTGCCTCCAAAAAGAAAAAAATTGCAAAAATCATATAGTTTATCCACTGCTGTCTCTTTCCCTGCTAGCTTTCCAATCACATGTTTCCCTGGTACCTGGTGGTATCAAGTAATCAGGGATATTTGGGGGCTCCAGAAAAGGAGGAGTTGAATGAAGATACATTCGGTTTTGGTTTATAGAATATATTCATGTGATTTACTGTCATTTCTGTGCATACCTAAGTGATTGCTAGTTGTCCTGAGCTAGGAATGGTTTGCAGAAATATTACCCACTTCCCTAACTCAGGCTAGTGACATGAATTTTCAGGACAGACTAAAAACTCATAATAATAAGTTGGTGAAAAACTGGTTAACAAATGTTGTCAATTCAAAGAGAATTTGTGATTAGTCACTGCACATGAAAACTTGCAATGACCTGAGGTCTTACAACTCACCTGTAAAAGACACTTGTAGAAGCTTTCCCAAATTCAACAATAATTTCAATAATATCTATGACATGACCAATAGCAAACTTTTAAGATATGGGAGGCTTTTCAAAGCTTTCAATAACGAATAAATCAGCTGTGCCAGACGAAAGATGAGATTATCTTTTTCTTTTCTATACAGAAAATAATTTTCCAAGTTTATTGTCAGATGAAGAGTTAAAGAATGCACCAAAAAAAGTGTAAGTAAAAATATTATATGTGTCAGAAAGTTATTTTTAAAAATATTTCTTTTCCTGAATCTTTATAGACTTTGACAGATTTTTTAAAATTTGTTGTGATTTCTTTCCTCATTCTAAACATTCACTTTTATATCTATTTTTGTACTTGTAATTTTGTATTTTTTAAAAGATACCCTCAAAACTGTATAAGCTTCAACTCCCACCTGAATCCACCCCTGCCTCAAGAAACTCATAAGCATTGGCTCATAATGACTTACCCTACAAACCAGTCATATGCTTAAAATTCCACCTTCCTCCAAAATTCAGGTGGAAACAATACAAAGACAGGGACTTATTGATCTGAAAGAATGAAGAGCTACACTATTTGAGTAATATTTATTAAATTGTGTATACATAGTGGTGTAAAGTTTCCAAAAAATTATATTATAGTTGCAACATGGATGTCTTGAATCCATAGTAGAGTCAATTATATCAGCCAGGCAAAACTAACTACGAAGAGTGAAATCAGCAATTTGCATAGTGCAGGTGCTTCTGCCCTCCATTCTAGTCCACGAGCATCCACCTGAGTGTGATGTGGCACACCCAGACCTGCTGCTCTTTGGTTCTTAGTTCTCCACGGGCCCCTTCTAGCATCAGCATCTTCCTAGGCTAAGTATGAGTCTAGTGTTTAAAGACACATATTTTTTATACAACAGGAAGCCTAAGTAGAAAACATTTTTTTTAATCTGGCAATGCTAGAGGGAATTTTGTTCATATTCCTATTTTTCCTTTTGTGCTGACTTTTCAATGTGAGATTGTTCAAGTATATAAAGAACAGGACAACGAAAACCCATTTATCAAGTATGTAGAGCAAGTGTTCACATGTTGCCATATTTGCTTCATCTCTCTATGCTCATATCCATTTTTTATTAAACTGTTACAAAGTTACAGACATCATATCACTTCACCCTTAATGCTTCAAAATGTAGCTCCAAAAAAAATAAAAAATAAAAAAAATAAAAAAGACTCCTACATAACCGTGACAGCATTATCATGCCTTACAAAAGTAACAGCAACTCCCTAATATGGTCCACATAATCCACATTCAAATTTCTTCAATTTTCTTGAGCATAACTCTGAGAGCTAGTTTTTTCCAAACCAAGATCTAGTCATGTTTTGTGTATTACATTTAGTTAATGTCTTTTTACTCCATTTCAGCTCCATGATATTGACTGTTTCCAGGACCAGGCTTGATATCTTACAGGACAGTCCACATTCTGAATTTATCTGATTCTCTTTCTTTCTTTTTCTTTCTTTCTTTCTTTTCTTCTTTCTTTCTCTCTCTCTCTCTTTCTTCTCTCTCTCTCTCTTCCTCTCTCTCTCTTTTTATTTTTTCTTTTTTTTGAGACTGAATCTAGTTCTGTCATCCAGGCTGGAGTGCAGTGGCAGGATCACAGCTCTCTGCAGCCTTGACTTCCTGAGCTCAGAAGATCCTCCCACCTCAGCCTCCAAAGTAGCTAGGACTACAGGCGTGCACCAACTACCCAGCTAATTTTTGTATTTTTTTGTAAAGACGGAGTTTCATCATGTCACCCAGGCTGGTCTCAAACTCCTGGGCTCAAGTGATCCTCCTGCCTTAGCCTCCCAAAGTGCTGGAATTACAGGCATGAGCCATCGCACCTAGCCAATCTGAGTGTTTCTTAATACGAATTTGTTGCATTGCCCACTGACTTTCCTGTAATCAAGAGATTAAATCTATTGCTTGATCAGATGAATACTTCATAAGCAATTCCAAGTATTGATTTTGGAATATGACCTCCTTATAAGATGCAACTTTATTATAAGACCTCAATTAAATTTCAGTAGAGGCCTGAAATTTCTATCCAGGAATTTTTATCTTTACAGATAAAGACACTAAGTCTGGAGTGTCTAAATGACTTGCTTAAGGTCACACGAAAGGAAACAATTAAGATCACAAAGAGTTGGCATGGTCTTGTGATCTTGAATTGTCTAAGTCTGGGTGAAACGAGCCAGTTTTGCCCAATTCAAATGGGTACTTTCCTGAAGCCTTACTTTCCAGTATGAGAGAACATACTGGAAGATACAGAGATGACTATTTCTTTATTAAAGATACAATAATTCAGATGGTAAATGCGATTGAACCCAGAAATAAATTCATCAGCAATAGATTTATAAGTCAAGAATACCACATTATGGCTCTATATAGTCAACCATATCAGCTATGCAAAACAAGTTACAAAGAGGGAAATCAGCAATCTGCATAGTGCAGGTGCTTCTGCCCTCCATTCCAGTCCGCCAGCATCTACCTCAGTGTGATGTGGCACACCCAGACCTGCTGCTCTTTGGTTTTCAGTTTCCCCAAGGGCCCCTTCTAGTGTCAGCATCTTCCTAGGCTAAGTATGAGTCTAGTGTTTAAAGACCATGTATTTCTTAATATAACATGAAGCCTAAGTAGAAACCAACTTTCTCATCTGGCAATGCTGGAGGGAATTTTGAGACAGTGTCATCTCAAGATACTATCTAGTTCAAGATCAGTTGAACTCAGTAGAGCCAGAATCCTGAGAGTCATCCATGACAGCTCCCTCTCCTCTCTGTTATCCCCGCATCCGAGCCTGGTTGACTCTACCTCCAAAAATAGATCTGAAGTCAGTGCTCTGTTCTGCCTCATCCCTGCCATGTCCCTCATCCAAACTTCTATTTTCTCTCACTTGGACAACCGCAGAGCCTCTAGCTGGTCTCCCTACTTCTCCTTCCACTCTTGCACAAAGCTACCAAATTTTTTTTTTTTTTTTTTTTTTTTTTTTTTTTTGAGACCGAGTCTCGCTCTGTCGCCCAGGCTGGAGTGCAGTGGCACGATCTCCACTCACTGCAAGCTCTGCCTCCTGGGTTCATGCCATTCTCCTGCCTCAGCCTCCCAAGTAGCTGGGACTACAGGCACCCGCCACCATGCCTGGCTATTTTTTTTTGTATTTTTAGTAGAGACAAGGTTTCACCGTGTTAGCCAGGATGGTCTTGATCTCCTGACCTCGTGATCTGCCCGCCTCGGCCTCCCAAAGTGCTGGGATTACAGGCATGAGCCACCACGCCCAGCCAATTTTCTTTTTCTTTTTTTTTAAAGCAAATGTGTTGAAATCTGCCTATTATTTTTTTAAAAAGCAAAAAAACAAACAAACAAGCAAACAAACAAAAAAGCAAATCGTACCTCTCATAAAGTCCACAGGGTTAATACCGCTGACAACGCTAGGCATGATCTGGCCTATGTCTCCCTCTCTCAATTAACTTCACCATCTTTTCCCTCTCCATCTTTTGCTCGAAGGCTTAGGCTCGATTGAAAAAAAGCACCATGCTCTGTGTTTCTTTGGACAACTTTTCAACTTGTTCCCCCTGTCTGGGATGCCTCCCTACAGCCCCACCACACAGCCTGCCCACCCACCCTCTGCCTAGTTACTTTCTAATTCTCTGGTCAAATCTCTCTTCCTCAAGGAAACCTTTTCTGACTTTGCAGACCATTAGAGACCCCTATCTTCATACCCTGTGCTTTACTTTCACAAGTCTTACCATCTTTTGTAATTTATAGCTTTGTTATTACCCTCACCAGAACAGAAGCGCAGGGAGGATTGGGACTATGTAATTTCCGTGACCAACTTAACCAAGAAACAGGGCTCACAAAGTTGCTCCTGAATGAATGTTGTTCTTGAAAAAGCAGTGGAGCTTACGTCCCTAAATGCTTACAGATGGCTACAAAAACAAAACAAAATAAAACAAACAAACAGAAAACAGGTAAAGGATGCAGAAGCCATAGGTTAGAGGTATGAGCCGTAACCTCAATAGGATGCAACCATTGTGGAGGCCTCCAAGAACCTGCAGGACAAATACAATATGAGCAAGGGGCCTAGAGCTAAGACAACACCTTAAAAACCTCAAAAACCTTAAAAATCGTTAAAAAGCTTTCAATGACTATTCTACAATTTCACCACACTTGATGAGTAAAGATAAAATGAATGATTAGTGATGCGTCCATTGCCTCACCACCCCTTTTCATCTCAAATCTCTCCACCTGCACACCCACCCTTACCACCTTTCCTCCAATCCCACAGGGTGAGGCATCCTCCTCTTGTTTAAGGCCAACCCTTCCTCCTCTCTTTCTCCTAATCCGATTCTTTCCCTTTTCCTTCCATTTCTCCCCAAATTACTCTCCTTTTCTAATGTCTTCAACCTCTTCCTCTCTCTCGGTTCTCTTCCCAGCAGGCTTTCAACATGTTCAAGCCTCTGCCTTCAGAATATAAAATCAGCCCTTGACCCTGCCTCCCTCTCAAGTTGTGACCCTCTTTATTGAAAGAGCAATGGTACTCACTGCCTCCACCTCCTCACCTTCCCTTCTCCCCTCAGCAGTCTGGCTTCTGACGCTGCTGTGTCATTGGAAAGGCTTCCATCAGGTTCACCAATGAGCTCCACATGTAAAACATTTTAAGGGATAGTTTTTACTGTCTTTCCAGGCTACTCTGCTGTACCTGGCAGTGTTGATGACTCTGCGCTCCTTGAAATTCTCTCTTCCTTTGTTACCTGTGCCCACAATCTCTCCTGGTTCTCCTGTATCATTTGTCTCAGTCTCCCAGAGCACCTCGTTTTTAGATTGGCCCTACTAAAAAAGGCGCTCCTTAGGGTTCAAGGAGCTACTTTTACTCTTCTCAGTTACTACCACCTGTTAACTAGTTACCACCTGTTACCAGTTGTTAACAACTTCCAAACTGATATCTCTCCAGAAGTTTTGATCGCTACCTCTCCTCTCGAAAGACTCAAAGGCATTTCAGTATTGACACATCCCAAATTAAACTCACTGCCTGCCCGCACCTCCTAATTCTCCTTCAATTTTCCTCATTTCAGGTCCTTGTGACCACACCCTATAGCATCACATCTGAGAGAGGAAGACATAAATATGGTCTCACACTTTTGAGAGAATTGAGAGAGGAGAAGGGGAGGAACATAAAAAGTTTCCATTTTAAGAATTCCGTCCAGGACCTTCTACCTTTTCTAAATTAGTATTAACAATTGCTAATGTGAAAATTATCAAGCTGAGTGGCAAGGGTCAAAGGAAAACTACACTGTGTGCTGACTTCACGAGCCCTTGCACCTTGAGAGGGAATTTTGTCTCATTTATGTGCCCTTGGGTTTATTACTTATTCAGTAATTAACCTGAACAAGGTTTATTAAATAGGTATTAAATACAAAATACCTATTTAACGCCAATGTTCACTCTAAAAGACCTGGGGAAGCAGAGTAATCTAGGGTACAAAGTAGATTGTGAATATGGAAAAGCTAGTATCTGTTGAGTGTTCCTTGTATACTAGGCGCTGTGTAAGTAATGTTCATGGGTGACCTCATTTTACCCTCACAGCTCTATGAAGGCGCAATAGCTTTCATTTTACATGTGAGGAAGCAAGTGCTCAGGGAAGTTAAGGGACAGGCCAAAGTTACTCATGCATGCAGAGGTGCAGAATTTAAATCCAGCCCTGTCTTCCTTTTTTTTTTTTTTTTGAGACGGAGTCTCACTCTGTCACCCAGGCTGGAGTGCAGTGGCGCGATTGCGGCTCACTGCAGCTCCACCTCCCGGGTTCACGCCATTCTCCTGCCTCAGCTTCCCGAGTAACTGGGACTACAGGCGCCCGCCACCACGCCCGGCTAATTTTTTGTATTTTTAGTAGAGACAGGGTTTCACCGTGTTAACCAGGATGGTCTCGATCTCCTGACCTCATGATCCACCCGCCTCAGCCTCCCAAAGTGCAGCCCCGTCTTCCTTAAATGCCCGGAAACATTCCGTGCTATTCTATGGTCCCCTAATTACAAACTGAAACCTCATGTCTCACTTTCTGCATGGTGCCTGTTGTCCTCCCCTTCACCGTGCTTCTCATATGGTTTCAAGGCACTCATCTCTTAGTTTGAAAGAGGTGCAGCCATTTCACCTTATTTGGTTTCAAAGATCAGCATGCAATCTGTAAAATGGAATGTTCCTCTCAAAAGATAAAGATTAGAAAGTTTCCTGACCTGCCCAGGTAGCAGAAGGAAAGGTTGCAGTGTTCTGAATCACATCAACAAACAGGGCTAGTGCATGTTGTGTGCTAGTTTTTTTCCAGGCATCTGCAAGGTCATTCTGTAAATTGGGGTTAGCTAGGGAGAGAGCAAGACATAAATATGGTCCCATAATTTTGAGAAAATTGAGAGAGGAGAAAAAGAATACACGAAGTTTCCATTTTAAGAATTCCATCCAGGACCTTCTACCTTTTCTAAATTGGTATTAAGAGTTGCTAATATGAAAATTATCAAGCTGAGTGGCAAGGGTCAAAGCAAAGCTAAACTGTATGTTCACTTCAAGAGCCCTTGTGCCTCAAGAGAGGATTTTGTTTTGTTTATGTGCCCTTAGGTTTATTACTTGTTCAGTGCAATCCAAGTCCACACACTCACACTTTGCAATGACTTCCCTGTTTTCACTTTTCAACATTAATTAAAGGCTTTCTTATATGAGATATGTCTTAGCATCACCCTAGTTTCCAAATAAGAATGTTTCAAGGAAAAATTTCCAAAAGATTCAGGCCATTCCTCCACTTTAAGTTCAATAATTCAACGATAAAAGTAAAATGAAGAAATAAAAACTCATAACAGTGCCCTCCTTGTATTACTCGAGGGATTATTTGCCATTGTCTACTTAGAAGGAGACACCAGTCACGGCAAATGTCTAAAATATGTCTTGTCTAAATCCATCATGGAGGAAGAAAGGATTTCTCATTTTACTAATTAGAAACGGGTCAGATGGAGCCATGAATTAAGCTCACATCATGACACTACTATGTAGGATGCAAACGTCTGCAAAGGCCATTGCCCTTCAGGTACGTGTAGAAAAGAATGGGCTAGCATTTTCCTTAAAAGAGCAGTGCTCAAAGTGTGTGCTTCACAAAGAGATAGTGAAAAAGCAAACGAGAGATATTAACCATGCCCCTGGGATCCACTTTGGTCATATTCTATGTAGGCAGAAATCTTCTGATCTCCAAATTCCCCTTGGAATACTGCATTACAGAGTTTGACTCTACTCTCTCCTTAGTGTCTTCCTATGGGTATTTTATCACTCATTCACCCAGAAGCTTCCAGCAAGCATTTGTTGAATGACTGCTGTGTTCCAACTACTGTGCTAAGCACTTGAAATAAAATGTAAAAGAAGAGAGGCACGATTCTTATTCTCCAGAATCTTCACTCTGGAGGGGAGACATATAAAATTTACAAGTAAGATCCAAATGCTGAGAAAGACCCAGCCACACCCAGAGCCAGAAGAGGCACATCCTAAACAGAAAACTAAAGCCAGAGGCAGAAGGAGAAGTTAGTATTCCTGGAACCCACCAGTGAGGCAGGGAGTGGAGCAGGAAAAAATAGGGTCTTGGGATATAATTGAGCACCTATGGCTACACAAGTCACTCCTCAAGGAGCCATGGATTTTCTGTTCTTCTATCACTTTCCACAGTATTTTTCAAACAGTATATCAAGGCATCTATTTACGAATTGTGATCAACATTGTGTAATGACAGAATTAGCTAGAATAGAAAATATCGACTGGGCGTGGTGGCTCACACCTGAAATCCCAGCACTCTGGGAGGCTGAGGCAGGTGTTCGAGAGGTCAGGAGTTTGAAACCAGCCTGGCCAACATAGTGAAACCCCATCTCTGCTAAAAATACAAAAATTAGCTGTGCGTGGTGGTGCATGTCTATAATCCCAGCTACGCTGGAGGCTGAAGCAGGAGAATCACTTGAACCTCGGAGATGGAGGTTGCAGTGAGCTGAGATTGCTCCACTGCACTCCAGCCTGGGTGACAGAGCAAGACTCTGTCAAAAAAAAAAAAAAAAAAAAAAAAAGACATTGCATGGAGTAAGGGTTATTATTTCTGAAATCTATGATTTATTTATGTGTGCATACATGTGTTTATGAGTTCAGGGCTTCTCCATCTCAGCCGCATTAGGCTCTAGGCATACATCTTTGTCGTGGGGGGCTGTACTGTCATCATTATTTGTCAGCAGCATTCCTGGCCTCCACCAGATGCCCACAACATCTCCCCGCAACTTCAGCTGGCACAACTACAGATGTCTCCAGACATTGCCAAATATCAACCACTGTGCTAACTATGAAATGCTTCTGACAATAGATCATGGCCTCAAAATTTTAAAAGCCACCAAATGACGGGATGAGATTTTATATTCCCTCATGCTTCTCCTCTACCCCTATTTCACTCTGAACCCCTTGAAGAAGTGGCATCCTCCACCTCCCACCCTGCTTTTCCTGTCTCTTCCACCATCTCTTCCCCTTCTCACATTATTTTCTCTCTCATCCCTTCTCTCTTACCCCCACCCTACCTACAAAATTAAGACCAAACTAGCTCCCTAAATAGCGTTTTGGAAATCTGGGATAGTTCTCTTTGTAGACAGGGCCTGCAGTAGAAAGCAGCAGTGCCTGGCTCAGGCAGCACGCACCTCCCGGCACACTGCACTCACTTAATGGCTACCACACAGGTGTGTGTTTCTGGGTTCAGGATTCTCTCTGTCTTTTTTTCCTCCCGGTCTTTTTTTAGGTATTCTGCATGTATATTCAGCAAACTAGATCTTGTGGAAAGAAACCTCATCCTCTGGCAAAACATTTAGAAGAGAAAAGAGTGGGTACGATAATCCAGGAGACATTTAAAAATACATGCTAGGCAAAAGAACTCAGAGGCATTAGGAGTAGTGGGGAGCCCAGGAATGACCCAACAGGTCTTTTTCTTCCCTAATTTATTTGCTTCCCCTGATCTGTGATGCCCCTCTGCTCCCTGCTGCGTGCATCTGCTGCCTGTCTCCCACTCACACCTCCCTCCCTGTGCAGAGGACGGTTCTCGGTTCTTGGTTACAGACTCCTGCTCTCCCCCAGGAGGCTATGACGTGTCCCCTGCTATGTGCATCCACCATGCCTTTCTCTCTCCTCTCCTGCTGTTCATGTGTCCACCGTCGCTTTCTCTTTTGATAAGTCCTCATCTTGACTTCTTTCCTAAAAGCTGGAGCTTTTTCATTTTTCTCAGTCTCTGTGCACACTCTCAGCTTCCCTCTGCTCTTTCTTGCCTGTCCAGTCTGTGATCAGGTTTTCTCCTTCTTCCCCCGCTGGAATGAATGAAGTGTTTTCCTTATTTTCCTGTTTACTCCCCATAAACACATACAAACACATGCATACAAATACTTCTCTACTTTAAATATTCTATGATCATGCCAACAGAAAGTGGATGAAAACGAATAGTCTTCTGAAGAGCTTTAAAAAAATGCAACTCTGTTCAAACTTGCTTGTTCTCTATTTGCTTGCTGGTTTATCACTCACAGACTATGAATTTCTACAGAGGATGCAGGTCACACCTCTTCTGTCCTGAGTGTTCATTGTGGCCAATCAATATTTTTTAAAAAAGGAAAAATCATAAGCAATGCAGGTAGCACAGTATCTAAGGATCCCCAGCTAAATCCCTGAACATGCTGAGCTTCCCTTCTCTTTGTCCCACTGCCTTGACAAAAGTACCATTAAGCAGACTTCATTGTGTTTCTCTCGCTCATTTGCCTGTCAGAGGATGGGAAGCCTTTCAAATGGGTCATATTAGTAGCTGTTGTGGGTCTACCTTTCTCCACCTGGGCCCACCAGATAATGAAAATGAAGCCACGGTGTATTTGCATAGACGTTTCAGGACATTTGCACCCGTTACTCCCTTAGCAGCTTATAACAAACCCAGGAGGAAGGAAAAGAAAGCAAAGGAAAAGCACGCATTCACACACACAACTTTAAATGATTAACTACTACAAGCTAGGGCCCCTTAGGGGCTTCTAAATACGGGATCTCATTTAATGCTCACAAAGTTGCTAGACTGATCCACGCTCAGAAGGATGAGGAATTTGGGACTTATCCAACTGGCGCATGGTGGAGTCAGGTTTATTCGCTCATCCATTTGACAGGGCTCAACGCAGGCTATGCTAAGACACGGCACCTTGGCATACTGAGTATTTTAAGATGAAGGAATTTGAGAGAACTGCAGAAGCAGGAAGGTCTCTCTGGCTTACTCTCTCCTTTCTCTTCTGAAACAGGTTGTAAAATCTCAAAAGAATTTCTGGTCTTCTACGCACAGCAGGTCATAAAACCTCATGGGAGAAATGCCCTCCCTATACCCAGAGGAAAGGAATGTCTGCCTCACCGGGAACAGAAAGAAGCAGCAGAACAAACAGGCCTTGCTAAGTTCTCCCAATTTTATTACCATTAAATCATACTTATTTTTTCTCCAGTGGATATTTCTCCATTACAGTTTACCTCTTCATCAAACCTAAGCATAAAAATACATAAGTTTACCTGTTCCTTTGAGTCATTTCCTTATGAAGGCCCCCATGTCATATAAAGCTTATTAAATACATGTATGTCTTTCTCCTGTTCATCTGTCTTTGTCAGTTTTATTTCCAGACCCAGCATGGACCCCAAAATAGTTGAGGAAAATCTTTTCTCCCCTACAGTTTCTGGCAACCATGAAGAGACAGCTAAGACTACACTCATTTCGGAGCATGCAGATAAATCCTAAAATAACTGACAAAAAGCCGATGAAAGGTAAGAATTCTTACCAAGGTCAGATATCCTGGATCTCTGTCTGCAGTGTTTGCTGAAGAGAGGGAGGTAAAGATTTCTCTTTGTCCCTTCCTTTCCAAATTTAGATTAGCAAGAGAAAGACATTTGTTTGGGTTGTGACTCTGAAGGCTTCTGTGTCATGTAAAACCTAAGTAAATGTATGTGCTTTTCTCTTCTTAATATGTTTTTTGTTATAGGAGCCTTAGCCATGAACCTAGTGATGAGGAGGAAAATATACTTCTTTTCCCCGTCTACACATTCAGGAGCTATTTATTTTTGAGGCTTGACTGTCAGCCTGGCACTGTTCTAGGTCCTGAATTTCATGCGGCCTTTGTGGTAAGAGTGCAGAAATTATACCATTTAGAGCAAAAGATTGCTCACGGATACACACAGCTCACATTACCAGCAATGAACAGAGGGAAAAAAAAAAGCTGGGATCACCCTCATTAGTTTCCAGAGAACTTAGCCATACATGCCATGAAGAAAATAACGAAATCTGTACCATGGTTATCAAGGATTCTGTCAGAAATCCCTGTTTTGAATTTTCTGCCTCCGGTGCCAGGGAAAGCCTCCTTTATGAAAGAACAACTTTCTAAGGCCCTGTTTAATAAGTCTCAGAGAAGAAAAGCCTGCCAGTAATGACTCAAACTCAGAGTAGAAACGCAAAACCGATTGCCTGACCTGCTCTGCCGGGCCACACGGCCCTGCCACCCCCACGCACCTGGAAAGCCATCCTGGGTTGCATTTCCCTCCCACCCAAGGGCTACATGTTGTCTAATAACCTTTCCTGGTAGGACACACACAGCCCTCTTGGTGCCTTCCACTTTCCAGTGTTTATGCCTTTCTCTTCTAGCCTAGGGAAAGCAAACGACTGAGATAGTTGCCTTAGTATTATGAGGAAGGAAATCTTCCTCAAGCTGGGAAGAGAGGTGAGCAGAATGTTCCACGTTAACCACTTTGGAAGCCCAGAGAAGCCGTGCTCCTGTACGTCCTCCCACTGGATCCCCACAAGCACAAGCACTGCCAAAGGGAGTCAACACCATTTGGATCCTATAAAGAAGGCACTTACAACTGTGAATGTGGAGCAAGATAATGAAGGGAGGCCAGGAAGCACTCAGCAAAGTGATAATAGGGAAATTATGACATCTGTGGCCCCATTTGGTCTCTAGTCAATAAAGCACGCAGCCCAAATAACTCTCCCATTTCCCCAGAACTGTTGGAAACAGGGCTGATCCCACTAATGGAAAAGGCTTGGAAAAAAGATCTAGAAAAATCCATGTTCCAGCTCACACTAAAGTCAGCCTGCCATCGTCTCCCTCACCCTAAACAACGTAAGCTGCAACACAATCGCAGGCCTCCATTTCACAGCCCTCATGCCGTGCATATTCACCTGCTTCTGTGGCCCTTTTTCAGTTATATCTGTATGCAGTGCAGGATATATTTTTTTCCCTCTAAGATCTAACTTAAAAGGAGAGGGCTGCTCTCTTTAAAATCACATTGCAAACATTCATCTGAGCTTTTCTAGTATCTAATGTTTATACCTCTCCTTTCTGACCTAGCCCAAGAACACGGCACTTTTCCTCTACTGGGAGAGGAGAGGAGCTTTTTAGCTGAGGATGAGTGAGTTAAACACAGATGATGACAGTGATATCGTCCTTGGAAAGCACTAGTGGAAAGCCTTACACACTGCAGGCAACGCTTTTTTTTTTTTTTTTTTTTTTTTTTTAGGTTCACAAAACTGAAAGGAAAGCCTTAAAAAAGAGAAAAGAGGCCGGGCACGGTGGCTGCACCTGTAATCCCAGCACTTTGGGAGGCCGAGGTGGGTGGATCAACAGAGGTCAGGAGTTCGAGAGCAGCCTGGCCAACATGGTGAAACCCTGTCTCTACTAAAAATATAAAAATAAGCTGGGTGTGGTGGCGAGTGCCTATAATCCCAGCTACTCAGGAGGCTGAGGCGAGAGAATTGCTTGAACCCGGGAGGCAGAGGTTGCAGTGAGCCAAGATTGTGCCACTGCACTCCAGCCTCTCCAGCCTGGGTGACAGAGCGAGACTCCGTCTCAAAAAAAAAAAAAAAAAAAAAAAAAGAGAGAAAGAGAGAAAAGAACAAAACTCAAATACAAAAACTTGGGTTTGGGGAAGTAAATAAACCAATCTTTTAGCATGAACATGTGAAACCAACTCTTTGTTAATAAAGATCAAAATATGAGTAACAGAGAGTGAGTTGTCTTCCACCATCGTGACATCTCTGCAAATGCATCCTGGGAACAGATCTGCCACATTAATGAGAATCAGGACTGCTGTCATATAATTTCTAATTTGAGCCATGTCTCAATATGTAAGTAATCAGCTAACACAACCTTAATATTTCTTCAGCTACAATCTGAATTTTATTTTAGTCAGTCACCAAAGAAGAGAGAATACTGTCATGCCATGTTGAGGTAATGTGCCTTTAAAAAGAAATTCAAATATTTAATGGTATGTCCTACAAATCAGCAGGAGGCACTACTTGAAGAGTGGCATGAGCTTTGGAACACAAGTACACTCACTCTCAAATTCAATATAAAATGTAATTTTCCACAGAAACACTGCCCAGAAAGCCAATAAGGGGACATCTAAAACTGAGACTTTATTTTATTCTGTACATTCACACACACACACACACACACACACACACACACACATAAACACACACATCAGCTTTACTTAGAAACTATTCTGTCAGAGATGCTGGGATATTTTTTACAAAACCAAACAAAGACTATACGGAAAAAGGGTTTTTTTTTTTTTTTTTTTTTTTTTTTTTTTTTTTAGCAGAACACATAAAAACGATGTAATGTTAAACTAGGAAAAGGGACACGAGTCTATGCAACTCATACACACCTAATAAGGGCTTGATAGCCAAGAGAACAGGAGAGAAAGCATAAGGAAGAAAAGATACAGGAAGATACAGTATGAAATGTCTAAATTGTCTGAATTGTCTGAATGACAACAGCCATTTTATCTAAAGTGGTTATCAAGAACAATTTCATAACTGATGCACATTTTACTGGTGCCCTATCACCATGCAAAAAGATTCCTGGGTTTGTTAAGAGGAGCGTTCCAATGATGATAACCCTATTCATCCACGTACTTTTCATCTCAGTTGTAATTTATAAGATGATGATATCTATGGCGCCTAAATGCTCAGCCTCAGAGGCGGATGGGAAGAGGAACCGCAGGGAGCTGGATTTGGAGGACAAGTCCTGCATTAGAGTGGGAATTAGGGATTCAATAACTGGAGATGGTCTCAGATTAGGAAACAAAGAGAGAAAGCCCAGTGCAACGGAAGTAGAAGAATAAGAGGGGTGATTATGAAATAGCTAGAAAGTGATCATTTCCCAAGAGAAAGAAAGAATGGCAAACTGTTAGTCTAACTAGATTCTAACCACATCTATAGACAGTTTAGGGAGAATATGCAAGGGTAGACCACAGATACAAATGGGTAGCCTGAACGCTGGGTTCAGTTTGCTGACATGTTTCGTTTGGCTTGAACAATTTATTTAGCTTAAAATTCTTCTGATTGGCAATTTGGGCTGGGCTTAGCTGGGTGGTTTTTCCAGCCTTGGCTGGGCTTCCTTCTATGTCAGCTGCAGGTTGGGTAGGTGGCTTTGATGATCTTGGCTGGGCACCGTCCCATCTCTAGACTAAAACTGAGCTCATTCAACTCTGGTCCATATGGTCTTTCATCCTTCAGTAGGGCTGGCCTGGGCTTGTTCAGATGGCAGTTGGTCAGGGTGCCAAGAGAGTCAGAGGAAGCATACATGAACTTCACACAGTGAATCTTGTCACTTCCACTTCATTATATTTTCAAAGTAATTCACAAGGCCAGTCTGGGTTTAAAAGATGGAGAAGCAGATTTCACCCCTTGATGAGAGGAGCTACAAAGTCTCATTGCAAAAGGGAGTGGATATTGGGAGGTATAAGCAATTGCAGCCATTTTTGTAAGCACGCTCCCACATCTGGTAACTAAGCCTGCATTTCTGAGTGGCAATAATCATCTGTGTCCAAGTTACAGCCACTTCGCCTAGATGACTAGGCTCACTGAGATTCCTGGCACTCCTTATTATCTCCCTCTTGTTATAACCAGCCAAATGGACATATTTATACTTCCTCTTTTCCCCCATTAAGTTCTCATTTTTAAGGCAATAGATGGGGAAAGAAATGAGCAAATAAATCCTTCCCAGAATATTAAGGGATCTATCCTTTTGATGTGCTTCTCCTTCTTTACCTTCATAACAGAAAATCTCTCATAATCATTTCTTTTGAGCCCATTTGCACTAATACTGTTTATAAATGCTGACATCTAATAACAGTAAACACCATTTCTGGGGGACAAAATCACCCATGAAGATTCCTTTTAGGGGCATCATGGCCTAGGTATGGCACATAAGGACCTCAAAGCCAAAAAGGTGTAGCTGATTAGCTCTTCAGTAGCACATATCTGTCCACTGAAAAGAGCAGAAGGGATAAGTACATTTCAAAACACTGCTCAAAATCTCTGGACTAGAAAAAGAAATTATTCACATCATCAATTTTCTAACCATCCTCCCCTTCTATGACTAGCTGTTTCACCAGTGATTCCAGGCCAGGGAAATTACCCTTGCTATATCCATGGTCTGGCCATGCAATTTCTTCCTTAATTCAAGTCCTTTCTCTTCTGCTTCTCTCACCTCCAAGTATAGAAATCTTATTCACCTTTCAGATTCAGCCCTAAGACCATTTGGGCCTTCCTTGATTTCTCCCTCTCCATACCTTGTGCCTCACACCTTCAGAAGACATTGTACCAGTCTGCCTAATTTCATAGTTTTTATGTACCTATCCCCCCTTCTCTTTACCACGCAGTAAATTGCAATTGGAATTGTGCCCTTCTAATGTCTAGTATGATGTTTACATTGTAGATATTGAAAGACTTGTCACAGGAATAAGTGAATACATGGTTTTAATCTTGGTTGAACAGCAAGGAATATTTCCAACCTTACATTAATTTACATAGTGCTTTTTTTTCTGCTTCAAAAACCCTTGCACATGTAATCTCATTTTATTCCCCCCAGCAACCATGAAGCTTCACTAAAAGAAATAGGACTCCACTTTTGGATTAAAGAATGGAAACCCAAAGTAGCTAAATGATTTGTCTGCCAATGAGATAATGACTGACTGGGCTAGGATAAGATTACAGATCTTCTGGCTTTTAGTTCAGTGTTGTTCTTTTCCCATAAACTCAGTGACAGCACTCTAATTTTAAAATTAAATATAAACCAAATGGCATTATGGAGGCAGCTTCCATGATGTCAAAGGTGATTTGGATCCCATGATGCCTCAAATATGGGAAATTCCTTGGGTTGGATTCTGTAGGTGTCCGCAGCAACAAACGATGAACATGCTCAAAGGTCCTCCCTCCTAGTGATTCCTATCAATAGTTAATTTTTAATGAAGTAGAAATGGAAGGTAAAAATAGAATACAAAACAGCTCTGCAAACAAGTCTTTGCAGATAGCCCTTTACCATACTTTCATTTGAATGATGTCTCAATACAACCCTGAGGGGTAGCTTCTTGTCACTCCCATTTTACAGATGAAAAAGTTGTAGGGGAAAAGAAATATATTCTTTTCCATCTCTAGGTTCCTGGCTGAGCTCCTGCAGCAAAAACAAAAAGCACAAAACAACAACAACAGCAGATTAACAAGAGAAGAGCATCCAAATTTATTTAATGAACTTGACATGACATGGGAGCCTTCAAAAATGAAGACCCAAAAAAACAGGAAAACCTGCGTATTTTTATGCAGGTTGATGAGATGTAGAGATGAAGAAATGGATAGTTGTGGAGAAATATGGTTGAACAAAAGGGGTACGAGAATGGTGATAAACTGGGAGAACTCAACACGTCCTGTTTGTTCAGATTCTTCTCTGTGTCCTTGTGTTTTCACAGATAAGGATGGTTTTTGGGGGGATTTTGGTGTTTTTTTCCAGGCATATGGAAGATACTCTTTGAAAAAGAGTCTTATGACCTGCTTCAGGAAGAAGGGCAGGAGAAGTTCAGGGAGTGACCTTCCGACTTCTGCTGTTTTCTCAAGTGCCAATGTGCCATATTTTGAGGTCGCATGTCCTGAGTCCCATCAAAGTCAAGGCTCAACAGGTTAAATAGCTTGGCTCAAAGCCACATATTTAGAGATAGTAGAATAAGGACTTGAGCCCAACTGTCCCTGCAAATCCTGTGCCACCTACCCACTGGTAGTGAAACACGTTTTAATATTCTACTCCACGAAAATTTCAAGGCAATTCAAGGAGCTCACTCTTTCTGCTCTTTGTCCCCTCACTATCTTTCTGCAGTCACTGGTGGCTTGTTGCCAACAACTTAAATGGGCAAACAATGTAATAGTATTTACCTGCAGACAGTTAGTTGAGTGAAGCAATTAAGAATACTGTCTTGGAAGTCAGGCATGTGAATCTAAACTGTGACCTGGCCTTCCCTGGCTGTATGACTGGGGTCAAGTTAGTTACTCTACTCTTCTTTATCTGTATGGTGGGCCTGAGAAGTATAAGTGCTTCCTGGGGTTGTTGTGGGGATTAAATGAGATAATTTTCATAAAGGGCTTGGCATAGTGCTTGGCATATAGTAATGATGGGGTGCAGGGAACACTATTTCAAAGTAGGACATCTTGGCATTCTGGCATTTAAGCCTAAGGAAACTGAGAAAAACCACAAAAGCAGAAGGGTCATTCTCTGACTCTCTCACCTTTCTCTGTTGAAACACAGCCATAGAGAAATTCTCTATTCCCTGAAGTTAGGTTTTTAGACCCTTATGTGGCAGATGTCCTGCCAAACACCTAGAGGAAAGAAAGGAAGGTGCAAAGATGCCAAGAAGTATCTGCGCAAACAAACCTTGCAGACTTCTCCCCAGTTTATTACCATTAGATCACGTCCTTTTGTCCTCCAGTCACTCCCCTACATGACTTTTCATAAAAATACACAGCTTTCCCTGGGTCTTTGGTTCTTCATTTCTGGAGTTTCCCATGTCATGTAAAAATTTGGTTAGGTAAATTTGTTGTGCTTTCATCTTGTTAATCTGTCTTTTGCTATAAGGGTGGCGGCCATGAGCCACCCTCTTTCCTATAGTAAGTTCTCAATAGCATTGATAATGATAATAATGATATTGTTGATGCATTAATAAGAAACTACTAACTTATGATAGTTAATACTGATGGGTCTGTAAGACAAGCATTTTGCAAAAAAATAGCTCCAATCAGTTATCTCATTTGTCTTAAAAGCAGTGATCATAGAATGAATGTGTAAACCATGAAATGATTGTTTTAGGAGATGGGGGATTATGATATGTATGTTAGATATGAGTTCTAAATTTCTCTTCAAAGAATCAATATGTCAGTATGTTCAATTCTTTGCCTTCTACTTTTAAACTTAACTTTCTCGTAAAGCAATCTTTTTCGATTACCTACTCCACCCTGGCTCATTCCAATTACCTGCTCCACCCTGACTCATTCCGATTACCTGCTCATTCTCCACCCTGACTCATTCCAATTTCCTACTCTGCCATAACCAATTTTCCTCCCAAACCACTCACCCCGTCACTCTCTTTAAATTAGCCTGTCGGAGTTAGTTTAGCCTGTGCGGTCTAACCCTAGCCAATAGGGGAATGACACAGCAGCAGGGGCCACGTGCATCAGGGATTAAAAACCCCTTCCCCTCCCTTGTCCAAGTGTGCACTCACCATTGCTCCATCTGTAAGGGCACACCCTTCTATAGAAGTACATTGCCTTGCTGAGAATTAAAAAGAAAATTTTATATTCGAGTGCTATTTCTTTTGCGGCACCAAAACTTTACTTATAACATGTAAATGTTTGTCACTAATTCATTCATTCACCAGAGATAGATAGATAGATGATAGATAGATAGATAGATAGATAGATAGATAGATAGATAGGTAGCTGTATTAGGAATTGGTGGTGTGAACAAAGAGTAAGACATAGTTTTTCAAAAAGCACACAATTTCAAACAAAATATTTGACACAGGGAAATAATTAGCATTTATTAAATAGCATTACATGTTAAGAATTCACACATACTTTACACATATTAAATCATTTAATACATAGTAATACTCTGGGTTCGATCCATTTTACAGAGGATGAAACAGACAAATTAAGCAACTTGCTTCAGATCATACAAGTAATAAGAGGCAAAACTGAGACCCAAACTCAGGGAGTCTGACTGCGAAGCCAGAACCTTGTAATACTCTCACTATCTCTCTATGGGGACTCAATAAACATATCTTGAAATAAATGAAGATTTGCAATAAGAGAAATAAAGCCTTGATCAGAGTGTTCTCAAGGTGTGAAGATGTTGTAAAGTCAGTAGGGATGGTCTCTACTGGGAAGGGGTAGGTGGACACCCTGACACATAGCAGAGAAGGCTCACAGAGAGGCCTTAGGAATATTCCAGATAATTAAGTGGGAAAGGGCATTTCAGGGGGAAGTTACATCTGCAAAGCTTCAAAGTTGCCACAGAAAAATACATCCAGAATCCCAACTTGGGAGGCTCGCAACATTTCTCTTTACATAAAATTGGATCAGGGATCCTCTTATCACAATCAAGTCAGAGAGGGCCATCAAAGGTGGGGTGAGGAATAAAAATAAAATCTTAGGCATCCCAATCAACTAATCAGTTCTCAGGCCAAGGGGACTCTGGAGAAATCTTAAAAACTGAGTTCCCAGCCATGATGAGATGGGAGATTAGATATACCTTATTTGTTATACCCACTTACTTGCTAACTGATATTGAACTTTCTTTCCTAAGAGTTAAACAGCAACCAGCCCAGCCAGCCTCCCCTCCCTTTTTGTGGTTTCAAAACAACTGACCAGCATTCCTTTTTGATAAGAGACCATCCACCATGGACTCATTCTGGACTCATTACAGACGCAGGACACAGGATGCCTCTATGTCCTCTGCTTCACTTTATATCTATTCTAATTTTAATGCATTTAAATGTTAAGTTTACACCACAAAGTGAACATGGGACATATGTAACATACATGTTTGCTTACTATACATGTAAGTGTGCATCTTTTGTGAATATTAGTAGCTCCTCCTATAACCTGTTGGATGTGTTTCCTTTGTCAATCCATTCAGCATAAATTCCTGTCTCACTCTTCCCTCCCTTGAAATGCCTCCTTCTGGTTTCTGCCTGAGGCTACACTTCCCAGCCTGTAGGATGGTCATCCTGCAATCTCCAACCCTTTATAAGAGATAAGCCTTATAAACCACATCATAAACCATAAACCACATTTATGAACCTCGTGATTCTTCAGTTGACAGGGGCAGGAGGTCCCTCCATCTGTCCCACTTACCACAGCTATGAGGACCTCAGGGGGCCCACTTTCTTACACAGTGCTCTGTATTAATAGGCTCTGGGTAAAGAATAATGCCTCCTCTTCCAGCTGGACAAGGACTAGAAACAAAGTGGGAACAGAACCTCTGATGTTAAATTGTACAGCAAAGGTAGACACTTATGGAGATAAGGGTTAGGAAGGAGTGATGGGGGAAAAGGTTGAAATACTAGTAGCCAGGATCCCTTTTATTCAAAATGTTACTAGAACCTGTTCTTCCCCCAAGAATTCTCCTGGCCCCAGGGTAAGGCATTTTGCTTTACTTTCCCCATTCTATTCCACTTACTTCTAATAATTTTTTTTAATCTTTTACATTGGAGGGCTGGGAAAGTGAAAAGAAGAGAAAAACTCTGCATCCACTAAAGCACACTCTACCCCCACCTAAGCCATTTGCACCAGCCCCAGGTGAAGCCTTCACTTTTAAATGCAGAAAAGGAAAACGAAGCCACTCAGAGATGCTGATCTTAGGTCTCTGAGCTCTCAAAGGACTGCCAGAAGATACATCTACATTTCAAAGACTTCCTGAGTCTTTGTAGGAAGACCTGAGTTAAGAACTCTAGGATAGAGTCTGGATTGTTGGGAGAAAAAGGATTCAGTTGGCAGAAAAGAATGGGAGAATGACACCTGGTAAGGAAACCTTGCAAAATATTGAAAATCGCTCACCAGCCTCTGAGAAGTTTGTAGACCCCTAGTGGTTAAGGAGACCCAAAATGAAAACCAACTAGGTTTTCATCAACTCAGCAGATGCCAGTCCTGGCAGATAATGGCACAAATCAAAAGTCCAGCCACCTCCTCCCACTAATGCTTTGGGTCTCTGTAGGCTCCTTGGACCTTAGTGGGTACGCCCAGAACAAACACACAACAAGTTGTAGCTACATGACTAGCCTAAGAAAGCCCTAGGATCTCTCCTATTGTCAGAGATTAGGCTTCTGCATCCTGGCAGACAGACAACTTTGAATAAAAAATACGTTTAGTTACAGAAAAAAAAAAAAAATGTAAGTTTCTTGCACACTGGATATTTTGATCCAAGATTCATACCTCGTATTCGTCCTCTGTATTCAAACAGCTGGAGTCTGTTTGACTCCAGGATTTGTTCTCCTTCAACCCTAATATCCTGTCTGTCATCAAGTATCCTCACTTTCGAAATGTTAGTTTGGGGGGCACCTTAGCCTCTCTATTCTCTGCCATGTTATCGTGCCCCTAAACTATTATAACCCACATCACCAGGGATATTTATTTAAAATGCATGCTCCTGAGCCCATAGGAATCAGCCTTATCAAATCCAAGTGCATGCAGTGATCTTCGCTAATAACTTTCTGCAGCCCTGATCTCTCTGTTCTCTGAACTCTGCCTTCAGAGTGGGCCCTTCTTAGCCCAGTCTATAAACATTCTCCCATTACCTCTTAGGTGTGTAGGGAAGAAAAGATTTATTTTCTCACCATTAAATTAAGTTTGTCCTAAAGCTGCTTCCACACATATTTTAAGTTCAGACTGAAGGTTTATCTGTACATAGTGAACTGTGACCTACCATGACATATAAACAGCCTGTAACCCATTCTTGTAACACTGAGTCTCAGCCAATCACAGCAGCCAAACTTCAGTCAACCACGGGCAGCCACCTATTCAAGCCAGGTTCAAATAAGGCATATACCTAGCTGTAACCCATCCAGCCATTTCTGCACCTCACTTCTGTGTTCTGTACATCACTTTCCTTTTTCTGTCCATAAATGTGATCTGACCATGTGGCAGCCCTGGAGTCACTCTGAACCTATTCTGGTCTGGGGCTGCCCAATTCTCAAATTTTTCTTTGCTCACTTAAAACTCCGTTAAATCTAATTCCTAAAGTTTTTATTTTAACATCACCCAACGTTATGTTCATGGCTGAGACACCAATAACAAAAGACAGATTAACAGCAGAAAAAGCATACAAATGTATTTAATGTAAGTTTACATAACATGGGAGCCTTCAGAAATAAAGACCCCCCAAATCAGGGAAACCTGTGTATTTCCATGCTAGGTTTGATGAAGAGTGAACAGTCTCGGGGAAGTATGACTGGACAAAGCAGGTATGACATGGCAATAAACTGGGGGAGACTTAGCAAGGACTTTTTATTCCAATTCTTTTTTTTTTTTTTTCTTTTTTTGAGACAGAGTCTCATTCTGTCGTCCAGGCTGGGGTGCAGTGGTGCAATCTCACCTCACTGTAGCCTCTGCCTCCCATGTTCAAGCAATTATCCTGCCTCATACCCAGCTAATCTTTGTACTTTTGTAGAGACAGGGTTTCACCATGTTGGGTAGGCTCATCTCGAACTCCTGAACTCAAGTGATCTGCCAACTTTGGCCTCCCAAAGTGTTAGGATTACAGGCGTGAGCCACCGCACCCAGACTTTTTATTCAGATTCTGTGAAGCATATCTGTGTCTTTGAGGATAAGGATATTCTTTTCCTCTGCAGTAGAAAGAGTACCTCTTGAATGAAGGTCTTATGACCTTCTTCAGAAGGGAAAGAGCAGGGGAACAGGAGAGTGCTCTTCCTACTTCTACCGTTTTCTCAAATGCCAGGGTGCCATATTTTGGGGTAGGATGATCTGAACCCCATCAGGTTATCATTGTGTTTTTCTAGCTAGAGCTTTACTTCTTCATGGGCAAGAACCATGTGTAAACATCTTTAACTTAGGAAATAGCAAAATAAATAAACATATTCTGTGCCAGCCACTGAGCTAAGAGGTTTCCCTGATGTGTTCTCATTCACTTTGGACAAAAACTCTTGAAGGTAGTATGTCAAAGCATAATTTTCAAAATATTCAAAACATTCTTCTTCTTATACAAATATATGATGAGCATGTATTGAATTTTCTATAACTCATTATTAAGAAAACTAGCAGGATGACAAACTCAGTTCAAAAGAATTAGGAAAAACAAGAACGATAGGGCACCAGGTAGGGGAGAGGGGAAAAAAAGAATGCTGAGCAATTATTGCTAAGTTAGTTGCAAAATTAGTTAATGTCCTACAAGGCAATAAACCCATAATTTGGGGGAATCAAAAGACAATAATTAAAACAAATTTCCCTTGAAGATCTGAATTGGCTTTTATTTACAATTCTAGAGTCAGGCAACACCTCATTCTGTAAAGTAAAATAAGTATTCCAGTGAGCCCAGCAGAGAAGCCTGGTTTTATAGACAGAAAAGGGCTGAGGAAAGCAGAAATAGGAAAAACCAATCAGATAGGTCATTTCAAAGTTATTTTTCCTGTAAAGGTTAAAGTAGAGGAGATTTCCTTATTGTGTTGGCTAAAACTGGCTTGCTGGGAGATTTGGCTAGTATCTATCTTGCGCATGCGCACTCTCTCTCTTCTCTCTCCTGATTTCTGGGAAGGTCAGATAAGGGTCTTAGTTTCGTCATGTCAGCAGGGAACTACAGCATGAGTGACACCATTTTGGTTTGATTTGTTGGGCCTAGTACGGAGCTCAGCCCAAACCAATGAATGGCCTTTTATAAATTTTATTTAACAGGAGCTATTTTCTCCACCGGACAGAAATATGTATTATCACATCTCAGCAGTTTTACAGAATTGTAAAATATATGGAACCTAATCAATTATGTAAATTTACATTTCCCTAAATAGTCAGATGGCTTTGAAGTGGGCTTTGTCGAAAATTTTATTAGCACAGCATTAAAAGATAACTTTATCTTTTTTCTGCCTTATTTCCTGTTTTGGAAGCTTTCTGTAACAGTAGGTATTATTTATTCCATTTTACAGATGTGGAAGCTGAGGTTCAGAGTAGTTAAGTTCCTTGTCTGTGACTGCAAATAAGTAAAAGAGCCATGTATCAGTGCTAAGGTTTGCTTGATTCCAAAGCTCATCTTTGTCCTACCATACTATACAGTTAGGTACCTTAAAGGTATTCAATAAATATTTCTAAATTTATTAGCATAGCAGTAGCATCCCATGGCTTAGTTTATAAAATATTAGCCAAGGAACATATAATAGTTAATACTTGTCCCTAAAGTTCTTAACTCACTGGCAAAGCTTACACATCAAGAAAAAAGGAAATACCATTATTTGAATGACAGTCCTTTAATTCCCGGTCAGATCCTGCATTTTAGAGAAGCAATCAAGATTGTCTTAGATGCTACAATATAGCATCTTAACTTTGTAATACTTAGATATTCATTGAACAAATATTGATCACCTACTGGATATCAAGAACCTTTGTTCCCCCTATATCACCATTCATGGTAAGATACTTAAAGGTAGATAAAATAATTTTTTATTTTATTTTAAGAATTATAAGGTATTAATTTCAGATGATCAGAGACAAACTAGTGATAGGTAATAATGTCACATGTTAAAGACTGAGAATTATCCTGGTAGCTAGAATATCATGCTGACTTCCTAATTCTAAAAAGTTCTCTATCCTATTGAGGAGTGCCATCAAAGGTGACATTTGGTAATTTGACAATGGAGGAAAAACAATATAATTTTTCTCAAGACAGATCAGGCATCACTGCAGTGAATTTTTCTTTGCATAGGGCCAAATAATGTTTCAGTAAGCCATGCCATTTTTCTTTCTATATAACTGCAATAAGTCCATTCCTTCTTGCAAGGTAGGACAATATCAAATTCCCGTTATCTATTTGTATGGTTGTAGTACTGCTTCTGGACAGCAGAGGTCACTAATAACAGGTACACTAGACTACCAAATTTTAATAAATGCAAAACAACTAAAGGAGGAAGCAGCTTTACCTAAATTTTGTGCTCTGTGGTAATTGTACAAAATAACCAATAACATCATACATTCTTTGAGACATTACACACTTGCTCTCTACATACATATACTGGTTAAAAAAAAATTAGAAAGTCAGTGTTTATTGGTATTCCACTTGCATACACACACAGAAAATGAAAATGGCCAGGCATGGTGGCTCCTGCCTGTAATCCCAGCATTTTGGGAGGCCATCACTTGAGGCCAGGAGTTTGAGAACAGCCTGGGCAATATAGTGAGACCTTGTCTCTACAAATTTTTTTAAAAATTATCCAGGTATGGTGGTGTGTGCCTGTAGTCCCACCTACTCAGGAGGCTGAGGCAGGAGGATCACTTGATCCCAGGAGTTTGAGGCTGGAGTGAACCATGATGGTGCCACTGCACTCCAGCCTGGGTGACAAAGCGAGACAAAAGGAAACTGGTATCCTAAGGAAGAGTCTACTGGTTGTCTAGTTAACAATACTAGAGTAACCAACAGATAATTCCCTTAGAAAACTAGGGGAAAAAAATTGTCATCTTCTTCTAGTGATAATATGGCCATCAAAATCACAATCATATTAGGTAATAGCCATCTGGCTGTTGATCTGGAAGTCAGTCACCCATTTGCCTGATAGTACAACCAAAAGAACACTGGTATTTGAGGTTCTCCACCTTTGGTTTGACCAATTGCTGGTAACAAAACATTTAAATCATAAACAAGAATTCAAGTCAAGGGCACTAAATTCTAAGTAGCTCTTAACATCTTAAGATTGAAATGTTGGTGTCTAGGCCCTAGGCCAGTGGTTCTCAAGCTTTTTGGAAGCAATCGTTCTGTATCAAATTCGCTTGGAAGACTTGTTAAAACACATATTGCAGGTTCCACCCCCAGAGTTTCTGATTCAGGAAACTTGAAGTGGGGTCTAATAATTCATAGTTCTAACTGGTTCTCAGGGTATGTTGCTGTCAGTGGTCTACAGATCACACTTTGAGAACCACTACTGTCCACCAAAGCCTGAATTCCAGAAGCCCAGCAACACTGCACCATGGTCAGATATAGAGGACCAAAGCCTCATCTGAGAGCTCAAAAAGCCACATTCCAATTGGCTAGAAGTCAAACTAATAATGTTGTTATTCTGTTCATATTTTAATCATGTCCTGTGTCATACCATTATGTTTTGTCTGCCCTTATCTCAGTGTGTTTGTTTGTTTGCTTGTTTGTTTGTTTGCTTGTTTGTTTGTTTTGAGATGCAGTCTCACTCTGTTGCCAGGCTGGAGTGCAATGGCACAATCTCAGCTCACTGCAACCTCTGCCTCCCGGGTTCAAGCAATTCTCCTGCTTCAGCCTCTTGAGTAGCTGGGACTACAGGTGCATGCCACCAAGCCCAGCTAATTTTTGTATTTTTAGTAGAGTCAGGGTTTCACCATGTTGGCCAGGCTGGTCTTGAACTCCTGACTTCAGGTGATCCACTCGCCTCAGCTTCCCAAATTGCTGAGATTACAGGCATGAGCCACTGTGCCCGGCCATCTGGTGTTATTAAATGTTTTCCTGGTTATGTTACCACTTTCTATCCATCCATCCAGCACCTCACTGTTTGCTGTGCATTCTTCTTCTCAGGTTCAACAGCCTTGTAACCAAGTTAAATTTTCTGAAACATGGAATTAATAGCAATGGACAAAAATCCTAAAGAGATAAAGAGAGTAACTGAAGCAATGATCAAATAAGAAGAGTTTTGTTACAAATGGCCAGAAAAGCCCCCACCCACTTCAGCCTGGCCTTCCTAAGTTCTCCTTTCTTTAACCTGTTGTTTTGTCCAATCACTAGCAGGCAGACCAGATCCTGAGTGAGCACTCAATGAGATGCTGTGTTGTGCTACAAATTTCCATGCTAATAGAGAGAACTATCAGCAGGAAAAAAAGAGAGAGAGAGAGTGAATAAAATGCAAAAGCCATGATAAAATATCATTGACTCATGAATTTGTCTCCCAATTTTTCAGAAATATATATTAGCGCCTTTCTAGTTATGCTCCATGGGTCAGGTAAAGACAGGTGAATAGCCACGGTACAACAAAAGGGTTCTTTAATGCCCTCATGAACGAATTCACCTCATTTCCCAAAGCTGAGAGTGAATGAAAATAAGAAATTACAATGGAAATCACACTGCAGTCTTCACTCTGGGCTAGCTTACAATGAAGACTATAATAATACATAATAAATATGCAGCAAACCATGGCTGTTAAAGGAGATGCTTCTTCTGCCGGCACATGGTACACATCCATCACTGCATGTACAATAGGCCAACTGCTCCACGTTGCAGGAGCAATGTTACTAGCTAGTAATTACCGGCATGAGGATTTCCTGCACACAGAAAAGGAAGTGAAAATGCCTTTAACAATACAGGCCTCATACACTTGCTTTGTATGCAAAAATGTCCTGTTACAACACTGTCACCCTTGCCTTTTGAGATGAATATTTATAAAGAAGTTTCTGGAACAACAACTTCATTTGAGACTTGGGCTGCAGTCAAATAGGTTAGGTTGAAAGGGCCCAGACTTTAGAATGAGGTTAGAGTCTCCAGGCCATGATGGCAGAGAGGAAAGAAGGATTCTAACTATAACTTCAACACAGTGTTTTTTAAATCGTGTTTTATTAATTCAGTCCACATGCAGACTTCTTCAGGCAGAAAGAATTTGCATTTTAACTAATTCACTTTCTGATAAATATCAGAAATGAAGGAGTGTGCCCCCATTAGTGATTAAAAAGCCTGGAGAGATTCCTGTCCACTGGATTTTGGGGTGGTGCCGCATCTCAGGTCTGTAATTGTATGCTGTCAGCAGCTTGCCACAACGCACAGAGCATATGGCATCCTCCAAGGATTCGCTACTATTTTTTTTTTTTTACCTTGTGAATCAGTCGGTTACTCTAACTCCTCTGTGAGATAATTCAAACAGCTGATCCCAACCAACTTGAAGGTGGGAAAAGCTCTTTGTCTCACTTTCTATCCCACTGGCTGGGGTAGGCTTGCAGCATTTCATCTGTGGTTTACTTAATAGTACATAGCTAATTGGCATTACCACTCCTGATATAAAGAATGGAACAATGTATTCTGTCCACAGGGCATTCCAAAACCAGATAGGTAGAGTTATATTTTTATGTAACCAAAAATTGCCTTTTATTAGATGGGATCTTAAATGAAAATAAATTGCAAATTTGTTTTTATTTCACTAACGCTGAGAAACATTGGAAATGTAATCAATTCAAGATGAGATCTGCTTAGAGAAAGATAGAAAAATCTGAGTCTCTTAAATAGTTTTAGACCTGGTCAAAATCTTGTAATCCAGTTTACAGAATAGCATTTCCTTCTGTCTCTTTTTTGTTTTGTTTTGATCAGAACAGGATGATGTCTACTGTAATTTTACTAACTACAACATTCTGGACACTTAGCATAGAGCAAAGTCATGAATATCAGACCTCTTTGAGTTCTTATCTTTCATGGTTCACAGATCTCATCTCTTCTTTGATCATCAGGGTAGCTCCCAAATTGAATCTGTTTTTCTCTCCTTTTTCCCTCTACAGCCAACTATTTCATTCTGGACCAAAAGATTAATGAAATCATGGCTAGAGTGAAAAAGAACCTAGCGAACCAAAGAATGATAAATGAGTAAATAAATTTCAAAGAAAAAATATAATGAGACAAAAATATGCCTAAGAAGAAAAGTGAATAGAAGTATAGATCTGGTGATCAAATTTCAGCATCAAATACACTTATAAATAATGAAAAAAAAAAACCAGGAAAAAAAACCCTCCAGAGAGATAGTTTAATCCCAAAGGGAATCTTTCAAACAGAAAAGATGTTTTTACAGCATCTTTATTGCAGTTATTTTACAGCATTTTCAACTTTCATATTTAATTGCAATTAAAATGCTAAAACAGATTCTAAGTTAGACTCAGCTCAAGTCTGAGTTGAAGTGAATATTGCAAAGACAATTGGATTCAGAAATGAAAGACACCCCTGTATTTCTGAATAATGGCTACAGTTTCATTCAAATGTCTTAATCAAATAAAAAATAAATGATGTGAAATAGGATGACACCAAAGAGAAAACCATGACATTCCTCATAATTATCCAGCTGCTTCAAAAAGGAACACATTGGCCAAGTGGTTTCCTGATTCCAGCAGCACTCTCAGATCTCCTACCGCTGACTCTCAGGAGACCCAGTTTACCAATGTAGTTTCTCATGATTTTATATGACATGCCCAAGTATCTAGCCACCCTGGTTCAATTAAAGGGAAAACAAACAAACAAAGACTGGGGGCTCTGTCCTGATTTTCTGTCCTGGCTTATCCTGTGCTTCTAGCAGCTGTGCTCCAACCTTATGTCTCATGAGCCATCTCCCAGCCCTTCCCAGAAAAGTAAGGCAGGCATCTCCTGCAGCTGAGAAGTAAAGGGAAATTTTTAGGAAAAAGAATGGCAAGACAGCAGAAAGAAATTTTAATGACTAAGTAAAGGTAAAAGGCAATAAAGAAAAAAGAAAAGCCAAGGAGGGAAAAGAGTGCCTAGATACAGAACAATTAGCACAGAGGAAATTACTAGAGCTAGGAAAAATCACTAGTTTTCTAACTCTGAGAACAAAATGCAGCAGCAAGTTGCCATTACTGGGACTCTTCCAAGCTCTGAAGGGTTTAGTGCCAAGGTCTTTAAGCCCATTTTTTCTTTAAGCAGCTAGCCTGGGCTGTGAGATTTCGATCTGAAAAGATCCGGAAACATCAGCCCCGGAACTAAAACCAATGCCCAAAGGCTTCCATTAATGTGATCTTGTGTGCAGTTCACCAGGAGGGTGACGCCGTAGATTGTGCTAAAATGTTCTAGCTTGTGGTACCATATGTGCAATACTTAATAAAAGATAGCATTAAATGTGAAAACGGAGGTTCTTTTTTTAAAGCTAAACAAATGCAAGGTATTACTATCACAACATTAAGACGAACATAACTGTTATTTTCCTGAGTTTGATTTATTAAGAAATATGCAATCAATCATTGAAAGCAGCTGTCACCAAAAAATCTGCATCCAAAGAATGCATAATCTTTGTAAAATACAATTGTCTTAAAATTCACCTCTTCCCACTCCCCTTCCACTAGCAGCACTTCCCTGTTCACCCTTCAGTGGTCCTCCTTTGTTCCAAAGGTGAAGAGAGAATTCCTTGAAGGCTCTCAACCAGACCACTGTCTTCTCCTCCAGCCATATCACGTGCCCTTTCTCTGGGCTTTCACCACCCTACTCTGCCATTCCTCATATTCACCAGGCTCCCTTCTGCCACAAGGCCTTCCACATGCCACTCCTTTATCATGGAACACTCTTCCCTTAACTCTTGGCCAAACTAACCCATACACATCCCTCCAAAGCCACTTTCTCAGAGAAACCTTCTCTGACCTCCCTACTGGAGCTAATCCCAAAGGAATAGGCTCTCAGCAGCCCATATACCTCTCTTCCCCTACTACAATGAATACTATACACTTGACATTTGAATGATGTATGTCCCCACCAAAGACTTAAACTCCATAAGAGTAGGGACCATGTCAGTTTTGCTCACCATTTGTCTCAACACCAAGGATAGTATCTGACACATAGTAGGTGCTCAATAAATAATCATTGAATGAATGAATGAAAAGAATAGATCCCTTTTCAGGTAGTTAACCAGCATAGTTTATCTAAAACAAGACAAATTTTTGAATTATAGTTCTTCACCAAATATTAATTCACCAGTTAATTTATTCAATAAGTGTGGACTGTGCTTCCTAAGTAGACTAGAAAAATAAACAAAGCACAATCCCTGCCCTCAGAGTACTTATACTTTAGATTCTGTAAAGTTCCAGATAGTAAAAATTTTCAACTTTGCAGGCCAATCTCTTTTGCAACTACTCAATTCTATTGTGTAGTACAGAGGTCCTCAACCCCTGGGCGATGGACTGCTATTGGCCCATGGCCTGTTAGGAACCAGGCAGCACAGCAGGAGGTGAGTGGCAAGTGAGTGAGCATTACTGCCTGAGTTCTGGCTCCTGTCAGATCAGTGGTTGCATTAGATTCTCATAGGAGCGTAAACCCTGTTGTGAACTGCACATGTGAGGGATCTAGGTTGCCCACTCCTTATGAGCATCTAATGCCTGATGATCTGAGGTGGGACAGTTTCATCCCTGAGCCATCCTCCTACCCCCTTACCCCACCCCAGTCCATGGAAAAATTGTCTTCCACAAAACCCGTCCCCAGTGCCAAAAAGGTTGGGGACCACTGGTGTAGTACAAAACAAGCCATGGGCAATATGCAAATGAATGAACATGGCTGTGTTACAATAAAACTTTATTTACAAAGACAGGCAGTTGTTTTTGGTTATAGTTGGTTGCTGGTTGGCTGTAGTTTGCCACACCCTACTCTAGGAGAAGCTACAGGACATGTGTTTAGATATATATAAAACTTGCATTCACACAAAATATTTGGATTCAGCAGCCATATGTTGGGTCCCTCCTATGGGCCATGCACCCAGCTAGGGTTGTGGAGCACACAAGATTCAGAAGGCTGGACTTGCTCAAGGGGCAGCTCATTATCTAAGGGGAGAGATGCACATGCTCACTTATTTTTATAAAACAGCTTGAAAAGGATTCAAGATGAAAGTCTTTATGTAACACAGTAAAAACAAAATATTCTGAAAGCCCAGAGGAGGCAGGGATGCAGCTATTTGGATTCCTGAAAGAGTCATCGCCCATAAGTGGCACATAGAAAGCCATGCCTTGGAAAGACAATCTGAACACCTTGGGCTGGGTGGATGCAAGGGAAAGAGGCAGGGGGCAGGGGGATATGTAAGAGCTGGTGCGTGTAGCCTGGTTAGAAGGATCTGAATTAGTGTGGCAGCTGTTGAAACAGGGAGGAGAGGACAGATTCCAGGGACACTGCAGTGGTTCCATCTGTGAGACTGATCTGCTAATTGGTTTATACTGTAGTGATATGGCAGAGTTGTCTTGTAACTTACAGAGATAATGCCATGAGAGTGTGAGCAGAATATGAGCTCAGTGTTGTTTAGCCACCAGGGTTAACAGCAGAGGCCCTAATTATCAAAACTCCATCTACCAAGTCGCCCTGTGACCTATATGCATTTATAAATAAAATAAGAGACCAGGGTTAGGAACAGCATGAACAGGTTAAAAGCACAGTTTCTCTGTGTTTTGCCTCTCAGGCCACCCAGCCTATCATTAGGGCATCATTGGTGACTAATTCTTCTTCTACATAACTTTCCATCTTACCTCTGATTCCAAGAAAGACCAACTCTTGGTCACTCACTTTAAAGGCTGGATCTTTTCTGGGAAGATCCTCAGAGGCTGATTTGCAACATACTCTTCCCCAGGGTCTGGAGAGCTATTCTGGGGATATGGGGGTATTGACTTTGAGAGGCCTGAGGAAGAACTCCTAGACACCCCCAAATCTACACTCATCCAAGCAGTGAATCAGCAGCTCTAGTATTCATTTCCTCCAGCACCCTCCTTGGAAGTGCTAATGGACAATAAAAATGTGGAAGGGAAGGCAGGCAGGCAGGCCCAGAGGGAGGTGGAGAACTAAGGGCAGCTGATAGGAAGCACCGTTGACTAATCCTCTCCTGACTCATTCAGATCCCTTGGACCATCTTTCACCTCTCAATTGTCTTATCAGGCTCTGTGAGAACCTTCATTAAGGCTCCTCTATCTTAGAGCTCATGACTTATTCCCTGGTGGACTCTTCTTCTTCAGCTTAAGGGTCACTGAGAAAGAGGCTGAACCTGGCAGCTCTGGCTCTACTGAGTAACTTACAACAGGTTATTTTCTCTTTTGAAAAGTCTGCTTCACCCTCAGAGTCTCACAGAAGCGGTGGTGCTCTTCATCACCTTGAAGGATTATTTTATTGGCACAATCTCTGATTCACATTAGAAACACCATGCATGAAACTCGAGGAGTATAATTTTCTGTAGTGGTGGGGACATAAAGACACAGCCCCCAGCTTCAGATCCCGCCCTTCCACCCCAGTTAATGGTCTAATGCTGGGCATGTCATCCAATCTGTGCAGTCATCCTCAACATACGCAGGGGATTGGTTCCAGGACACATACCCTCAACTCCCACAACAAAATCTCTGCATACTTGAGTTCCACGGTCAACCTGCATATACAAAAGTTCAGCCCTCCATATACGCAGGGTTTGCATCCTGCAAACACTGCATTTGGTTGAAAAAACATCTGCATATAATTGGATCCAAGCAGTTCAAACCTGTGTTGTGTAAGGGTCAACTGTGCAAGCATTGATACGGGTGAAAGTATGGGAATGGGCTTTGGAAATGATAAAGACTATTTTGAGGCTTTTATGAGAGGAGACATGGTTAAAGAAAAGAGCATGGGATTTAGAATGAGATTCAATTTTCATGCTGCACTCCTCAGGTGAAACAAGTGATGTCTTAGAATTCTCATTTCTTCTTCTGCATAATGGAGAGAATGAAACCTCTGGGACTGTTTCAAGGATGCAGTGACATAATGTGAGTGGAACGTTTTGCAAACTGTAAAGCACTAGACAGATCGCTGTTGTCCCTGTAACAGTATCGGATAATCACTAGCCAAGGTTGATTCTATCTGTGTTTCGAGGAAAGTACAAAGGACACAAAAAGGACACACAGACAACAGCACTAGACGCTGAGGAGATTATAAAGATCATATTTCTCTAGGCCAGCAAGTTAATTCTTAACAGAGAGCTCCTAAGAAGGGAAATCAGCTGAAGAGCTGAAAGGCCAACTGTAGCACTTTTCAAAGAGAAAGTCATTTTCCTCACATCAAGTTTGAACTTTGTCAGGTGTGGTTCATTGGATATTTGAGCCCGAAAAGACTCTGGTCTCAGTGGAAGGTTGAAATGTATCTAAACTAAAAATAAATAAATAAATAAAAATTTCAGGTTTTTTTTTTTCTATCAGCAGCTTAAGCACTCTAAAGCTGTAAGAATTACAACTGCTTTTGTTCAACATTCCGCAGAGACTTGAGGTAATCCGGGTGATGAGGAAAGAAGGCAATTGTTGGAGTTGGATCCACCTTAATTCCAAATCCACTGACATTCTGCCATAGCTCAACATCTCTGAGCCTCTTCCCTTCAACTATAAAATGAGGTCTCTTCCTCAGAGGACTGCCATGAGGGTCACCACATGAGCAAAACACTTAAGAAAGTGCTAATTAAAGTCTTGGTCAAAGAGAGTCCCCAAAGGCTGGATGGAATTATGAGTGGTGTGATGGTTAATATTGAGTGTCAACTTAATTGGTTTGAAGGATGCAAAGTATTATTTCTGAGTGTGTCTGTGAGGGTGTTGCCAAAGGAGATTAACATTTGAGTCAGTGGACTGGGAGATGCAGACCCACCCTCAATCTGGGTGGGTACCATCTAATTAGCTGCCAGCGCATCTAGAATAAAACAGGCAGGAGTAGAGGGAAGAGCAGACTTGCTGAGTCTTCTGGCTTCCATCTTTCTCCTGTGCTGAATGCTTCCCGCCCTCAAACATCAGACTCCAAGTTCTTCAGCTTTTGGACTCTTGGACTTACACTAGTGGTTTGCCAGGAGCTCTTGGGCCTTTGGCCACAGACTGAAGGCTGCCCTGTTGGCTTCCCTACTTTTGAGGCTTTGAGACTCCGGCTGATCCACCACTGGCTTCCTTTCTCTCAACTTGTAGACTGCCTATCGTGGGACTTTACCTTGTGATCGTGTGAGTCAATTCTCCTTAATAAACTCCCTTTCATATACACATAATGTCCTATTAGTTCTGTCCCTCTAGAGAATCCTGACTGATAAAAGTGGGAATCAGAAGAAATTCTCTACGTAATGCTAAATAATAAGAATTATTAGTTCATGGATTAATAACAAAAACCACTGATATAAACCAATTTTATAGCTAATCTTTTATTAGCTTCTTTTTTTCTCTTTTTAAAGACCTCAAATGCATAAAGTTTAGTTAATCACCCACATCTTCCTTCACTTCTACTCTAAAGAATTCAATGTATATTCTTCCATTTCACCTTCCATGGCTGTGTGTCTGTGAGTGCACACACTCATGTGTAGAGAGACACACAGAGAGAGGTAAGAACATTAATGTTTTCAGTTGTGTTTGCCTTGGTTTTACTTATTGATTCCCCTGACAACAAACACATCACAGGGTTGACCCTGTTCTTAGTATTCCACAAACACCATTGCAATGAATATCTTCCTAAGTGCCTGCTATAGGTCTGAGCCAGCTTGTCAGAGGTCTATTCTCAGGAGCTGGATTTCTAGGTTATGAGATATGCACATGCTTAATTGTATTACACAAGCCATATTCCCTCCAGAACAGCTGTTCTGATTATACTTCACCCTGCAGTGCATGAAGGATGCCTGCATCCCCACATCTTTGCCAACAGTTGATATGATTTGACTTTCTAATTTTTGTCCATCTGTTGCATATAAAGTGATATCTCAATGTTGCTTTAATTTGTGTTTTTCTGATTACTGAGATTGAGTATTTTGGTTATATATTTGTTTATTAAACAACCAGTTTTACTCTTTTTCCTATTTATCTCTATTTCCCATTTTTCTTACTTTTTATTGCTGATTTACAATGATCTTCTTTAATTCCAGATAATAACCTCTTATTGATAATGAACATATAGATTTCTATTTCCACTGTTAACATTGTCTATATGCCCTGTGTTGAACAGAAACCTTTGATTTTTACGTCATCAAATCCATCAATATTAGGGTTTGTGATTAGGGGTTTTGTTTAAGAATTCCTTGCCTACCCTGAGGTCACAAAAATACCTCTCTACTTGATCACAAGTCGAGGACCAAAGAAAGAGTAGATGACTCTCCTCTGCTATGTCAGGCTCTGGCTGCTCCTCTCCTCTCCTCTTGTTGTCCTTTTATGCTCCACAATGTGATTATTTTCCATGTCCCTTGATTATTAGGCCTTGGCATGTCTTCTTCCTTCTACTCTATCAATATCTGTTCTCAATTGTTTTCAGAAAAGTATGGATAAACACATTTGTAGGTATTATTGGCTGATAAGATAAAGTGCATAACCCATCTCAAGGACATCTTCAATTTTCACAGAGTAGAGTACATTTTAATGAAGTACTCCAATACATTAGAGTATGTGATATTGCAAAAAAGAATGCAGAGCTCCCTAGTCATGCAGACCTGAGCTTGAATCTTGGTTTTGTCAGTTATTTTGTAATGCTAATCAAGTCACTTAACTTCTCTGTGTGCCATTTGAAAATCATAACAACTATTATATAGAATATATTGGTTAGAAATAATAATAAAAATGTTAATAATAATAGCTACCATATATGATATATTGCCTGGAAAAGGCCAGAATATACTAAGACCATAAATGAATGCCAAAATCTAAAGGGCTTGACAAAGCAAAGATTTCTCTCTTACAGAGAAACCTATCTAACATTGGTCAGCTACACATGGTCACTCTGAGACCCAGATAGAAACTTCACATCTAGAATGTTACTGACCATATAGCTGAGTATAGAGGGTGCTGTGGTTCACCTCAGAGACTTCTCATTCAGGACTGAGGTGCTCATTCTCCCAGAAGCCAAGATGTAGACTGCTGACAGCTTACAGCTGAAACCCTTTATTGCCTTCAGCCAAAGAGAGGTGCCACCCACAAGGGTATGTCCCAACCCCAGGGCAGCCTGCATCTAATAACAGGATGGTGTGAGCTATAGAGGGTCAGATCTCTTGCCTCAAATGAGAACAACTCAGAGGGGCCATCAAACACCAAAGCTCCATAAAGGATTGGCCAAGGCTTCTGTTGTAACACAACCTCACCACAGTTCATCTCCCCTTCTCCAATCCTGTTTCCCTCACTCCTTTACAGGTGGTATTCCTGAGAATTCTTATCAACAGAATGCTAGCAAGAAATTCTCTGCCTCACATTCTATTTCTTGGGGAATTAGACCTCAGAGAGTTGGTATTAAGAGTTGACCTAGGAAGCCGAATCCAAAATGGGATTTTGAAGACGGACCAACTGAGTGTCAGCCTGGCAAGAAAAATACCAACACTTCTGGTAGATGAAGTACAGATATTCCATGGCAGGCTTCAGTGGTACAATTTTTAAACTTTTAATTGTTGGTGAAACATGGTGGGATAGTAGTAAAAGAAAATTCACTGGCAGATACAACATCTAAAGAGCTTGAGAGGTGCTGGGGAAATGGCCATTAAAAGGACTATGGAATTGAGTGACTCCTATTGGGTGACATCAGTGCAATGGAGAAAGACAATGAAGGTCTAAGGATGTTTTATCTCCAATTTAAGGTGACTTATGAAAGCCAGAAGGCCTACTTGGCAGCACAAAAAGCCAGGGGGCAGAAAAAGCTGATAATCAGACCAGAACTTAAGTATAAGGATACAAATGCTCCAGTGAAGGTTAAATTCTTAACCTCAGCAAGTCTGCTATGCCAAAGTCAGAGACCTTTAATTGGGAAGGCATGGAACCTAAAACCTAGGATGGGGACATCTGGATCAATGCATTTGAATTCACATAGGACAAAAAAAAAAAAGTATACATTTATGGTGTTATCTCAGATTTATGTAAATTCCCCATCCCTTTGTTATGGTATCACATGAAACGACCTAGACCATCTAGACATTCTTCACAACATTATTGGGCGGCTATATCAATGACATTTTGTTAATCAGATAGGACGAGCAGTATGTGGCAAGTTGACTAGAGGCATTAGTAACTCCATGAGGATTCAAGGGCCCCCTGCCTTAGTGAAGATTTTAGGGGCCCAGTAGCCTGGGACATACCAGAACATCTCCCTCCAGACTAAAGGGAGAATTAAGGCATCTCATGCCTACAGCATGAGGAAGGGAGCAAAACATCTCATATACATCTTTGTGCTCCTGAGGCAGCATATTCTACACTTGGATATTCTGTTCCAGTCCATTCACTAAGTGACACAGCAAGCTGCCAGAGCAGGTCCAGGTTGCAGGGGAAGCAGTCCTGCCTTACAGTCTTGGGCCTTACAATCTGCCAGTTCCTGTGGTAATAGAGATATTTGCGAAAGGAAAAAAAAACCAATATGTGTAGTATGCAACAAAGAATTTAACCTTGCACAAAATAAGCTCTGGCCTTTGTCCATGGCTCCTGAGAGATAATCTCTGTTCGTATGGAGACTTTGGGCTGGCCAGACAGTAACAATGTGGTTTCGGATGGGGCTAATGACACTTTAGGGTTGAGGCTGGCTATGCCAGGAAGACGAACAATGTGAATTAGAGTAGGGACTTTGAGTCACATGGTATCAGTTGGCCTGGAGATTAAGATGAATCAATCATGCCAAAAATAATGGAGCCCAATAAAAACTCTGAACATCGAGGTTGGGTGAGCTTCCTTGATTGGCAATGGTCTGTGGGCATTGTCACACACCAATGCCAGGAAAGTAATGTGTCCTGACTCCACAGGGTGAGGATAACAGAAGGTCCACGTTTGGTACTTCCCCAGATTCTGCTCTTTGTACTTTTTTCCTTGGCTGATTTTAATCTGTATTCTTTCCCTGTAATGAACCATAACTATGAGTGTAATCACTTTCAGCATGTTCTGTGAGTTCCTCTACTGAATTATCAAAACTGAGGTTAGTTTTGGAAACCCCTCAAACATCCAGTTGGTGTCAAAAGTGAGAACAGTCTTGTGGAAACTATTTCCTCTAACTTTTTAGTTGGCTTAAACTCTTCACATGGAGCTATACGGCAAAAGGCCCAATAAGAGATCTACAGTGTAGACCCCTTAGGATTCTTAAGCAAAGCCATGCCATCTGCATTGTATAATTATATACTGTATTAGTCTTTTTCTCATGCTGCTAATTAAGACATACCTGGGACTGGGTAATTTATAAAGGAAAGAGGTTTAATTGACTCACAGCTCCACGTGGCTGGAGAGGCCTCACAATCATGGCAGAAAGTGAAGGGGAAGCAAGACATGTCTTACATAGCAGCAGGCAAGAGAGAGCTTGTGCAGGGGAACCCCCATTTATAAAACTATCTGATCTCGTGAGAATTATTGACTATCATGAGAACAGTATGGCAGAAATTGCCCCCATGATTCAATTATCTCCACCTGGCCCCACCCTTGACACATGGGGATTATTACAATGCAAGGTGAGATTTGGATGCAGACACAGCCAAACTATATCATATACTATTCAGAAAACAATTCCTAGTATGCTAGCATATACTATCCAGAAAACAATTCCTAGGCCTTGGAGACTGAGTGTCTGAGCATAGGAATCATGTGACCAGGAAGCAAGAACTCCCCATCAGGAGCTGGCACTGGCATACACACCCTGAATAATAAGTTTGGACACGCCCAATAACAATTCATGATAAGATTGAAATAATACATCTGCGGTGAGGCACAAGCAGGGTCACAGGGCACAAGTATGCTGTACAAGCACATGACCCAGACCCCCATGTCACCACTGTTGCACCATCACCTCCCCCTCAGCTCATACCTATGATCCCATGGTGGGGTCCCTTATATTCAGCTGATGACAGAGCAAAAAACGCTAAGCTCAGTTTCCAAATGAATTGGTTCAGTGTGTAAATGCAAACCAAAATGGACTTCTGCAGCCCTGAAAAACAGCAATGAGAGAAAATCCTCTCATCGGACGAAACTTTGAATGGTATACCTGGCCGTCTGCTTTGTGAGGACTAAGAAATGGTTCAAGGTAAAAGAATGTGTAGACTCTTGGACAGTTTTGAATAGCTTGGCTGGTCGATCATGGCCCTGGGAAGTACAAAGATCTGAAAATCAGGGACAAGAAGTTATTGGAAGAATTCATGTAAATAGACCTATGGGAACATCCATGATGTAAAAGGCATTTATCAAACAACCAACTTGGCCAACTGACATGAACTGGCCTCTTTCATCAGTCAGCATGAAACCATGGGATCCACTTCCCTATTACATCCCACCCACCAGAAGCTGCCAATCTGATAAAGCTATGGAAAGGCCCTTGGAAGGCACAGCTAAGAAAACAGCTTAGCATGTCATCCTGCAAGGATGTGGGCTATTCTCCAGAACATAGGATACATCTCTTGTAGCCAGAATCAGGACCTTCCTACCCCCAAGATGTCTATATCCAAATCCACAGAACCTATGAATAATTTACCCTATATGGCAAAAGGGACTTTGGAAAGGGAAAATCACTCTGGATTATCCAGGTGGGCTCAATGTAATCACAGGGTCCTTATGAGTGAAGGAGGGAGAGGTAGGAGAGGCAAATAAAGAAATGAATGACACAGCAGGGAGGGGAGTCAGAGAGAGACTGAAAGATGCTACACTGCTGGCTTTGAAGATGGAGGAAGGGGCGATAAGCCAAGACATAGAGGTGGCCTGTAGATGCTAGAAAGTCAGAGAAATAGATCTTCCCTAGTGCCTTGAAAAGAACAAATCCCTGCTGACACCTTGATTTTATCCCAGTGAGACTCATTTCAAACTTTTCATCTCCAGAACAGCAATATAATAAAATTGTGTTCTAAGCCACACCTGTGTTGTGATAATTGCTTACAGCAGCAATAGAGAACTAATACAACATTCTAAATCAATGGCCATTATATAGTTCTGTGGCTTTAATAAGTAGAATATATGAGTCCGGGAACCAAGCAATGAAAATAAGAAATAAATATGGGATGACCCCCACTTTTTATCCCATCTTTGTAAGCTCAACACCTAGCAGAAGTGAGGCACATTACACATATTATTGAGTTAAACTGTCAGTTATTTAATTATATTGAGTTTGTTTCCTCATCTACAAATGGGGATAATATGTACATCTTAGTGTTGTGAGAACTGAATTAATTTATAAACAGAGCCTGGCACGACTTTCACTTCCCCATAAACTTCAACTCCTCTCTCTCTCTCTCACCTGCTGATCATCAGCTGAGTTTACTTCCCTTTTATCCTACATTTATTTCAAATCCATTCTCATAACTACTGCTTAAACAAAAATTCAAGCCCTCATCATCTCATGCCCAGAAGAATGTAACAGTCTTCTCGTTAGTCTCCCTACTTGCAGTCTTTCCCTTTCTCTCATCCCGCCTCTTCAACCCAGCCAGAATGATTCGCTTTTCTAAAAATATAAATTCCAAAAGTCTTCTCTAAGATACCCACTTTTTAGTTTTAAAAATTTCTTCTCTAATTAGAAGCCTTCAGTGGCTCCCCATTGCTCTCAAGGTAAAGTCTGAAATCCTCAGCACTGAATCCAAGGAGTTTCAAAATTTCGCCCAACCTGCCTTTTTAGTTTCTCCTAGGGTTGCGCAGGCAAGTGGGTTTTTCAGGTTACAGAATCGCTCAAGGGAGAGAGAGATTGCAGGGAAATGTGGGTATTGTCTCTGCTTTCTCCTTCATTAGCATGTGGCCTTGCAGAAGCTGAGGGATTTCTTCAAGACCCAGGAGAACCAATTTTTATAATTTTTTTTAAAGGAAGGTGGCAGTTTATTGTCATCAGGTGTCACAGAATGGTAACTTATGCCACTAGAGAATGTGTTCATAGCCATGCAAACTGTGTCTCTCCAGCAACACACACTATAGTGGAAAAAGGGGAAACCAAAACCAACTCAAGATTTCCTGCATTTGCTTCTGGTACATTCTCTATCCTTGGCTGACTAAATCGGGAATCCCAGTTCATCCTGTGGGCACATCTGTATTTGTACATGTGTATACATGTGTATTTGTACACGTGTATACATGCAAGTATACACATATGTGTCTGCGTATGTTTGTATGTGCATGTATGTGTGTGAAATTTCTGCTATTCACAGCATTCCTCAACAGCATTCATCAACAGGGGTACTCTTGGCATTTGGGAAAGGGTAGTTTTCAATGTGTGGAAATTCCAAGTTTCTTGCAGGATGTTTAGCATCCCTAATATCTAGATACTAAATGCCTATTGTTATTGTGACAACCACCCTCACATTTCCAAATACCTACTAGGGTGGCAGTGCCTTCCCTCACTGAGAATAATTATTTGATAGAAAGTTCCATGAGGGCAAGGAGCTCTACATTTATGTGGCCTCATGAACACCTAGCACGAGGCTTTGCACAAAATATACAATAAATATTTGTGGATGAGTAAATGAATCACTGAGTTAAATCTTTACATTCATTGTTATCTGCCATTGTATATTATGCATGTGCTCTTTTCTCTCTTTGGAATGATCTGCCTTTATCTTGATGAATCCAGAAATGTTCCACCCATCCAAAGTAAACTCTGATGCAAACTTTCACTGACTCCCTAACATGGTTAACCTCCAAATATGTTCCCATCACTGTTTGCACATACCTCCTCCCTAGCATTTACTGCAGTGAATTGAATTTGTTTTTATGCCTATATATCCTGAAGACTATGAATAGCTTGGAGGATGTGGGTGATGAATTATTTATCTATGTATTCTCCGGAGTCTTAGCATCTTACCTGGCACATAATATATTGTTGAACATTTTGTTGAATGAACAAGTGAATGAAGGACAAAGGAGAGATAATTGCAAGCCCATGCAGAATGATTTTAAAACCCAGGGGAAAAATCTGGGGAAACTGAATATTGAAGGGATTTTCCATGAAAGAGAGAGAGCGAGCCTGGGGCAAGAGCTGAATTTCTAGGGGCCAGCTAGAGGAGAGGACAGGGAGGCATCTTTGATACTGCTGCACAACAGCCTAGGAGAGGAATGTGTAAGGGCAGGAATGACAACCTGAGCCCAAGTTGTCTGTCTTGTAATGAATGACTCAGAAAGGAACCACAGATTCCAGCAAACTTCTAGAAGCTTCTTGCCTCAGCCCTTCTTGGGCTACATCCGAGCAGCATACACACTAAAAGACAAGTAGGCACAGGCTCTGAAATCAGGCAACCTGGCCTCAAATCTCAACTTTGCCACCAATTAGCTGTGTTACTAGGAGCTCAGTGTTTACATTTTCTATGCCTCAATATCCTTATCTGTAAAACGGGGATAATAATAGTATATACCTCTAGGGCTGGTTTTTGAGGTGTAAATGAGATACTATGGGTATTGGGTTTAGAATACTGCTTGGCACATCATAAGCACATAACCAGGATTAGTTGTATATAGGAAGAGCTTAGACTATCACTTAGAATAATCTAAGAAAGTCTCCCAGGACCAACTAAGAGAAACTTTTGAGAACTCTCTAGGAAGAGGAGACAGAAACTCTACTTTGGGACTGTTACTCACAGTTTTGTAAGATTTCTGCAAACATTTAACTCCTCAAGCACTTATCTTGCTCACCCTTAACTATACTTCTACAGATGTCAGCAATAAAATTTCTAAATAAAAGTATCTATGAGTTTATTTGGGGGAACGTTAATGAAGAGAGAGTCTAAAAAGATCATTCAACTACCAAATCTGTCTTGAGAGAGAAGCAACCCTTCTAACATCAAGCAGATGCTAATATTTAAAAGAAGACAGTCAAATCCTCAGGGAGTGGGGCCTAGAAGCAAAGGGAATAAGAGAATTCCCAGGATGAAGAAGTGGCTCCAACATTTGACTTGCAGGTGCACAGCCCCCTAAAAATGCCTAAAACTGAACTTGTTGCCTCTGCCTCCGAGTACCCCATTTCTGGCAGGGCAGTATCCTTTAAGTGTGTGAAGCTGATATGGTTTGGCCATGTCCCCATCCAAATCTCAACTTGAATGGTATCTCCCAGAACTCCCACATGTTGTGGGAGGGACCCAGGGGGAGGTAATTGAATCAGGGGGCCAGTCTTTCCCATGCTAATCTTGTGATAGTGATTAAGTCTCACGAGACCTGATGTGTTTATCAGGGGGTTCCAGTTTTGCTTCTTCCTCATTTTCTCTTGCTGTCACGAGTAAGAAGTGCCTTGGCTGGGCGCTGTGGCTCATGCCTGTAATTCCAACACTTTGGGAGGCCCAGGATGGCGGATCACTTGAGGACAGGAGTTTGAGACCATCCTAGCCAACATGGTGAAATCCCCTCTCTACTAAAAATACAAAAATTAGCCAGGCGTGGTGGTGGTGCACACCTGTAGTCACAGCTACTCAGAAGGCTGAGGCATGAGAATAGCTTGAACCCAGGAGGCGGAGGTTGCAGTGAGCCGAGGTTGTGCCATTGCACTCCAGCATGGGCAACAGAGCTGGACTTCAGCTCAAATAAAAACAAAAACAAAGAAGAAGAAGAAGTGCCTTTTCCCTCCTGCCATGATTCTGAGGCCTCCCCAGCCAATGTGGAACTATAAGTCCAATTAAACCTCTTTTCGTTCCCGGTTTCAAGTACGTATTTATCAACAGCATTGAAAACAGACTAATACAGTAAATTGGTATCAGTAGAGTGGGGTGCTACTAAATGGATACCCAAAAATGTGGAAGAGACTTTGGAACTGGGTAACAGGCAGAGGTTGGGACAATTTGGAGGGCTCAGAAGAAGACAGAAAAATGTGGGAAAGTTTGAAACTTCCTAGAGACTTGTTGAATGGCTTTGCCCAAAATGCTGACGGTGATATGGACAATAAGGTCCAGGCTGAGGTGGTCTCAGATGAAGATGAGGAACTTGTGGGGAACTGGAGTAAAGGTGACTCTTGTTATGTTTTAGCAAAGAGACTGGCGGCATTTTGCCCCTGCCTTAGAGATTTGTGGAACTTTGAACTTGAGAGAGATGATTTAGGGTATCTGGTGGAAGACATTTCTAAGCAGCAAAGCATTCAAGAGGTGACTTGGGTACTGTCAAAGGCATTCAGTTTTGTAAGGGAAGCAGAGCATAAAAGTTTGGAAAATTTGCAGCCTGACTATTTGATAGAAAAGAAAAACCCATTTTTCTGGGGAGAAATTCCAGCTGGCTGCAGAAATTTGCATAAGTAGCAAGGAGCCTTCCTTTGTGTTGTGGGAGGGACCTAGCAGGAGCCGGTCTTTCCCGTGCTATTCTCATGATAGTGATTAAGTCTCATGAGATCTGATGCATTCATCAGGAGTTCCCACTTTTGCATCTTCCTCATTTTCTCTTGGCTGCCGTGATGTAAGAGGTGCCTTTCACCTCTTGCCATGATTCTGAGGCCTCCCCAGCCATGTGGAACTATAAGTCCAATTAAACCTTTTTTTCTTCCCAGTTTCAGGTATGTCTTTATCAGCAGCCTGAAAACGGACTAATACACAAACTAATAAACTTGAGGTTATTTTGTTTTCCATTATCTTTCATATCAAACTTCTCACCAAATATTACTTATATTTTCTATTTTCAGTTTTTTCCATTTTATTTTTGAAATATAAAATGTATGAATGTGTAGGTCCCATTTAATGAACAATAACGATGTATCTACCCACCCAGGTTAAGAAAAAGAATATTAGGAGGTCTTTAAATGTCCCTGTGGCCTCCTTCTTTATAATCCTATTACTTCTTTACTGGTTCCCTTGGGTTCACCTTTACTGCTCTGATTCCATTGTGGTCACCAGATTATCATTACTCCATGCCAAGATCAAAGCCATGGCTACTTCATTCATTCATTCAAAATATTATTAGCACCTCCTGTAAGACGAGCATTATGTTGGACCTGACTGATATCAAAGGTGAAGTTCTGCCAGGAGCTCAGAGTCAGGGGACAGACAGACCAGAATGGACAGGTTAGAACAAACAAGTATAATGCATACATGACAGAAGTAGAACGGTGCTTTGGTGGCTGGGGGAGATCCCTGGCTCATCTCTCTGTTTGCTATCTCTCCAACCCTCCTGGATTTCATTGTCATCATGTTTTACTCCTGGTCTAAGCAGAACACGAATTCCTCTCTGCCTGGCTTTATGACCCTCCAAGAATCTGGCACCAAGCCGTGTCATCTTAGAACACCTACTTAACCTCTCTGAGCTTCAGACTCCTCACCAGTAAATGCAGAATAATCATCATATCTCCTACAGAGTTCTTACAGGGATCGGTCCCATGACGAACATGAAGGTACTTTCCCAACTAAAAAGTACAACACAAATGTTGAATGGGATGTTCTTCCTTTCTCTCTTTTTGTCCTTGCTGAAATGTTTCCACCCTTTAAGATTCAACAACTATTGTTTCCATGGACCCTCCATCTCCTAGGCAATCTCTACGTTCCCTTGATCCCTCTTGCTATTTTTGTCAGCACCACATACTTTGTGCTGTGATTACTTCATGAGACTGCAATTATTTTCTCAAATCAGACCCTGAATATTTTTAAGGTAGGATCATGTCTCATATTTCCCTAGTGTCCTCACAGAAGCTAAAGCTCTGTTTGGCTTCATTTAGAATATTGTTTCTCACATATTCATTGCTGATGGAGCAGAATATACCTCACTCACTGTTAGAATTCCACCACAGAAATATTGTTTCAATGATACTTCTATAGATTTCAGCCAGAAATTTGTTATGAAATTAAAATGGTTGCAATGAAAAGAATGCCAGCGATATCTGCAAGTTTAATGTATTGTTAAGTTGACATCAAATGAAGAATTAAGAAGTTCCAGCTCTTGGCTTATGTTCCCCATCATTGACTACATTTCCCCAGGCAGGTCTTTTAATGTGGCCATATGCCTCAGTCTTGCCATCTGCAAAATGAAGTCATTAACTGCTGCCTACTGATTCTAAAAGAATTAAGTGCTGATGTATTCTACGAGTAAGCCTTTGTAATGCCATGATCTCATAGAAATAAAGAAATCAAACATATTCAAGATATCCTTATGATTATTACTGTCTCTACATTATATTAAATTATCCCCAGACAAAGATATCCACTAAGCCCATGAACAAGATGAATTCCCAAATCTGTTTTGCTCCATCTAATTTAGTAAAAAAGTGAACGGATTTGGGATTTCATGCACCATGGAATTGAGGGGTGAACAGGGGATGAAGGCAGAACAAGAAAAGCTTCTCAATCTCACCGAGAAAGCATCCCCAGCTCAAATTCCTTCTCATGTCAACAGTCAAGCTTTAAAGTCATGGAAAAACAAATGACTTAAAATGCCAGGAAAGTTAGGATTCCTTTCTTATTTTCCTTTGACTTTATGATTAGCAACTGGTAATCTAAAAACAAAACCTATACAGCAGAGTCAGAATACTGACTTTTAACTATTTTAACTTTTTCTGCTTTCAGTACCCAGGGTTTGCTCACATTTTGGCCAATTCACATTGATTGTTATTGCAACCCCAACCAAACACCAATAGTTGGTGTTAAAGATAAATAAATAAGCCACTACTACTAGTTAATGTAACTTACCATTTCTTAAAGGGAAGGTGAGGAGTAGGGCAGAAAAAGGATAAGATTTAGAGCCAGAAAGACCCAAGTTTGAAATCCAATCACATACCATCTAGATGATGAGCAAGTTACCTTCTCTGAGATTTGGTTTCCTCATCTATAAAATTTGCCTTGTAAGAGTAGTGTAAGAATTAGGGTGAAGGTAGCTAAAACTCCATCACAGTATTTGCCCTGAGTAGTTAGTATATTTTAAATGTTAGAATGCATGCTCTCAATTTACATTAAATTATTTTTCATCCAGGTCTCCATACTCCTACTTCAACAGGCCTTGACCCAACACCAATGACTGGAGGGTAGAGTGAGGGGCAAGGCATCATAATATTCTGGGGAAAAGAGGAAGAAAAAAGGAAGGAGGAAGGAAGAAGTGTTTGGAAACAGCATATTCAACATGACTATCATTTTGTATTAGATTAGTTGGGTTAATTGGGACATGATTTCCAGGTTCCCTATAGAAGCCATGGACCACCTTTCTGGTAGCTTAGATTTTGTTTCAGGTGGGTTGTGGTTTTTGTTATTTTTGTCACCGTTGTTTTAATGAATGTTAGCATCAATCATTGTCAGGCAAAAACAACTTCTAAGCAGACACACTTTTAACAATCAGCATTAACTGTGGCTATAGATTTCCTGGCTGTGTCTGTGCTGCTGCTGCTTATAACGCTGAAGTTCATAAAGGTGAAGACTGTCTGACAGCATACTTCTGGCATTTGAAGATTTCATTTGGCAGTATCGACTGCAGTAAACTGGACACCCACCAAACAACATTGATAAGAGTATCTCTTGTGGCTCTGAGAGGCAGTCTGAGACCCTGAAAAGAGATGTGGGCTCCAAATTCACAACAGCTGGTTCCACCCCTGATTCTACAATGGATTTGCTCTGTGACCTTGGGCATTTTATTAAAGCTCTTTGGCACTGAGCAGCATCTGTAAAATTGGGGCAGTATCAATGTAATACACCTTCTCTTCACAATTTGGTGGCATGGCATTTCTATTACAATCTAGTGAACACCAACAATGGGATGGAAGCTCTACTGAATACAGAATAAATCTTTGGCTGACAAACTGAGCTGGGAAGGCAGGATGCAAACCCAGAGAAAATAAACTCAGTGAAATTACCATGGATTTTACAAATATAGTTTTAGATAGACTGGTATAATGACAATAATTAAGAGACAGGAGGATGCTATGCCCACATCAGAATAAAAGGACAGAGAGATTAGGAACTATAGCTCACCTCTATTTCAACATTCAAAGCTACAATTATGGTGTTTTTGCTGGACCTCACAGCTAGTTCATTTGTATTTTCCTGCCTGATTGGCTGAATTCAAGCTCTGACACATGGCTTTTGGCTCTACCAGTAGGTGCAATCCATGCTATCAAGACAAGTTACATATGCAAATAACCCTCAGCTTCTAGCTCTTATCAGCTGCAAACATAATGGGTGGGGAGCAGGGAGGGAGAGTGGTCCTGTGTCTATTTTTGAATTCAGTGGCCTGGAGCCCAGGGAAATACGGGGACACTTCATTGCCACCGCTACTATCTGATCTATGGAAGAGGGACTGTGGGTATGAGAAAGAAACCCACATTACAATAGGTTAGGACGGACTCATGGAAGTAATGCTGAGTAGGAGCATGTGCTGGATGGAGAAGGTGCATGGACAGACTGGAGGATGGATGAGACTCCTGTCACTGTCTCCCTGAAGTTGTAAAGCAACCCCTTCATAGGCAAGCAAGGTGCAACAAGAGGATTAGATGTGAGAATCAGGGAGTAGAATACAGTGTGACTCCTGGCATTGGTGGAACAGCCCTGATGAGTGCTATTGAAAGTGTGGTCCACAGACTGTGTTACCAGCCCACGGCAACACAAGTACCGAAACTGAGGGTAAACATTTAGGAACTTTTATAGCAGTTTGATAGAGTAATTACATGTTTGTGGAGTCTAATACTAAAAGAAATGAGCTGCTGTTCTATGTCATTTTAAAATTCCATTTTCTAGCACTTTATTATGATTACAAAGCCATTGGTTATGACAAATTTAGAAATTAGATTTTAAAAAGGATCCTTTAGCACATATTGCATGTTGAGAAGCAACAGTCTAGTTCACAACCCACATAATCTCTTCAAATAAAAAGGCTTTGCAAACACATCTATCCAGTCTGTATGTGATCTCAAGTCATCTCAATAAGTACTTCTTAAGCACCAAATAGCATGTTAATAGGAAAGGAAACAAATATAGTGTATATAGATCTAGAGAAAACAACATAACCAGAATATCTGAGTTACCAAAGAGGAAGTTTAGACTCAAGGTATGTAACAGCCTGGGTTTAATTAAGAGACAGTAATTGCACGGTAATTTAAACAGAGAAAGTTTAATATAAAAATTATTAAACTACTGATAAGAGAGTAAATACAAAGATGTAAGGAGCACTCTGAAGGGTACTCTAGGGCTGAGGGAGGGTACCCACTGCAGGATTGGACCTCACTAGAGAACATGAATGGTCGAGAAGTTTGCTGGGTTCCCAGAGCCAGAGTTGGCTCACAGTTGTGAAGTAAGCGGGACACAACCCTCCAGGGAGCAGGTGAGTTGATGCTGGGGGCAGGCACACAGAGGTAGGTGGGGCATCCCAACGTGAGCCTTAAGAGGACAAAGTTACATTGGGAGGGCCACAGCAAGGTGGTTACCAGGCCCAGGCCAGGGCTGCAAGGTGGCCAATGAACTGCACACTCTGGGCACACATGGGTGGGACAGAGCTGAACTACAGATGCACCCCCAACCCCCAAACCCTGCTCCCACCCTCATGCCACTGCTGATGGGCCATGCATCAGCAAGCATCAAGAAGGAAAAGGATGTGCACCAGAACCAGAAGCCCCCTCCTCCTGCAGGGTCCCTCCAGCGCCCTCTACTGGCTAAGGTTAACATCATGCTCTCTGAAAAGGAGAAATAGCGCCGCAGTCCATGACGTCAAAAGAGGAATAGAAGGCTGAATTTGGAGCTGACAGACAATACACTGATAACTGGCACAAGGTTAGAAAGAACAGAATTGCAACTCGGCCGGGCACGGTGGCTCACGCCTGTAATCCCAGCATTTTGGGAGGCTGAGGAGGGCAGATCGCTTGAGGCCAGGAGTTCGAGACCAGCCTGGCCAACATGGTGAAACACCATCTCTACTAAAAATACAAAAATTAACCGGGTGTGGCAGTGCATACGTGTAATCCCAGCTATTCAGGAGGCTAAGGCAGGAGAATCGCTTGAACCAAGGAGGTGGAGGTTGCTGTGAGCTGAGATCACACCACTGCACCCCAGCCTGGGTGACACAGTGAGACTGTCTCAAAAAAAAAAAAAAAAAAAAAAAAAAAAAGAGCAACTTGAGCTGAATGAAAATGACTCAAGAGGCATGGCATTTTCCAAAACAGAAGTAATCCTTCAGAGGTCTGAACTTTTAATTAAGCATCTACTGGGCACAGGGTAGGGTATTCAAGCTCTGAGACTACAGAGGGGAACACGTGATGTTGGAGTGCTCTTCCCTTGATAAATTGTAGCTTGTCTTTCCATATTCCACACACAGCCATCCTTCCCTTTATAAAATCCTCACCAATCTGTGACATTGACAACATGGTATGATGGCTTTGGAGTTGAACAGACTTAGAATTCAGACTCTGTCACTTTTAAGTGGTGTAACTTTGGGTAAGTAACTTTGCCTCTCTGATTTTCACTTTTCTCAGGTAGAAGTAGGATTAATAATACCTACCTTGAAGGCTTATTGCAAGCTTTAAAAGCAATATATTATATAAAACACCAAGTACAGTACCTGAAAATTAGTAGGTGTTCCATGAATGGTAGCTATCACATGTTGCTGTCAGGTACAGCAAATGATGAGAAAAAGTATTTGAGCTAAGATGTGTCCCTGACACTCCAAGAAAACATGCTGCTATGCTCTACAAGAAACATGGATGCAGCTAAAATGCTAGAAATAAAGCCAAGATGGTGTCCTCCATGATTGAACTAATTGACTAGGTCATTCTGCCATGATCTAACATGGCAGAATGCATAATTGACCCCAGTTCTTTTCCCGACACTGCATTTGCCTTTCAGCCATGACCTCATAGTGAATAGTTACTTCCCTGCTTCTTGAAGTTGGGCCTAATTATGTGACTTTCTTTGGCCAGTTGGAATCTGGTAGATATAATGCAACTTCTGCTTGGGCTTGAATTGTGCTTGCATGGCTGGATGTGCCCTCTTGTATTTCTGTCATCTCCATGGGAAGAAAAAGCCTTGATTAGCCCACAGGTCCCAATAAGAGCATAAGAGATGCGTGAACCAGAGCCACCTAGCCAACCTCCAAACTCACACATGAGAATATTGTTTAAACCACTGAGTTTTGGCCAGTTTGACAATAGCAAACCTATACACCTATTAACCTGTGAGAGATACTGCTGAACATATTCTTGCTTTGGGCAGAAATGTTGACCAAATGACTTCAAGGTTATTACCAACTACAAGATTTTATAATTTTCATTTTTATTCATCCATCTCGTAGGTACCTTGAGGAATATAAACAGACTATTTCACATCTCTACCTCTGAAAAGCCACACTCTAGTAATATGGACCAGGGGTCAGCAAACCTTTTCGGTTATGGGCCATATAGGAAATTTTTAGGCTTTGCAGGCCAGTCTTTGTCACACTGCTCTACCACTGAAGCGCAAAAGCAGCTATAGACAATACCTAAATAAATAGGTGTATCTGTGTCTCAATAAAACTTTATTTATGAAAACAAGCAAAGGGCCAAATTTGCTCTGAAAGTTTTAGTGTATGGGCCACCGGTATACACAAAACTGATACACAGGAAGCAATTTCAGAGCAATGTATGATGTCATAATTAGCATTTTTAAGGCAAAAACTGCAATAACTTTTGCACCAACCAAATACATTTTGTTTACTTTAGTACTTACAAGGTAATATGTGCCAGACACTATTCTAGGACTTACAGATATTTACTTAGTCCTCATAATAACTCAGTAGGTCTTACTGTCCACATTTTACAGATGATATAACTAAGGCACAGACAGGTTAATAACTTGCCCTAAATCAAAAGCTGTAAAATGGTGAAGCTAGGTTTTTAACCTTGGAATACAGACTCTAGAACCCTCTCTTTTAACCATTTTGTGATGATGCCTATGGTTACAGAACATAAATAAATATAGCTAACTTTCACTGGGGAGCTTACTATGTGTCAGACATCATGCTGAGTATTTTATATCCCTAATCCCTTTTAATCTTTAATACATGTCTGTGAAACAGATATTATAGCTATTCACTCTTTTGGAGATAAGGATATTGAGCTCAGAGAGATTAATTATCTTGCCTAAGGCCACACAGCAAGTAGGTGGTTTTGCTTCCAGGTGCTCTGCTTCTAGACCTTGTGCTTATAACCATCCAGCTATCTCTTTTTGGAGGAATTAGGGAAGAGCACAGCAGTCAGGTTAATTAAGGAAGGCTTCAGGAGACACAAGGCCTAAGCTGGGCTCTAAGTTTGGGATTTGAATAGCAAAAGGTACACAGCAGGATTTGTCTTATTTGATGCACAAAGTTTTTATTGGCTTTTGTTTTTTCTTCCACATCCTTAAAAATCTGGAGAGTTTATATAAAATCTAGATTTCTAGCATCTAAAAATGCAGAAGATATGTCAAGACTGGACCACACTGTGGCATGGCGGTGTCCAATCACAAGGGCCTCGAGGTGGCCATGCCCTTTAGACCTCGTGTGCCATCTCCAGTTTGTCATGCTCCCCACCATTCCCTATTGCTCACACCCATCTAAATGTGGAGGTAAGGAAGAAAGCATGAGGAAAGGCATGAAAGCAGAGATTAGTATAGCATGTGTGGGTGTGTGGGGCTGTGTGCACACACGTGTGTGTGTGTGTGTGTTTACAGTTCCAGTCAGGAAAGAAAAATAAGACAGAAGCGACGGAAGGCATTGTTCAGGGCACAGTGGGGGAGTTTGGTGGGAGTCTGGAAATTTAATAAAGGATGGACAGTGAATGACTCCCCTCAAGAGTTGCGGTCCTGGGGGTATGGCATTTTTAAAGTTGAATTGGGTAAGAGAGATTATGCAGGGGAGAAACAGGTAGCAAGAAGAGTTGGGAGGACAGGGTAATGACCCACAGAGGAAGCAGTAAGAGCCTTAGACTACGAAAGAGTCCCTATTTCTGCCTGGTTGAGCCAAGAAATATTTAACACCTTGTCTGGCTTTATTTACCTAAGTAGTCCCTGGGATAGCAAACAGAGTGGGAAAAGGTGATGTTTAGGCTAGAGGGCTGATATGGGAAAGAGCTGAGTTTTCACTACTTAACAGATGGGGGAGATTAAACAAGAGAGTGTTGGCAAATAGAGAAATGTCACAAGAGGAGTCTGCAATAACAGCCTCAAGCCACTGGTGTCTCTTTTCTTGTCTTTTCCTTCCGCACAGTCTGCATATAACCACCCACTCCTTGCAATTCCTGGACATTTAATAAAATAATGTATGTGAAAGCAGTTTGCATAGAGCTAGGCACATAGCAGGTGCTCAACAAATACTAGTCTGAATCTGAGTCTGAATCGAGATAGACATTTCAGCTTCCCGATCTGTATTTCTGTCAGGTCTATAAAATGAACTTCAGCTATAATAGATTCAGTACTTAGAGGGTATTACTGCAGCTCCAGAGGAAGGAGACCACTAATGAGGAGAAACTGCGGCAAGAGGAAGAGGATGAAAGAGTAACACATACTTTCATTCCTGCAGGAAATAATTGCCCAGAAATAGCATAAACTTTCCCAAGTTGAAAAAGAATACTGTACTTTAAATTCCCTCTAAAGCACATGATCTAGTGATGGCATTTTCACTTGAGCTGAATCGTTTGGCACAGTAAATACAATTACAACCAAAGTCAATATACTTTTTCTGTCACGCATTTCCTTTCATCAATGGGTTTCAAAGGGTTGGTGTCAGTATGGGGTTGAAATGCTCCTACTCAAAGTATCTAAGTTATGGGAACATGAAAAAGTTCTTCCTCCATGTTAATTTTTGTTAATGGGAACAGTGTGATATAGTAGAAAGAGAACTAATCTAAAAATCAAGGATTCTAATACTAACCCTGCCAGGTATTGTAGACTTTGGGCAAGTCAGTTTGATTCTCTGGAGCTAAGATTCTCCCTCTAAAAAAGGAGGGCATTCAATGAGATCAGTGGTTTCCAAATCTAGCTGAATATTAGAAGCACCTGGGGGAACTTTTAGAGACACAGATTTCTGGGCTTCCAACCTGTTACTCAGGATATCTAGGGATGGAGCCAACATCAAGCCCTTAATGAAAGCCACAATGTCTCAGTGACATACATCCACAAGTATTTAGGTCAGAAGTCTGTGGACTTGCAGACATCCACTCACCTTGCCTGGGCCAGATAGCTTTGCTGGTCTTGGTTGGCTCAACCACATCTAGGGGTCAGCTGGAAGTTGTCTGATGAGAGCTGGATTCTGCAGGAGTAGCTCAGCTTGAATACATATGTATCTTATCCTACTGCAGGGACCAACATGCTAGATTGGGCACATCTTCTCATGGCAACAGCGGAGGTGCAAAAGAGCCAGCTTTAATTCACGAGCTCATTGTATGCCTCTACTACATTATGTCTGTTAACATCCAGTTGGCCAAAACAATGCCTAGGCTAATATTAGAGGGAGGAAGTGTGTTCTTCCCAAGGAAGTTAGCAGAAAGGAGTGAATATTTTTGAAGAATAATCCAATCTATCACAGGATGCCAAAAAAATAGTAATTTTTTTTTATCCCAGGTGACCTGGATACACAGGAATAAATGATCTAAGGTATTTTTGAATTCTAACATCCTAAGATGCTTTAAATTGATAGAGAGACACTGAAATCAGGTGGAGGAGAAGATAATCTGGGTGAAATTAATACTTATCACCATCAACCAAAAGCCTTCATTGATGGCACAGAAGATGAGGGGCCAGTGAGTTGAGAAAAACATGAAAAAGACTAATCTTCCTTCCATAAGCATCTATTCTCTTTCAAGGACTTAATCTGAGCTTCCTCACTTTGTTCCTGGCAAAACCCCTTAGTGAAAAGTTATTATTTTCATCTTTTTTCTTCTTCTTTTAGTTGAAGGATGTGGCACAGAAAGCTGAATCCTCCTGCTTAAGGCACACAGCTCACACAGGGCAGCACTGGTACTCTAATCTGTTTAGGCTCCAGAGTCTCTGCTCCCTTCACTGAACCTACAACAGGGTGTTCTGACTAGGGCCTAAGCCAGTGTGCAGAGGTTAGCTGTTCAAATCCAAACCCCGGGAGACTGACACTGCCTGGAAACCCTGAAATCTCTGTGCTTCCCATCGAAGGGTTTGCATCTTTACATCTCTTGTGGCACTTACTTAGTTTTTTTTTATAACACAGTCACTTACCACCTGAGAGTGTTTGGGCAAGTTGTTTATCTCTCTGTGCCTCAGTTTTCTCTTCTATCAAGTGGGCATAATAGGAACTGCCTCAGAGGGTTGCTCTAAGAAGTAAATGAGTCAATATTCCTGTCACTATATATTGTGTAGATGTACAAAGTCTGGCACATGGTACGTGCTACTTAGGTGTTTGTTAAATAAATAATGGCCTCTTTTGTGCACAGGTCTTGCGTACAGGATATACAGCAGTGGTCCTCAAAGTATGTTCCACAGACCTCATCCCACATCCAGTATATAAGAAACTCTGGGGCTGGGCCCCAGCAATCCATATTTGAACAAGTCCTCCAGGTGATTCTCAGGCCTGCTAAAGTATGTTAAGAATCTTTCTGTCCTCTGGCTCTTATTCCATATCTCAATAAATAAATGTCAAATAAATTAATGGTATTTGACAATTATTGAATCTTCCCATCTATTAGGAATACTCCAGGCACTTTTAACCCTCTCAATCACCATTGGAGGCAGTTGCTATTATTATTCCCAGATGAGGAAACTGAGGAACAGGGTAACAGCTAGTAAACTGGCAGATGTGGGATTTGAACCCTTCCATCTAATGCCAGAACCCATGCTCTTCAACCTCACATGACAGGGCTGAACAAAGTCTATTGAATAAATCAGGAGCAGCTATTACCCACAAAGCTCTGGCTTTCAATACAAACCCACCAACCATGACCACCCACCTGCCACAGGGAAGTTGAGAAGGGTAGACAGCAGTTGCTCTTCTCCAGGATCAGAGATCACTATAGTGTCTCCTGTCTGCTGGGGCCACAGTCTCTGCCTTGCTGGTCACTATTTGCCACCTGCCAAGACCTCCCCAATTGTGCTTGACCCTTCCCTCTGTGGCTGTCTCCCTAGACTCAGTGTCTCTGTGTTTAGACCTCTGATATTCTGGATTCCTCCAGACTTTATTTCTTTGGTTTCTAACTAGACCTGAGTTTTCTACCAGGCCCCTTCCACATGTCTGATCTCTTGTCTGGCCAGCATTGCGCATGCCTGGATGACTGCAGAGAAATTGTTTCCTGACTCCTGAGAAGAACAGCACACTCCTAAACATATTAAGAGTTTCATAAGAGACAGCTCATTTAGCTAATTTTTAAACTGCATTATCAACTCTATTTGTGCCTGCTTCTTAATATGCAGGAAATGGAATCTCCTGGCTCATAGCAAAGAGGCCATCTCTAAAGGGCAGCTGTTGAATCCCTGAATGTGTATTTCTTCAGAGACAGTTATGTGAGATTAACCTTCTCCATCCACTCACTGCCATTTGCTCCGGAGCCATCTCAGCCTTCCCCTGGATTCTGAGCGCTTTGATCAGCCACAACACACATGGTTGCTTGTAAAGCACTCTCACCAAATCCAGGAGTCGGGTGGCGAGTCACAAATGAAACTTTAATCTCACCTGGGATACAGGCCAGCTACGCTAGCAAAAGAATCAGAAAAGAAAGGAGTCGGGCTTAAAAGAGGCACCACCTGCCCTCCCTGGCCCTCAGAAATAGGCCTCAGACCAAGTAGGGAAGACAGACAGAGAATGCCTGTGCACATATGCTGTCAAGAAGGGCTCGCGGATGCCGAGGAAAGCCCAGAGGAGACAGCAGCTGCTTTTGTTTCCTTGGAGGCAGCGCCCAGTAGGGAGTGGGTCAGACAGGAGCCAGGAAGACAATTACTAGAAAGGCATTCCCTGGTGTTCTAATGAGGCAATTAGAGCCACTGAGTTTGAGACTGTAAGAGCAGGACGGGGCTCTGAAGACCCCCCTCGCCCAACCCCCTCATTTTACAGAAGAGGCAACTGAGGCCCAGAGAGGGAGATCCCAGAGTGACAATGCCAATTAGGGCTGGGACTGGGACCCAGGTCTCCAGCCACCACAGTGCCCTGCCTCTGCCAGAATCAAAACCCACCCGCCAGAGGACATGCACTTGAGGTCAGTTGAAGGGGAAAAACAGGCCAGGACAAGAATTGTGTTTTTACTCCGAGCAGCTTGGGTGGGAATTTCTTTCAGGAGGCACAGTCCACGTTCAGGAGGAGACCAACAGCTGAAAAAGAAGTCTGGGGTGGGAGTGGGGAGGGACAGACGAGGGAATGGCAGGGTTGGGGAGTGGCTGTCTCGGCCACCAGGAGGCTGTGACTTTCACCTGCCTGTGTGATGTACAGTGTCATATTCCTACCACCTTATGCAAAGATGTTATTTGTCTCTGCATTTCTATGGAGCCCATCTCCAGTGTTCTCAGGGGATCCTAGGAGGGGAAGAGCCCCAAGATGCCTGGAGTCTGGAATTGCGAACGACCTCCCAGGCTCAGAGGCCACCGAGCCTCACAGGGTTTCCTTAGTTCTTAACAAGTCCAATAAATCTGCTAACAAAGAGTGGAAGAAAGGACCTGAAGAATGCGCCCTGCCTCTGCCCCCCTCCCTGCAGGCCAGTGTCCAGAGTCATGCCGCCTCCGCATGCTCCCCGCTCCTCTGCCACCCGCCCTCCCTGCACGCTTGTCTGCCTGAATTGCCTCTTTGTGTGCCCGTCTCCTGGAGCGGGCTCGGCAATTTGCATCTTTGCTGTTCTCCTTTTAAAAATGACAGAAAAACACTCCGCAGAGTGGAGCTTGCCCAAGCGGAGCTTCTGCTGACAAAAACAGGGGCACAGAAGTCAGCTTGACATTCTGCCAAGTGTGGCCCCTCCTGTCTCCTCCTCCATGCCAAGAAGTAGACTTTAATCAATAAGTTTCTGAGAGGGGGCAGTGAGGAAGAGATTGAAGGAGAAAAAGCACAGATCTTCTCACCGTGCACAATTTAGAAATCATTTCTATGCACAAATTCTTGTGCAGGAGTCATGGAGATCAATGGTAAGCCCTTTGTAGTGGGTTTTCTTTCCTTCTCTTTCTAGCCTTTAAAGGATGAAGGAAGAAGAGAACTATATTTCTTATGAATTATGCACTTTATCATAATTAATTCTTCAACATACCAATGCTCTTATTGTTATAGATGGAGCTGCTGTGAATTAGAGAGGTTAAATATTTCATCCAAGGACACATCTTAGGTACTGAAGATTCAACACCCATATGTTTTTCCATATACCTGTTGCCTCTCTGGCTTTTTAAAGCTGCTATATTTAGAAATACCTAGCAAATATGGTCACTCAAAAGCCTACCTTTCCTTCCAATTAAAAAGATATGCCAAAAGGATCTCTTCTATTTATCTTTTTTACAGAACACACCCTTTAGCACTTTCTGCTGTCAGTTACATGGCTCATTCTCCATTGACAGACAGAATAGAGGAATTCACTGGAAAGGAGAACCACTTCACAGCAACGTTTTACAAGAAGCCTGATGGTGGGATGGAGCCCGTCATTCATATTAATGAGACATGCATGGAAGTGGCAATGAGCATGTGGAGTGTGGCTAAAAGAAATGTGGTTCTTCACTTGGAGCTGATGTGAAACACAGGCAATCTGTTGGCCTGTGAGTCCATTTGATATATTTGTAAGAGTGGCAGTTTCTTCTTCAGGGTTTTCAAGCACCAAGAAAATAATCTCACATAATATAAAACAGATAATCCAAGCTTCAGTAGGGTTCAAGTGGAATCAGGCTCCAACCTCCCGTTTCTAAGTAGCAGTAAGCTCCACCACCCAGTCCACCAATAGCTGGGCTTGGTCTTCATTCACCTTCTGTGAAGTGCATCCACATTTGTACTTGGGAGCAGGAACCCAGGGCATTATGGTGGCTGGGACCTCCATGTGCCGAAAGAGTGAAATGGCCAACACCAGAGGGCCAGGATTGGGTTGGCTATTTCACTCTTTCAGCACATGGAGGTCCCAGTGCTGCATTGGGGTATACCACTGGGGTATCGCCTGACTTGCTTTTCAAGGTCTGTGGGAGATGGTGGAAGGTTCCAAGCAAATCATCACAGCTACCTTCTCAATTGCTGATCCTGTTAAGTGAAATGTAACAGTGCGTGACTAGGCCAGGGCAAACTCTGATAGAACTTGGCACTTCCACATGCAAAATATTTTATATTCAAGTTAATTGATATGGGACCTCCCACTTCCATATCACAGGGTTAAGCTTCCATTTCCAGGCAATGCTCTTGAGATAAGTTTTCTTCTCACGTAGGTGGCTGCCCAGGAGGATGCCCAAAGCTTAAAGGGAGGCAACTCTCATGCTAAAATCTCAGAGCCCTGGATGGAGGGAGTATAACTTGGAAAACATGTATTTCAAAACTTCCTTTGTTTTGCAAGGAGTGGGGGCTATTTTTAAGAGATTTTTATGAGTGTGACAGCAAGTGCCAACCTGCTTTAAAGTTCTGGTATCAATGGGGACCATCAGATTGGAAAGAGGGCATTCTACCTCCCTGTATGGACTGAAGCTCCACTACCCTACCCCAAGAAAAGCCTTTTGGCAAATGTATGGAGATAACAGGCTAGGCAAAGACACTGGATTTTCATGAATTCCTAGCATAGTGCCTGCATATATCAGTACTCAACTAATGTTTGTTGTAAGAATGAATGGTTAGGATTCTCAGCAATGGCAGCTGGGAGCTTTTGTCTCAGGCAGAAGCAAGTAAGTCTGAAAGTGGAAAAAAAGAAAGTGCATAGAGCATAATGAATGCAACTGACAGGCCAGAGAGGAGACCTATGGGAAGCATTCCTTTTTGGGTCTCTAGAAACAACTAGGGGCAATCTGTGTGTACTGGGGAAAGTTGTTCAAGTGTTGAAGACTGTGGCCAGGTGAAATATACACACACGCACACACTCACGTACACACACGTGTACACATACACGCACACATCTTTTTCAAGCTTTAAAGAGTAAATGTTCCTTAGTCCTATCTTTACAAGTTAAATAAGTAAATAAATAAGTACAAGCTCAACCTTGCCCAAAATATAATAGATTTTAAATCCGTGAGGATACCATTTTCTTTAGGAATACTAAGGTACACGATATCAAATTATTAAAAACTATTAAATTTTTTCAAATTATGTCTAGCACCAAAGTGTGAACAACAAATTGAGAATAAAGATTCTAAAGCATCAAACTTGAAAGTAAATAATAATAATTTTTTAAAAAGAAGGTGAAAGCAAAAAGTAAGCTTTCAGTCACTCTGTAAATTATTTTCTTTCATTTCTAGACTGAGAGGAACTTCTTTTAAAAGCCAAGAACAAGAATACCACCCAAAGACATCTGTTCCTCTCATCCTTTAGTGAAGTGCAGATGGAGATTCCTACATGGTTTTGGTAAGAGGAATTGGTCATGCTTATTAGCCTGGGCAGATTTAGGTTTCAAATAATAAGCTAAATTGAGAACTACCAAGAGACCAACATTTGCAAAAGCTGCACTGTAGCCTGAAAAGGGACATGCCAATTTTAGATTAATTAAAAAGGTGATTAAATTGTTCAGATGGCATGTTAATGAGCAATCTGCAGAGTGCTCAGTCAACAACCACACCTCCCAGCCTTAATTACAGGACCCTTATTGAAAAGGATCTGGGCGAGCCCACAAAGGAGCTAGAAGAACATCCATCTTGAATATAATATGAATATGGTCAACCCAGGACAAATCCCATGAAGAAAGATGGTAGTTAAGCTTGTAATATAAATTCTTTCAGAAGAAAGGTAATGCTGATTCTAGCCAGCTTCGAGGCACTGAGATATTAGAATTAATTAGAGATACAACAGATAATGTGCCTTTATATTTCGGACCCAATAGGTTCAAGTGCCTTGTAATATTTTACCAACCCATATTTTTCCCAAGGCCTGGTGACAAAATTAGAAGGCTTAAATGATTGTTTCTGTTACATAAGGTTTACATAAATTTATACGTCAAAACATTGTAATATCTACCACCTAGTTCAGCATTCAAATGCCGGAAAAAGATACTATCTCTGCCAGGATGAGTAATTTTCAAAGTGTGGGCTACATGGGGCCACTTAATGACCCTCAGACTGATCTATAATTGCAACTCCCTGCTTTGGTTCTTTTGGGTGAATTATCCATAAATCCGTAGGCTTTAGGTTATACAAACAGCCAACGTTTATTTTCTAGTAAATTCCTAAACCAATTGTTAATGGTTACTAAAATTTGGCGTTCACGAACTAAAACTAAGAAGCTCCTAGAATTTATTGAGAAATATAATACAATATTCTTCTACAAAGTCTACCTCACGGTGCTTGGCAGGGATGAAAAACTTCTATTGCATATGAGCGCTTGCAGATTACCGGACATCCCACAAAATTCTGGAGGGGTAATTTATTTTCATCGTATCAGAAATTTTCTCGAGTTGGTCATGATTTGAATAGCTACTATTATTCCTTCTGAATTTAAAATTACTATTAGTTTATTTTTACCTTTATCAAGGTTGTTTGTTGTGAGTTGTTTGGTTCTTCTTATACACTGACACGTCTTTATCATGATGCTGTGCTGTGGGCTTTTTTGACTTTTGATAGTTCAATAAATTTCCCCAAACTAGTGTTGCCAGGTCTGGAAAATAACCAGTTAAATATGAATTTACCTAGACAACAAATAATTTTTAATTTATGTTTCAAATATTACATGAGATATGCTTATACTAAAAAAAAATACTTGTTCATTTGAATTAAAATTTAATTGGGTGTCCTGAATTCTACCTGGCAACTGCATTTCAAGCAATGTAATTTATTGAGAAAAGTAAAAAAAAAAAAAAAGTGGTGATACAGAGTTTGTCTTAAGTGCCAGATCAGATAGGTATTGGCTGTCAGAAAAGTTCTGAGACTGTCAAGTCTGGTTCAGTCAGGGAAAAAAAAAAATGACCATGATTGATTAGTGATGTCTGCCGCAGACAAGGCACAAAGAGTCACTGACTTGGGTGCTGAATTTTTGCTATCCCTGCCTTAGTGGCTAAAGTAGAACTATCTTGCAAAGTCCTACTAGCAGCTATCCATTGATTGTGTCACTCCTTTGCTCAAAACCTTAAAATCCTTTAATACCTTCCGTTGCTCTTAGGATAAAGACCAAAGAGAGTTCTTAATGTTGTTTTCAGAGTGCTAGCTCCTGCCAACTGCTTTAGCATAGTCTTTTGCCACGTTCCCTGTCACTTTCTGTGTTCCAGCCTCCCTGGCCTTGGTAAGTGTCTTTCATTGCCTGGAAATCTCTTCATCTTCTTTACTCAAGTATCTTCTGCTCATTCTTTAAATCCCAGCTCCTCAGGTAAGCTTTCTAACACACAGAAAAAATCAAGAATCATTGAACATAGACTCATTGCAACTATACTATCACGAATTATCGCAGTTTGTGATAATTTTTTCGTGTCAATATTTGATTAATGTATTTTTTCCATGACTAAATCATAAAATTCTTGAAGGGAGGGGCAGTCTTGGTTTTATTCACCATTTTATCGCCAGAATCTAGCACAATGTCTTCTGTATACTATGTTTCAATTATATATCTGTTGAATGAATTAATTCATTTAAATAATCCCAAAATGAATGCATGTTTTGGCCTAATGAGTTCAATATTATAAAAAAATCTTAGTTGTCCATTTAAAAGGAAATTAACACTTTTTTCTTTTACAGGCCATAATTACAAACTTATTTAGAGCTCTCCAAATGTAATAAATAAAATGAGCATTATATCTCTCAATAATAATCAGAATAACTCTTTTATTTATACAGTTGTCATCAATACCTTCAAGTGTTTCCTTCAGAAAATCCTTTGGTGGAGAGTTTAATACAGTAGGGAGGAAGCTTTTAGGTATGTATAATATTTCCTTTTCTGTCATTAAATATTAAAACTTTTGTTGGAATGCATTCTAAGCATCATCTTTGGTAAAGATTTTATTCAACTCACCCATCTGCAGTGACTTTGATATGTTAACTTGGCTAGGCTATAGCCCCCAGTTACTCAATCAAATGATAATCCAGCTGTTTCTGTGATGACCTTTTGCAGATGTAATTCAGTCCACAACCAGTTGAATTTGGTAAGTCTAAAAAAAATTCAGGATTTATGTTTGTATATTATGGGTAGGACTGATTCAATCAGTGGGAAGACTCAAAAAGCAGGGCTGAAGCTTGTCCCAAAAAGAAAAGATAGTCTGTCTGTGGATAAAAGCTTTGGCCCATACCTGTTGAGTTTCAGCTTCACAGATTTCAGATTGCTTAGCCAGCCCCCACATTCATGTGAGCCAATTCCTTAAAATAAATCTCCTAATATATATATGAGATTTATTAAATATATATAAGATATATATATGTGTGTATGTATATATATATATATATATATATATATATATACTGGTTCTGCTACTGTGGTTGAGCCCTGACTGACACACACCAGCCAGTGGTGCTCACAAATGGTTTGTCAAGAATATGAAAAAAAAAAAAAAAAAAAAAAGATACTTCAATGAGTAGTACGGAGCTCAGAGCAATGCTGATTGCAGAACTTTTGTAATCCAGGCTCCCCTTGCCTCAGCCCCACCCCAAACCACCTACAAGTGCAAGAAAATCCAAGGTATAACTTTTAAAGTAGACCAACACAAACTTATTTAAAAAAATTATAGGAATAACAATATGGGGAAAAATACAGCTGCTGGTTCTAGAACTCATTTCCAGAAAACCCTTATCTTTGTTGGGAAGAGACTTTGATGAGCCGCCTTAGAGTAGATATGAATTCTGAATGTTGATAGAACTTTTCTTTATGAGGGAAAGGGAACTACTTAGTGGTACTGGAGATGTAACAGAGGGTGACAAGTGGTAGGGGGTGGTAACAAGAAGGCAGACAGTCACATTTTGCTATGATCTGAATGTTCATGTCACCCCCAAATTTGTATTTGGAAATCCTAACCCCAAAGGTGATAGGATTAGGAGATGGGGTTTCTGTAGGTGATTAGATCATGGGGGTGGAGCCCTCATGAATGAGATTAGTGACCTTATCAAAGAAGTTCCAGAGAGCCACCACCTGAGGATGCAGCAAGAAGGCTCCATCTGTGAACTAGGAAAGGAGCCTCTAGCAGATGCTAAATTTATTAGTGTCTTGTTCTTGGACTTCCCAGTCTCCATAGCTGTGAGAAATAAGTTTTTGTTGTTTATAAGAAACCCAGATTATGGCATTTTGTTATAGTTTTCTGAACAGACTAAGACACATCCCCTATGACTGAACCTTTTATTTATTCCCTATCCCATTCCCTGACTCTTTGATAAAGTTACTAAACTCAAGCACAAGTAGACTTTTTAAGAAGCCAAGGAAGAAACTGGACAGCATGCAGTTTGGAATGGCAGCATGAGTGGCCGTGGGAGTGGGTAGGGGGAGAAGAAAGAAAGAGTTCTTCTTTCTTTCTTGCAGAAAGAACTAAGCCCACCCCTTCCATTCCCCTCTCCTCTCCTTCTTCCACCATCACCCCCAGCAAGATAGGGAAGGATGTAAATGCATGCTGAGCCATGGAACTGCGGTCACTGGGAAGCTTATTCAGATCCCCTCTGTGGGATTGGTTAACCTCTAATTACCTAAGTATGATGCCATTGTTTCCTTCTATCACATACTTAGGCATTTCCAGGAAACTGAAGTCTTTACCTAATTGGCCTAGTGTTAAATTGTTGACAGGTCATTGTAAAATCCCTAAGGCAGCAGCCAAATATCAAATTGGCTAATTAGCAACAAAATATTTCAAATATTGTTATAATCTATAGCAGGTTGTCAGAATGGCAAATTCTCCTCTTCCTCAGCATACACATTCAGATTCCACTTTTGTCTTCATGTCCTTTAAAAATAAATATTTACAAGCCACTAAATGTATTTAAAATGTCCTACCTTTGTTGAACCCTTGGAAATTGTTTCCTATTAAGGTTTTCTCATAAGTGTTTACCAAAAGAAGCAAGAAAAGAATGTTCTCTCTTCTAATAGCCATGGCTACACTCACTGGAATTTCTTGAATGCAGCTTCACTTACCTGGTTTCCTCCCCAGCTGTGAATATGGTTCCCTGGAGACAAGGTAAAGGCTGACCAGAAACGCATTCCTATCTGTGATCCGTGGCAGTGTTATTTTTTGGTGCCTGTTCAGTTCAATTCAACTAATATTTATGATCTAGACTCTGTGCTAGGTGATAGCAACATAGAGATGATTAATGTACAGCTTCTGTGTTCTGTGAGTTCAACATCTAAACAATGAAATGCCATTTGTGTGATAGGGGTATAATAGAGGCAGAGAACAGGGGAGAGAGTGGCTGGCTCCATCTGTGGTGGGTGTGAGGTCAGTGAAGATTTCACCCAGGCAGTATGATAAAATGACAGAATTTGAACTCCATCGGTTGGAAATGTAAAAGTTAAGGTGCATCTTAACCAGTATTAAAAGGCTCAGAATGGAATGGACAGAGAAACCTTAAACTAGAGAATTTTAATAGGCAGCTAATTCTCATTAGCAGCTAATTCCACAATCATGAGGAACTGGGAGAGGAAAGGGCACTCAAAAAGAAATGGATAAAGTACACTGTCCTTTCAGTGGTTTATAATTAAAGAATTTCTAACATGGCAAGACATAGCCCTGTAGAGTCAACCTTAGTTCCTGGGGCAGCTAGATGCCTTGAAAGTCAGCATTTTAAAGATGAGTAAGAATCTGGTGTGTGTGTCTTTGAGGAAACAGCATTCCTGTCTTGTTCTCTGACCTAGACCAGTGCTATTGTATCTAGTGCCTTTGTTCTCAGTTGCATTCTCATCACCTTCATATAGAAGGTGCTCAATAAATTATGATAATGAAAGCTATCATCTCTTGAGCTCAGATTTCATTGTATCAGGTTTGCTCTCTCATGGAGATTAACAAATCTGGCTAAGTAAAAAATCTTGAACTAGGAATGTCACAGAAAACTTACATTCCTAGAACTTATGTTCAACATGCAAGTACACACTCTCCTTGGGGCACTTCATTCTTGTCATGGTTTTAACTACAATATATATGTAGATGACCTCCAAATGCTTACATGCCAAGAAAAACTATTATAGGAACACAACTTATGAGCTCTACTTTTTTTTTAAAGATTTATGGAACATCCAAATGATGAAAATAAATTAATTCCAATGACTATGGTAACACACATTATGTAGGTTTTGCAGGGAGAATTTAATTTTAGCAATATTTTGCTATACATTTTGTTATATAGCATTCATTGAGTTTTTGCTTAGGGCACAGAAATTAGAACCATAAGTCACAAATATTTTGGTATTCTACCAATAGTGGTTTCTCCTCTGTCTCTTTCTCTCTCTCTCTCTGTACGTGTGTGTAACTAGACACATACAAAAAAGTTAAATGACCTAAATCATGTTAGAAACCTTGCAAATCTTGCAATGAAGCACAAACATGACATGATGCAGGCATAAAAAGCATGTTTTACTATGACACCGACCTTGCAAAACAAAATAGTACATTTTGAATGACAAAAGCAGATGAAAATATGTTTAAAGCAGGTCCATTTAGGCTAACATCAATCTATTTACCAACCACCCCTTCTTATAATGGTTTCTCATAGATAGCATCATAGAACTAATAACATAATCTGGAATCCAAATTTAGTAAGGCTATAAATAGCTAATTATTCCAAATTATGGGCTTACAGGGTTATTTGCTCTTTCTAAGGAACCTGTCTTCTAAAAAGCAAAGTTCACAAAGTAGAAAAGTATACATTAATGGAGAGAAAAAAAATAGAGAAAGATAGAAGGAGTTGAGAGGTTAAGTTACTTATCCAGGAACCCACAAGTGGAGAATTATCAAAGCAATATTTAATCCCAGGTCTGCCCATTGAGTATGGGAAGGTGGAAGAAAGTAAAGATACTTTGGAAGTTGGACAGCTTGATATCCCAGGCAGGTAGAAGCCTTAGTTTGGATTATTCCCTTCCTATGCCCTTTTCTTAAAACACAAGAAACATCAAGCACGAGAGCTGATTTGTGTTTCTCATTTTTTTCTTGCCCAATGTCTGACACAGGTACTGCTGAAAAGGAAATAGCTTTGAAACGCAGTTTTATAAAATACCAAATAAAGTTATGACAAGAAAACTGATGATCCACAAGCCAAAAAAATGAGTTCCTGATATGCTATGACCTTTATTGAAAACGTGTTACTTGTTAACACTGGTATTTGCCCAAGTGTGTTGGGGAGGGCGCTAGTTCTAAAGATGGTGTGCATGCATAATACACACACACACACACACACACACACACACGATTTCATCATCAAAAGAGTAAAAGAGTTTGGAAAACGCTTTTGATTATAGCTCCTCCCACACTCCCCTTGGTGGTTCACTAACATTGGAACTTGAGTTTTTAAATTTTTAACCCAAAACTTATTTGACCATGGACCTTTTCACAGCATACATACAATTTTGTTTTTTTGTTTTGTTTTCAAAAAACTTGTTAAATATTATGGAGCTCTTGTGGAGCACCTTAGAAGGCACAGTTACAGCTACATGTGATCACATATCTGGCTGATTTGAGGGATATATAAAGGTCCCTTCTGACCCCTTTTGTAATACCTAAAATCTCAACAGCTCTTAGAGGATGTTAAACTTTTGAGGCCTTTATTAACAAACAAATATTCCAAGAATTAAATATTTAAAGCCAAGAGATACCAACTAGGTAGTGCAGCCAACTGATCAATGGGAATCCCACCTAGACCAATAGGCACCTTGTTGCTGTCCATTTCAAATGGAGAGAAAGGGGTGAGCCTACACTCTGCTGCTATTAGTATATCCAGTCAGTTTCTCCACACTGTTGATTCTTCATCATAAATATTTTCCAATGTATCATTTCCACTAGTACCAGCCTAGCCTAGATTTTTGTCACTCAAGCCACTCTCTTCTAAGCCCTCTTTTTATTATCTAACATGCACATACCCACCAGACAGATCTTCCCCAAATACATTTATCCTTTGCTGAAGAATCGAGAATAGTTCTCCATTGCCCATCAAGTCACCATCTTCAGCCCAGCATTCAATACCCTCCAAAAGCCATATCCATCTAATGTTACTTTTTTTTTTTCCAAGACAGAGTCTCACTCTGTCACCCAGGCTGGAGTGCAGTGGTGTGATCTCAGCTTACTGCATCCTCCACCTCCCGGGTTCAAGCAATTCTCCTGCATCAGCCTCCCGAGTAGCCAGGACTACAGACACATACTACCACGCCTGGCTAATTTTTTGTATTTTTAGTACAGACAGGGTTTCACCATGTTGGCTAGGCTGGTTTTGAACTCCTGACCTCAAGTGATCTGCCTGCCTCGGCCTCCCAAAGTGCTGGGATTACAGGCACGAGCCACTGCGCTGTCTAGCCTGTAATGTTACTTTTTATTGCTCTCCATTCCCTTCACTGAAGCCTCTTCAGTCTTTTCTATGAGTTCCAGGCTCTTCCTCTTCTTTTATTTTGTTTATATTCTCCTTCCTTTTTCACTTCTCATCCTACCCTCACTCATCTTTCAAGTTCTACTTCCCCTGAGGCTTTTAGTAACTTCACCCAACATTGCTCCCTCTCTCTCTCTTTTCTGTACCAGTTAAGGGTGTTATTAAATGTAGTTAGAACTTCATTGTATAATTTTATTTTGTTCCCTGTTACAATTGTGTATGTTTTATACTTCTCTCGCCACCCTTGCTTCTAAATATAAACCTCTTAAGAGAACAAACCTTGTCTTAATCTTAATTTACATTCCCTACCACATTTATCATGTACTGGAAACACAAGACATGCTTCCTCAATTATTGCCTAGAATGAAAACAAAATGATGATTATAAATGGATATAATGCAGTTACTAAAGAAAGCCACATAGGACCTTTCCTTGATAATATTTTATTTGCATTAGTTTTAAGACATTCTCTAAAATAAGCAGCATAATTACATCTTTATACTATTCTACAATTCCAATCTTTCACCATTTCAGACTACCTTTCCTCAAATGATCTTAAAGGCTTCTTTTCTCTAAGAAGGGATGGAAGTGAAGAACTAAGTTTGACTTTGAGGTTTCAAATTCCCAAAGTCTAGGGGTATGTGTAGCATACAGACTCTAAGGCTGCCCCCAATTATCCCTGCCTTTTGATATCCATGCCTTTGTTTACTCCTAGTCCCTTGAATGTTGACAGGACTGGTGATCTGCCTCTAACCAGCAGACTACGGCATTGGGGTGGGATGTCACTTCCATCATTATGTTGCATATGATTGGAACTCTGTCTTGATTCCTGACTCTTTTTTGCCTTCTCTCCTTGCAGGCTTTGAGAAAGCGAGTGGCCATTTTGAAGAGGCCCACATGGCAAAATACTGGTGTGGCCTTCAGCCAACAGTAAGCTAGGAGCTGAGGCCCTCAGTCCCATAGCCCTGAAGACATGGAGTTCTGTCAATAAACAAATGAACTTGGAAGCAGATCCTTCTCCTGTTGAGTCTTCAGATGAGACCCAGCCCTTACTGACAGCCTGGATGGCAGCTCTGTGAGAGATCCTGAAGCAGAGGACCTAGCAAAGCCAGCAAAGTTTCTGACCCAAAGAAACTGTGAGATGATTTGTATTGTCTCCAGCCACTACGTTGTAGTTATTTGTTACACAGCAATGGATAACAAACACAGGATGTTAAAGAAGTATTTTTATGAGACTTTCAATAGCTAACATTAGGATGTAACTGTCAAAAGAATTAACCTTGTAATTCAAATGTTCATTGTGGGCTCTCACTCACCATGGAAGCTCATGCAAAAATGCTGGAGAAATTTAAAATGTCTTATGTGACATCTGGTAGAAGTTTAAAAGTATAGACAACCATCATTAAAAAAAAAACTCATTGTAACTTTGTTTAAAACCTTGGCCCTAGCATTCAAAGATTAAAATCTAAAATAGGCTTGGAATTTGGTCACTTCTTAAGGTCTATGTCAGATATCTCTGTCAAAGCCCACATATTGTAAGAGTTGCTAAAGCTACATACAACACTATGGTGAGCATTTCATGCCTAAGTATGAGAATTGTATTTGATGCATATTAATTGGTAAAATCTATTAGCTAGATACTTAATAAGAGAGAAGACTGAAGGAATTGAGAAACCAGTGAACAGAGATTGCTAATTAAGAAAAAAAAATCTGACTCTTTTATAGGTTTACATCTTGTATTACTACCTAATTGGCTCACTGTTTTGTTTTGTTTTTATTTGGCAGTTGAAAGAGCCTGTAGACATTTTAAATCTCTTCAGAATTTATGATTCATTTGGTGAAACAGTAGCTGCTAGACTTGTGGATGTTAAGAACCAGGAAAAATGAAAATTCAAAAACAAAAATAGGTAGGTGAATGAATAGGTGATTGAATATACTGCCACAGACAGTAAAGTTTATTTTGTCAAGCTAGGACATTAAACTAAAAAAAAAAAATCACTGTATGCTATCATCATTATTTTATAGAGAAAGAACAATTCAACCTCAACAGAAAAATAATAATTTCAAAATTAAAAAACATAACTTTAATTTCAAAAAAGCTTTTTTTTTTTTTTGAGATGGAGTCTCGCTCTTTCACTCAGGCTGGACTGCAGTGGCGCTATCTCGGCTCACTGCAAGCTCTGCCTCCCGGGTTCGCGCCATTCTCCTGCCTCAGCCTCGTGAGTAGCTGGGACTACAGGCACCCACCACCAGGCCTGGCTAATTTTTTGTATTTTTAGTAGAGACGGGGTTTCACTGTGTTAGCCAGGATGGTTTCGATCTCCTGACCTCGTGATCCGCCCTCCTCGGCCTCCCAAAGTGCTGGGATTACAGGTGTGAGCCACCATGACTGGCAATAAAGCTATTCTTAAGAAATATTCACTATGTTGTCCGTATTATTCTCTCTTCTTGGTAGTTCATCACGCCATTTGAAAACCCTGGGCTAAAGGGACATCCCAGTAGAGCACGAGCTAAAAGTCTTTTGACATAAGACTGCCTAGAATATCCCAAGGAAGTCCTATCTCATTTAGGAAATTCAAGGTGAATTATTTCTCTATAAAGTCCAGATGTATCAGTGACACTACCTGAAGATAAGAGTCTATTACCAGAGTCTGTGTGTTTCTTACAGCCTTGTTTTGAAGTATACATTCAGACTTTTAAAAATATAGTGACTATCAGGCTCAGACATTTTAATGAAATTCTTCTGCATTCCCCCCATAGAACAGTCATGGTTTGGACAGAAATGTTGCTAAGATCACTGACCCAGACATATCTTCTCCCAGGAGGGCAGGTTGCTGGGACCCAGAGGGATCACACCACTATGCAGTGGCCATCTTAGGTTAAGTTATGAGGCCCCTGAGGAAATAACCAATCTCTGGAGGCTCCAAACCCAAGCCTAAAATGTCAAGTGATGGCAAATATCACAACCACATTTTACATCCCTCCCTAAAGAACAAAATTAAGCCTTCACAGGACCTGAAAGTCTCCAAAAACCAATAGACTCTTTGGCGAACTCTGACAATGGAATTTCATTATGACTGGATAGATGTCTCAGTATTGGATCTCCAAATATATCAGTGAACGTGAGAATTGTTCAGCCACCAATGTTTACAGTACTTTGAAATATATCATGAAGCTTAATTGGGAAAAGCTCAACCATCCCACGGGCTGAGTTCCTTTTTATTTATTTGGAGGTGGCTGCTCACAGTGCCTATTCACGCTTATAGAAACTTCCGGAACTGTAACTGAAGGATGCATGCAGGCAGCTGCGGTGGAAAAGAGCAGTACCTGAGAGGAATGTCAGAGCTTGAATTAAGCTGATTGGCACACATTAAAATGCAACATAATAGCGTATTTGTCACAGTGGCCCTCTCCTGTAGTTGGCTCATGAGGAATAATGATGGCTTACTGACGAGAAGCAGGGACTCAGCCGCTTGATAACATTGTCGCACTGATGGTTTGAAGAGGCCCCACCGTCGCCTGCTTTTGGCTGCAAACAGCAGCCATTCACTCATTCAGGCAGGGCGCTGACAACAGACCCACAGCCATGCGCAACAATGTCCATTTTGAAAGGCTTAAATAAAGCATTCTCTGCCAAAATTTCCATTGTCATTTTTCTCCCACTGTTTATATAATATGGCCAGGAGTGGGACTGTAAACTAATATTACATTCAAGAGCCTCACACAACAAACACCAAGGCTGTGTTTTCCTGGGAGAGGATTACCAAGCTTCCTACGGAGGCAGGCACGCCATGGCACACACAGCCACCTGCCTTATTAAAGCAGTCCTTTCCCGGGAAAAGAACATTGCCACAGAAAGAATGAATTAATTTGGCATTTCCTTCGGTCTCACTCAGCATGCAGTGTGCTTCCCTAAGCATGAAAACAGCACATCTTCACAGAAACATTTCTAAAATGATGTGCCTACTCATAGAAAAGATCAATTTGAATAGATTCAAACCCCAAGAGGGCAATTCAATACAAAAAGTTTTCAACCAAAGTCAAGACAGATTGTCCAAATAGTTTTCAAGCCCAGCATAGACTGTTCTCTTTGTCCATATTTCAGCTGATAAATCCTTTCTCTCTTTGCCTCTCCCAGTATGTCTACGTATACAGGCACACACATTTATCTGTAGCTCTTCCTATATTGAGAACAAACTTCTTGCTATGTCAGCATAGAGACTATTGCTGTTGAGAGGAGAAAAAAAAATGTGTTCCCTAATATAGGAAATAGAAACAAAAAGTTATTGAATGTGACTTTTGCCTGAGAGGCTGTATTTATGTTGCTGGAAGAAAAGAAGAGATGAAATGGGATTATCAAGGGGTGGGGATTGAGAGAGAGAGAAATTGATTGATTACAATGCTAGCTGAGGGGTGTTGAAAACAGATTTTGAGAGGTGAAAGGCCAGATTCAGTGCAGAACAGCCAAAATGGAATCAGAGCTTAAAAGCACAATTAGCAGATTGAAGGTCAGAAACTATGCATTGCAATAAGGAAGTGATAATTATAAACAGCTAAGGAGAGGATGAAAATCCAGAGGTGATAATGTACTACTGAGAAGAGAAGCTGGAACTCCCTGAATCATGCATGGGCAAGAGGACAAGATGTAAACTCCACCAACACTAGGGCACATTAAGTATAAAATCAGACAACTGTGGGGTTTGTTTCTTCTTTTTCTTTCATTCTTGGATCAAGTGTTATTGCCACTGAATTTCCCAGGCTGGTTTTTATGTGGCATCCACCACAGAAACCTGTTAGGAAAGCAGAAAGCTAAAAATCCTCTAAACAATATTCCAGTATTATCTACATTTCCCATGCCCATAACTTTGGATGTCACAGATACAGTACTTATTATTGCCATCCTTCATTTCCTAATAGGTGCTTGAGAACAGTTTATCCCAAGTGATTTTAATACTTATAAAATCAAAAACCATGGCTGGTTAGCACCATAGGTAAGAACCTAATACTAACAAGCAAAGGGTATCAAGCAGTGGCTCTTCGTAGCAGCTGCCCATTAGAATCACCTGGTCAGGTTTTTTAAAATTTCTCATTCCAAGGCTGCATCCCAGGTAAATTAAATGAACATTTCTGGGGGTAAGATAGCATGGACTTTTTTTTTCTTAAGTTTGAGAAGCCACTGATATTGAGAAATCCCTGTGGCCTCATTGACTTTGATTAATTCCATACCCCTAGATAGCACTCCCAGCTCCATCCTGTTCAATCCCTCAAATATTGGCCAGTAGACCTAATGAACCTCCAATGTCAAGGTGCACAGATCAGCAATGATTTATCCCTTCACTTGGCAGAGCCATTCCAGGTCCCAAGGGAGTCAAAAGCCGAATGCAAAAGAAAACTAACAGAGTTGGCTTCAGAAAGCAAGAAGCAGATTCACCCCTGAAATAAACATGAGCTTTTACGTGTCCCCTACCCAAGCCCTGATATATATCCTCTAAATACCATTGCAGCTGTCATTTTAGGGCAAGTGGGAGAGCAAACAGAAATTGAACAACTACTGTGGTTTTCCACCCTCCAGGATTTTTGTTGTAGTTTTTACACTCTCTCTTAATGCGAAGTAACCTGCTAACGTTCAGGAGTGGCTCTGACCCTATAGGCTTCTTGTTTATTCTTAGAGACCCAAATGAGAATGTCTTAGTTCTAGACTCATTATCCTTTATAGCCATACTCAAGAACCCTATTAACTCTGAGTGGAAAGTAATTCCAAAAATTCCCTGCTCGATTATGTTTTCATATCAACCAAAGCCATAAAGGCTGACTGAGCTCTTTGTTACTCCAATCAAACAAAATGATACTAGTATATAATGCTTCCTATATTGTTATATATTTGTTGCATGATGCACTACAACACCCTTTTCTATAGTAAATTGTTATGCTTTCATTCTTTATTAGGGCGGTTTTGTTAGTCCTGACTTTAAAACTGATGTCTGAGCTAAAACTTCACAACCTCGTAAAGCTCCCTAACATAATTCCCTCTACACCATTCTCCTTATTTCTTAATTCCTGTAATTCTCCTGAATTATTTCAGCATTTGTATTTGTTACTCCTGTTTTAAAAAAAAACTTGCAATTGCTCCCCAGTGCCTACTGAATGAAGTTCAAGCTCCACAGGCTGCCTCTTAAAATATTACATAATCCAATTCCAGTCCTCATTCCTAGTCTTGTAGGTAACTGATCTCTCTTTGTCCCTGGAACATGCCATGCACAGTCCCACCAATGTACTTGTGTGTGTGCAATTCCCTTTACAGTGAGGGTGGTCCCCATTCTTCTCTACACAAGGCTTGTTGAGCTAAAGGTTTCCCCCAGCTTCATCCTCAGTCATGAGTTTTTAACCTAAAGTTTATATCCTTCTTAAAATCCTTAAATGGATTGATGGGGTGTGTGTACTTCTTGAAATTATACTAAATTGCCTGTGTATTTGGTAGGCTGTAACTTTGGTGGCCTGCAATGAACCACGCCTCCCAGTAGTCATGCCCTTGTGTAGATTCCTCCCTGTGAATCTGAATTCAGAGAAAGTGACTCTGTGCCAGTTCTGGCTCAAGTCTTAAGATTTTATACACTGAAGGAAGCCAGCTGCCATGTAAAAATTCCAACTACTCTGAGACCACTAGACTGTTAGGAAGTCCAAGCAGCCACATGGAGAGGCCCATGAGGAAGATAGATGAAGCTCTTGGCCAAGAGCCAACAGCCAGCTCCAACTGCCAGCCATACAAGCGAGGGCATTTTGGAATTTCCAGCTGCCCCAGTGTTCCCGCTGAAACCAGATGAAGCAGAAGAATCACCTGTCAACCCACAAAATCATGGGAAATTAAGAAAAAGCAAAACAAAACACTGCTGTTGTTTTGGGTTTGCATCCGATGGTTTGTTTCACAGTAAGAGATAACAAAATGGAGGGTATGTGGGTGCTTCTGAGTGCAAATATTTTTGGGGGTTGGGGGGAAGATCCAGATTCTCAAAGGAGTTAGTGACAGAAAATAGGTTAAGTATGTTTATATGAGGAGGATCCTGTAAAGCACTTAAAATAGTATCTGCCATATGGTAAACATTTAGTAAGTGTTAACTATTATTATGTAGCCAACATTCTATTCTAGATATTCTAACAAGAATTTCTGGAAGGCAAGTCATCACTATGATTGGGAAAGAAGCCAAAATTATAATAAAATGAAAACCTGTGCATCAAATCTGAAGGATGAGTATAAAATAGGATAAACAGTCTTAAATGAAGAAATTCAAAAATAGGGTGGGTAAAGTTTGAAAAGATTATATTGGAAAGTTCAAGACTTTGGCAGGGCACTATGGCTCACCCCCATAATCTCAACACTTTGGGAGGCCAAGGCCTTTCTATTATCAACAAAATAAAAAATAAAATAAAAATTAAAAAATAAAGAATTAGCTATAACAGAAAGTATTCACTAAGAATTTCTCCTCTCATCTCCATATGAAATTCCTAACTGCGTCCTGGATTGCCCTGAACTGATCAGCTTGAAGTAAAGGTCGTAGGTGACTAAGGGATGAAAAGAAGGATAATGGGTACAATTGGGGATGATTTTGGGATGAAGAGGAGGTAAGTTTTGAGAGGGCATGTCCACTGGCCCCTAGATTATCAGTGAGGCAGTCAGTGTAATCATTATCCTTGATTGACCAGGGATGGTAAGGTGCCTTGAGGAGCACGGTGAAGGTTCGAAATAGCCATTGAGGCAATGGAGAAAGCCCCCAGCCAGAGATGAGAAACATGATGGTCAAGTAGCATGGTGGGCCTAACTGTAGCTGGAGGACTTAGAAAGAAATGTAGGTCATCACTCACAAACAAGCATCTCAGTGCAGTTCTTTCTTGATTTACAAAAATGATATAAACAGTAACCAGTCTCTCTAGATGTTGGGCAAAAGCAGGTTGGCCATATACCAGGTCTGTTAAGAGGACTTGGCCACTGGGTTCAAGAGCAACCCACCACTGATAAAGTCCCTCCTTACCCAAAAACCTTCCCAACACTTGCTGATGTTTGACCTTGAGCAAATTAGTCAGCTTTTCTGTGTCTCAGTTTCCTCATCTGTAAGAATGGCTGTTTGAGGATTAGATAAAAAGCAAGCATGTAAAGCACTTAGCCATTATTATTATTATTACTTCATAAACCAATGGTGATAACGTACCTTTCTTTTGAGTCAAGTCTCATTCTTTGGAACATCTTTTGACTTTTGTAACTCTCCATAATTACACATACCTGAAGGTTGTTCCATTGAAATGGAAATGCACATCTTTATGCTTCATATTTACATAGTAATTTCTACAGATAACATCATCCAAAGCTACTGGAATCTGTTGTCAAAAGTTGTGTCCTACCCCACATATTCATTCTAGGGCTTCCAGACACACCAGTAAAAAGTCAAAACTCTAGTTTTGATTTATCTTGTCAATGTCTCTCTTTCTGCTGGGAATAAAGTGATCACACACACACACACGCATGCACACTCACACACACCCCTTATAGAGCTAATCTAAGAGAATTCAGGTAGTGGAAGAGTCAATGAATATAAAAATCTCACCAGTGTAGTTGTGATGGTTAATTTTATGTGTCAGCTTGACTGGGTCACAGTGCCCAGATATTTGATAAAAATATTATTCTGGATATTTCTTTGAGGGTGTTTTAGGTGAGATTTACATGACAACTGGTAAACTTTGAATAAAGTGGATTGGATGAGCCACAATGCGAGTGGGCTGCATTTAATCAGGTAGAGACCTGAATAGAACAAAAGACTGGCCTCTTCTGAGAAAGAGGGAATTCTGCCATTGGATAGCCCTCAGATTTCATTGCAACACTGGCTCTTCCTAAGTCTCCAGCCTGCTAGCCCACCCTGCAGTGGGAGCTTCCAGCCTCCATAATTGCATGAGCCAATTCCTCAAAAAAAATCTCTCTTTCTCTCTCTCCCTGTGTATATATTATATATATATTATATATATATATTTCACTATCTCTCTTTCTTTCTCTCTCTCTCTCTCTCTCCCTGTGTATATATTATATATATAATATATGTCACTATCTCTCTTTCTCTCTCTATATATATAAATATATATATAAAATATACATATAGTATATATAAAATATATATAAAATATACATATAGTATATATATAAAATATATATAATATACATATAGTATATATATAAAATATATATAATATATATTTTATATATATATATATACACACACACACATAAAATATATATACACACACACTTCCTATTGGTTCTGTTTCTCCAGAAAGCCATGACTAATGCACTAGTTATTTCAGATTTTCTCATGATGGGCCACCTGAGGGCCTAAGATGATGGAAGTTTATTTAATAGAGACCTAGCAGGCAGGTAGCAATACATAGCATACCTCTGGCCCAAATTCTTTTTTGACTGCAAATTTATGAAAATGTTCTTCAGAAAAGTATTTAGAGATTTACAAAGGCATTACATCCAACTTGATGCTCTTAGAGTTTGTGAATTTTATTCTTCTATGGCAACAACATTTTGCCTATCAGATCATGGAACACTTCACCTATGGAACGATAGTTTTCGGTTCTTGTAATATCTACATTTTGCCCAAGGCTTTTTATAAACGTAGTGAAATATGCTGTCTCAGAGATAATATTCTTTTGACATCACCCATATCTGAGGGCCTTTGGATTCCATGCTACCTAGTGTTTCTTCCATATTTCAGGTAATATAACTCTCTGTATTATTGTCAGAAAGGCTCTGTCATACATATTCAGGAAGCATTTGCCTGGAAGATAAATGCAGTGAATAGTATGCTGTAGGTAGAAGTGGTTCCTATCCATTCTCCTTGTTTCATTTCAGATCATAACGACTTTCTGTCTACTCTTTAAATGAGTGTTTCTGGACTGCTGGAACATTTGAAAAATCACTAAAAACCAAACTTAAGATTCATCTAATTCTAATTTCCTATCTTCCCTTGGTTTAACAACAGACTCCTTTTTCACCACATTTGTTTAATATTTTTCACTTTCTTCTGTCCTTCCCTGTCTATTCCTTATTATTGTTCTTTGTGGCGCTTTGTTCTAAAGCCTGCTCTTACCACCTCCTCCTTCTTTTCCTCAGACCTCTTTTCTGCCAGACTACAAATAACATTCCACTGTTTTTCATTCAGCTTTTCCTCCACCAAGGCTCTTTTTCTTTGTTGTGAAAACATAACCTTGCTGAATTTATTCTCCTCCCACCAAGATCTACATTATTTATATTTCCCACCCCTAAAACAACAGTTTCCCACTATCTTCTATCTTCAGAGCCTTTTTCTTAGTTGTTGAGAAAATCAGGAAAATCAAGCTAAACTGTGATCATTTCTGGTGGTTCATTACCATTCCTTATCATTATTAATCATAGGAGATGTGAATTTCAAGTTAGGTGCTACATTTCTAGCTGTAGGATCTCCAAGTATTACCGCAATGTCTCTGCCTTCAGTTTGTTAGCATGTAAAGGGAGTTTTATGATAATAATCATATGTGCCTCAGAGGACTGGTGTTAAGATTACATAAGATTAGCATATTAAAGCATGTTATAAACTATGGAAGTGATAATATGAAGGTTAGTATCCAGTCATTCAGGTGTGTATTCACTGTGAGACTGCCTATGGATTAAAAATTAAATTAAAAACTCCGCCATAACAAGTAAATAAAGAAACTAAACAGCACAAAATTACCAAACTTAGTCTCAATTGTGCTACATTCTCTCTGTCACCTAGAAACTAATTAGTACGACATAATCACATACTTCCTGCCCAGTAAACATACAAGTCCCAGAGGTACAAATGATTTGTATCATGAATCAGTGGCCACCGCTTACTGGTAATTATCATATAAATGAGGAGCTTCAAGTTGACCTCTGATTCCCTAGTCCTTGTCTGAGACAGCAAAGATACACCAGTTATGCAAAAACTTGATAAAATTTAAATTACTTTTCTTGCCATAGCCTTCTGGATATTCTTTGTTTGGGTGGAAAAGATCACAATAACAACAGCGACCCCCCAAAATCCTATCAAAACTGATACTAAAATACTAAAATACGGTATTAATACATAGGGGTGTGTTTAGGAATAGTTCCCACAAGTAAAAAAGAAAATTCAAGAGCAATTTGTAATAAAGCCCCAAAAGCAACCGCTTGCATTAACTCTATGGATGTTCTTGTATTCGAGCCTTTCTGAGAAGTCAAACAAGTCAACTTTAAAGGAGGACACCCAGCTCTGGTCCTGATTAACCTATATGAATTTTGTCAGTCACCTTACTTATCTCACCTATAGTATCTTCCTTTGTATAATTAAGCAATTAGATTAAGTGACTTTAGGGTTCTTTCCTGCCCTAGCATTCCTTGATTCTGAATCTTGAAGCAAGCATATACACTGTAATTTACCTTAAATATTACTAATTCAGTCATTATTAACTTTAGCTGCAATTGCAATCATCTGGGAAGCTTTAGAAACTACTGACGGTGGGCTCCACCCTCGGAGTCTGAATTAATTGGTCTGGGTGCAGTTGGACATCAAGGATTTTTAAAGTTTCTCCATGTGATTCTAACATGCAGCCAAGATCCAGAAGCACTTGTTAATTATGACATACCTTTTGCCATGCGGGTACTTACTCTTTCTTTTTCTTCCTCATTCATAGAAGCTGAATTACTTCTCTGAGGATGTCTTGTCACTAAAACATGGAGAATCCAACCTACCCTGCGTAGTTGTGGAATCCCTCAGATGACAGCAGTGAAGGTACCTGGCAGGGTCCTTGCATACAGGAGGCATAGGATAAATTAGCCTTTACTTCTTTCTCCCCTCTTCCCTGGTCCCAAAGCCATCCAAGACCTGCAAGAACCTCCATTACTTATCAAGTACGGGAACATCACTGAAAGAACCTAAATAAATTTTCTAAAGTAGAATTTTCCAAACTATCTATTGTGAACTCAAAATATATGAGACAGGTCTCAGTCAATTTAGCAAGTTTATTTTGCCAAAGTGAAGGATATGCCTGTGACACAGACTCAAGAGGTCCTGATAACATGTGCCTAAAGTGGTAGGGGCATAGCTTGGTTTTATACATTTTAGGGAGACATGAGACATCAATCAATATATGTAAGATGTACAGTGGTTCCGTCTGGAAAGAGGGGACAACTCCAAGTGGAGAGGGGGCTTCCAGGTCATAGGTAGATAAAAGACAAACAATGACATTCTTTTGAGTTTCTGATTAGCCTTTCCAAAGGAAGCAGTCACATATGCATTTATCTCAATGAGCAGAGCGATGACTGAATAGAATGGAAGTTTGCCCTAAGCAGTTCTCAGCTTGACTTTTCCCTTTAGCTTAGTGATTTGGGGGTCTCAAGATTTATTATCTTTTCACACTGTCAACTCAATAAAATGAGAATGACAGCAGAGACCCTGTCACCATCATTTCTTCAATACTTAAAACAAATATTTTTGTAATGAAGAGACAAACTGGCCAATGTCTCTATAAGGCTTTGGTCTCTGTTCCTCCTCCCCCATTCCCAACAAACACACACACACACACACACACACACACCCCTCTCTGTAACTCTGCTTCTTAGTGAAGTAAAAGAAGTGGTTCTCATAAACCACATCTTTTTCTTTCCCCTAGATCAATACAGATATTTATCATATAGACAGGGTCATATAGATATCATCATATAGAAAGTCTCAATGAAACCCTCATTTGATGCATGTATAAATGGACTTATATTTCCTCATGCTTGAGTTTGGAATATAAGAGAAATACCAAGTGTCAAAAGACAACATTACAAGAAATTTAAACATCTTAATTGGCTTTTGCATTCCAGAATTGGACAAAACCTCACCTATAAAATAGAACAAATGAACATAATAAGCTGAGCAGAGGAGTTTGGTTTTAGAAACAGAAGGACTGAGGAAAGCAGAAACAAAAAACAATAAGTGGATTGGTTGTTTCAAAGTGGTTTTCCCTGTAAAGGTTAAAGTAGAGAAGACTTCCTTGTCAAGCTGACTGAATTGGGGATTTGGCTATTCTCATTCTTTCTCTCTCTCCGCGGGCCCCCCCACCCCCCACCCCCCACCCCCTACCCTTGATTTCTTGGAAGATCAGATAAATAACTTAGTTTCAGCTTCATGATATAGAACCTTAGCATGTGTAACTCGATTTTGGTTTAGTCTGTTGGGCCTAGTGCAGGAGCTCAGTCCAAACCAATGGCCTCCTATAAATTTTATATAACACAAGAAATGCTAAAATTAGGAAAAATATACCTAAGAAGCTGACTCTGCGAGTGCGCAAAGCCACCTGGCGTTTGGTTTTGTAGTCCCTACTGAAAGCCTCCAGCCAACTACAGGAGGGCTCCCAAATCAATGAAAAGATGAAGGCAAATTTTTTTTTATCACACAGAGGCTTCACCAGAGGAGCCTCTGCTTACAGTGTTTGCCAGCCCAGTCCTTGATTTCAGTGATCATTATGTGATGGACAAGCAGGGCTAGAAATAGACAAGAAGAACAATATTCTATCAGCCAATGTTCCCAGTCAATCAGAATAATTTATGTGTTTTCTCTTTCAAGAAGAGGATGGGGAATGGAGTATGGTTGAAGCCTGAAGTTATCAGTGAACAGCAAAAAAAAAAAAAAAAAAAAAAAAAGACAAGTTGCAAATGTTCTGGTCTTTCCATCCATCAGCTCCAATATAATAGCAATGTCTACTTCATCATTTTGTTCATACAGTCAAATATGCAAGGAGGATTTTAACCAGACATCTTCAACTACCCGCCTGATTACTGAACAAGTCAGGCTGTCTTTGGCATTTTGTTCCGAGTCATCACTGATGACTTGAGAACAGGAGGTTATAAAATTCTTAACAGTGGGTAAGATTGTTGAACTGTCTGGCGTGCCACTCTTATGTGCCTTTATAAATCCATTAGGCACAAAATAGTGTTTATCGTGACTAATCAATCATATCTGAAAATTACAAGAGTGAATAATCACTCCTGATTATGGAAACATCAAGGGGGCTTGTCTTAATGCCCCTTTGTGGGGGCCATTTTCTAAATCCCCCATGTTCATAACTATAGAATGAACTGGAAGAAAATATTCAGAACAAACCAGATGGCTCTAAAGACACAAAGCTCTTTTTAAAGATTGGGTAAATAGGTCAGTGTTCTTTCTAAGAAAACCAAACTGTTAGCCCTGGATACCCTGAGTCAAGAAGTGAGGTTAGAAGAAAAGAAAAGCCCCTCCCCAGAGAAACAGAAGTGATTCATTCACCTTGAGGAGGGCCATGTGCTCATTAAGCCCACCGGGGAAACATTCTATGAACTTGAGCAGCAATTTTCTAAATAAGTGGTAATTTCCTTAATGAATCTTCCCCCAAGCCCTTTGTGAGCATAATTATGTGTAATTTCAGAGGCAGAAACAAGGCCTAAGAGGCTAGAAATGACTTGTTCACAGTCACACAGCAAATTTTAGAGTCACGTTTGCTTCCTAAACCAATAGACTGCACTAGTGACTATAAAGAAGAGATTTTAAAAACTGGGACACATGCCCAAATAAGTCATCAGAGCAAATGCCATGATCCAAGTAAGCTCCTTGCTGTTTAATAGGAACCTGGCTGATCATAGTCACACTTTTTTCCACCCTTAACATACTGGCTGTTGGTTATTCACAAGCATTGAATAAGCAAGAGAAATGTCGGTTTTTAATTCCTCAGAATGAGAGGATAAATTAATCATATTCTACTTAAAAGAGAATTCGCTGAATATGTAGATTTCAAAGGAATATTAGAAAAGTTTCTCCTTTTCTTGCCCACTATATTTTTAAAATAGCATACAGGTTAAAAAGCAGTAGAAATAGTTTCTGTGGTGGTATGTGTGTATATATATATATATATATATATATATATATATATATATATATATATATATATATATATATATATTTTCTCTATGGGGTAGGGTCAGATTTTACCAACTGCCAAATCTCTTTACATAAGCTCTCCTAATCCATTAGAAGTGTATGGGAATGCTGAGAATAGGTATTAAATGATCCTTTTTATAAATATTGGAAGCAGAATTGTGCAAGAGAAAGGGGGTGGGCTTGATACTGACAAAATACTGGGTTCAAATCCCAGCTCTGCTGTTCAACCTGGAATAGATTATTTTATAATATTGCACTGCAGTTTCTGCATTTCTTCATAAAACAGGGGGAATAATGCCTACCTCACATGGGTACTGTGCCCATTAGAAACAATGTGTGTCCCACACAGTGCCTGGTTCATAGGCGTTTCCTATGTGATGAGCCCTCTCTTCCCCTCAAAATTTTAATCACTCCCAATCCTGGAATTGTCCGAATTGGTTTAGATTTTGTGGAGATGTTAGAAAACTTGGCCAACCATACTACAAAAGCATTGTGAACAAGAATGCCCAACTAAGTAAGAATCACAAAGTGGTTGTGAACAAGGAGAGTGAATAGGAGTTGTCCAGGCCAGCTGTTTTCATTGGACCTTAGACAAGTTCCTCCCAATGTCAGTTTTTTCATCCGTCAGTTTCTTCACTGGTAAAAAAAAAAAAAAAAAAAAAAACAAACCAGTAAATATAGTACTTGCTATTCACATACTTTGTCGGGGAGAATAAAATCATATGCTTAATAAGTGATGAAAGTGTAAAGTATAGTTTTTAAACATAATAAAATATCAAAAATATAGGTAATTTTCATTCCCTGGCTTTCAACATTATGCATTCCAAATTCATTTCTTTGTATGAGAATGGTATATGGCCATTATTTTACTGAACAAAGTCTATATGATGGTTGTCTTTTAGCTTTGATCTACAAAGACAATTTGTGTATGTAGATGCATATGCCCATATATACATAAATGTGTAAAGAATATGAGATAAGCGGTGTCCTTGAAACAGGAAGAATTCAAATTTATTTGGAACGTTTCTGTTTTTCAAGGGTTAACAATCACTGAAGAAGTAGAAATTTAAAAGACCCTCTGACAATCTTTAAAGTTCGTTGAAAGTCAATCAATCACAGAACATTATTAACAATAGCCTATGTTTCTTCAGCAACTATTATGTATAAGGCATTGTTTTACCTTATATGTTGGTATAAGGTAGAACTCTTATACTTTCGCTCTTTTTACTTCTTTCACCCCCATTATGACCCTCTGATATAGATACTAAAATTATTCCCATTTTATAGGTGAGAACGCTGAGGCCCAGAGAGGTAAAATAATATGTCTTGGGTCACAGAGCCAATAAGTAGCCAGAATTTGAACTCAGGCTATCTGGAGCGTTCCAGAGTCTGCACTCATAACCACTACACAAACACACTTTTATTTACATTTTCAAGTGATCAATGCTGTTAATGAATTGAGGTCAAGATTTTACCAGGCATGGAAGGAAAGGAAAATACAAAGTAAATACAAGATAAAGGTATCAATCTTAAGGATATTTCATTAAGTCCAAAAAAATTAAGCCAATTTGTAAAACAATGTACAGGCACATGTTATTATCATACCAATGCTATATAAAATAGTTAGAAGAAAAGAGGAATTACAGAAAGTAGGGCCAAGCAAACCTACTGTAAGAGGTAGTTTTTGACAAAGGCCAGAGAATGGGTTGTTAGAGAGGAAGACGGAAGTGTGTTGGGGTGAGGGGTGGGGGTAAGTATTTTCAGAAGAATTTACAATATCCTGAGGCATGAAACCAGGTCCTCTTGAGAAAAATTGCTTCCTTTTAAGAGAAAAGGAGAAGATAAACGGATGGCAGTTGGTAGAATACTATTTTTCTTGACTAACTCAAATGCAAACTGTAAAATTAACCCAGAGAAATGAATCACATCTTGGGGAGAGTATTCATCAAGAGCTGTCAACAACCAAGTCATCAACCTCCATGTGCTCTCTATTGCACCAGAAATAGAGAGCTGAAAAAAGAAAAAGATGTCCTCTTCTTACCACCTAATAAGTTTCACAATTATAGACAGATACAGGAAGAACTCTGGTCATCAATGGCGTCAGCAAGTACAAAATAATAAAATATATCTCCAAACAATTTTAAAAAGGGGAAAGTTATGCCAACAGCTTATTCCAACAAGGGATAATTCTGTCTTCAGGTGTGGCTTAATGGAACCATTGGCACTGGGACCCACTTGCCTTTGTTTCTTTGTTTAGCTCTGCAGTGTCCCTCAGGGCATCAACACCATGGCCTGTGCACTGGTTTATTTTTATAGTGGTGAATGGTGAGGGCAGGGATGGATAAGTCATCCAAACCTAGTCTAGGCTTACTTTTCCTTGCTGTCCTCAAGAATAAGCCTCTCTGGTTGGCACTGTGTCTTCATCCTCCAAGTCCCATTATGACTTGGAATACATTCCCATTAATAGCATAGACAAAAACAATCCAACCAGAAATAAACACCAACACGATTCAATACCTTCTCAAAATTTACGTGGTGACACATATATGCCTATAACCATAAAGGCAGAGAAAATTAAAATCTATACTTCATAAATGATGTTTTACATTATCTCCTCTCAGTATTATGCCCCTCCCAATTTTTTATTTTTTAAAAAACCCATAAGCTGCATTTTGTTTATATATATGAAAGTACTTTTAATATTGCCCCAAGAGTAGGGGCAATATTACAATCAAACCAACCTCAGATTTGTGCCCATTTTGATGCTTAGCTACCACAGAAATCTCATTAAGTTACATTTCAAAACCATTTCCAGTGTTTATTCTGAACTTTTTAAAACAAAAACCAAATTGCTAGTGCTTACAATCAGGAACCTGATAGGAACTCACCTCTACTGGAAACTGTACTGAGTGCAGCCTGGCCTCTCAGTAACTCAGGGTTATAGTGCTTTTAACAAAGGCTGGAATCCTTCACTAAGCAGAGGCGATGCATTTCCAGGACATAACAATGACAGCAGGGGGAGAGGACACCACAGTTCACATATAGACCCACCGCGTGATCACACACGCACTGTCACCTCTGCAGTTTCATTATCTGGATGAAGAGGAAGAGACTTCAATGGCAACATGAACAGACTGAGCTGAACTTACAAAATCATGGAGTCTTGTCACTTCCCCATAGTAACTGTAGTGACCTGCTTCATGACCTCAACAAATCACTCACTTCCACCTGCTCTTGGCCCAATTTCTCCTAACAGCAAAGAGGGCAAAATAACATAAATAAAATGCATTTTCAACTATGATTTTAAACCTTTATTGCCTCTTGAATGGTCCATATATACCATAATTCATAGGCCAGAAAGACACACCATTTTAAAGACTCCCTTTTATGTATATGTAAGAATTTTATTGAAAGAGTCATTATTCCAATCCTAGGTCTGCCACTAACTAGCTGTATAGACTCAGGTGAGTGTCTTACCCTATCTGAGGTTTGGTTCGCTCCTCTCTGAAATTTTTTTCTTTTATTTTTTTCTTGCTTCCCTGATTCCAGGGCTTTTGTGATGATCATAGGAAGTTATGTATATGAAAGTACCTTGAAAAATATAAACTGTTATGAATACGTACAAGCGGTAACAGAAGTCCAACCAAAATTCCAAAGTGCATCCTGATTTCTTTCTCGATTGTGATGTTACAAGAACTCAGCTTCTTTTTCTCGAATCACAAAATACCAATACGTGAAAAATGACCCTGCCCTTTAGAAACTATTTCAAACCTGTAACCAAGAGTGTATATTTTCTTTTGCCACCTGCAAAATGTATAATAAAAAAAATAGTTCAGCCTCTGAAGAATATACAATTGTCAAAAATCAAAATGAAAACTCAAAGGAAAATGTAAGAAATAGCAACACTTCCCATCAGCAGGTAAATAAGTCTTTGATAGATCAGAACTGGGAACAACTGTCTGGAGGAGGAACATTCTAGCAGGCATTGTTCTCAGTAAACAAGAAAGCAGATGTCACCCCACATTTTGTGAAATATGACTCCACCATACATCCTTTTGGGGGAGCAAATTGATGACTCTTCCACCCAACACAATCACCTGGGGTGTGCCAAGCACAACCTCCATCAATCACTCTGACGTGATTTGTTTCACCTTATTCAGAGGCTTCCTCCCCTTCAATCCAATGTCCAAGATGGAAAAGATGAAAAAGATGGAGTAGCCAAGGCTTCTATAATCAGTTTTTTTAATGCCAAGAGTTATAGTGTTTGGGGGTAGTGCTGCTGAATGCAGAAGTGTTTTGTCTCCTTCAAATTGGCCAAACAAATGGAGAGACTGCATTAATCCCATTGCAGTCAAGTGCCACTCGTTCTGTATTTACAACTATATGCATAATGCTGTGTCACAAAGCAATGTTTCATTTTGCATAAGATTTAAAATCGGAACCCACACTGCCTAGAACTGGATTAATGATGGAAATTCGCATCAACAATGGATGAAAGTTACTATTGCCAAAAGAAACTTAAGCACGCACCAGATTTAAATGAGCTCTTTAAGTTATTGAGAACTCATCATTTATTCAAAAACATATATTGGCCATCTCTTGAGTGCTGGGCAATGCATTATGCAAAGATGTTTCTTCCCTTAAGGAGGCCTCGGACTCAAGTAAGAATGAAAGCAAGTAATTGAAATGCACCAAGTGCCAAAATAATGATATGCACAGAATACTTCAAGATCACGAATGAGAAAGAGACTCCATCAATTAAGGAAGCTGTCAGGTTGGAGGTGATGGTCAAGCTAGAGCTTAAACTCTGAGGTTGCATCCCAGGCAGATGGGACAGCATCTGCAAAGGCATGGAAGTGTGACCCATCACAGAGTGTTTTTTATGCAAAGAACAGTTGCATGGGGAAGACAGACAATTAGGCTGGATTCTAGGTTAGGGCCAATTAAAGGACCTTGTAAGTCACATTAGGAAATTTAAACCTCATCAGGGCAAGAGATAGGCAAACTATGACAAATGGGCAAAATCCAAATCATTCATTTATGGCTCCTTAGTCCCTACAATAGCAGTGTTGCACAGTTGCTACAAAGACCATAAAGCCTACAAAGTTTAAAGTATTTATTAACTGACCCCTCACAGAAAAAGTTTGTCAACACCTGCTCTAGAAAACAACAACCAAAAAACCGTTAAAATGAGGGAATCTGTCAATGTGGAGAAATGATCTAGAAGACAAAAAGACTAGAAACTGCTTCAGTAGCCCAGACAAAAGATGTATGTTATTCTAAACCCCTGCAACTCAAAGTACGATCCTGGGAACAGTACTGCTGATATGGTTTGGCTCTGTGTCCCCCCGCCAAATCTCATCTCAAATTGTTAATTCCCATAATTTCCACATGTCAAGGACGGGACCTGGTTGGAGGTGATTGGATCATAGGGGCAGTTTCCCCCATGCTACTCTCATGATAGTGAGTGAGTTCTCATGAGGTCTGATGGTTTTATAAGGGGCTCTTCCCTGTTCACTTGCTCTGTCTCACCTGCTGCCATGTAAGACATGCTTGTTTCCCCTTCTGCCATGATTGTAAATTTCCTGAGGCCTCCCCAGCCATGTGGAACTTTGAGTCAATTAGACCTCTTTTCTTTATAAATTATCCAGTCTCAGTCTCAGGCAGTTCTTTATAGCAGTGTGAGAATGGACTAATACGAGTAACAACACCACCTGGGAGCTTGTTAGAAAGGTATATTCTTAGGGTGGGGGGAACAAAAAAATGAAGGAAGGAAGGAAGGAAGGAAGGAAGGAAGGAAGGAAGGGAGGCATGCTCGCTCTCAGGCCGCACCCTAGACTTACAAAATCATGATGTGCATTTTAACAAACTTTCCAGGTGATCCCTAGGCATGCTAAAGGCAGAGAAGCACTGGTCTAAACTGCAGACATGGTTTTGGGGATATGAAGAAAGAAGAGATATCAGAGATATTTAGCAGGTAGAATTTATGACTGGTGATTAATTGGATGCAATTGTCAGCTATAGACGGGAACAAAATTGAGGATATTTCAACATTTTCACTGGACAGTTGGGTAGATGGCAATGATGCACAAATGAAGAACAGGTATTGGGAAAAAGATACAAAGTTACATTTGGGGACATAGCTGAAAATACCAGGTCATGTAAAGTAAACTGGAAATGCTGGTTTGGGGCATTTGAAAGACAAGAGACATGGAAATGTGTTTTGGGAAATCATTAGCATATTTTGGTAGCTGAAGCCATGTTGCAGTAGCTGAAGCCATTGCATGTTATGATACATTTACTGAGCCAGAGAAAACAGTGAAAAGAAGAGGGCTGAGGACAGAGCCTCGGAAACAAACATTGAAGACACCAACAGAGCAAGGGAAGTTCAAGAAGGAGGCTACGAAGAAATGGCTACTGACCAAGGGGTTAATTAAGAGAAATGGTAGTTGCTGTATTCCAAAGCGAACAGACTGTATCTGGATTCTAATGCCCTATTCTAGAGAGCAAACAAAATTATATTCTAAAGCACAATACAACCATGTCACTTCCTTCCTGAAGAATCTTCAGCCGTTCCATGTTATCTACAAAGTAGTGCTAAGAGCCCTTTAACTGGATCCCTAATTTATCTGACTACAGCCTCTCTGATAGCCTCTACTTCAACCATCTCGAGGTAGTCACGTGGCACAATTTGCATTCTTCTTTGTTCCTCCCACTTATCTCCCACTTTTTTCCTGCCAAAGTCCTAACCTTTGTGTAGAGCCCTGCTCACATACTACCTCCTCCAGGAAGTCTTCCTAGATTTCTCATCCCTGATTATAATTAATCTCTCATTCTCTTTCAATCTCACATAACTCATGTACTTTATAATAGCTCTTACTTCAATCTGATTTGTTCTAGATAAGTTCTGGGAATGCTTGTCTACATAATAGATTGATCACGTACCCCTAGGGGGCAGGGACCACATCTTATTTGACTTTATTCACTCTCTGCAAAAGACCATATCTAGTAACTAAGAGATGGTTATGATGAACAAAAGGGAAGTACCCCAGTTCAATAGGATACATTGTTCCCAAAATTATCACCCTCATTTAAAGAGAACCCCATGATATATTAATTCAGTTGTGTTGATTCTTCCTCAGGGTAGTTACATTATTTGATTTTATTTCTAGGAAAGCATGAAGAAGAAGGAATAGCAGATATTACCCCACCCATCCTCTATCATGCTAGGTGCCATGATGAAGAATTATCCCTTAGGGAGCCTGACCTTAGAGCAGTCGGCTGTGTCACAGTCCTCTCTAGGAATGTGAGACACCACCACTTCTCTTTCTCCCCACCCTCTCACCCACCTCTTTGTTCATTCCCAGCTCAGATAACCTCAACTGTCAGAAATCTTCTTGTCAAAGATCTTCACACTTATATATTTTTTCACTTTGTCAGTACAAATGTTTGTTCATCAAAACCAGTGGATGAGTTGTTATAATTTTTCATGTCTTGAGTTTTCTCTTCCTTGGGGCAAAAAAGCAGGGGGAAGGGGAGGGTCAGACTCTTAAAAATGGACTATACCCAGTGTTTTCACTTTAGGACATGTGCTTTATGTGCTACGTGAAAAATCTATGCAATAAAACGAGAAGGGAAAAAATACCCACTAGTGACAAGAAAACTTAGACACAAAATTTACCCCCCAAAGCCAGTAATCTAGTGGTGGGCATTACAACTGAAGAACTGCATAGGAACATGGAAATTATAAAGGGGAAAAATACAGAAATTGAGACTGAAATTGCAAAGGCTGAAAGATCTGCAAAATATGTCCTTCTCAATATAACACTCCCAGCAGAGAGAGAATTAAACCTCAAATGTGAGAAAGCACTCTCAAACCATTTATTTTTATTCACCTAATAACCTACATTCTGTGATGTATTGGTGTCACAATTCAGTTGAAGGAGATATTAAATGGTAATAGAACTGCATTCATTATCACAGACACAAGATCACCAGGCCAGTAAGACTGGTCTATGACCCAAATGGTTTAAACTTTCAATATTTTTATTTATAGGAGACTGGATTGCCTATAAACTAATCTCCAAATCAATTACACAAACATATGCATATGCACATACTCATTTGAAAGAAGAGAAGAAGCTGAAAAAATTATATTATTTATTTACTGGGCCCAAATAAACAACATTATTTAAAATTATGACCAGTTTCTAGGTAAAATCAAATGTTAATAACATAGTAGGTGATACCAATTCTTAAATTAATCCATAAGGGTCCTCTTAACCAAATTAACCTATTACTAAAGCTAAGAATTTGTCGAATTAGAATGTACTGATTTTTTTGTTTGTTTTTAAAAATCATGCATGGAAGAAAATAATAAGACACTTCAATTTCCATAGTCTTAAATTTCCACTCTACTTATACCATTTCTGGAGTCAGTCTTCCTTGGCTGGAGCTCTGGCTCTGGCTGTCCCATGGTAATTATGTGACTTTGGGCAAGTTGCCTAACCTCTCTGTGTCTCTTTTCTCTTATATAGAATAAGGATGAAGATAGCACATTCTCATTGTCATTAAGATTAAAATAATCAAGATGTATGAACTGAGCACAGTAAGATCAGAGACATAATATGGACTCAGCAATGCTGGCTGATTTTGCGGGGTAGGTTGGGGCCAGGATAAGAGGATCAGTTAACACTTTCCTGTTGTGGTTTCTGTACTAGCCTAATTAAGGTCTGAAAAGACTGCTGACCCTTGTTTTCCCAGTGTTCTTTTCCTCTGCTAACAATAGCCCATAGCATATTTTAACTATAATTTATGCACCAAAGTGTTTACATGTAATTTTCAAGATAAGAAAATAATTTCATCACTATTCTCAAAATTTCAACAATTTCTACATTATTGAGGTATCAAAACTATCCGAAGCATAGACATAATAAAAGATTCAGGAAAGGTTCCTAACCTTTGAGGTTGACTTCAAGGAAAACAACAATGCCCTTTCGTCAACAGGTCCCTGGGCAGTTCTCAGTGGATGGTCATGAGTACATGCCAGGAAGTGGCTCGGCAGGTCTGATTGCACCTTTCTTGTATGCCATCATTGCAGCTATTTTTATCATATGAAGTCTATTTTGTATATTATATCTAAAGTATGTGCTGAGTGTATTAAAAAGTAGATAGAGATATACATTTTTCAATACCTTAAGTTTCGGCATTATCCATCAACAAAGAGAAAAACAAATCCAAAAATAAAACCTAACTACCCTTCTTGTAATTACACTAAGCATAGTATAAATTTCCATGAGGTTCACAAGACAATAATACTAAACATAAAATAGTTGCTGAAGGGTGATAAGAACTTTTCTTAAGCTTTTCTTTGTTACACTGTTTGTACATACAAAGGTAATATAGAAACGTAAAATTGGAAAGGGAAAAGGAAATCAAAAGAGAGAAAACTTCATGATTAACTCCCAGTGATCTTCATTCTTCTCTCTTCCAATGAGATAACCAAATCAAACACTGGCCAAGTTGTCTTCTGCATGCTCATTAAAAATATGCAATAGTATACACACATACATACAGAAATGTTTGCTGTTTGTTTTATAAAAATGAGCTTCAAATATACATGTTACTGTGAAACTGATTTTTCTCACCCAGTAAAACATCATAGATATCCTTCACAGTCATTAGATATAGATGAAACTCACTTTAATAAACGCATAATAATCTATATTATACAAGCCCCACAAACCATTCCCCTATTTATTAAAGTTGAGGTTTGTTCCCCATATATATGTATAGGGGTGTGTGTGTGTGTGTGTGTGTGTGTGTGTGTGTGTGTTGGAATATACATATATATATTTTAGAGACTGGGTCTTTCTCCATCACTTATGCTGGAGTACAATGGCACAATCACGGCTCAGTACAGCCTCAACCTCCTGGACTCAAGCAATTCTCCCACCTCAGCCTCCCAGGTAGCTGGGACTACAGTCACGTGCTACCACACTCGGCTAATTTTTTAAAGTTTTTGTAGAGATGGGGCCTTGCTATGCTGCCCAGGCTGGTCTCGAACTCCTGGGCTCGAGCAATCCTCCTGCCTGGGTCTCCCAAAGGGGCTGAGATTGTAGGCACGAGCTACTGCCCAGCCATTCAGTATTTTTTAAAACACAACAAAAAAGCTCTATCTTTTTATATTGATGTTTTCAAATGGGAGACCACTGAGTCAAAGGAAAGTTACATGGTTAATAAAGATTGCCAGATTACTTCCACCAATGAGGATGTTTGCTTCCTCCCATCTTAGCCAGGACTGGATGCTGTCACTTCCTTTCATTTTTGTTACTCTAAGGGAAAAAGGCATCTCATTGTTATTTAAACTTCTTTTTCCCAGTGTGAAGTTTTAGTGTTGAGTCACCATTATCATTGAACAACACTTTATCATATTTCTCTAAATTAGGGTTTCCTGACTCCTGTATTATTAATATTTGAGGGTAGATTACTCTTTCTTGTTGAGGGTGGCCTTGTAGGTTGTAAGATGTTTAGTAGTATCCTGTGCCTACGAGATGTCAGTAGCACCTGCCCCCATATTTGTGACAACCAAAACATCTTCAGCCATTGCTAAACTCACCCCCATTTGCAAACCTCTACTCTAAAATGCTTAATTTAGAAAGATTTTGATTTTTAATTTCTCATTAAATTTGATTAACAAGCTCCCAGAAATCATCCCCAAGATATTTTTTCAAGGTTGATAGATTTCAAAACTTGATCAATAATCTAAAAATATGAGTGAGTATATGTAGCATCAATACAACATAATAAACACTGCCTTAGGCACACAATTAATTTCACCCCAGGAAAACTGAGAGCAGAGCCTACTGACAAACAGAAGGGAAATTATTCAAAACCTGGGCATAATACCTACTTTAATTTCAAAGTCAATAGGCAGTTTTTAAATTTCATCCCAACTCCCTGTGTATGACTTGTGAACAGGTAGAGATAAAAAGAGTTGTTAAATATTTAAATATCTATTCACTGTGCCAAAATCTCAAATGAGGCTATTTCTTTGATTATTTCTTTTGATTACTGCAGTATTTTGATTTACTTTGAGTTTCCTAATCCAAAATAGACCAGTGCTTTTCCTAGAACTTTCTATAATCGGTGAAAGACTTTCTCTTTTGTTAGGAAGTAGGACTCTAAAGTATTTTTACCATTTTAATTCTCTTAGACCAAAACCACACAAATTATTTTTCTCAGGGAAAAAAAGGTACATTCTAATTGTTTTTAAAACAGAGCAGTTTTTCTCAGCCTCAGAAGAGAAAAATACCGAGAAGAGCAAAAGCAATAGAAAAGTTTAATTGAAATTCAATACCAAAAGCAAGAACTAATATAACAATTAGTTATCTTCACCTATTCTTACAGACAGATTGAATGCTGCCTTATTTATAATAGTGATAACATAAGACACATAGAGACACACAGAGAAGTTCTTTGCAAAGAAACTGACCTTTATCAATTTATTCCAGGAGTAATTTTCTGGCTTTAATTAGAAGTCAATATTTCTTTCTGATGAATTCATAAATAATAATTAAAAGGCTACTAGCCATTCCCAGCTGGCTTCGAGGTTTCAATTCTCTGTAATGGCAAAGGGGATGTTTTAAAAAGGCAAAATGCCAGTCATGGGATCTATCTGACTTTTGATAAAATACTGACAACAGCATTACAGGGAATCAATCAACAATGCAAAGAGCTGACCAAAAGACAAACATGGAAACCTGCCCTCCTTTGCAAGACATGGGCTTTTGTGATAAAATCGCATGGCTTGACAAAATCTCCCTGCATTGTTACAGCACAGGCTTCCAGCATTTGCCACCCTTATCGAAGTCTATTTTTGAATTTTAGATATTTTGAGCTTAAAACTATTCACAAAGTTTATATTGAAAGAGAAAATTGAAGTTTCTTGCCTATGGTTAGGACCACTGTCTATCCTCTTCCCCCAAAGAAATTTGTTTAATCCCTAAAAATATTAACTGAACAGTTTTTGTCATATGAGTTGATGAGTCAATTAATAACTTACAGTTTCATCTAGTTTCAGCTCATTACCAGTTATTTCAGGTAGCTGTGTTTAATTATTTGAGTCCAAAAATAAGTTGAGAAATAAATCTCCCAACTAATGCTAATTGGTTTCCCATTATATGCATTTAAAAAATCTGTATAAATCACTAGATTAAATAACAAGCAATTGGTGGTGTTCTTCCAATTACAGCACCTCCAGCAAAAACTCCATTATACAGAAGCAAGCTGAATTATGGTTAATTTATTAATAAATTTGGTACAGCATATAATGAGTTTGTAGATACTGAAGCCACTTACATTCATTTAAGTAATCAAGAAGAGTTCAGAGACTTTAAAAAAATGAAGCTAACTTTTAGCTAAAAGAACTCAAGATAAAAAATGTGGAGAAGGAAGTAATCAGAGCAGCCGTGGCTGGGTAGCCCAAAGAAGTACTCCAGACAATCACACAGCTTTGGAAAAGAGCCTCTGCCACCACTGCTACCTCCTGTCATGTACATTTAGGAGTGCTTGTTTCTGCCCAACACAATTAGAGATCGGATGCAATCATTCTAAAATGCTGGACTGAAATGAGGAGGTTAGGAAGGCTCCTGGAGATTGAGATATTTTCTTGAGTAGAGAGAATTGACATTTTGTGGCTAACTCTGGTTCTATAATCCAGCCCTAGGGAAAATATAAAGTGTCTGTTCCCATGATAAAATAGAGTATTAAACAGGATCATATTATTTGTTTCTAAGAAAAGTTATTGTTATTGGCTTATCCATTGTGGTCTATTTCTGAACATTTAAATGGCTCCATAATGTATTTTTTTCATAAAGAGAAATAGCGATATGTCAAAAAATTATATGTAAGTGTACTTCAAGTAAAGTCATGGAGAGAGATGAACATTTAAGCTATTTTTTGTCAGTTCCAGATTTAGATATTAATCAGGGCATGAAGTCTGACTTTAATCTCAACCATGTCATTCTGAGTCTCATCCCCCTATATATTGTCCTTTGTAGGACGTATGCAATGGTAAGAAATTATTTGTGCAATTATTTTTCAATGCCAGTATACCTCCAAGAACACATAAGACCCTTGAGGTCACAGACTGTCTCTGTCTTATTAATGGCTTTATTGCTATTTAAGCTCAGAGGTCAGGGAATATATCAGCCTCTGTTTACCAATGAATATACTTCCTAGCACCATAAGTTTATGGTATATGTGTGTGTACACCCAGTAACAATAACTTGAAAGTTATTAATAATTGCAATAGCTTAAACAGTTATAATTATTCACGGCCATCTTGTTTTATCTCAATACTTAACCACTTTCTCCTCTGTCCCCAGATAATTTTTAAACAAATCCCAGAAAGCATTTTATAGCTTCTGTAAATATTTCGGCATGTAATACTAAAATAGAAGAACTATTTTTAAAAAATAACATTATCTCACCTAAAAAAAAACAAGTCTCTGATAGCAATAAATATCCATTCAATGTTCCTTGATTGCCTCATTCAATTTTTTACTATTTATTTATTTGATAAATAGTTTTGAACACATAGGTTTACTGAAGAGCAATAAAATATCTAAAACATTGGATAGGTTCTCAGCAATACTTTAAGAGAATTAACATATGACTCATTTACAATTTAAAGTACCATTAAAAAGTGGACTGCAATCAGATTCCATTTGTCATTTTTATTAAAGAATACTAAAGCAAATATAAGGATGAAAATAGGAGATATTGGGGTGGCACAATTTGTTCATGAAAATGGGCTTTAGACTCTGATGTGAACACTTTTTCTGGTCTCTGTGGGATTTTTGACTCCTTACTACAGTCCATTCAGCTAAAATGCTCCTAAGATGTCCACTTTCATTCATGATAGAGTAGCTGGTACCAGCTAGCCCTCTTACCATAAACAACTTTAATACTAGAATATGAATATATATGCACATTCATATTTAATACTAGACTATGAATATATATACACATACATATATAAATATATATATACTAGAATATATATATTACATTTATATTCTAGTAGTATTGTGTGTGTGTGGGTATGTCTGTGTCTGTGTGGGTGTGCGCGCGCACACGGATGGATGGAGAGAGACACAGAGAGAGAGAGAAACGGCTTTCAGGCATTGAGCATCAGGTATGTAATCCTGGAGCAAAAGAAAACAAAGAGGAGCCCCACCAGCACCAGCATACCTTCCTGGGGGCACTTCCCACTCTGTAATGCAGAGTGAGGGAGCTCAAATAACAGCACAGTGGTGTTGCTCAGCTACGGAAACAGATCTCTAAGTTCAGAGCTGCTGAGGCAGCTGTATTTACCAGGCAACGTAATGGAGAGACTTAGACCAGTGCTGTGAAGAAGTTCTATGAATTCGCATCGGGAGCCCCGTGAGTCTTTGGTTGAATACAAAGCTGTGCATCTGCACAGGAAGACTCCAGGGAGCTGGGCAAAGGGTAACTACTAAGGAAAGAGCAAGTGCCCTGTAGCCCTGATATGGTTTGGGTCTGTATCTCTGCTCAAATCTCATATTGAATTGTAATCCCCAGTGTTGGAGGTAGGGCCTGGTGGGAGGTGATTGGATCCTGGGGGTGGATTTCCCCATTGGTGCTGTTCTTGTGATCGTGAGTGAGTTCTCCAAAGATCTGGTTGTTTAAAAGTGTGTGGCACCTCCCCCTCTCCCCCTTCCTCCTGCTCCAGTCATGTGAGGTGCTCACTTCTTCACCTTTCACCGTAATTGTAAGTTTCCTGAGGCCTCCCCAGAAGCTGAGCAGATGCCAGCATTGTGCTTCCTATACAGCCTGCAAAACTGTGAACCAATTAAACCTTTTTTCTTTATACATTACCCAGTCTAAGTATTTATTTATAGCAGTGAAAGAATAGACTAATACAGCCCCACACCAATTAAATAAGCCAAATTTGTAATTAAAAATATTTTCTCAAAGTAAAATCTAAGCCCAGATGAATTCGCTGGGTGAATTCTATGAAACGTTTAAGGAAAAAGAAATGCCATTTGAGGGACCCCATCCTAACTCAGTTTGAGGCCAACATTTCCTGAACCCCAAATCAAAGACATTATAAGAAAAGGACACTACAAACCAACTTCCCTCTTGAATACAAAAGGAAAAATCATAAATAAAATATTAGCAATTTTAATACAGTAATAAATTAAATATTAACATAAAATTAATTACAATTAAGTAATTAAAAGCTTAACATGCAAGGGCCAAAGGGAAATTTTCACTCGAAAAGATTAGTTTAGATTAGAAAATGAATCCATATAATTTACGACATTGACAGAATTAAAAAAATCATACAATCACCTAACAATCACCTAAAGAAATACAGAGAAACATTGAATAAAATTTGGCACCTATTCATGTTAAAAACTATCAATACATTAGGAATAGAAAAAACCTCTGACAACCGAATAAAGATGATATACGGAAAATCTACAACTAAGAAGATCATATTGAACAATGAGACACTGAATGATTTTAACCTATTATCAAGAACAAAGTAAAGTTCAGAACTTTTATTCAATATTGTACTGGCAATATAACCTCCCCTTCCAAAAAAGTCATCTAGACTGAAAAGTAAATATATATATTTGCAGTTTGCAGTTAGCATGACTATGTAGCAAATTCCAAGGAATCTTAAAAAAAAATTAGAATTAATAAGTGAATTTAGCAAGGTTTCAGGATATAAGGCCATATAATATATATTAGTAACTAGCAATTAAAAACAAATGTTTAAGTACCAATTACAATAGCATCAACACAACATGAAACACTTAAAAAATTTAACAAAATCAGTGCAAGACACTACAAAATATTGCTGAGAAAAATTAAAGAAGACCAAGATAAAAGACCGATTTACGATATTCATGATTAGAAGACTCAATATTGTTAAATGACACATGTTTAAATTCAACACAACTCCAATTAAAATCCCAGCAGGCTTTTCTGCAGATATTGACAGCTGATTCTAAAATTTATATGGAAATGCAAAGGACCTAGCATAGTCAAAACAGTCCTTTAGAATAGCAAAGTCGAAAGCCTTACACTCGTGGATTTTAAGACTAACTCTAAAGGTATGATAATCTAGACAATGGGATTTGAGGGTACAGATGGTTGAATAGATCAACAGAACAGAATATAGAATCCAGAAGTAGATCAACATTACATGTTCAACTGATTTTCAATCAAGGCAATAAAACAATTCAATGGAAAAAAACAGTCTTTTCAACAAATGGTGCTGGAAAAACTGCCTGTCGATATAGAAAAAAAATAATCCTGACTCATACCTTAAACCATCTACAAATATACACTTGAGTGAATATCAAAGCTAAAGATGTAAAGCTTCCAAAAGGGATAGGTGAATATCTTTGTGACATTGAAATAGGCAAAGATTTCTAAAACAGACACAAAAAAGTCTAATCATAAACTTAAAAAAATTAAAAAATATGTAATGGACATTATCAAAATTAATGACCTCTACTCATCAAGGGATACATTATGAAAACTAATAAGCAAATCACAAGTCAGCATTACCATGACACCGAAACTAGACAAAGACAAGTAAAAAAATACTGCAGACCAACTTCTCATGACCACAGAAGCAAAAATCATTCATAAATTCTAGCAAAAATAAATAACCTAATAAAAATGGGCAAAAGTCTTAAACAGTAACCTTGTAAAATAAAATATATGAATGAGCAATGACCCCATGAAAAAGTACTCAACATCATTAGCCATCAGGAAAATACAAAATAAAATCACAATGAAATACCAGTACACATTCACTAATGTAACTACATTGAAATTATTGAACACCCCAAATATTGGAGTTTGTGGAACAAGCGAAGCTCTCATGCATTGCTGGTGGAAGTGTAAACAACCACTTTGGAAATTGTCCTGGCAGTTTCTTACAGAGTTTAATATCTACCTACCCTATCACCCAGCAATTCCACTCCTAGGTCTTTACTCAAGAAAAATAAAAAATATATGTACGCACAAAGGACTGTACAAAAATGCCCATGGACGCGTTATTCAACATAGCCTCAAACTGAAATAACCCAAAATCCAGCAACATAAGAATGGACAAGCAAGTGAGATTATATTCAAACCACAGACTACTACTCCAGAATAAAAAGGAACAAAAGACCAATACAGTCGGGGCACTGTGGCAGACGCCTGTAACCCCAGCACTTTGGGAGTCCAAGGCAGGAGGATCGCTTGAGCCCAGGAGTTTGAAGCCAGCCTGGGCAACATAGGGAGACCCCAATCTCTATTTTTATTTTAATTATTAAAAAACACCAATATGGGTACTACAAAATTGATGAACCTCAGAAACATTATTCTGAGTGAAAAAAAGCAGAAAGACACAAAGGGTATATAGGTGGTATAATTTTATTCATATGATTTTTTAGACCAGGGAAGCCTAATCTATTGATGAAATAAATCAGAACAATAGTTGCCTTTGGGTGGGGAGGCGCATTGACTGGAAAGGGATCTAAGGGATCTTTCTGGAGTGGTGGAAATGTTTATCGTAATATGGGTGTGGGTTACAGAGGTGTATGCATTTGTCAGAAGTTATCTAACTGTAGTCATAAGATCTGAGAATTTTACTGTCTGTAAATTACAACTCAATTTTTAAAAGTGCTCCTGAGTTTCTGTCCACTGGAAAGAATTAGTCCGAAATATTTTACCACTTACTAGATGCTACTAAAATACTGGTATTGGTGATTAGGCTTAAAATTCTCTGGCCTCCTTTGTCTACTTAGGACACTCTTATTCATCTTCAAAGTCTAAAATCAGGGCTCACTTCCCTTAGCAAGCAGGCCTCCATTGTCTGTCAGATTTGGACATACCCCATCTCCACGCCTAAGGCAAAGATTTATCTTATTTAATACTTGAAACCTCAGTGTTGTCATATACATGATATATATGGCATTAGGTAGACATCTCATAAATGTTTATTTCACATGTGAATACAGTATTTTTGTTTTCACATCACATCTACCAAGAGAATCTGCCATTTTTTTGCACTTACAAGATGCCAGTTGCGTTGAGGTTCATTGATGTGACATTCTGCTTATGTTCTATTAACTGACCTGTCTTTATATGCATATGCCTAATACTTAGGAGTCACCCATGATTCCTCACTATTCTTTCACCCTTTCACCTTTCTCAGCCAATCCATTAGCAAGTCCTGGCAGTTTTACCCCCAAACTATGTCCCAATCCTTCTATAACTTTCATTCTCCAGATCTTGGTCCAAGCCACCAACTTCTCCTGCCAGAAGTACTGCAACAAACTCCTAACTGAACTCCTTGCAACACATATATTCACCCCACTTCAATTCAATAATGAAAGCCAAATAATATTTCTTATTCTTCTCCAGACTCTTCAGTGGTTTCCCACGGACCTAGAATAAAATCCAAATTCCTTTGCGATGCCTTCAGAGCACCACATTATCTGTCCCCAGCCTGCTCTCTCACCTGTCACAAGACATCCCCATCCCCTGGGCCACCTGCCTTAAGCTCCAGCCATCCTCCTATTCTGCTCCTTGTGCCTGACACAACTATTTTTTTTTCTCCAGGCCTTTGTCTTTGAGATTGCTCTCTCTTGAGCAGTCTTACCCCTTGCTCTTTCTTCCACTCATCCTTCACGTTTCAACTCCAATTTCATCTCCCAAGTTACCTTAGAGATTCTTGATTATTCAGTCCTCTTTTCTATCCTCCACTGGAACATAGACTCAATCAGTCAGGGAACTTGACTGTCCTGTTCACTTTGACATCCCCAGGACATAGCACCAAACCAGGCACATAGTAGGCACTCAATAAATACCTGCTAAATGAACAGACAGGCAACCTAAAAACAACAAGTGTTAGTGTCCAGGTTTCCCAGGCATTTAAAATTTTCACAGCTGGATTTTTAGCTTGTATCTTTCTGGTTCCATCATTCCTGATTTCCTTCATATTTTTAACTTTTCTAAGTGTTTCTCTGCTATAACAGTACTCTCGCTGGTGTTTTCAACACCTCTTAATTTAGTATCACCTGCAGATTTCATTAATTTATTGTTTACTGCCTTTTGCAGATTATTAATGAAGATGTTAAATAAGAAGAAAGCAACATCCTTCCCCATGTACTGCAGTTGAATTACTAATCACTTCACGAATGCTGAAGAAAGCATTTTAAAAAAGTTTTTTCTGCAATATATACAACCTACACTGAAAAATCTTAAGCTATATGTACTTCATTCAATTCATTCATGCATACGAATATTCAAAACCTTCATTTAAGCTCAAAGGCCATGGAGATAAAAAAGAAGACAAATTAACCAGTTGACAAGGACCTAGCTGTCCAATGTGTTGACTTTGTTGTTACACAATATAGTCAATTCTCATTATTCACCAATTCTGTGTTTGCAAATTCCCCTATTTACAAAACTTTATCTGTAAACCCAAAACTAATACTCACAATGCATCCATAGACGTGTGCAGAGCAGTGGAAAATTTGAAAAGTTGCCTGATGCTCACATTTTCAGCTAAGGTGAACTTTGCCTGCTTGTCTCAGTTCTCATACTATAAACAAGCATCCTTTTTGCAGATTATTTAGTGCCTTTTTTTTTTTTTTTTGCATTTTTGTGTTTTTGTTGGTGATTTCGATGTTTAAAATGGGCCCCAAGTATAGTGCTGAAGTGCTGTCTGGTGTTCTTAAGCACAGAAGGGCTGTGATGTATCTGATGAAGAAAATATGTGCATTCGATAAGCTTCCTTCAGGCATGAATTACAGTGCTGTTGATTGTGAGTTTAATGCTAATGAGTAAACAATATATAGTAAATAAGCTGTCTGTAGTCAGAAATACACACAAAATAGGGTTATACATTGATCAGCTGGCAAAAGTGTGTGAGCATAAGCTCACAGGCACCTAACACCATGTTTCTCCTAGGAACCCTGTAGTGTTCCCTGTGCCTCTCTAGACTATGATTACCACAAAAAAAAAAAAAAAAAAAAAGAGAGAGAAAAGACTGTATGTATAATGTGATCTGGGAGTAAGCATTATTAGATTATTTTAATAAAGCAGTTCAAAGAGGAAAATATGCTTAAACAAACATTTGAAAAATTAGAAGTTCGAAATGGGAGTAGGGGTGCAGACAATGAGATGAGCAATGAGGGGGGAGAAGGGTATTCCAGGCGGATGGAACAACAGATACAAAGACACAGAGCAAGGGTCAACAAACTACAGCTCCTGGCTCAAACCCAGCCCTTGACTATTTTTGTAAGCGAAGTTTCATTGGAACACAGCCATATCCACTTGTTTACTCGTCATCTACTATTGTTTCGAACCTCTGGCATAGAGGCACCAGAAGCACAGTAAAGAGAATGAGAGGTAGCAAACTACTGCTACCCAGTTTGCAGTGAACTGTTCATGTGGAAGAGGGACAGTAAATAAAGCCAGTTAGCAGGAGCCAGGTGATGAAGGGCCTCACAGGCCATGAAAAGGGTTTACATAGGGAGCAGGTGTTAGGTAATTGGATGCACCGCAGAGGACAGAGTGGATAGGGGAGAGACTGGAGGCTGAGAGGCCAGTTAAGAGGCAAGGGAAATAGAAGATGGGAGTTTGGTTCCCACGGTGATTTAAATAAAGGGGAGGGGGTACAATTTCAAAAAAATTTTCAGAGACAGATTATGCTAACTTTGTGAATATTTTGATTCAAATGAGTACAAAGAAGAGCAAGAACAGACCATGGCTCCCCGGCCTCTGAATGGGATGAACTGGTCCATGATGGTGCCATCCTCCAAGACTGAGATTCCAGAGGAAGAGTTATGAGAAAGGGGAAGGATATAATTTCGGTCATGGACACTTTGAAGTTGAGACGACACTGAGACATCCAAATGGGGAAATATTGATCTGCACAAATAGGCAGTGTGGATTGAGTAAACAGTTTATCAAAGAATAATCAAAACCCTGATTGTGGTTAGCCTGCTTAAGGAAAGCACAGATGGTGATACATACAGTGAAGAGATGGGATGGTGGGAGGGGTGATGCAATAATTGATCCATTAGGGAACAACAGCCAGGCGTTGGGAGGATGAGAAGATTTTGCCAATAGTTTGTAATGGTGATCAAACATGGCAAGAACAACTGGTATCTCAGGAATCACATAAATTTCAATCCTTATGTGATATAGGTGAGTCAAATTCTACATTTATATCTTAAGAGGCCTTCTTAATTTGAATGTAAGATAGCTAGGCCCATTGCACAAGTTCACGTCAGAATTAAGAGAGTTCCACAGGCACATACTCTGTGCATGCAACCAAATTCGAAGCCCAATTGAAATTACATGGAGTGTTACCATGTTGCAGGATCACAGCAGTAGAAGGGAGGTGCCAAAACATGGCTCATGTAATGCTGCTCTAAGTTAAATGATCCAGTAAGAATTAAAGACTTTCGGCCGGGCGCGGTGGCTCACGCCTGTAATCCCAGCACTTTGGGAGGCCGAGGCGGGCGGATCACGAGGTCAGGAGATCGAGACCATCCCGGCTAAAACGGTGAAACCCCGTCTCTACTAAAAATACAAAAAATTAGCCGGGCGTAGTGGCGGGCGCCTGTAGTCCCAGCTACTTGGGAGGCTGAGTCAGGAGAATGGCGTGAACCCGGGAGGCGGAGCTTGCAGTGAGCCGAGATCCCGCCACTGCACTCCAGCCTGGGCGACAGAGCGAGACTCCGTCTCAAAAAAAAAAAAAAAAAAAAAAAAAGAATTAAAGACTTTCTTTCAACGACATGAAGGAGTTGAAGCAGTTAATGAACTCTTGCTGTATGTCAGGCATGGTAAGTGGTACAATTACCGAACATTTAAGATGAAGGGGCTTTGGGGGAATCACCTTCTCCAGGGGTTGCAAACTGTGCTCTTCCAAGTCCTAGGTAAGCCTCCCTGGGTGCCAAACCCCATCAGACCCCATTCCTTGTGGCAAGGCCCAGCTATCTTCCTACTAAACCCAATGTCTTGTTTGTGCTGGGTATACAGTCCACTTCTCAGCCTCCCTTGCAGTTAGGGATGATGGCACTGATGTACTCACTTCTGGACCTAAGTCATAAAACCCTAACTTAGGTAATCCTCTCTCTCACCCCATTTTCTAGTTGGGGTCAAAAGTTAGAGCTGTCTTGGAGGTCCCATGTTGAAGGTGGCAGAGACTCTGTCTCCCAGGATCTCTGAATGATTATCTGGAGGGAGGTCTAATTCCAACCCTAACTCTTGACAATAGACTGACTATATGAGTAAGAACTACACTGTATTTCTATACTACTATGATTCAAGGTTTTTTTGTTACAGTATTAGTGTTAATATCTTAACTAATACATTCCCCCTTCAAGCTAAACAGCATTGTATGTATCATTTTTACATAAAGTGTTAACATAAGTATGTGTTTAAAGAAAAAAAGTCTTCCTCTATTAATAATATTATAAAATTATTGATATATTTTAACTTTTTCACTTCAAAACAATGTACTGAGGTTCAGACTGGTTAAATATTTTTCCAAGGCTACCCACTATATATCTAAATAGTCATGCTGACTTAAGGAGAATTTCCCCCATGAAATAGATGGTACATATAGTGTCACTTGACTTGAACACTAAAAGACACTAAACTGAAGGAAAATATAACAATTGTTGAATTAATCTACCAATTGCCACTGGGAAAGAAGTGAGAAAAAGCTAACCTGATAAGTAAATGTGCCAGCCTTCTTCTCTTGATCTATCATTTTCTAGGTACCTGAGGTTCTTCTGGCTTGTCTTCTAAGTTCCATCATAGATTTTGCAAAAGAATTTTTTCATCTTAGGAGCTTTATTTCAAAAAATTAAGCAGTTATTTGAAAGTAGTTGAACTCATTTAATATTCTAGTGATATCCAATCAAATATCAACTGAAAATATGCTAGGCACTGTACTAGGTCCTGGGAATGTAAATTGTTCTTGCCCTCAAAGAAGAGATGAGATAGACATATAATGAAAGCATTATAAAATAGTGAGATAAATGTTAACAGATGTATAAAAACTATAGGAGCACCAAAGACAGAGCCATAACTATTTAATATTCCATAGGTTTCATGTAATTTAATATCCTAGAGGATCTTATATATCTTAAAGATTATTCATCATCAGCTAGGAATAAGATCCAAGAGAACAGTAATGAGTGTACTATTTACAATCACCATTGCTGTGGTTTGAATATTTGTCCCCTTCAAAACTCATGTTGAAATTTAGTCCGCACTGTGGCAGTATTGAGATGTAGGGCCTTTGGAGGTAATTGGGTCCTGAGGGCTCTGCCCTCATAAATAGATTAATTCAATCATGGTTTAATGGATTAGTGGGTAATACTTGGGAGTGGGACTTGTGGCTCTAGAAGAGGAAGAGAGACCTGACTTAGGATACTCAAGCCTCTCACCACATGATGCCTTGTGCTGCCTCCACAGAGTCCCCACCAGCAAGAAGTCCGTCCCCAGATATGGCCCCTTGACCTTGGACTTCTCACCTTCCATATCTATAAGAAATAAATTATTTTTCTTTATAAATTACCCAGTTTCAGATAATTTGTTATAAGCAGCAGAACAGGGACTAAGGCAACCAGTCAGCACCTTTATGTTGATTGTAACCACTAATACTGATGAATTTCTACTTTTGAACGATCAAAAAAAATTGTATGAGGTGCTTCACCAGTGAAATACAAAAGAAGACCAACACTTTAGGGTTAAAATATTTATGGATCCTACTAGTTTCTATTACACCAGAGTGATGTGATGAATTTCTATACTTTGTCTATTGTTGGGATGGAAAATAATAATAGAATTTCAGAGATGGAAAGGACCTTAGAGATCATCTAATCCAACAAGATGAATAAACTTTTCTTTTCCATTGCCAATAAACTGGTGAAGTGTGAGAAATACAACTCTTTTGAGTTATAGGTGGTCTGATGAATTGAGACGGCCATGGTTCAACCTAAGACACTGGAGTTTCTCCACATCACAAAAAATAAACTTTTTTCGTAAACAAAGTCAATTTAAGTTAGGTGGCTTTTATCAGTTCTATGAATACCCCATCAATATCAGAACAAAAAAAAATGCACTCTGAAAGAGAAATAGAGGAACTTTTATTTGGTTTCCCTTTGAGACTTTAACAGAAAATGTTGCAATTCCCTACTTACTCTTTTTAAAAAGAAATTATTTTTGAAGATGACTGGCATATTTTCAAGGAGCTACTGTGAAACGCATTTAAACAAGAATTCCTCAGTGGTTGGTGATCTTTGTCTAATAATAATGAGACACTAGTCAGATTTTTTAAAAAATGTCTACCTTCATCGCCAACTTTGAGGCCACGTCAAAAGAGATTATGGTTTCAGATGTCCTTGCCCCCAGCATCCACTACTAATCCCCAGAGCTCCTGGTTCTCCTTAGAGTGGGAAGTTATCCTGGTCACCACTAAGGATTGTTTTAAAAATTAAAAACATCTAGCTCATTAGGAAAGCACTTCTATAAAAGCTGAATGGAGTTTATCAGATGTTCTCGAACCTAGCTGCACATCACAGCTACCAGAAGGGGATTTGAAAAATACGAAGTGCCAAATCCTACCTCCAACCACTGATTAAGTAGGTCATATATTGTGCCTGGGAACCTGAATTTATTATTTTTTTGCCTTTCAGTGATTCACAACATGCAAATGCAGATTATCACGTCTTTTAATAAGAAAAAAGTTATTTGCATTCTTATCTACTAGATGCAAAGCTTATGATAATATAATTTATAAAAAGAAAATGCCTTTTGCTTTATTTTATTAAAAAATAATTAAGAGGGCTTCAAGCTCATTTGTCTCCTAAGAAACAGCATCTTCAGGAAAGATGAGGCAAAAACAAACACTTTGTCATCCCCAAAGCGCTCTGTGATGCTATTGCTGTAACTTGGTAGTTAACTACATTCTGCACAACTAAGAGAATAAAAGGATTCATCTACATTATATGTTGGTCCTGTTGGTAATCATTTTCACTTTTTTTTCCTTGTTTTAAGTCTATAGGTTAGAAGGTAGCCATTAGCTTTCTATAGCAGGCATGGTGGTTTGCTTTCTATCCTTATAGGGAAGACTATTGCTTATTTTATTTTTGGTGCATTACACTATTTTTCCAGCCACAGGTGCAATTACAAATCACCCTATAAATGGCTTTCATAACTAGAACTCCAAGGGGGATTCAACAAGGTTTTCCATATGTAATTACCCAATTGGAAGTTAGCCAGATTCCCAGGACTGCAACCCTTACACTTGTGAACAGGAAGATTTGGTTGTTAATAATCACACCACTCAGCATCCTCATATTTAGAAATCTTTAGAAAGTGACTTAATGCTCCATAAAAAAATCGTGGCAGATCACAAGAGGAGTAGTATCTCCATAGAGCAACCCACTAGGGGTAGGTCCCACCAGCTGGCAAGATAGCCTACTGGTATTCAAAGTCATCTGTTTTTGCATTCAAGGTATTTAATAATTGAATGCTGGAACAAATGTGTATTTCTTTTAATTTTCTCTAAGTTCATTTTTTTTTCTGAGAAGTTCCACACCTTTCACATGGCTTTATTTTTACCTGTTATGTGTATCATTCTTCTTCCTTTTCAATGACAATATTGTTAAAAATACAGCTATCTCTGAGTGTGGGAACGGTCCAGGATGTCAAAATGTACTCTAAAGATTTTTCACATTGAATGTATTTGATTAGTTGTAAGGAGCATCTATTGACACTGCTTGCTGTCATTTGCCACTCCAATGTTTTTTTTTAATTCACAGAATGATTCTCTCTTCTTTTTACACTGTTCGTGCTATTGAAACTAGGCTTCAGTGAAAGCTGGTAATATTTCCTCTGAGCACATTGTGGTTCAGTTGGCTTTCAGTTCTATTATTAAGGTATTGTGCTGTCATAACATTCATCCTTTTCTTCTAAATAAAAGTCAAGATCCAGATGGGTGCAGTGGCTCATGCCTGTAATCCCAGCACTTTAGTGAGGCCAAGGTGGGAGGAACACTTGAGACCAGGAGTTCAAGACCAACCTGGTCAACATAGCAAGACCTTGACTCTATATTTAAAAAAAAATATATATATATATATATATATATATATATATATATAGAGAGAGAGAGAGAGAGAGAGAGAGAGAGAGAGAGATAGACAGATAGAAAATTTTAAAATTGAAAGCAATTTCAAAAAAAAAAAAAAGATTCTTCAGCAAAACTCTTCTCAATTTTGCCCCCAGCAAGTCCTGAAATTTCCTCAACTGATCTGCCTTCTTTCTTTCTCTCTCTTTACTTAGAAGCTTTCCAGGTGAACTGAGCAGTTTAAGAATTGGAACCTACAGTCATATTCACAAAGTTCAAGTCCCAGTTTAGCCACTTACAAGCTGTGTGTCCTTTGACAATTTGCTTAGCCTCTCTGTGCCTCAATTATCTTATCTAAAACATGAGAATGCTCTAAGAGCTTAACTCGTTGGGTTGTAGAAAGAATTAAGTAGATTTACAATATTGTATACATCCTATCATTATCCTTCAAATACCTTTTATTCTGGTGAAGTCTTCTATTGCTCTGACCCACAGCTATTCCCCCAACCCATTCTATACCACTTAAAGAGTAACTATATATCTGACACTTCACATGCATGCTGTCATGCATATTATATCATAAGATCTCCCTTAAGATTGAGGAACTACTTTCTTAGACTTCTGCACTGAACACAGTGATTGACACATGGTATGTATGCAAAACTTTTTGGCTGGTGATGCTGAGACTATAAAGTGCTAAAAAAGAGATTACTTTTTAAAAATGGGAGGTTGTCAAAAAAAAGTAATTCTTACATACAATTGCAAATAAATCCCTTCATGAAGAAAAGCAGCACCTAAAGAGGGTAATTCTTTGAGAAGCTTGAGTTTTAAAGTGGAAATATTCAAAAGATGGTAAGAAGGACTCTTAAGCAGATGAAAGAGGCTTGGCCACATAAGAACTGTGTTAGTAAGGCAAAGCCACAGGGGAACTGAGGCTTGAGAGAAAAAAAAAAATGATGGGCAATAACGGAAGAGGCTCTTACAGTTTTGTTCAGAACTTGAAGTTGACAAGAATAAGCAGGTTTGTGCCTTGAACTGGTGGTCTAATTCAATGGATAATTGGGAGAAAGAAGAACATGGCTATTAAAAAGGAGGGGATTTCCAGACCAAATGGGAGATGGAGTACAGATCAGCAAGAAAGAACACTAGCCTAAGGGAGTTCATCAGCTCTGAGATTAAAGGCAAAGAATGGGTGCAGCATAGCCTAGTGGTAAAAGAATTTGAGCCTTGGGTTTGAAAGAGCCGTGTGACCTTGGGCAAGTCACGTAAACCCTCACTGCCACAGCTTCTAGACCTGCAAAATGAAGGTAAAATGCTTTCATCATGAGAGAAATTGTGAGGATTTAAAAAACTAGTAAGTGGAGTTGCGGAACAAACTATAGTAGTGGTTGTTGTCATTAAAAGGACTAATATTTATAATAGTGTTATAATAAGGGCATCTGAGTTCTCTGAAGGGGTTCAGATCTGATGTCTTCCATGAATTTTACCCCACCGAACCAAGAGAAATTTCCAAAGGGATTGCTCAAGTTCTACGGACAGAATCTAAAGAATCATAGAAACCTAAACACACATCCTGAAACAGAAGGCCAGCAAATGCACTTCTAATTATCATGCAAGAATAGGAGAAAAGTGGAGTTCATGAACACAGCCGCTAACTGGATGGTTCCTAGAAAAGGAACGGTGATGGCCAAGACCAAAAAGTCATGACTGGCTGACTTCATTTCCAGCCCCCTTCTCCAATGCACACACATTTTTAAAATTCTAAATTGGCCGGGCACGGTGGCTCACACCTGTAATCCCAGCACTTTTGGGAGGCCAAGGCAGGCGAATCATGGGGTCAGGAGTTCAAGACCAGCCTGGCCAACATGGTGAAACCCCATCTCTACTAAAAATACAAAAAAATTAGCTGGGCATGGTGGCAGAGTCCTGTAATCCCAGCTACGCAGGAGGCTGAGGCAGGAGAATCACTTGAACCCAGGAGGCAGAGGTTGCAGTGAACCAAGGTTGCACCACTGCACTCCAGCCCGGGCGACAGTGTGAGACTCTGTCTCAAAGAAAAAAAAGAAATTCTAAATCAAGTTTCTAGACCAGAATATAAGCGACAATGAGCTCCCTTAGGGTAGAGACAGCATCTTGTTGGTTCACTGCCAACTCCTCAGTGCCTGTCACTTAGTAGGCACTCAGTGATGCCTGATTGAATGACTAGATAAATAAGACAACAAATAAATACATGAAACAGAATAGGCCAGCTGGATCTATATTTCTATAAGACATTCAACAGAATATTATAATATCCCTGTAGATAATATAGTGATATAGAAAGATGGAAGTCACCTGAGGGAGATTCATAACTGGAGGAAGCCCTTGCACCCAAAGGGTCATGATTAACTGATTCATGCCAATTACACAAGCAGCTGGCTTCAGGCTCACTGATTTCTCCATGGCTCTGCTCTACTCAGTGTGTCAATATGTCTGGGATGAAGACATAGAACACAAATTCAGCAATTTTACTAATGACCTGGAGTTAGGAAGGCCAATGAATACACTGTAAATTAGAAATTGTATTTAAACATATTTCAATAGGTTAAAACAGTCGACCAGATTGGCGAGGACGAAGTGTTTTAGCATAATGGCTCATATCTGAATACTACATTAAATTATATGAAACGCTTCTGCAAACCTTATTTTGTGTAGTCCTCACAATAGCACTACAGTGGGTTGAATGGTGCCCCCCAAAAGATATGTTCACCCAGAACCTGTGAATGTGATTTTATTTAGAAAAAAAGGTCTTTGCAGATGTCATTAAGTTTTGGATCTCAAAATGAGATCATCCTGGATGAAGGGGGCCCTAAATCCAATGACAAGAGTTTCTATAAGGCCACGCATGGTAGCTCACACCTGTAATCCCAGCACTTTGGGAGGCTGAGGCAGGCGGATCACTTGAGGTCAGGAATTCGAGACCAGCCTAGCCAATATGGTGAAACCCCATCTCTACCAAAAATACAAAAATTAGCCAGGCATGGTGGCACACATCTGTAATCCCAGCTACTGTGGAGGCTGAGGCAGGAGAATTGCTTGAACCCAGGAGGTGGAGGTTGCAGTGAGCCAAGATCACACCACTGCACTCCAGCCTGGGTGACAGAGTGAGACTCTGTCTCAAAAAAAAAAGGAGTTTCTGTAAGACAAGTGAAGGAGATAAGACACAGAGGAGAAGGTAAAGTTCCTATGAGACAGAGACTGGAGTGATCTATTGACAAGCCAAGGAACATGAGGTGTTGGCAGAAGTCTGAGAAGCAAGGAAAGATGTGGACCATATTCTCCCTGGGAGCCTCCTGAAGGAGCCAACCTTGCCAACATCTTGACTTTGTACTCATTCTGAGAGAATACATTTCTGTTGTTGTAAGTTACCAAGTTTGTGACACTTTGTTACTTTACTAGGAGACTAATTTCTAGAAAACTAATACAAATACTTTTTTTTTTCTTCACAAACAAGGAACCAAAGTCAGAAATGTGGCAGTTTTCCAAAAATTCTTTTATTTGACAAGTCTTTGTTGTGTCCCTACCATGTGCCAGGCATTATTCTAGATGTTGGGATTCTGCAGTAAACAAATCAGACTTGGCCATAAGGAGCTTCTGTTCTAATAAAGGGAGACACAATAAGTAAAGAAACCAAATGAATAAGTGACACGGCAGGCGGTGGCAAGTGTTACGGAGGAAAAGGCAGTAGGCTAAAGAGAACTGAGCATGCTATTTTCCATAACTAGGTAAGGTAAGGGACTTCTGAGGAGGGAACATTTGGCCAGAAACCTGATAACACTGAGGAAATGGGGCAGACAGAAATCTAGTAGAAGAGGGTTTCATGTGGAGGCAGTTAGTGGCTAGGACCTAAAAAGGGAGGTTACTTAGTCTGAGGAGCACAAGATGTCCAGGGTGGCCAGAATGGAATGAACCACGGGGAAATAGTGGGAGACAAGGGGAGAATCATGGGAGGGGGAGGGGAGAAAGGGATTGTATGGAGCCCCGTAGGCATTGTTAAGTATTTTACCTTTTGCACTGAGTTAAACAAGAAGATGCTGGAAAATTTTAAGCAAAGGAAAAACATGTTCTAACATGATTTTAAAGGATCTCTCTGGCTGGCGTATTGAGAATGGGCCATAGTGGGGCACAAGCAGAAGTGAAGAGACTCAGGAGGGGGCCATGGCAACAGTCCATGCAAGAGTTGATGGTGCTTGAACCTTAGAAGTGATGATGGAGGTGGGGAGAAATGATCAACTTCTAGAGGGGTTGAAGGTGAAACTGGCAGGGATTTAAAGAGAGGAGTCAGGGCTGACTTCAAGGTTCTGCGCTGAACCACTGGAAGGATGGGGTTGCCACTTACTGAGATGCAAAGACAATGAATTAGTGGTACAGCAGGAATTTGAACTCAGGTTACATGCGCCCTTGCCTAGTAGTCAGTACCATTGTCCCCAGATCTCACAGGAGTAAATTGGTGCTATTCTAAAAGTAAAACCTTCACAAGGTGGAAGACTGGCTGGACCCTTCTATGATGCAGGGTAAGGAAAGACACCAGAGGTGGGAACAGCCGGCATTCCTATAATCAGGCTGGTCAAGGACATCTGAGTCCCCCAAGGGTCAAGGGGATGGTCCAGGAGACTGTCAAATGATCTCATGCAGACCCCGGGTGATCGTCCACTTTGGAAGCCAGTGCTCCACACCTGGTACCTTCAGTGGAACACAACCTCACCACCTGTATAGACCAGGGCCTCTGGAGACAAAGCCATTCTACCCAGTTCTGAGCAAAAGCCAGGAAATGCACCATCAATCACATCTAAGCCAGCCTAGATTGATCACCCACTCATTCATCCAATACGTGTTTCCTTCCTGCTCCCATGTGTCAAGCTCTTTACTCTGCAGATTCATTGGTAAAGAAAACAGACAAAGCACCTGCCCTTGAGAAACAATTAATAATAGAAAACACACTACAAACACATGATACATACATTTTAAAACCTTCACAAGTATGAGATGGGAAAAAGCGACTTAGGAAGATGATTTAGCATCTGCATGATTAAAACTCATTAAAGTTGAGGACAAGTCCAGGTTAATTTACCATAGGATGGCATTGCCAAAAACAGGAATGTAATCTCTTATCTCCTGACAAGAATGTCTTTACAATAGTTTAAACCACTGTTGGTGACCATCAGGCCTGAAGTAGCCCATCCAGTTCTCAGAGCTACATTTTTAGGCCAAAGAAAAACAGAAAAAAGAGAAAGAATTCAGAGGAGAGCAGCTAGAACAGGAGGGTATTTCAAGATGGGAAGGTTGAGCAAGACAGGTTTGGAGAAAGGTACAGGCTGTGAGGAAAATGTTCTGTGAAATGGAGGATAACGATGCCTATTTCACAGGGCAATTGACAGGATTAAAAGTGATAATGTACTAGCAAATTCTCTACAAATGCAAGGCATCGTTATTAAAATTGAAGGCCTGTCATGCAGAAGAGGTTTTGGATGCATTCTGTGTGGCCCCAAGAGGTAGAGGCAGAACTAAGAGCTACAGCATTTCTGTTCAAAGTGGAGAAGGACTGTCCACAGATGGAAGAGGCGGGCTGTTTGGTGAACTGACTTCGTCAAATCTGGGTATGTTCAAAGGCTGACAAGCTGAAGACATGATTGCAATGTTAAAAGGGAATTCTCCCATTTAATGGTCTGTAAATTTTAGTTTTTTGTTTTGTTTTTAAACAACTCTGAGGCTATAGTAGTAGTCTAAACTTTTTCTTATTGCTTCTGTATTAAGTCCTTGGCCGCATTCGCCCCACAAAAAGATAATGTAATTCAATTCCCCCAATTAATCAGTAAAGCCACAAGTGACCTTCCCACAGAGGTCCAGTTATAATTATGCCACTTAAAGTAGTCTCCTGGTAGAACTTATTATAGAAGAGGTTAGAGAAGTTTATTCTAATTCATCAAAGGTCAACAATCAAATAAAAGCCAATACAGTATAATAATAATTATCTATCTCACCAAACCATAGTAGTATGTTTAAATGAGTGAAACTTTTCTTTTGAAAAAAGTGGAAACAATATAAATTATTATTAGATAACAAATAAGCACCACAATGACGAAATGTTCTTGCTAGGGTAAAATAATTGAGATGATAATTAGGCATAATTAGCATTATTATGAGTCAATCATATTTCAATGAAAAGAAAACATATTTGGCTAAAAGGCTAGGATTTTGTTGTTGGTACTGTATAAATTCTTTCTGGTTCAGCTAGGTCACTCATTGTATTTGCCAATCAATTATGTTAGAGATGACTGGAGATTTCCATTTTAACAAAAGCCTATTTTTGCAAACAGCAGAGCTTTTAGAAGCTTCTCTCCTTGATGCGTCCAAGGTCTTTTCACTGGCTCTTGTCACTCTCTTTCTAATCCAACATATTTTATGACTATTTGCCAGTGTTACAGACAAGCCCACAACTTAAAATGGCAATAACAAGATGACAGTATTTAGAAAAAAATGATTACTTTCTCTGTTTTATTATAACACTTCCATATACATGGCAGGGGAGGGGGACAAAATTTTATCATAGAAAATAATCTTTTTTTTATTTTCCCACATTATTCATCATGTTTAAAGTTGCATTTATTTGTTAAATCAAATTCCTGTCTACACTGAATCCCCAGAAGGTTTTGTTATGTTTTTCCCACATCTTTTTAGAATTCTTAAGATCTTGGTAGAAAAAGAAAGGAATATCTTTGTAAGTAAGAAAAGGTAGATCAGTAATAAAAGATCTAGAAATACAATATTGGACAAGTTTAGGCAACGGCTTCCTGGAAGTAAAACAAGGAAATTGGAATACACAAACAAATACACAAATCTGTGACTTCAGTCTTAATAATCTGGAACGTTACAGTTTACCACAGCGAAATAGAGGCTGCATGGGGCGCATTTAAAATGTAGAATAGAACATGGTTTCCTACAAGGAGATGGGGATAGTTCGGCCAAAATATTCTGAAATGTGCTCAAGAGAAAAAAGAAGGCCCTAGAAGGGAAGTTGCTAGCAAGAGTCACAGTTATAACTATGATATGTGTAACTGTGATATAAATAACAGAATAACAATGATCTCAGGATTTCAGCAATCAAAAAGGAAAATTACATTTTTAGGTCTCTGATATCGTTATCCTAGGATGAGGAGCAGGGGTTCTCTAAAATAGTCATGAAAGGAAAAATAAAAATTTCACATAGATTTAAAAACCCTGGATTCCTCCTTGGTAATCAATACTTTCCACAGAAGCCTACAAAGATCAAAGATCCCCTTAGATATAAATTATAATAAAGACAGAATTTTCACAGTTTAAGTGATCTAAAGAAATACAATAATAGTTGGCATAAAAAATGATCTACAGGATGCTTAAAGTTAGGTAACAGCAGTTGCATAGCTCTTTCCTTCTCTCAATGAACTTATCAATAATTTATCAGGAAAATGTCAAAATGTCCTTGTCAGGAAGGTACACAGGATAATGATACTTGTTTTTAAAAACAGTTCATGCAAGAGGCTGTAAAATGATAGTCAGGTGCTCGAGGCACACTTCCAACTCTTTCATCTAACCACCTACTTAAATGTTGTGGAACATAAATCAAGGGAAGCAACAGCTAGAAATCAGTCCCTTTAAAATGCAGTCTTTGACAGCTAAATGCAGAGGAGGCCTGGTCTTATAATTGACATATTTCATCATTATTCAGTGGCAAAGGACTCTAAGAATATTTTGAAACACTTGTTTTGCCATCAAATTGCCCAGCTGATCACCATATTATCTCATTAGTTCAATAAATGTAATTTTTTTTTCTTTTTACCTCTGTCACCTGTTGTTTATCTAGATGTCATATTTTTACGTTAATGAAATGTGAGCATGTAACTATAATGGGAATGACTTTTAACATGCACACTGGAATATACGGCTAAAAGAGTGATATCTCCTTCAAGAAAATTGCAAAAATATTGTGACCAAAGGCAGCAAAGTCAGATTAAATAAGGAACCTGCCTTCTCTTGCATTCAATTGGAAGTATAATTTATGGTTCGGATGGTTGAAAACAATTTTTTTTTGCTTTGCTTTGTATTTTCAATAATCAGTGTTATGACTGTTGTTACTAATTTGGGTGAGAACAGTAGAGTTTCAGCTGCCATAAGCATATAGAGTAAAAAATATCTCCTTGAGATCAGAGGGTACTAATATATACCTTATAAAAATTATACTCTTACTTCCTTGATAATTTTCCACCCATCCATCCGTCCATCCATCCATCACCCATCTCTTTACTGCTAACTATTAGGCACCAGCCACCATATTAGGCTCTGGCGGTATGTCAATAAGTAAGAAATAAACTTTACCTTCAAGAAACTTATAATCTAATAGTGTTGTGTGGTTCAAGGTCTAATCCATCAACATTCATGCAAATATAGTATCAACGAAATGAAGCCAACTCTATTGTGTTATATTTGTGTTAATTACTGAACTTAAAGGAGACGAAAACATATGACCTGTTTACTATGAGCCATTTCTAGGTTCCCTCCCAGCTCTGTGAATGTTTGAGACTGCTAGTATAGCATGGTACGGAATGTGTATGGGCTACAACTTAGGTTCTTGTCCAAAACAATAATGGAGATGCTGTAAAAGCACAAATAATCAAAATTAAAGTCAAGGAATAAAACATTACAGAGGTTCAAAGGAGAGATCATACTTAATTGCTAGAAACCAGAATGTCTTCTTGGAGGAAGGAACATCCTGCTGTTGATACCACATGTTTTAGAAGAGTTAATCACAGTTAGAGATTTGATGCTTAATTTCTTTTCAAGAAATGATTCATTAATTAGATGAAATAATTCTCATTTCTAGACAGATGTCTATATTTCCTTACATAAAACAGAAAAGAAACTCCACACTTAAGCAACTTCTCATTCTAATCTGCATCCTGAAGCTTTGTTGACTGTCAGTGTCAATAGCAGACTAACACCACTGAGGTATTTAGGACTGTGATTTTAAGGAAGGAAAAGAACGCATTTACCCTCAAAAATAGCACAGAATGTATGAGTCAAGATTAAGCACATATCAGGGTAGCATGGCAAACAAGAACAAAAATGAACTGGAGATTAGAAAAATTACTTATTTTCATAGTGCAAAATGTATTTCTGGACCCAATGTGTATCAATAACCTTCACTGACTATGTACCTTGTACGCAACACTGTGCTACGCACTGGGGAAACAAAAATTAATAAAACCATATCTAAATAGCCTCTAGGAATTCACAGCCCAGGAAGATAATAATATTAATAAAAAATATCATAGGGTGGTATAGTAAAATGGCAGTTTTGACATATATTAGCATATAAGATCATGAAATCTGAAACCAGCCTGTGTCTGAATCCCAGAACTGAAATTTACCAGGTATCTGACTCTGTACCTCAGTTTCCCTGTCTGTATAATGAGGATGATAATAATGTGTAGTAAGGTTGTCGTGAGACTAAATGAAGTCGTTTATGTAGAGTACTTTAGAACAGTGCCTGGCCCATACTAAGCGCTACATATGCATTAGCCATTATCGTTATTACTCATAATCTCAAGAGAATATCCAAGCCTAAATCAAATGAGGAAAGTGAAAAGTTTCAGGCTTTCAATACCTGTACCTTTTCCCAGTGAAATAAGTAAAATATGTTCATACATAAAGGGGAACTGTTAGCTCCATACATACACACAAGCGTAATTTTTACAAAGAAATGGTTGGTTTTTTTAGAATTATCAACTCAATAGTATATGCAAGGAGGAGAAATATTTTAAATGTAGAGTCTGATTAATTCATGTCTAAACAGAGATCAGCTTTACAGAAACCAAAGCATAATTCAAAGTTAAATTTTGCTTCTTCACTTAAAAAAAAAACATAAACGTGAATATAGATTAGCTCACCAAAGCTAGGTTTCAAATGGCTGCCACATCTGGCATAACAACTTTCTATATAGTTTCACAACCCAGTGTTCTAACGATATTGAGCTATGTAGATAACAAGTGTTTGCGCTTGAATTTGATTACATTATCAGTTAGTGTGGCAGATTATATTATCCGTCCCATGTTTTCATCCCTCCCTCTTTTCCTGCTCTTTACCGTGTGACTTTTCACTTCCTCCCCAAAGAGGTTACGTATATTTCCTGACCTCCTGATGTTGGGTTTGGCCATGTGCTTTGCTTCGGTCAATAGAATGAAGGAGAAATGATGTTGTGCCAGGAACAAGCACAGGCCCCCAGAGGCCATGCATGTCCATGCTAACCCTCTTGTGCCTCTACCCTGTCATGAAAACAGTCATACCTATGTTCACCTGCTGGTCCTCAGGGAATGAGAGACATGTACGACTCATCTGCCCCAGATAAGCTCCCTTGACCCAGCTCAGACTCAAGCACAGCCCCAGTTTATCCTCAGCCAGCTGAACAAACCAGCTGACCCCCAGTGGGCTCATAAACAAGCCTGGACAAGATCAGCAGAGCAACTCGCAAAGCTGAGCCTAGATCAGCTGACCCCAACCAACCCAAAGGCAGTCACACTATGTGAATGAAGTATTTTATTTATTTTTTAATAAGCCATTGAGTTTGGGATTGCTTTATTATGCAATAAAAGCTAGCTCATAGAGTCACAATATTTTCAATTTTAAGTTAACATAAAACCCAACCCTAACTGTCATAACCATTTTTAAAATGTATGGTTCCACCAAAGTGAAAAGGCCAGCAATAGTTTCAGCTTTAGCTACAGCTGTACCCAGAGGTTCAATGTTCAACATGAATATCTCTACAAATTTCTCAGCATGCCTCTGGCCTTTGGACTCTTTCATGTGTCAGCTTTGTCCTGGGACAAAGCCACCCTCTTGGTGCCAAAATGGCTGCAGAAGTTCTGGTCCTGCTATCTGCATACTTCACTTTGCATATTTCATCTTGAAAAAGAGGGAGGGCCTTTATCCCAGCACTCCAAGCAAGAGTCCTGAGATTCATTCCTTCTTAGAGCCTGGTGTGCTTATGAACTAATCAATGTAGCCAGGGGAAGAAATGCTTTGACTGACACATCCTATGTCATGGGTTCCCAACATGAAGAGAGAAAAGTTGAAACAAATTTACCAAGTTCCATGAATTTTTTCCAGGGTCAAGAGCTGTTGAGAAGGGGAAAGAGGGAAATAATTGTGAGACAAGCAGCTAGCAGTACACACGACAACACACTTCTTTCTTTGTAGTGCATTGTCACATTTTTTTCACATTGTGTTTCAGATATCCCAAGCCTCAGATTATTACCCCTGCCAAATACTCTTTTAGTAATGTCAATAAATGCTACTTGTTTGAATTAACTGTATACATTCAGAGGTATAAAGATTTTTTTTTAGATAAAAGAAGTGTAAAGAGACAAAAAATAAAGAAGTTATAATGCCACCATTTATCCCCCAATAACTAGAAACAGCTTCTATTTGAAATCTCAGTACCACCTGCTTTGCATCTGCTGGACTGGCTGAGAATGCAGGTCTGGCAAAAAGAAAAAATCCATTTTAAGTAGATCTGTGACAATACAGGGCAAGAAGGTCTTGAAATCCACCAAGGGTTTTAATCAATAAGACTGACAGCACAGAGCATGCCAGAAGCCAGGAAAAGGAGAGTTTGCCAAAAAAAAAAAAAAAAAGCATTCAAAAATCAAGCCCACACTATAAGGTTCGGGTGACCAACCAGGGCCAGTGAGACAGAGGTGCATACCACCATCTTTCTGTTCTGATCTAAGAAGGGTGAGAGAGGAAAGAGTTGATTAGCTCAGGGAAGGTTTTGTTCTGTCCTTTTAGATTCCAACTTTCCCAATCAGGGGAGAATTCTAAAACCCATTGTCTAATTTCAAAAGTTGGGTTTGAAAAACATGACAAGCTCTTTCTTTTTGTTACCTAATTCTCAGCTGTAAACCCAAGCTACTTGAGTGTGCATGCTTCATAAAAAGGCAAGAGGATTTAATTGAGTTTTGCATGCCGCTTCTAAGTGGATTGCTGGGGTATACCAGGATTAATTAGTTTCGTGTTGTTAATTCAATTCAAAGGTTGCTGATAAACTAAGACCATCAAACTCCATTAGGAGAAACAAAAACTTCTTAATTATGACAGCATATTTGGGGTTGTGGATAAGTTTTATCAGCATGTTAAAGTTCCATCCTGGTTTCCCAGGATTTGTGATAGAGCCACTCTAGTGGATCGGAGAGACCTCAATCATCTAAGCACTTTTTGCCAAATTTTCAAATTTGGTATCTTTACCAAAAAAAAAAGAAAGAAAGAAAGAAAGAAAAAGAATCCTTGGTTTCAATGGCTCTTTCTGCCCTTTAGAACGTGAAATTCTCTTTTCAAACAAATAACCCTAGGAGAATAACTCCAGTCTTTCTGCACATATGCAGAAAACCTGTACAGGGTTAAAGGTTTGGTTTTTGCTCTATCTCCCCAATTCCTTATGGTACTGTCACGATCATACTATCATGACCCCTTATATGTGGAAAAAAATCATCAGCAAAATATTTTATTTTGTGTAGAGAATGTTGAAAATATGATTGGCTACATGGTATTGCAAATAACTGCTTCTCTTCCCCTGACTCCTAGCAAAACCTCGCCTTTCAATAAAAAACACAGTGAGCACACAAGCATGTCGGTGCACACACTCACCGGCTTAGCTTTTGGCTTGGATGTGCCTGTATACTGCGGTTGAGGATCTAGCTAACTTTCTCTTCAGCTTGCCATATTGGATCCCTTTCGCATCTTTTTCTAGTGCAAGAGATTTCTCTGCATCTGAAATACTCCCCCCCAACCCCACACCCTGCCCCAGTATGTGCACTTGGGCAAAGATACACACACAGAGAGACATACACACACACACTTCTAATAATTCGGCCCTACTCTTCAGTTCTCAGTGCACCCTTCATCTCTCCTGGGACCTCTTTCTTGATTCTGAAGACTAGATTGGATGGCATTCCTATGAGCCATCTCTGCATCTATGTTTAGCACTAATGTAGCAATTGAAACATTGTAATAGCCTGTAAATGATCACTAACTCTCCATAGAAATTAACTTTCTAAACGACAGGAGTGTATCTCATTCATGAGTATATCTCATTCATGGTTGTATCACTGAACAGTGCAGAGCTTGGCACACAGAAGGAATTCCACCAGCATTTTTTGAATACATGAATAAAGGCCAGCATGATTGCAAAATTAACTGTGGAACCTCTCCCTTTTTTATATTGTTCCATCCTAGGTCATTCTATTAACAATCTTTACTTGCCCCTACCCACCAGCCTGGCACCTCTGTGGACTGATCAACCCACAGCACCTCCTCTGGCAGAGAGTTTTGTCTGGCCCCAATGTTCAGTCTTCCCTTTTTTCTCATAAAAGAACAAGAATTTTAGCTGAGAATTCTGATACAGGGTGGGCTTGAAGAAACATTTCTCATACTCCAGCTAAACTGGCCATTTGAATAAATTATAAACATTAAAATATAAAAGTAAATGCTACATGCAACTTCTAGGAAGTTTTCTTAAAAGGAAAAACATATGCCCTTTCTGAATCCTCCCTCCCTCTTGCTACTAAAGATGTGGAAGTGATGGCTGGTTCTCCAGCAGTCATCTTGGACCAAGGAGACATATGCTAAGGACAGAAGAAGTCTGTACTGCTAACAGTTTTCTGGAACCACTACACTACCTACACCACACCATGACTTACTTGCAGGTTTCTTTTACATGAAAGAGAAGAAAATAGGTCTCAGTAAAGAGACTGTTATTTCAGTCACTTTAAAAAAAAATTATTTCGGTAGGTTATTGGGGAACAGGTGGTGTTTGGTTACATGAATACATTCTTTAGTGGTGATTTGTGAGATTTTGCTGTACCCATCACCAGAGCAGTATAGACGGCATTCTGTTTGTAGTCTTTTATTCCTCAACCCCTTCTCACCCTTTTTCCCTGAGTCCCCAAAGTCCACTGTGTCATTCTTATGCCTTTGCATCCTCATAGCTTAGCACCCACTTACGAGTAAGAACATGTAATGTTTGGTTTTCCATTCCTGAGTTACTTCACTTAGAATAATAGTCTCCAATCTCATCCAGGTTGCTGTGAATGCTATTCATTCATTCCTTTTTATGGCTGAGTAGTATTCCATTGTGTGTGTGTGTGTGTGTGTGTGTGTGTGTGTATGTGTTTGTGTACATATATATATATATATACACACATATCACAGTTTCTTTATCCAGTCATTGATTGATGGGCATTTGTGTTGGTTCCACATTTTTACAATTGCCAATTGTGCTGCTATAAACATGTGTATGAAAGTATCTTTTTCGTATAATGACTTCTTTTCTTCTGGATAGATATCCAGTAGTGAGATTGCTGGATCAAATGGTACTTCTACTTCTAGTTCTTTAAGGAATCTCCACACTGTTTTCCATAGTGGTTGTACTAGTTTACATTCCCACCAGCAGTGTAGAAATGTTCCCTGTTCACCGCATCCATGCCAACATCTACTATTTTTGATTTTTGATTATAGACATTCTTGCAGGAGTAAGGTGGTATCACATGGTGGTTTTGATTTGCATTTCTCTGATCATTAATGATGTTGAGTATTTTTTCATATGTTTGTTGGCTATTTGTATATCTTCTTTTGAGAATTGTCTATTCATGTCCTTAGCCCACTTTTTGATGGGATTGTTTTTTTTTCTTGTTGGTCTGTTTGAGTTCATTGTAGATTCTGGATATTAGTTCTTTGTCAGATATATAGAGTGTGAAAATTTTTCCCCACTCTCTGAGTTGTCTGTTTACTCTGCTGACTCTTCCTTTTGCTGTGCAAGGCTCTTTAGTTAAGTCCCAGCTATTTAATTTTGTTATTATTGCATTTGCTTTTGGGTTCTTGGTCATGAAATCCTTGCCTAAGACAATGTCTACCAGGGTTTTTCCAATGTTATCTTCTAGAATTTTTATAGGTTCAGGTCTTAGATTTAAGTCCCTGATCCATCTTGAGATGATTTTTGTATAAGGTGAGAGATGAAGATCCAGTTTCATTCTCCTACATGTGGCTTGCCAATTATCCCAGCTCCATTTGTTGAGTAGGGTGTCCTTTCCCCATTTTATTTCTTGTTTGATTTTTCAAAGATCAGTTGGCTGTAAGTATTTGAGTTTATTTCTGGGTTCCCTATTCCATTCCATTGGTCTATGTGCCTCTTTTTATACCAGTACCATGCTGTTTTGGTGACTGTGGCCTTATAGTATAGTTTGAAATCAGGCAATGTGATGCCTCCAGATTTGTTCTTTTTGCTTAGCCTTATTTTGCTATGTGGGCTTTTTTCTTTTCATATGAATTTTAGAATTGTTTTTTCTATTTCTGTGAAGAATTATGGTGGCATTTTGGCAGGAATTGCGTTAAATATGTAAATTGCTTTTGGCAGTATGGTCATTTTCACAATATTGATTCTACCCATCCATGAGCATGGGAGTGTTTCCATTTGTTTGTGTCATTTATAATTTCTTTCAGCAGTATTGTGTAGTTTTCCTCTTCATCTCCTTGGTTAGGTATATTACTAAGTATTTTAATTTTTTTTCTGTAGCTACTATAAAAGGGGTGGAGGTCTTGATTTGATTCTCAGCTTGGTCACTGTTGGTATATAGGAGAGCTACTGATTTGTGTACATTAATTTTGTATCCTGAAACTGCTGAATTCTTTTATCAGTTCTAGGAGCTTTTGGATGAGACTTTAGGGTTTTCTAGGTATACAGTCAAATCATCAGCAAACAGTATGATTTGACTTCCACTTTGCCAGTTTGGATGGCTTTTATTTCTTTGTCTGATTGCTCTGGCTAGGACTTCCAATACTACGTTGAAGAGGGTGGTAAGATGGGCATCCTTGTCTTATTTCAGTTCTCAGAAGGAATGCTTTCAACTTTTCCCCATTCAGCATTATGTTGGCTATGGGTTTGTCATAGGTGGCTTTTAATACCTTGAGGCATGTTCCTTGTATGCCAATTTTGCTGAGATTTTTAATCATAAAGGAATGCCAGATTTTGTTGAATGCTTTTTCTGCATCTATTGAGATAATCATGTGTTTTTTTGTTTTTAATTTTCTTTATGTGATATATCACATTTATTGACTTGCTTATGTTAAATCATCTCTGCATCCCTGGTATGAGATCCACTTGATCATGGTGGATTCTCTTTTTAATATGTTGTTGAATTTGGTTAGCTAGTATTTTGTTAAGGATTTTTGCATCTGTGTTCATCAGGGATATTGGTCTGTAGTTTTTTGTCTGTTTGTTTGTTTTTTGGTTATATCCTTTCCTTGTTTTAGTATTAGGGTGATACCGGCTTCATAGAATGATTTAGGGAGGATTCCCTCTTTCTCTATCTTGTAGAATATAGTGTCAATAGGATTGGTACCAATTGTTTTTTGAATGTCCAGTAGAATTAAGCCAGAGTCCTAGAGTTTTTTTTTGTTTTGGCAATTTTTTTTATTATCATTTCAATCTCACTGCTGGTTATTGGTCTGTTCAGGGTATCCACTTATTCCTGATTTAAGCTAGGAGGGTTTTATATTTCCAGGAATTTATCCATCTCTTCTAAGTTTTCTAGTTAATGCACATAAAGGTGTTCATAGTGTCCTTGAATGAGTTTTTGTATTTCTGTGGTGTCCATTGTAATATCTCCCGTTTCATTTCTTATTGAGCTTCTTTGGATTTTCTCTCTTCTTTTCTTGATTAATCTTGCTAATGGTCTATCAATTTTATTTATCTTTTCAAAGAACGAGCTTTTTGTTTATCTTTTACATATGTTTTGTTTGTTTCTTTGTTTGTTTCAATTTAATTTAGTTCTGGTCTGATCTTGGTTATTTCCTTTCTTCTGCTGGGTTTGGGTTTGGTTAGTTCTTGTTTCTCCAGTTCCTTGAGGTGTGACCTTTGATTGTCTATTTGTGCTCTTTCAGACTTTTTGATGTAGGCATTTATGGCTATGAACATTCCTCTTAGCACCACTTTTGCTGTATCCCAGAGGTTTTGATAGGTTGTGTCACTATTGTCATTTAGTTCAAGGAATTTTTTAAATTTCCATCTTGATTTCATCTTTAACCTAATGATCATTCAGGAGAAGGTTATTTAATTTTCATGTATTTGCATGGTTCTGAAGGTTCCTTTTGGAGTTGATTTCCAGTTTTATTCCACTGTGGTCTGAGTGAGTGCTTGATATAATTTCAACTTTCTTAAATTTATTGAGGCTCGTTTTGTGGTCTATCATCTGCTGTATCTTGGAGAAAGTTATATGCGCTGATGAATAGAATATATGTTCTGCAATTGTTGGGTAGAATGTTCTGTAAATATCTGTTAAGTCCATTTGTTCCAGGGTAGAGTTTAAATCCAGTGTTTCTTTGTTGACTCTCTGTCTTGATGACCTGTCTAGTGCTGTCAGTGGAATATTGAGCTCCCCCACTATTATTATTGTATTGCTGTCTATCGCATTTCTTAGGTCTAGTAGTAATTGTTGTATACATTTGGAAGCTCCAGTGTTTGGTGCATATATATTTAGGATTGTGATATTTTCCTGTTGGACAGGGCCTTTTATCATTATATAATGTCTCTGTCTTTTTTTAACTGCTATTGCTTTAAAGTTTGTTTTGCCTGATATAAGAATAGCTACTTCTGCTCGCTTTTGGTGTCCATTTGCATGGAATGTCTTTTTCCATCCCTTTACCTTAAGTTTATGTGAGTTCTTATAAGTTAGGGGAGTCTCTTGAAAGCAGCAGATAGTTGTTGGTGAATTCTTCTCCATTTTGCAATTCTGTATCTTTTAAGTGGAGTATTTAGGCCATTTACATTCAATGTTAGTATGAGATATGAGGTACTATTTCATTCATCATGCTATTTGTTGCCTGTATACCTTTTTTTTTTGTACTTTGTTTTATAGCTTCTATGAAATTTATGCTTTAAAGAGGTTCTGTTTTGATGTGTTTCCAGGATTTGTTTCAAGATTTAGAGCTCCTTTTAGCAGTTCTTGTAGTGCTTGGCTTTGTAGTGGCAAATTCTCTCAGCATTTGTTTGTCAGAAAAAGACTGTATCTTTCCTTCATTTATGAAGCTTAGTTTCATTGGATACAAAATTCTTGGCTGATAATTGTTTTGTTTAAGGAGGCTGAAGACAGGGCGCCAATCCTTTCTAGCTTGTAGTGTTTGTGCTGAGAAATCTGCTGTTAATCTGATAGGTTTCCTTTACAGGTTACATGATGCTTTTGCCTCACAGCTCTTGATTTTTTTTCTTCATCTTAACTTTAGATAGCCTGATGACAATGTACCTAGGTGGTGCTCTTTTTGCAATGAATTTCCAAAATGTTCTTTGAGCTTCTTGTAGTTGGATGTCTAGGTCTCTAGCAAGGTCCAGGAAATTTTCCTCAGTTATTCCTCCAAATATGTTTTCCAAACTTTTTTGTTTCTCTTCTTCCTCAGGAATGCAGATTACTCTTAGGTTTGGTCATTTAACATAATCCCAGACTTCTTAGAGGCTTTGTTCATATTTTCTTATTCTTTTTTCTTTGTCTTTGTTGTATTGGGTTAATTGTAAAACCTTGTCTTCAAGCTCTAAATTTCTTTCTTCTGCTCGTTCAAGTCTATTGCTGAGACTTTCCAGAGCATTTTGCATTTCTATAAATGTCTCCATTGTTTCCTGACGTTTTTATTGTTTTTTATTTATGCTATTTCGCTGAAGATTTCTCCCCTCATTTCTTGTATCATTTTTTTTTATTTCCTTAAATTGGGCTTCACCTTTCTCTGGTGCCTCCTTGATTAGCTTAATAACTGACCTTCTGAATTCTTTTTCAGGTAAATTAGGGATTTCTTCTTGGTTTGGATCCATTGCTGGTGAGCTAGTGTGATTTTTGAGGGGTGTTAAAAAACTTTGTTTTCTCGTATTACCAAAGTTGGTTTTCTGGTTCCTTCTCATTCGGGTAGTCTCTGTCAGAAAGAAGGTCTCGGGCTTAAGGCTGTGGTTCAGATTCTTTTGTCACCTGGAATGTTCCCTTGATGTAGTATTCTCCCCCTTTTCCTATGGATGTGGCTTCCTGACAGCTGAGCTATAGTGATTGTTACCTCTCTTCTTGATCTAGCCACCTAGCAGGTCTACCAGGCTCCAGGCTGGCACTGCTGGTTGTCTCCACAGAGCCCTGTGATGTGAATCATCTGTGGGTCTCTCAGCCGTGGGTACCAGCACCTCCTCTGGTGGAGGTGGCAGAGGAGTGAAATGGACTGTGTGAGAGTCCTTAATTTTGATTGTTTAATACACTATTTTTGTGCTGGTTGGCCGCCTGCTGGGAGGTGGTGCTTTCAAGAGAGCATCAGCTGTGACAGTATGGGATCACGTGGTGGGTGCAGCCATAGAACTCCCAAGAGCATGTGCCCTTGGTCTTCAGCTACCAGGGTGGGTAGGGAAGGGCCATCAGGTGGGAGCAGGGCTAGTCATGTCTGAGCTCAGAATCTCCTTGGGTGGGTCTTGCTGTGGTTGCTGTGGAGGATGGGGGTATGGTTCCCAGGTCAATGGAGTTATGTTCCTAGGAAGATTATGGCTGCCTCTGCTGTGTCATGCAGGTTGTCAGGGAAGTGGGGGAAAACTGGCAATCACAGGCCTCACTCAGCTCCCATGCAACCCGAAAGGCCAATCTCACTCCTACCATGCTTCCTCCCACGGCAGCATTGAGTCTGTTTCCAGGCAGGGGGCAAGCAGGGCTGAGAACTTGCCCCAGGCTACCAGATTCCCAGCTACAAAAACAAGTAGGGCTTTCATGCTTCCCCACCTGTGGGGTCTGCCCACTGGCTTCATGCCCTCCCCCGAATTCTGGCCAGGAGACTTCTTGTTTGGTTGGAATTGTTACAAAATTCAGCTGAAGGTTTCCTTCTCCCTGTGGCCTTTTCCCAGTACTTCTGGCAGCCCTCCCCAAGGACCTCTGAGAGACAAGGCAGAAATGGCTTCCTAGGGGACCCAGAGAGCTGGTGCTCTACATGTTCAGATAAACTTCTCTAGTAAACTATGGAAATGATCCCTGAAAGTATAGTCTTCCAGGAATTTTTGATATAACAGCTCAACCAATCCTAAATATCACAGCCATACAGTAAGAGATTTTCTACATCTATGCACAGGTCATATGGCCCATTCTTTGTTCTTCCCCTGGGTAAACATGGAGCAGAAGAGGCATTCATGTCTTGTTTGATTAGGAATTTAAAAATACTTTTTCCATATATAATTATTCCCTGTGTAATAGACTTACCATTCCCTAGGTCTATGTAACCTCTCAGCCTCAGTAAAACTCTAAATGAAACAAAATTTGCCTTCTACCCTTCCAGCATTTTAGTCCCCCAAGAAAATGTGGTTGCAGGTGCCTTAAGAACTTTTTCCAGAAAACATACTTGCAGTTTTTCTAAGCCTTAAAAATTTAAACCAGTGTTTCTCAAAGAGTTGTCTCAGGTCTGCATCAAAATTACCTGGGAGTATTGTAACTCTGAAGAGTAACATGGAGTCTTGAGCCTTGAATTCCCTCAGTCCCACTCCCCAGAGGTGGAGCATCTGTGGTTTAGAAGCTCTCTAGGTGACTGTAAGGAACAAAAAAGCTTTGGAGTCCACTGCTTTCAAGTACACACTAGAGGCCATTTTGGCTACCCCTCAGGTCACCTCTCACTCTACAGAGATACAGTTACCTCCCACCCATCTTGCTGAAACCAGAGCTTCAGAAATTCTACTGCCTTTCGGCTCAGAGTGTGGACCATGGACTAGCAGCATTGACATTCCTGGATGGTTGTTAAAAATGTCCATCTTGGGCCTCACTTTAGATCTACCAAACAGGAATCTGCATTTTAACAAGCTGTCCACGTGATTCCTAAGCATGTGAGTATGGGGAAAGCACTAAGCTCCAGCACTGTGCCTTCTCTTGCAATACAACAGAGCCCTCCTCCATTCCCATGGCTTGGCTAAGGACACAACTTACACTGCACAAACCTGCCACTGAGGAGGCCAGTGGTGGAATCATTTACTGAGCATCTATTGAGGGCCACAGACAAGATAGTGGGAAGATGTCTGTAATGGTTAATTTCATGTGTCAGTTTAGCTAGGCCACATCATCCAGATATTTGGTCAAACACTAATCTAGATGTTGATATGAAGATTTTTTTTAGTTGAGATTAACATTTAAGTCAGTAGATTTTGAGTAAAGGAGATTATCTTCCTTCCATGATGTGGGTGGGTCTTATTCCATCCACTGAAGTATATTAAGAGAATAACGACTGACCTCTCCTGAGGAAGAGGAAATTGTGCCAGCAGACAGCCTGTGGAGTCGAGCTGCAACATGGACACTTCCCTGCGTCTCCAGCCTTCTGCCCTACCCTGCATATGTTGGACTTGCCAGCCTCCACAATGTGTGAGACGATGCCTTAAAATAAATCTCTCCCTGTCTCTGTCTCTCTCTCATATATAATATCACATATTTATATCTGCCTATCTATATCTATCTATCATCTATCCATCTCTCTGTCTCTATCTAATCTCCTATTGATTCTGTTTCTCTGGAGAATCCTAATATGCTACAAAACCAATGCAAATCTTTATCGCCACGCACTTTTCTCATCGCATTCTTCCACTTTTCCCTATCACCTATGGAATAAATCCAAAACTCCTTAGCATGAAATTCAAGGTCTTATCTTCCACACACTGCCACATTTCTGTCTCATCAGGCTACTCTGTGTTTCAGACCAGCTTTCATGTCTCTGCTTGTTCCATCTCTCCCTGGCCTCCTCCTGAAATCCTTCTCATCTCTGACCCACCTTCACTCATCAAATACAAACACACAACTGTTTGTTGAATGTTATCTGCCCCTTCCCACCAGCCTCTTATCGCCATTATGCTCTGAAAGACCTGTGAATAATTATTTATGAAATATATTATCATGAGATTAATGTATATCCTATTCTCTCACTAGACTTCAAGTCCCTTGAAGGCAGGAAATATGTTTTATTACATATTTTATTTGTTTACATGTATTCCTCTTAGTGTCTATTCAGTAAAATTTATTAAATGAATAAAACATTGTTGTATGTTTGATTTATTTATTGACTTATTAAGTGTATTGTAAATACTAAACGTGGAGAGGGTCTATGTTTGTTGGTTGGTTTGTTTACTTTGTAACAGAAAACATCACAACAAGAAGACTAACGCTCTCAGAGATTGCTATTGTGTGGAATATCTAAAATAGAATTCTTCTTCCTTTATTCTTTGTGCTCTCTTCCTGCTTTGTTTTCCTTTGTAGCATTTTCCACTATCTGGCATTTCATTTATGTGCAGTGTTATCTTTTTATCACTTATCTTCTTCCTCGAGAATATAGGCTCCATGAGAGTGTGGACTTGTGAGTACTTAATAAATATTTTGAATGAACTCATTTATCTTTGAGCATGAATGCATGGTCAAGTCAGGAGTGTCTGTCCACTAAAAATAACAAAAACATTTACATACCCAAGTGGAAGACGTTGAATATGAATATTCAACTGTAGAATGGTGAAAAGTCAATCTTAACTGATTTTGGCTTTTTTTCTTGGGTAACATAAGAGGCCGGCCTTGGATAGAGGTTCTCCAACTTAATTTTTATTATCAGAGTCCCTTTCTCAAAATCAAATGTTACATAAAACGATAGCAACCCTGTTGAAGGACTGTCTGCCCTGAGGAAGAGTGACTTTTTCTGGCTTGCACAAAGGGCTCCATGTGGACTAGCAGTGGCCCCTCATGGAGCTCTAATACATAAATCAGATGAAAACGATATTTATTGCTCTGTTAAAACAGGGATGAGGAACCTTGTTCTTTGGACGTCCACCTTATCATTCCCTTGTGGTCCCTAAGGCATCTTTGGGGAAAATAGGACTTCATGAAAAGCACTTTGAAAATCACATTATTCAGCGCCTCTGGGGAAACTTCCGGCTCCAAGCATCATTAATCAGTTGGAACTTTCAGCCTAAAATAACTGAGGACTAAGGAGGTGTAAAGTTTTGATAGAAACTGATGTGGCACTGATTTCATAGAGAAGCGAGACAGGGAGGCTGACAGCATCTGTAAGCATTTAGATTATAATGGAACCAGGGGCAATAAGCAGCCTGGATTTTGAGATTGAACCAAGCTGGGAAAACCTAATTGCCTTTTTTTTTTTCTTTTTAAAAAGGGAGTGAGAATTGCATGTTAATAAAGGAGAGAGAGAAAACGAAGATGTAACATAACCCAATTTTGGTAAAGCACTTAATACAGTATCTAATAAAGTCTTACTTGCAAAATGAATTCAAATTGAATTAGATTTGGACTCTAGCATTCTGTACAGGCTGAAAGCTGAGGGCTGGTGACATCGAAACAAAGGATAGATGCGATGTATCACATTACAGAGGTGTCTCATAGCCCTGCCCCAGGAATCAATGAAACTCTAGTGTTAGTTAACAGCTTCAGTAATGATCTACACTATGAGACAAAAGAGTATCTTAATGAATGTTATTGAAGAAACTGTGGAGAGATGCTGCGAACTCCAGTCTCAACCGAGAGGTTTGCAGTGAGAAAATAAATATGCAGAAACAACTGGGAAGAAACAGCTTAGGCACTGATATTTGGGGGAAAATGCTTTGCAAGATTTTGAGGAAATGCATTTCTTAAGCCTTATAAAATAGCATTCTTGGAGATTTGAATAAAATAAACATTTATGGCAACCATGAAATTAAGGTTATGCCTAACCTATATGCCCAGGGCAATTCCTTCCCCCAACAAAGCAAATATATAAGTAAATAACCACAGGGCATTATAGAGTAGCAACTAGATAAAAGTCACTTTTTACCTTTTCCACTTTTGCTCTTTTTTTTTTTTTTTGATGGAGTCTTGCTCTGTTGCCTAGGCTGGAGTACAGTGGCATGATTTCAGCTCACTGCAACCTCCACCTCCCAGGTTCAAGCAATTCTCTGCCTCAGCCTCCCAAGTAGCTGGGATTACAGGCACCCACCACCAAGCCTGGCTAATTTTTTTGTATTTTTAGTAGAGACAGGGTTTCACCATCTTGGCCAGGCTGGTCTTGAACTCCTGACCTCATGATCCACCTGCTTCAGCCTCCAAAAGTGCTGGGATTACAGGTGTGAGCCACCACGCCCAACCACTTTTGCTCTTTCTTTTGGCATGTTTGTGGCAGAACTCTGGTATAGGATTGCTACAAAGAACAATAGAAAGGGATTTAGTTAACTAATTAATTTTATTTTAGAAACAGGGTCTAACTCTGTCACCCAGGCTGGAGTGCAGTGGTGTGATCATAGCTCACTGTAACCTCAAACTCCCAAGCTCAAGTGATCCTTCCACCTCAGCCTCCTGAGTAGCTGGGTCTACAGGTTCACCACCATGTCCGGCTAATTTAAAAAAAAAAATTTTTCTTAGAGGCAAGTTCATGCTATGTTTCCAGGCTGGTCTAGAACTCCTGGCCTCAAGAGATTTTCCTGCCTCAGTCTTCCAAAGTGCTGAGATTACAGGCATGAGCCACTGTACCCAGCAGGTTTAACTGGTTCTTGGTTTTGTTTACTAAAGGAGATGACATTAGCAGATACAGGCAGCATTAATAAAGCCTTGCACCTTGCCTTCTTTCCCCTGCCATCCCAAAAAAAGAACTTCAGTGACTTCTAGATTTTTTTTCAGAGGAAGGTGGAAAAGACTCTAAGAATTCACATGGTGTCAAAGTTGAATAGTTCCCCTCCATCACTGCCCCCCAAACCAGTACTGCACAGAAAAAAAAAGCCAACACATATTCCATGGTAAAGTAATCAATTTAACCTTTTTTCTTTTTGTCATTTCTATGTAGCAGGATGCAAAGCAGAGTCCTTAACCTTAGGAAGTGCATGTTCTAGTGGGGAGAGAGCCAAAAACATAACATTGAAAGAAACAAGTGTTCACATCTCCATATGAGATGGGAGCATAGGAGAAAACAGGGACATCTTCATGGAGGAGGAAGCAATTGAACCATGACTTGAAAACTCAATAAGCATTCCCCAGGCTATCAATCAGACAAGAGAATGATGGGGAGGCGAGTGGCAGTAGGAGCAAGAAATGAGGCCAAAATGGCAGAAGGCACCAAATCATGACTAACCTTAAAAGCTATTCAAAAGGGTTTTCATTTTATTCTATCTGTGTTGGGAAATCATTGGAGAATTTTGCGTCGGAGGATGACATTATGGTAACAGCCTCCTAACCATTTGTTTCTTCTGACTTTATCCTCCTACAGTCCGGTCTCAGCATAGCAGCCAGACTTATCTTGTTAAAATGTAACCTAGATAATGACATCTGCTCAAAACCTCTAAAGGCTTCACATATCAGAGAAACAGAGGCCTAGGTACTTGCTATGATTGCAAAGTTCTCCATGATCTGGTTCCCAGTCACGCCCTTACCTCTTCTGGTTCTGCTGTCCCCCTTTTGCCTGTTCCACTTCTCTCCAACCACCAGAAAATGCAAGGCACAGTTCCACCTCCAGAACTTTGTGCCTGCTCTTCCTTCTTGTAACACCTGTCACTCAGATCCCGCATGTTTCACTACTTAGTCCTCTAAATGTTATCACCCAGTGAGTTCATCTTGCCTACTGCACAGATAGGGCCAATTCATGGCAGTATTGCAGTGAAGAAACAGAGTAAACACAAGACCAGCCAAGCAAAAGGACAGGAGTTTGGTATTACTCAAATCAGCCTCCCTAATAAATTCAGAGGCTAAGGTTTTTATGAATAATTTGGTGGGCATGGGTCTAGGGAATGGGTGCTGTTGATTGGTTGGGGATGAAATCACAGGGGTGTGGAAAACAGTCCTCTTGTGCTGACCTGCCTTTGAGTGGGGCCACAGTAATGGGTCCAGGTGGAGTCAGTCAGTTGTTAGAATGCAAAAGTCTGAAAAGCATCTCCAAAGACCAATCTTAGGTTCTATTAGGTAGATGCCATTACTTCTAATGACAAAAACTGCAATTACTTGTGCACCAACCTAATGTAATGGTGATGTTATCTATATGAGCAATTGGGAAAGTCACAAATCTTAGGATCTCTGGCCATATGACTCCTGAGCAGTAAGGGATTATAGAAAAACAAAATAGGGGACAATGGCTGGTTATCATTTAGCTACATCTATATCTTTGCAAGTTCAGGCCACTCCCTTAACTCTAATCTTGTGGTCTTTTATCAGCCTTACAAAGGTAGTTTCAGTTGCCAAACAAGGAGGGATCAGTTTTATGGGGGGACTACTATCATTCTTGCTTTAAAGTATAACCTAAATTCCTTCCATGGTTAGCTTGGCCTACAATGAGGAACGAACAAAGACAGCCAGACTGTGAGGCTAGAAGCAAGATGAAGTCAGGTATGCTACACTCCTCTTGCTGTCATAATCTTTGCAAAGGTGGTTTCATCAACACCCTGCCAAAATGCCACATTTGCAGTGAAACCACCCTATCTAAAACTTCATCTCCCTCCCCCAGCACTCGTATTTCCTCCCTTGTTTTGTCTATTTTATGAATATGTATCATTTTCTTTTTTTTTCTTTTTTTTTTTATAGAGACAGGGTCTCCCTATGTTGCTCAATCTGGTCTTGACCTCTTGGGCTCAATGGATCCTCCTGCTTCAGCCTCCCAAAGTGCTGGGATTTTAGGCATGAGCCACCATGCCCAGCCTCACTTTCTAATATACTATATTACTTATTTATGTATTTTATCATCTCCTCCTACTAGAAAATAAGATCCATGAGGACAAGAATTTTTGTCTTTGTTCAATTCTACAAGCCCCATGGCTGGAATAATTTCTACACATAGTAGATCCTCGATAAATATTTTTGAATAAATGAGTAAATGGATGAACTAAGGAAAGATAGAATAAAGGAGGCTGCAGGGAGACCTTTTAAGAGGCTATTGTAATTCTGAGGTAGCCTTAAACAAGGACAATAGACATGGAGGAAGAAAATTGGAAATGGGTACCAGAGATACTTAGGATGTAGAATCAACAGAAATTGAATTATAGTGAGATTAAGAAGATAGGAAGTATTCGGGAAGAATGATTCCCAGGTTTCTGGCTAAGGCAGCCAGGTACGTGATAATGACATTTGCCCAGATAGGGAACATGGTAGAATAGGAAAGAAAGGGAGAAGATGATGGATTCAGATTTTGATATGCTGAGTTGGAAATGTCTGATGGAAATTTGGCTGGATCTAAAAGTTGTCTGTTGGATATTCATGTTTTAGAAAGACAATGGGAAGTGCTGATTTTTGTTTCTTTTTCCAGAATCTTCTCTATGCAGCAGAAACTCCAAACAAAGCTACTCTTGCTCCCTGCAGCCAGCTCTGAGTTGCAGAAAGTAGCAAAGCCACTCATAGCACCAGTAAAGGAAAAACTGTTTTTCTATACTCACAACACTTCAGACCCCAAATGTGTGGGCTTTCCACACCAAGCAATTCTCCAATTTTCTAATGACACCAACTAAGTGCCCTACAATTTAACTCAATTCTGACACTAATTACCTGTGGTTGGTACAGACTTCACAGATTAAAGGCTCAGTCCCAAAAGACTGTCCCCCACTTGAGAAATCAATTACAAGTCCCAGGTTGTCACCTGTACTTCTGACCAACTGGCTATAAATCAGGGATTCCTATAACCCTTCCTCATGTTCAATACCTTGCTATAACTGCTCACAAGCATCAGGGAAATATTTACTTACGTTTACTGATATATTATTGTTAAAATAAAAACCTTAGACAAATTAAATTTAACACAGTTTAATTGAGCAAAGAACTATTCATGAATTGGGCAGCCCCCAAACCAGAAAAGGTTCAGAGAGGCTCTAGCAGCATCATGTAATGGAGCAGATTTATAGACAGAAAAAGGAAAGTGACATATAGAAAATAGAAGTGAGTTACAGAAACAGCCAGATGGGCTAGAGCTCAGTGTTTGCATTATTTGAACCTGGTTTGAACAGTTGGCCACCTCTGATTTGCCAAAACTCAGTGATTGGCACAAGAGTGTGGTACAGTTAGTTTACACATCCAGTTAGGTTACAGTTTACTATGTACAGAGAAAGCTTTAGGCTGAACTTAAAATATGTGAGGCAGCTTTAGGCTAAACTTACTTTAACAACATAAAGGATATTGCAAAGGATACAGGTGAACAGCTAAGTGGAAAGAATACACAAGGCAACATATGGGGGAGGGGTGCAGAGTTTCCACACCTTCTCTAGGCATGCCACTCTCCCAGCACCTCACTGTGTTCACTGACCTGGAAGCTGTCCAAGCCCCACTGCTTAGGGTTTTTATGGAGGGTCCTTTACGTAGTTGATTAAATTATTGACCTCAATCTTCAGGTTTTTTCCCCCTCCCTGGAGGTTGGAAAATGGGGCTGAAAGTTTCAACCCCTAATCACACAGTTGGTTCCTCTGACACCTGGTTCCCATCCTCCAAGTGTTAACATCAACTCACGTGTGGTTGGAAAGCACTTATTATGAATAACTAAGAATGCTCCTCTCACCCCATCACTCAGGAAATTCCAACGGGAGACTAAACATATATTTCTTATTATGTCACCACCAGACAGGAGGCCCAGGTGGTGAAGGGCAATGAAAGAAGCTGAGAAGACCAGGCATGTGAGTATGTGTAAGTATGTGCAAGAGCCGTGGCCTATCCCCATTCATTCATTCACGAAGCTGAGAGGAGGAGGAAGTGCTGCTGTATCTTTGGCACACAGGTAACCAGTGAAGAAGCCCAGATGATTGATATCCACTCTCTGCCCTGGGAACTTAACAGTCTGGTCACGGGACTCTCTTGGTTTCCTTCATGTTGATGTGCACCAACGTAAAGGAAACTTGGGCCTTCTGGTTGAGATAAATTTCTGGATAGAGATATTTCTGAATATATAATTTTAATCTTATGAAGAGAAATGATAAATGATCATCCTCTGAATGCATAAGGTTGAGAAATGCCATTTTAAAACATGACTAGGAGACCAGAATATGCTACTAAAGCTGTCCTCACAGGGTTAACAAGGATTCTGGACAGAAATATGGTTATAATTAAGCATTTATCAGGCTGCACTTTGGCCTGCTTCCTTGTAACCAAAAGTCATGGAGCACTAGATGCTGACCACTTGCATCCCCATTGTTTCTGTAGACAGGATTTCTGATATGCTTTTGTTTAAAAATTCCTTAACATATTTTTCAAATTCTAAGTTTCAGCTGATGACAACCAGTTTGAAGACCCCCAAAAGAAGAACCAAACTGCATGAGAATTCAGTTTCTTCATCTCCCTACCCCATGATTTCACCTTGTTCTCTCTGACCAATAACCATCTCCCCACTTTGGCCCTCTCCAAAACCCTTAAAAATTCTAAGCCCAAACTCCCCAGGGAGACAGATTTGAGGTTTCCTCCCATCTCCTCATTCAATGGCTCTGCAATTAAACCTGTTTCTCTGCCGCAGCCTGGTATCTCAGCATATTGACTTGCCACGTGCATCAAGCAACAAACCTTTTACTGTTATACTACTCAAAATATGCCTCTTTGGAATGAGGACTATTTTGAGCTGGTTATTTAGAGAAACTGCAGACACACACAAAAAAACTCTGAAATGAAGAGTAGAAGTTACCCTATTGTAAGAGAAATTTACAACTATAAAGGAAATCTCCATTTATAAGGGTGTTTCCCTCTCTCCATCAGGAAGAGAAGGATGACTAAATCACTAGAAAAACCCATCAATGGAAAAAGCATCAGTTTAAATCTCCATAACAAATCTTACTCTTGTTTACAGTGTTTTTTCCTGGCCACCTACCTATAACTGGGACTTTCCCCCAAACTCTTCTTACTTTGTTTCAAGGGATGATCATATTTAAGCCTGAAAAGTAATACAACTCTTCGAGATCTACTCTTTATAGTTACTCTTGGAGAATTTATTCTTTGAGATTTTCCTATGTATCTCCCATGTATATAGGGTATACATGTTATTAAACTTCCCTTTATTTTCCTCTTGTTAATCTGCCTTTTGTATCAGAGAGCCTCAACTAAGAATTTAGGAGGGCAGAGAGAAAATTATTTTTCCTCTCTGTTACAGAGTTAATTAAAAAGTGGGTTGAACAGGCCGGGCGCGGTGGCTCACGCCTGTAATCCCAGCACTTTGGAAGGCTGAGGCGGGCAGATCACGAGGTCAGGAGATCGAGACCATCCTGGCTAACACAGTGAAACCCTGTCTCTACTGAAAATACAAAAAAATTAGCCGGGCATGGTGGCGGGCGCCTGTAGTCTCAGCTACTCGGGAGGCTGAGGCAGGAGAATGGCATGAACCTGGGAGGCGGAGCTTGCAGTGAGCCAAGATCGCACCACTGCACTCCAGCCTGGGTGACAGAGCGAGACTCCATCTCAAAAAAAAAAAAAAAAAAAAAAAAAAAAAATTTTGGGTTGAACAAACTCTAAGAAACATACTCTTACCAGGAGTGACACACACACACACACAGTCACATGTCAATTAACGACAGGGATATGTTCTGAGAAATGCATCATTAGGTGATGTTGTCATTGTGTGAACATCAGAATGTACTTACACAAACCTAAATTTTATAGCCTACTTACTACATACCTAGGCTATATGGTATAACCTATTGCTCCTAGGCTACAGACCTGTATTACATGTTACTGCACTGAATAGGCAATCATAACACAATGTTAAGTATTTGTGTATCCAAACATAGAAAAGGTAGAGTAAAAACACAACAAGGTATAAAAGATAAAAAAAAATGGTATACCTGTACAGGGCACTTTCCATGAATGAAGCTTGCAGGATTGGAAGTTGTTCTGGGTGAGTCAGTGAGTGAGTGTTGAGTGGACATAAAGGCCTAGAACATTACTGTATGCTGCTACAGACTATAAACATTGTACACTTAGGCTACACTATATTTATTTAAAATATTTATTTAAAATATTTTCTTTCTTCAATAATAAATTAACCTTAGCTTATTGTAACTTTTTAACTTTATAAATGTTTCAATTTTATTAACTTTTTGACTTTTTGACACCTTAAAATACAAACACACCGTATAGCTGTTCAAAATTATTTTCTTTCTTTATATCCTTATTCTATAAGCTTTTTTCTGTTTTTAAATTTTTTAACTTTTCAACTTTTTTGATAAAAACTAAGACACACAAACACATTAGCCTAGGTCTACACAAGGTCAGGATTATCTAGGTGTCATTAGACAATAGAATTTTTCAGCTCCATTATCATCTTATGGAACCACCATTCTATATCCAGTCTTTAATCAAAATGTCATTATGTGTTATGTGAGAATACATCTACATTCTAGCCATTGAGTTAAGGAGTTTCTTTATGAAGGATCATGAAATACTATACCACCTTTGAACAACTCAAGGCTATCTTGACACTATGGTTCCAGGCAAAGACACAGCCACTAATTTACACAATATAGTACTTTCTAATCAAAGTATATTAAGTAGAGTGAATTTATATTACGTGCAATGTTTGTGTTACCAAAACACCAGGGGTTTGGTCTAGGTCCTTCTGCTCACTGCACAGAAAGCCAATCACTGAGACAACAAGTATTGCCAAAGAAGAAGGCTTTAATTGGGTGCTGCAGCCAAGGAGATGGGAGCTCAGTCTCAAATCCATCTCCCTGGCTGACTAAAACCAGAGATTTATATAACAGGCAGGAAATGTAACAATGTGTAAGAAAGCAGGAACTTGGGAGGGGCAAGGAAGCAATCATGGTGAATGAGGGGTCTGGCATTTGGTGCCACAATCTGGTTTTAGGTCTCTGATACTTTATGTGAGAGGCCTAAAGGTCATTTCCTGAGGAAGGAAGTCAGATAAAACAAATACAGGTTTCAAGCTTTTTAAGACCAGAAGGGTCAATTTCTATGTTTATCCAAAACACAACTGTCTATGGGACTATTGGGCCCATTTCATTTGAATAAACCCCAAACACTTTTCTTTGCATTCATACAAAGTTGTGAAGAGACTCCATCTTCTATGACTTTCCATTATGTTGTGTATGATCTCTATGTGTTAAACTCTTTCATGTTCAGGCTTGATTTTGCCCTAAAGGTTTTTATGTGCCTTTACTTCATTTGTACATGCAGCTTGAAAGCAAGATACACTGCAGTCGCAGAAGGTTGTTTGCCTAGAAACTGACCACCTGACTCTCTACCACCTTCAAAAGACCCTCTCCCTCTCCCCATCCACCTTTCTTCTCTTGCTTCATTACATTACATATTTTATATATAAATGGTATTTATTTCAACTTGTTTTTTAATTACAGGAACTTGTCTATATATATTGCTCAATTGATAATTTTTTTTACCTGTAAATATTGTTTGGACATTTTGGGTTAGGTGGAATGCATCACAATTTTTTTTCCAGATAATATTAATAGGAAAATATGTTTTATTTAATAACTGTTCATTTAGCAACAGAGTTTTCAGAAACAAAATTGTTAAATGAGAGATGGGGGTTTTTGGTTTATCTTTTAGTGTTTCTTTTTTGCAAATATAAGCAAATAACTACTTGTAATTAAATAAAATTATATCAACAACCTGGTCTTTATTTTTTGGTTTGGGGTTTTCTTAAAGTGAAAATTACCTCTTGATTCCTCCTCATAGTGCTCCTTTTGTAGGTACTGTTAGGTTTCACTTGAAAACTTCTGCGCATCTGCCCCAGAGGTTCTACCTCTCTAAATCGTTTTTCCTTTGCTGGGGGGATCAAAGCAGCGGGGCAGCTATAACAGGGCTAAACATGCTCCTCTGGATTGTCAGTAGATTCAATTTTCTCCAAGAAGTCCAGCCCCTAGCTAAGCTGAGTGACAGAAAAGCCATGCCAAGACAGGAGCTCAGATTCTCAAATGCTTGAGCATTTAATGACTGACAGTGGGAGTCCAGCTGTGTGAAGGGAAGCTGCACAGAGAGGAAGGGGGGTTGTGGAGACAGAGGGAGAAAGTTCTGAAATGGGGTGGGAGAGTGGTAAGGAGAAGCATTTGGAAGAGGATACATATGGATACACACACAAGTACACACACACACAGATCACATGCAAGAAATTAATTAATGCATGGTGCTCACAAATATTTGCTAGGGCAGAAACTTAGTGTCAGATTTGCACCAAGGCCCATGAGACAATATGAAACTAAATCCTAGTCTGCCTTCTTTCTGGGATATATTGTCAAAGATATTTTCCCTCTCATTGGATCCCTAAACCAAATCACTTTAGTAATAAACCCACTAAAAAAAGGAGGCGGTGCACTTACTCAAACCTCAAAATGGAGCATAATAGCTCAAATGTAGCATTAGTTTTACAAACAAGCTTTCTTTCATATGAAATATACTTATTCAAATAGGTCTCAGAGAAGAGCTATGACATTCTTTCAAACTTGATCAGTGTAAAGTGAAGGCTAAACAGGCTTTCTTTAGGATTCAAAGATGACAGTCGAACAGAATAACAAAACACAGACCAGTGTTACTAAAGAACATATTCCCCCACAGCTCATCCTACCCAGAAACTAAAGGCATAGAAACAAATCTTGTAATAGAGACATAAAAATCCAGAAATCTGCACTATCATTGGTGTCATTAATGCTATTTATACCTAACTAAATAAAATCTAACAGAAGAGCTTGTAAACTGGAAGTTAGTTCTAAATGCTTGATTAGGTTAAGGTTAAATATTTGGGTCAAGAATACTTATAGGGTATGTTGGATCTTCATATTGCATCACCATGAAGACACATAAGGTTAGGTTGTTCCAATAGTCAGGATATGTGTTTATTACCCTTGCCACAGCTCCTGATTATAAAAGTATGTCCTCCCTTTGCAATAAGCAATTAACCTGTGGCTTGATCCTTTGGCAACACTTGAATATCCCATACACCAACAACTTTTCACTCAATGGTTTTCATATCCATTTATGATCCTTGTTTAAATCAAGGATTTCACTGGAGGCTGCAGAATGATGATTTTCTAATGCCATCATTTTTCTACATTTGTCTGTCTGTGTGTGGTATAGCGACAGTGTTTGCTTTGGTTGTTGCTGATGTTTTGGTAAAAAAGAGGTTTTTCTCAACAGTAAGGGATGAACTATAGTTCTAAAAACAGAGTAAATCCTTTATTTTATTTTTAGTCATCACATTTTATTTTTAAATTTTTATTTATTTTTATTTACCTATTTTAGATGCAGGAGGTATACATACAGGTTTGTTACAAAGGCATATTGCATGATGCTGAGGTTTGGACTTTTAATGATCCCATTGCCCAAATAGTCAACATAGTTCCCAGTGGGCAGTTTTTCAACCTCTGGCCCCCTACCTCCCGACTTTTGAAATCCCCAGTGTCTATTGTTTCTATCTTTGTGTCCGTGTATACCCAATGTTTAGCTCACACTTATAAGTGAGAACATGCAGTGCTTGGTTTACTATTTCTGCATTAATTCACATAGGATAAAGGCCTCCAGCTGCATCATGTTGTTGCAAAGGATATATTTCATTCTATTTTAGAGCTGTGTAGTATTCCACGATTACATGTACATTTTATTTATTGAATCTACCATTGATGGGTGCCTGGGTTGATTCTGTGTCTTTACTATTGTGAATAGTGCTGTGATAAACATAAAAGTACAGGTGTCTTTTTGGTAGAATGATTTATTTTCCTTTGGGTATTTACCAAGTAATAGGATTGCTGGGTCCAATGGTAATTCTATTTTTAGTTCTTTGAGAAGTCTCCAATCTGCTTTTCATAGGTGCTGAACTAATTTGCATTCCCACCAACAGTGTATAGGCATTCCCTTTTCTCTGCAACCTCACCAACAACTATTATTTTTTGACTTTTTAATAATAGCCATTCTGAGTGGTGTGAGATGGTATCTCATGGTGGTCTCAATATGCATCTCTCTAGTGATTAGAATGTTGAGCATTTTTTCACATGTGTGTGTTGGCTACTTGTATGTCTTCTTTTGAGATATGTCTGTTCATATCCTTGCCCACTTTTTAATGGGGTTATTTGTTTTATTCTAGTTTATTTATTTAAGTTCCTTACAGCTTTTGGATATGAGTCTTTTGTCAGATGCAGAGTTTGCAAATATTTTCTCCCATTCTGTAGGTTGTCTGTTTACTCTGTTGATCATTTCTTTTGCTGCATAGAAGCTCTCTAGTCTAATCAGGTCCCAATTGTCAATTTTTGTTTTGGTTACATCTGCTTTTGAGGACTTGGTCATAAATTTTTTGCCTAGGCCAATGTCTAGAAGAGTATTTCCCAAGTTTTGTTCCAGGATTTTTATAGTTTGAGGTCTTACATTTAAGTCTTTAATCCATCTTGAGTTAATTTTTGTATATCGTCAGAGATAGGAGTCCATCTTCATTCTTCTGCATATGGCTAGCCAGTTTTCCCAGCACCATTTATTGAATAGAGTCTTTCCCCTATTGTTTATTTTTGTTGACTTTATTGAAGATCAGTTGATTGCAGGTGTGTGGCTTTATTTCAGTAGTCGCTATTCTGTTCCATTGGTCTATGTATCTATTTTTGAAATGGTACCATGCTGTTTTGGTTACTGTAGGCTTGTAGTGTAGTTGGAAGTCAGGTAATGTGATGCCTCTGGCTTTGTTCTTTTTGCTTAAGATTGCTTTGGCTATTCAGGCTCTTTTTTCAGTTCCATATGAATGTTAAAATAGTTTTTTCTAATTCCGTGGAAAATGATGTTGATAATTTAATAAGAATAGCATTGAATCTGTAGATTTCTGTAGGCAGTATGGACATTTTAATGATATTGATTCTTCCAATCCATGAGCATGGAATGCTTTTCCATTTGTTTGCATTGTCTATGATTTCTTTCAGCAGTGTTTTGTACTTCTCCTTACAGAGCCCTTTCACTTCACTGGTTAGATGTATTCCTAGCTACCTTTAGGATTTTTTCATTCAAGTCGACCTTGGATAGTCTGATGACTATTGTGTTGGGAATGGTCATCTTGTATAGCATCTTGTAGAAGTTCTCTGGATTTTTTTTTTTATCTGTATGTTGACCTCTCCAGCAAGATGAAGGAAATTTTCCTAAATTATATCCTCAAATATGTTTTCCAGTTTGCTTACTTTCTCTTCTCCTCTCTCAGGAATACCAACCCTGTGATGGGAGAGAGCCTAATTCTAGCACCAACTGCTGGGGCACTCTCCACACTCAATACTTCATTCTGGCTGTGGGAACCCTTTCCCCATTCCAGAGCAAGCACTTTAAATTCTGACCTGAGACTAAAATGCCTGCTGTGGCAGTGGCTGCCAGGTCACCAAGCACTGTCTGACTTTGCATGAGCCCAGATTTAAAATGATGTTCTCCTCTCAGTGCCAGGGCTGGGAAAAGTGCCTGTAGCTTTTCCCAGTGTCTTTCCCTCTCTCCATCTTTCAGTTTCTCCCAAGTTAGCTGTAGGGCTTGAAACAGGGTGCTTGCCCATGTTCTGGGGTACAGAAATCCCTAGTAAAAAGATGAGTCCCAGAGGAAGACTGCCTCTCCCATGTACTGGGGCTTTACTCACATTTATCAGCTGAATGCTGTCACCGGTGCTGCTTGATCACCTTCTCCTCTCAGGGGTCTGGGTTGTCCTTTGCTATTCCAGTGAATTCCCAGTGCCAGAGAAATAGCAGAAACTGTTATTGAGGTGTTGGGGCTCAGAAAACAATACATAAGTGTGGTGTTTGGGCATGCTGAGTACTTTGAATCGAAGGACATTTAAAAGGCCTCAGAAGGAAAGTATCTTTCTGCCCTTCTCCTATCCTCCTTTCTCCTGCTCCCCTTTCTCCACCAAGGCAGGTCATAGAAACTAGAGTTCCTTTTCCCCAATGTCAGCCATAGAAGCTAGAACCCCTCTCTCCAAAACCCAGACATAAACCCTAGAGACATTACTCTAACATTCCCCTACCTTTCTGTGTAGGAGCTGGCCACAAAGACATTCTGTGACCTACACTGTCTGATAGTAGGGCATATGACCTTCATTTCAGAAGGGGCCCTGCCCTATGCATGGGAGGAAGGGATGCCACAGAGAGACCAAGAAGAATCTGAACAGGCAGAACTTGCTTGGTGTCCTGGCCAGTGTATTATCATTAGGTGATACTTTTTTTGTTCATTCACATTTCTACATAGCTGCATTCCACATTGAAACTAAGCATAAAAATGGACAGTTTTCCTGGGTATTTGGGTCTTTATTTCTAAAGCCTTTTGTGTCATGTAAAACTGTGTTTAAATAAAGTGGTTATGCTTTTCTGTTATTACCTGTGTTTTTTTTTTTATAGGAGTGTCAGTCGTAACCCTTATGGTGGGTGAAGAAAGGTATCACACCTTTCCAACCCTGTAGAGGATATCTTCTTTTATTTACCCATTCTGCTCTACCACCTCTGCTGGCACTTTCTCCCAGACGCCTGCATTCCCCTTCCCCCACATACACACTATTCAACTCTAAGAGTTATATGGACTAAATTCTAGGACACTCAGTATGCTCAAGCTACCGAATTGGGCCATGAATCATCTTTGTATGCGCAGGTTGTTCCTAGTTGATGGCAGCTGTGCACCGCTAATGGCCTCCCAAGCATCAGAGCTGCTTTAGTGTAGCAATTATTTGCATTAATCAAAGGCTTCAAGCAAATCTCCCACTTTTGGCTGAATAGTAAAAGTATATATTCATGCTGTGCCCAAATGAGGGATTTTACAGAAAAAGGGATACTTTGGACACATGTGGCTACTGTGGAATTCAGTTTCTAACCAACCTCTCCTTCACAGGTCAATTTTGCTGGAGGTTATTATGTGTATACAAGCTTACTTAACACACGAGAATATAGTAGTATAAGTGCACAGAATACTTGCTAATTAATCGACATTTGAATGGGCTGAATACCACTATTATACCCATTCCAATTCTAGAGGGCTCTCTAAGTGTGGAAATGAGAACTAATCAGCATAGACACACACCTGTTTGAATAGTTCCAGGTGGGATTTAAATGAATCATGCTCAGCCTTGCATCTGAAGGTTGCACTGTCCACGGCGTGAACCCCAGGGAAGTGAAGCTACTTTCATCCTGACATTGTGGATGGTATGGTGTTCATCTTCCAGAGGCTCCAAGGTTCCCAAATAGTGCTTCTGAAAGAACATTGCCAATGTGGCTACGTGAGTCCTCCCTGTCATCCTCAGCGGAGAGAAGACATTGAAATATACCTCAGCACACCAGAAGAGACTTGGAAATCTGAAAGACACTACAAAAGAGGGATTTGAAAACTTAAGAAGACTCCCGTCAAGCCCGCTCAATTTCTCTGAGGTCAAACTAAATTTAAATTCTTTTTAACTATCCAACCAGAGAGAAAAGAAAGGAGAGACTGAAAATTTCTCAATCAGTAAGTGGTGATTTGTTTTTTATGTGCGGTAGGAATATTAGAATAATGAGAAGGAAATTCTGCAGCAATTGAATGCTAAGAAGCCTGCTACACTGAGGCAATATTCATTGAGGAACACAGTGGGTGAGCTGTAGGAAAGAGAGACTCAGCCAAGCTTGGAGAAATCCCTGTCTTCCAGAGGCCTCTGCCTAGGTGCCCCAAGTTTTCTAGCCTATCGGTAGTCAACTTGGGTTATTCCTTTAAATTGCACTCCATTTTTTTTCTAAAATATAAGGACTTACATTTTAATGAAAGGATCATTATCATATTCAAGCATATTCTTTCCCACAGGACTTTAACTATTCTTTGCATATTTATGATTCTGTTGGGCTAAAGCTGAAAGAAATTTACAAATGAACAAAGGAAAGGAAGATGTTGACTTCTGAGAAGGCTGTCATAAAATGCCATTTGTAATTTTTATTTGTTGCTTGTACTGTCCACATCCACTCAACTTTTGTCAGGTAAATATACCCCAGTCTTCCTCTAGTGAACCACCTTCTCCCCCACTCTCAGTGCCTTTGTTAGACTTGATCATGTTCTTGGCTCCAAGGGAGAGCATGTGATTCAGGCCCAACCAAGGAAAGCATCGCATTTCCCTGAGCTATGATGATAAGTTTGCAAATGAACATGTGACGCAACTGAGCCAATAAGTGCTAATTCAAATTGCTCAGGAAAAGAGGAATTCTTTTTTGCCCTGAATTTGAATGTGGAAATATTTTGCCCTGGTGTTGTATGCAGCCATCAATGAAACCACAATGGAGAAAATCAGAGTCCAAAAATTAAAAGAGAACCAGGTCTACATTAAGCCATAGATTTTGCAGTTACATGAGCCACTGAGTTCTATTTTCTCACTTACGTCCATTTGAATGGGCTTTTTGTGCATCCCTACCTGAATAGACTGTCCCAAAGAAATTCAAAACTGTATTGTATATTTCACCTTCCAAAGAAGGAAATACCATGTCTTAGTCTGTGTTCAGGCTACTATAACAAAATACCACTGACTGGGTAGTTTTTAAACAACAAAATTATTTCTGATAATTCTAGAGGCTGGTAAGTCCAAGATCAAGGCACTGGCAGAAAGTATCTGGTAAGGGCCCACTTTCTCATAAACAGCACCTTCTAGCTGTGTCCTTACATGTTGAAAGGGTTAAGGGGTCTTTCAGCTCTCTTTTACAAGAATACTAATCCCATTCATCAGGACTCTGCCCTTATAACCTAATCACCTCTTGGTACCATCACACTGGGGGTTAGGGTTTCAGCATATGAGTATTGGGGTAACACAATCATTCAGTCTGTAGCATACCATAATTCTTCCCATGCCTAACTTACTATTGAAAAGTAGTAGAGAAAGATTCTGATCAGGAATAGGAAGGCCTGCTTTTGATTGCACAAGTGCCCTTAACTATCTGTGAGAAAGTGGTCAAGTCACTAGGTCAGTATGGGTACCTGAGGATTCCCACCTATGAAATAAGGGGTCTGAATTGGAGGATTTCTAAGGGTCTTCCAGCTCTATAATTCCAGTCTAATACTTGCCCAGCAACCTTGACTGAGAGAATATTTGAGAAATAATCAGAAAGAAAAATATTGCCTGCTCAGTAATTACTCAAATGGCCAGATTTTTTTGTGTTCTTTAATCATCTCTGTCATAGACCTTAAGCTGATGCCTAAGAGCATGGTTTAAAAATAAATAAATTAAAGAAACATGCACCTTAATGCATGTACTTCACCTGGTAGAGAGGGCTTGTATGTGATTCAGATTTAGCTGTTTTCCAATGTTCAAACCAGGCCAGCTGGCAAAGCTACACCATCTTTGATAAATGAGAAGGAAAGCCTCATTAAAGAGACCCTCCACACTTTTTTTCTTGTTTCTTTTCTTCTTCTCCTTCTTCTTCTTTTTTTTTTTTTTTTCTCTTTTGTCAAGAATCTCTGCAAGCTGCAGCTAATGATTAGAACAGTCTGCAGGCTGCAGTTAACGATCCACGTGGTATTTGTGTCTCTGCTGAACTCGTTTATTTGCATTTAAAAGAGATTTTGGGGTAGATGTAAACACTTTGATGGGATTTATGGCAGAGACAAAGGTCGGTTAACATTTTGATCCAGTGGGTAGAAAACTGCAAAGCCATCATTAAATTGGTAACCAATGGTATTGAAGTTACCTTTTGAAACCACTGATAGGATGTTTGGAGCATGAGGGATCAAAACAGAAGGTACAACTGAAAAGAAGGAGGGTGAGAACACTTGTCTTGTTTTCGGAATTTAAACACTTTTATTTTGTAATCATAAAATGAGGACAAAAAGTACAGAGTACTTTATGGATCCATCAATCAATATACACCTGAAGGTAAAAAACTGAAATAGTAAGGCTGGGTGCAATGGCTGATGCCTGTAATCCCAGCACTTTGGGAGGCCAAGATAGGAGGATTGCTTGAGTTCAGGAGTACAAGACCAGCCTGGGCAACATAATGAGACCCCTGTTTCTACAAAAAGTATGAAAATTATCTGGTTATGGTGGCAAGCTCTTGTAGTCCCAGCTACTTGGGAGGCTAACATGGGAGGATCGCTTGAATTCAGTAGGTTGAGGCTGCAGTGGGCTGTGATCATGTCACTGCACTCCGGCTTGGGTTATAGAGTGAGATCCTGTCTTAGAAAAAAAAAATTGAAATAGTATTGGCCATTACGTGGAAAATTTTGAATAGAAATAGAAGAACACTGTGCCTATCAGACTCTGCCTTCAGGAAAACCATCTGAGAACAAAGGAGAATAAGCTTGGAACTATTCTATCAGCTGAGACACCACATGGTAAAATCTCTTCCGTCTAGATGATTCATAAGCTTACAGAACTCATGGCCACTTCCTTAGGAAAGACTGACCTGTGAACTTTCTGGAGAAGAGACAGAGCAAAGTCAGGGGCTGTGGGGGGAAAGGTTTTGATGCAGATTCCTGGATACAAGGCCCAGATTCAGTTCAACTGACCCTCCATATCCACAGATTCCACATCCACAGATTCAACCAACCACAGATTGAAAATTCAATATTTGCAGGATGCAGAACCTGTGGACACCAGAGGGACTGACTTAATGTATCTGCGAGTTCCGCAAGGCCGACTTCAGAACTTGAGCATCTGTGGAATTTAGTATCTGCAGTGGGTCCTGGAACAAATACCCCGTGCATACCAATACCCCGTGCATACCAACGGACCGCTGTACTTTCTGACCAAGATCTTTGAGTCTTAAAAGTATCTGGAGCTTCACTTTTCTCATTTATACAAATGAATAGAATAGCACTTATCCCAGTTTTTGCGAAGACTTAGTACTTTCTCCATGAACCTTTCCCTAATTCCACCAAGCTAGAGTCAATGCCTCCCCTTTATGCCTCCTCAAACTATATTCCTTTTACAGCCCATACCAAAAGCCATTAATGTCATCTCTATGATTTTCTGTCTCTGCTGGGTCACTGAAGGTTCATTACAGACATGTTTCCACACATGGTTGCTATTCATTAAGTCTCTACTATGTGACAGGAAGCCTCTTGGGCATTCAGAATTCATCAGTGAATAAGAATGACAAAGAACGTGCCCTCAGGGAACTTATAGTCTGGTGGTAGTTGGTAAGGTTCAGGCAGAAAACAGACAATACACAATGAGAATTTTGTGAGATATAGAACAAGAAATAAAAGGCATCCTAGAGCCTCAGTTATTTGTTGATGGAATGACTGAATGAATAAGTCACATTTATTCCCTCTCCTTTAGAGGCGATAAGAACTCTAGTTTTACAAATGTGGAAATGGAAGATTAGGGAAGTGAAATGACTTGTCAAAATCCCACATTTGGCTGATGATCACTTTGTATGATATTTTGTACAACTTTGTTCAAAATATCTAGAATCATGAGAATGTCCCTATTTAAGAATCAGTCTTGGCTGGGTACGGTGGCTCATGCCTGTAATCCCAGCACTTGGGAGGCTGAAAGGTGGATCACCTGTGGTCAGGATTCAAGACCAGCCTGGCCAACATGGTGAAACTCTGCCTCTACTAAAATACAAAAATTAGCTGGGCATGGTGGCGGATGCCTGTAATCCCAGCTACTTGGGAGGCTGAGGCAGGAGAATCTCTTGAACCTGGGAGGCGGAGGTTGCAGTGAGCCGAGATAGCACCATTGCACTCCAGCCTGGGCAACAAGAGCAAAACTCCATCTCAAAAGAAAAAAAAAAAAAATCAGTCTCGGTTTAGAGGAAAAAAAAACCTTCACTTTTCAGATTATTGGTGTATATGGAATGAACACAAAACCCTTGATCTATAAAACAATGTTCCTATTGGGAATCAGATGGCATACCAGGTGGACTGTCTACTGCACAATATTAGTTCCTCCTTTTGATTTTTATTTAAACTTACTTCAAAGCTTCAAATTATTCAGTAACATCTAAGAGTGATAATTGTATCTCTCAGGAGGCACATCTAATGTTTAAAAAGAAACGTTGACTTCTAAGACAATGAAGGAGCTATTTACACTTGCTGCAGAAGCCAAATCACTTATCAATAGCCTGCCTCTCCTAAATGAGTTAATAGAACTATTCACAGGGCCAAGACTATTGATGTTTAGTATATCTTGGGCCTTTTGAGTTAATTTTTCCACTGCCGAGTTGCAATAAAAGACAGTGAAAGACTTTGTCTTTTAACAGTGAAGTAAATAGAGCTATAATAGAAAGTACACTGGCCTAGCCTCGGTGTCCAAAAAATAGGTCAACTCTCCCAACCATATTTTTTATTTTTCTATCATAAATCCCTTAACCTCTTTCAACCTCAGTTTTCCCATTTATAAAATGAAACAATAAAACTGGAAATTCTCTTAAAGTCTAGTGTACCTCTAATACTCTAAGATTATAATATTTACATTGTTATCAATATGAGAGTTGCAAAGACCAGTTCTTCCCGCCAAGAGCATGGCTTTTCTGGGGGCGGGAAGTCTAATTCCTAATGGATACACTATGACATGGCTTGGAGGGGCATTGAATAACTTCTTCCAAAATCTCCACCAGCTGTCCTTGGAAATCCAGAAACAGAAGAGACAATCTAAATTAAAGGAGTATGCTTGCTACTTAAATGCAGCTCATAAGAAATGACTCTTGGGCAGTCCCCTCTACATGGGTGCACACATTCCCCCATGCCCCCATACACATACAGCCACAAAAACATAGGCCAGACTGCTACTCCTCAACTCCACCAGTGCAAATACCTAAGCTTCAAGTAAGTAGGAGAGAAAAATAAAACAGATCTGATTCATGTGGCATAAATGGGAAAAATTATTTTGATACGATCTAAAGTGTAAATTGCGTGCATTTCAGAATTAATTTTAGAATTCTTATTTTGCCCTTTCAACAACAGCATACATTAAATAAGGGAGAAGCAAGAAAACAGGCACATTTGAAGTCAGAAACACATTTTCTTTGGGTTGCTAAAGTCACAAATGCAAAATGGCACAGGGTCTAGAAGTAAAGCAAGGATGAAGAAGGTCTTTACTTGAAGTAAAAATTGGAATATCATTAATTAGGTTGTTGACCACTCCAAGCACATACTCCTGAGGAGGATTTATTTGCAGAAAGGTTACTTTTATAACATTATTGCAATTAATGATGTTCACAGTGAAACACTGGGTCACAAAGTTGGACTGGATGACTATCCTTGTCTCCTTCAAAGGATCTTTTGATACATAGAAAGACTCTGTGAAAAGGATGCATAAGTTTAAAGAAAAACAGGTAAATAGGTTATGCCATTAAAAAAGATATCAAGAGCCAGTTAAAAACCAATCCAGGGCCATGTGAAATTTGTAAGTATGGGATAATGGCACTCCATAAGAGAACTCTTCAACCAAATTGACCCAGATAGTTGATTGTCACGCCATTCTGAGAAGAGAGAGCTGAAAATTGGTTTCTTCATTGCACAGCCCTCCCCAGGACTACTCTGCAGAATTACGTCTGCATTGGTCCTGCTAGTGAGGAAATCTCTGTTCCTTAGAAATGCTTTGCAGCCCCTGTCCTCACCAACAAGAAGACACCGAGGTGCCTGGAGAGTCACTAGCAACTCTCAATCCTACATTTATTCATCAAATGTGTATTAAACTTTCAAATAAGTAGAACGCTCAGTTAGAACTGGAGGTGCTGTGGTGACAATATCAGGGTCTTTGCCTTCAAAGATTTTGCAACCTAGTTAGTGAGTGGGAAGTCGGGGCCCATAATCACTAACAACCACTGAAAGGATGTAAACATCCTCCAGAAGGAATCGGGGTCATGATAGTGGAAGTGATGGGGTTCAGGGGAAGCTAATCCCCAAAATGGCACCCTGGCATTTGAAAACGCTGCAGAAGCAGAAGCAGAAAAGTCTCTCTCACCTTCTTTTTGCCCTTCTCCCCTGAAGCAGATCATAAAACCTCATTTGGAAGGTGCCCTTTCTACATCTAGAGGAAAGGAACATTCTTATCTCTTGTGTTAGTCTGTTCTCACACTGCTATAAAAAACTGCCCGAGACTGGCTAATTTATTAAAAAAAGAGGTTTAATTGATTCGCAGTTCCCTATGGCTGGGGAGGCCTCAGGAAACTTATAGTCATAGTGGAAGGGGAAGCAGCCATGTCTTACATGGCGGCAGGTGAGAGAGCACGTGATAGCACAGGAAAAACTACCATTTACAAAACCATCAGATCTCATGAGAATTCACTCACTATCAAGAGAACAGCATGAGGGAAACTGCCCGCATAATCCAATCACTTCCCTCCCTCAACACGTGGAAATTACAATTTGAGATGAGATTTGGGTGGGGACACAGAGCCAAACCATATTATCTCTGAAGACACAAGAACACAGAGAAGAATCTTAACAAATAAGTCTTGCTAAGTTCCCCCCAGTTTACTACCATTAGATCACACCCCCCTTTTAAAAACACACTTCTCCACAACTACCCACTTCTTCAAACTTTGCCTAAAAAATACACAAGATTCCCTGTTTCTTTGGATCTTTCTGAAGGATCCTGTGTCATAGAAAATCTATATTAAATATACTTATATGCTTTTCTCTTGTTGATCTGTCCTTTGTTGTGGACTCAGAGATGAACCTAGTGATGGGTGAAAAAAGAAACCTTTCTTCCTGTACAGAATCAAAGCACCAGAGGTCATTGCCATAAATAATAGTTATGGTACGTGTCACAGTAGGGAGGCCCACATGGGGAATAACTGAGGCCTCCTGCCACAATCTGCGTCAGCATACCAGTCATGTGAATCAGCCACCAAGAAAGCAGATTTTCTAGTCCTAGTCAAGGCTTCAGATGACTGAAGTCAAGCCAACGTCTTGACTGCAACTTCATGAAAGAGTCCTGTTAGAGGTCAAGTTGTGTCCCACCCCCTGAGTGATACATTGAAGTCCTAACACTCGGTACCTGTGAATGTGACTTCATTTAGAAATAGCATCTTTGGGTGGGCACGGTGGCTCACGCCTGTAATCCCAGCACTTTGGGAGGCCGAGGCAGGCGGATCATGAGATCTCATGATCAGGAGATTGAGACCATCCTGGCTAACATGGTGAAACCCTGTCTCTACTAAAAATAAAAAAAATTAGCCAGGCATGGTGGCAGGCACCTGTAGTCCCAGCTACTCAGGAGGCTGAGGCAGGAGAATGGCTTGAACCTGGGAGGCGGAGCTTGCAGTGAGCCGAGATTGCACCACTGCACTGCAGCCTCGGTGACAGAGCGAGACTCTGTCTCAAAAAAAAAAAAAAAAAAAAAAAAATACCATCTTTACAGACGTGATTAGGTTAAGATGAGGTCATTAGTGTGGGCCCCAATCCAAAATGACTGTTATCTTTATAAAGAGGGGAAATTTGGACAGAGAAGCAGACATCTATAGGGAAGACATGGAAGAGATACACAGGGAGAAGATGCCATGTGACAACGGAGGCAGAGATTAGAGTGATGCATCTTTGGAATGCCATAAATTTTCAGCAACCACTAGAAGTTCAAAGAGGCAAGAAAGCTCTCCCCTATAGGTTTTAGAGTGATCTCGGCCCTACTAACACCTTAAATTTGAACATCTAGCTTCAAGAACTATGAGACAATACATTTTTGTTGTTTTAGCCACCCCATTTGCTATGCTTTCTTATAGCAGCCCTAGCAAACTAATTCAAGGCAGAGCCATCCAGACAAACCATTCCCGAATTCCTGACCACAGAGACTGTGTAAGATAATAGATGTTTATTATTGTTTTAAGCCACTAAGTTTTGGTATGATATGTTAATATGTTATACAGCAACAGTTAACCAATATAGCTAGACCAGAACTCTGGTCTTCTTGTTCCAAGTCCAGTAATTTTTCTACAATATCAAATTACTGCTCATTATTTTTGAGGACGAGAGAATGGTCCTGAATATTTAGCTTAAACTGCTGATAATGTTTTTGGAGACACAGATAGAACTTTCCACCATGAGGCAACAAAGTTATCTTCATGGAAGATAGATACCATCCAACAGTAACACTAATCCTACCTGGATTCATAGTTGCTTCTATGAGTTCTTCTACATCCCTGTGGAAGAGGCATTAAATGAACAGCAATTACTGATAAAATACAGCAAGATTGATATTGTGTTACAAAAAGCATTATCTGTAACTGCTCAACTACTCTCCAGATAGAGTAGATAGATAGATAGATAGATAGATAGATAGATAGATAGATAGATAGATGGATAGATAGATAGATAGACAGACAGATAGATAATAGAGATAGATAGATGAACATAGACAGACAGATAGATATAGAAGAAGTCCTAACAAGTCCTGAGTTACACATAGACAAATAGATAAAGATAAATAAACAAATAAAGATAAATATGGAAGATAGATAGATGATAGACCGACAGAAGAGGTAGATGGATAGATAAGAGACAGACAGATATGGATAGATAGAAGACAGACAGACAAAGACAGAGAGATGAAAGGGAAGAAGGAAAGAAGAAAAAGGGGACGGAATGAGGGAAGGGAGTTGGATGAACTACAGAGAGAAATAGTAAAGGAAAACACACACAAACACATTAAGTTCCATGTGCCAGAAAGGTGGAATTATTGCTCATTATGTTCTCTTTGCCAAACCAAACTATTGCAATGTTTTCTGACAATTGTTTTCTCTAGCTTATAAATAGATCCTTGTTTTCTCCCTCTACTCACCCCAAATTTTTAAAACTTAATGCATCATTTATTTTGGATGGAGAAAAGAAAAGTATGTATTCACATCTTAGTTAATGATCTACTGAGTCTCAATATTGTAACTTTGGAGATCATCTTTCTAATGTCATCAATTTGTTAATTATAACTTGATCTGGATGAGATTGCTTTAGAATGCTGACATTTGAAGAAGAAAAGGAAAAACAGATGTGCTGTGCTTTGGCCTACAGCTTCTCTTAGAAAGCAACTGAGTTCCACATAGCCCAGCTCAGGATCCCCTGTTATGGCAGCTGGGGACCAGCACAGCATATCCATCACTCAGGCAGTTACAGGGATATTAGCTTATATAAAGCTGTGTGGAGTTTCAAATCCAACACTCCCATCACCATTTAATTACCTGCTGTATTATTTTTCCTTGTCGTTGGTAAGACAAAAGCCAATTACAGGCATGTGCTGCGTAATGACATTTCAGTTAACGGACCACATATACAATGGTGGTCCCAGAATATTATAGTACTGTATTTTTACTGTACCATTTCTATGTTTACATATGTTTAGACACACAAATACTCACCACTGTGTTACAATTGCCTATGGTATTCAGTAGACTAACATCCTGTACAAGTTTGCAGCCTGGGAGCAGTAGGCTATATCATATAGCCTAGGTGCATAATAGGCTATACCATCTAGGTTCATGTAAGTATACCCTATGGTGTCTGCACCACGACAAAATCACCTAACAACACATTTCTCATAATGTATTGCCATTGTTAAGCAACGCATAGACCATACTTCAAAACAGGAAAATTCCTCCCTTTTCAAATAATAGTAAATATGGAAATTTTTAGCACTGTCTTCAACATTGAACATGAATTCCATGGGCATTGAGTGCATAGAGGATGTTATTTCAATTTTATTCTTCGGGTTGTCGTTACCTTCCGAAGAGTTACACATAAACAGAGCATGCAGAACTTATGCATTCAGGCAATCAACATACCCACAAAGACACCAATTTCAGGAATTTATTATCTCCCAACACAGTTGAAGTTAATATTTTTCTTGCAGGTTTGTTTGCTTTTTAATCAAAACACAGTAAACAGCAAATGAAAATGATAATTTTCTATGGACCCGCTATATTTTTAAAAAAGCAACTACACATTGGCTGTGATTAAGTGAAGACAAAACTACATGCTGCGGTAGTTGAAATACTTCTGGAATTTATTAACTTCAGCATACATGCTAGGGCCAAATGAGCTTCTTTAATTTCCATAATGAAATTGTTTTTGTAAAGTTAAAAATACTGTAATGAGGCCAAAACGGTGTGCTTTCAGGGGGCTCCCATGGTGCAACAAATGAGATTTTAGCTTCTCTAATTGGGCATACTGCAAGCTGGCTTGATGCTGTCCTCAACACAGGGTGTTTGTTATCCTAACAAAAAAAGGGGTCTACAGCTGTCAGCATAATGCTATATGGCTTTTCAGAAGCCAAACTATCAGGAGGAAGACGGCTGCTCTCTGGCTGGGACCACCCAAAGGGAGAGATCAAGTATTGAACAGCGCTTCTCTTCCCTGATTAAGAAGTTATTCTTAAGGTAATTTGTTTACAGCTATCAAAGGGAGGCTTTGGAAGCAACTGGGGAGAATTCCCAGAATCCTCTGAAAGAATTTTATTTGATTAAGCAATGAATATGGATATTTTCTCTCCTTTTTTTCCCCCCTCTTATGAATTAAATCTCATTACCTGTCAACACAGGCCTTTGGAGTCTCACTGTTTCTGTAGAAAACAAAAGTTAGGCCCATTTTGTTGAGGCAGCTATGCCAAACCCGGCTGGTGAGCCGCCACAGTGGGCACCATGGTAACAGCCTCCAAACCTCTTTGAGCTCTGGAATGGTTTTGATGTAATATTGTCTTCATTTATTTTTAACCATTACTTTCAACTACAAAGAGAAGTAAAATAGAAGGCTACAATAGAATTAATTTTTAGCCACCAGAAGTAAGTCAGTAACTGTATTTTCCCAGTTTGTAATAGGTATTCAGTTTTAGATGTAAGTATACAACAGGATCCAGAAAAATGAATAATTTTGCTGTAAACTTCTACACTATTTAGTTTCATTTACTTGATGCTAGACAAGTGAACGATTGATATACTATCAAAATATATAAAAAGTTAATAGCGTATTCACCAAATGAATTCAAATATCCTAAATCTAATTATTCAAGAGAATAAATATTTAAAGGATAATGCAAGCTGCTATCATAGGCTATAATGATACATTGCAGTAGTGAAATGTGCACTTCCAACAGCATAGTTCCAAGTGTTTTCTTTTCTTTTTTACTTTTCTAGAAGAGAATATTATAAATCATCACACAGGAATTAGATGATATAGATTATATTATAGTAAAACTTTCTCCCCTTGCCCCTGATAGCTTCTACTTTATACTAATTTTATTGTTTCTAATTTGTTCAAAACATTAAACAATCCCATTTTAATAAAACAAAAGGATGTTACTTACTATTCTTACTTTTCATTGGCCTTATTTTACATTTCTAACTTTTTCAGTCATCTTTCAAACACCAGCCATTTCAAGGAATCTAAACAATTCTATCTTTTTAAGATAAGTTTAAATATAAAAGATACTATTTGGGAGAAAAATCTGTCATTTAACATTTTGTAAATACCGAATCTATGTAAAAATGAACTGATTCTTTATGTGCATGTATTTTGCAAATAAAAGGAACAAAATAAAAGTATTGCTTCAGAGTGATGACACTGAAAACCATTTATGGACCAACAATACATGATTATTTTATAAAAAATACAAATTCTGAAATCTTGAGACAACAACAAACTTAGTGATTAAAAGCATAAATTCTGAAATGTAAGAGATCTGGGTTGCAATCTCAAGTCACTTTCATTAATTGCATAGCCTTGGATACTTTAACCCTTTAAGCTTTGGTTTCCCGATGTGTAAAGTGGGGAATCATAAAAGTATCTACCTCACTGAGCTGCTCTGTCAAATATCATCATGCGCATTGACATAGCGCCTGCACATTAAGCTGTCAATAAGCTTACGTGATAAGGATGAAGTGATGAAGAAAGTAATAATAATGACATAGAAACCAAGTATTTTGCACCACAAAAATACTATGTTTGAATCTACCAGTGACTAGAAGCCAGAGCACATACACATGTAAAATATATTTTGTCATTATATTGCTTTATGAAAACATATAGTGTTTTAGGTGGGAGGAATATAAAATGCATCAGTGTTAGAGACAGAAGTCAGCTGCAGAAAGTGGAGTTCGGAGACTTTTCTAATTGGAAGGAAGACATGAGGAGATGAGACAATGGTGAAGCCAAAGATGTCTCAGACAGCCCCAGAAAAATTTCTAATATTAAAAATGACTAGAAGTCGAACTTGGCTATTGAATGACAATAATCATTCAACAGAGAATTTCAAAGAGTAGTGACTAGCCTTCTATCATTGGAGCTGTCCAAACTAGAGCCATCTGCATTAATATTTCTTGGAGAAAACCGACTGGTAGAAAGAAGGATTGTAGTTTAATTTGTTAATGGAAGTCTACCAAACAAACTGTGAATCTTCATACCAAACATGCCAAAAAAATATATAGCTTTCCAAGCTTTGAGAGGCTTCATGAATCCCAAGTGAGAAATTACACTCCTCTCCTATACCAAAAGTATTTGCATGTCCTCTAGATCTTCTGCTTCTCATAATATTTGGCTAAGTCCTACTTTATGATGAATATTTCATATGATTGCAAAAATTGCTATATGTGAAGACAAAAGCATTGGTGAGATTAAACTGAATTATTTAGCTTAAATGTGTTATAAAATTCAATGAACAATACTCATTAATAACATCAATCTGTACACTGTCTAGCCCTTAAAGTCACTATTTTGTATTAGATCAGAATATCTATTTTATAGTCATTGAAATGGTTTTCTAAACCATTTATATCAATAGGTGATAATAAGAAATTCATTTTGTAGTCTGAAATCCCTTATGGTATGTGGATACCTCAATTCACTAACAGATCATTTTCTTTTAAAATATGAATATATGTGTATTTGTATGTGTGTGATATATATGTTGATTTTAAAATTCTCTATATTTATATATATTTAAAGGTTATATATATATATATATACACACACACTCTTAGGAAAGAATATTTACCCAATTATATTTTCAGAATGAATTTTCAATTGTGCAAAACCTTTTGCAACATCTCCACTCATCTCAGACATGAATACTGTAACATGTATGGGCATAGCTGAGGCAAATTTATCATGACAGCAACCAAATAATAAATCTGTATCTCTATAACCAGTTCCATTTCCGAATAATTTCTCTGTCGCACATTATTTTAGTCTGGCAGATTGCTTCATTCTTCTTTTTTTCTTTCCTTTACTTTGGGGTTAAACTGCACTTTCAAATTCACATTATTTTGCAGATAGCATGTCACCTTCATTTAAGTTGCTATAGTTGGCATTTCTTTTCTATCAGCTGAAGCAGTTAATTTACTTGCATTGACCAGCCACAGTGTAATCTACCACCTGATAGTTGTGTTCTTCTTGGGCCACCAAAGACTTAAAAGATGAACAAGAAGACTTACTTTTTGCAGTTTCATAGTTTGAATTCTTATTATATTATTTGATTTTAAATTCTTTGATTTGCTGAGGAACTCTATGACTGGATGGGGTATAATTTTTTTTTTTTAAAGCAAATCACATTATCCATCTGTGTTGTGTTTCATATAGGAGGTCAGACCATGTTGTAACTGAGGCAGCAATACTGAAATTTCGAACACAGTGAGATATAAGTCCTGTGCATCTTTAAGAGCTCTGGACAAATTATTTGTTCATATACAGGCAGGTTATTCCAAATAAAATAATTTTTGTCTTTGACATTACTAAAAGAGCAGAAAACTTTGTAGGAGGAGCAAAAACCAAATATTATGCAACTCCAAAACAGATGTATTCAAAGTGTTCACATGCCAGCAATTTAATATTGTAAAGCTAAAATGGAAATATTTTTTTAACTCACTAAGTCATACCAAAAGTAAATATTTCTGTTAATCCAAAAATGTTAGACAATTTAAACCTGCTAAAGTTGAATTTCACAGCTATTTTAGTCTTCTGTAAATAATTACTATTTCCACTTTTCTCTAGACAATTATAATACCAGAAAATGCTAATTCATACTTATCAAGATAAGATAGAGCTAGAAACCAGAAACGTTCTCTTCAGTCTGTTACTTTATTTTGGGCTAAGAGACTGCAGTTTTGACAGTGGGGCCATCTGCTACTAACTTTTCTCCTCATCATGATGCCAGTCCAGTCAAAAGCAATTAAACCTGTTTTGCCATTATAATATGTAGATAATGATGATAAATTATAGCTTTAAAATGAGTCTCAAATTATGCATACGCTAGGTATTTTCCTTACAGCTACTGATGTAAAAGATATTCCTGTACTTGTGAAATTTTTCAGCTATTTTATTAATGATGTTAGCTCTATAATGAGCTACTTACCAGGGTATTTTGCAGGCACAGAGCCTAGTAGTCATTATAAATCTATTTATATCCCAGCAAGATGTTTCGAGTGGAGAGTGGAGCCCTAACATTCTGCATCGCTGTTGAACAAAATATATAGCACATACGGCTCCAACTTGCTATGTTTTATTATGTCACATAATCAATAAAACACATAAATACCACAAATAAAAAGTAGCAGGAAGAAAATTCTATGGCTCCAGCACAACATGGGGTTATATAGCAGAGAGAAGATGACGCTTAATGATTTCTAGGAACAGATACAAACCTATCATTCTTGAGACAAGCCACATATTATCTCTGATTTTCATCAAAAATATTTGGACTCCTTTCAAGGTAGAAACCATGAATAGTCAATGTTCCAAAATGATAATATCAGTCCTTTTTTGGATTGGGGATTGCCAAATTGGACAACTGTACTGTTTGTTTGGTTTGGCTTTACAAATTTGCAGCTAGTATAATTATTGTTTCAGAAAATTTATTACAATTTTGTTTCCATCTTTTATTTATTTCAAAAAGTAAAAAACAAGAAAAGCAGTCAATGTGTGGAGTATCTCGGGAAATGTCATTCAGATACACTCTGTCATGGTGTCCCATATCGCATTACAGCTATTTAAGATACCACACTCCTACCGCAGGTAACTAATGTGGCTTTGCTAATTGAGAGTCACAGAACCGAAGCGCTCCTTGTACTGTTTCCTACCATTATTTTCTCTAGCAAAAATACCATTTCGTATAGTAAACAGGTATTAATTATGAATAGCCAACTTTCTAATTCTGTTTTATCATCAAAACACAGACTAATGATTATGGGGAGAGAAAAAGAAACAATTTTGTTGGAAAGAAAAGAAACTCTTAGCAACATTGGAAAATGTTCTGCCTAGCAGTAGTTCATTACAGCCTATCTTTTTCATTACTATGTAACACTCATAAATAAGTCACGGGGAGGAGGAACGTGGCAACATGAGAAACTCACCAATTATATTTGCCACAATGCTATATAAATGGAACCAGTCTATTGATATTTTAATAGGCCTTCTCATGAGCTATATTGAAAACAGGAATCTCAGTTGCAGCTAATCATCTATTTGCAGACAAAGACATTACTCATCACCACTTACACAAGTATCCACCTCAATCTCACATCATTCTTCAAATCGCCATTTTAGGTCTTACCTTAGTATCCTAGGGTGCTTCCCCAGACACATGCAAATAGCAAACACTTATCCAGGGCCCACAAATTGCCAACGATAGAAATCAAGAGCATATGCCTAGTTTTGTTTTTTTTCTTTCACTTTTTCACTTTCCTTGATAGTGAGGCACCTTTTGGTAACGGTAGTTTTACAGTATGGGAGATGTGTGGTCAAAATCTTACCTTGGAGAAAATATTTCAAGTTTTAGAAAAACAATGAGGTTGATTTCCCTCAGTTTCCCCATCTGTTTAGTAAAATTTGTGTTATGAGTTAATGTATGCAAACGATGACTGAAAAAAGTATTCATTATACCAGAAAATAGCTATTGCAATGAACAACTTAAACATTCTGACATTGGCCTTAGCATGGAAAGCAAAGAGTGGGAAGGTAATAAGAGAGGAAACTAAAATAGAAGAGAAGAGGGACTAACAAGGAGGGAAATGGAGGCAATTTCAAATAATATGGAATAGCACCCTTGCTTACAACTCTGACAGACGACTATGCATAGAGGAAGCCTAGAGCTCAGAAGTTTCTCTAAAGTTCGACTTGGGGAAGAGCAGTGAATATGATAGAAACAGCTTTGGAACCTCTCAGCTCCAAGTATAGCTCTCGCTCCACCAGCTGTGTGATCTCATTTATTTATCCCAGAACCTCTGTTTCTTCATCTGTCAAGTGGATAAATCCAGCTACCACATAGAATTGCTATGAAGATTAAATAAATATCACATAAAAGTATCGATCATGTCTCTTGCACAATGTTAGGTGCTAATAACTGGGACTTGTCAGGGTTACCTCTTCTACTCAGCATTTAATTCAGTTAAAAATATTTTTCCTGATTATAAAAATTGTACATAATCATCATGGGAAATATTGTCTTCTTGTTTCTTTCATCATAAAATATGCTTTCAGAGACCTCCACTTCTGGGCAACCAGGGGTTCATAGTCTCCACACTGTGGAGATGTTAAACCTTGATACGAATCACCTGGGGCATTTAAAAACAAATAAGGCAGGAGCCTCTGCTTAATTGATCTGTTGTACAGACTGGGCTTCAAGATTTTCAAAAGCTACCCAGGCGATTCTAATGTGCAGTTGAGGTTGAGCCCAGAGCTTCATCATGTGTGTAGGTGGAGATAGGCTAGCAAGCAGAGGTGGGTGAGTCATGGTTAAGACTAAGCTTTCTGGTGAGCGGAAAGACTTAGTTCCTATTTTTAAAGAATCCCTTAAGGAGTGAAAACATTTTCTACTCTGTCTGGGAGGATGAGCGGCATTTGGTACATGGTATCTTTTAAAAATGTCCAAAACCAGCTAAATAAATATAATGCATTCCACTTTACCCATTTGGCCCCTTCATTCTCATTAACAGCTGCCAATGTGTTGCCATATTTTTATTTCCCTTGGCAGAGAAGGCAAATTGTTCCCTAAAGAGGATGTTACAATCAAGAGGATGACAAAGACAGCACGTGGGCCCTCAGTGTCCTTCTTTTTGTCCCCCAGGGGGTCCAGCAGTTCCGCTCCTGGGTCACATATCTATCCCCACATTTGGTTTCTTCAACTTTGACATCAGGCTGCCCTGTCTTTTCACAATTAAATTTTTTTTCAAAATCCTGGGAATGCAAAGCTTTGTTTCATACTCTATAATGATAAATGCGTAGTTCTTCATTGGAACTGTACTTTTTAAATGCTTCTTCAACAAATGTTTTAGTCAAATATTTTTCTAGAAATTAAAAGGTGACTTGACTAAATTTAGACTCAAACCTGTCTTAACTGACTTACCTGAAAGTTACATTGTGTTCCAGAAAGTCTGTTAATTCTTCCAATCCTCCATTTAGGGGCAAATTAAGCCACCCACCCACTCTTTTCATCAAGTTCATGAAAATACTGCATTGGTCAGGCACGGTGGCTCACGCCTGTAATCCCAGCACTTTGGGAGGCCAAGGCAGGTGGATCACCTGAGGTCAGGTGTTTGAGACCAGCCTGGCCAACATGGTGAAACCCTGTCTCTACTAAAAATACAAAAAATTAGCGGGGCGTGGTGGCAGGCGCCTGTAATCCCAGCTACTCAGGAGGCTGAGGCTGGAGAAACGCTGGAACCTGGGAGGCGGAGGTTGCGGTGAGCTGAGATCGCGCCATTGCACTCCAGTCTGGGCAACGAGAGCGAGACTCTGCCTCAAAAAACAAAACAAAACAAGACAAAAACAAAAGAAAAAAGAAATAAACAAGAAAATACTGCGTTTTGTTACGTCCTCTGCACAGCTCTGCAGTAGCGGTTAACTGATAAATACTAATTCATCCGCCAGTGCTGTTGACATTAGTCAATTATGCTAGTGCCAAATATAGTTAGCAGTGGAAACATGTTTTATGAATTGCTATTATATCAAAATAGCCATATTGATTTCAACTCCATTTTACTAAGAAAGGCAGAAAAGGGTTTCCCAAGAAGAAAGCGAGAGAGAAAGAAGCAAGGGATTCATCCCTAGTTTAGGGTTTTTTTTTTTTTTTTTTTTTTAATTTTTGCCTTGGAGCATACCAATTTAGAACTGATGGTTGGATCTTACCCTGCTCTCAATACAGCTTTCAAAAAAAAGATGTAGAACCAATTTAAACAGATAGGGAAAGTCTATTGGTCTGTTACTGTGGCAACAGTCATCCCCAAGACACAGCAAAACTAATAAGTTAACTAGATGCACCTAGTCCCAACCATCCAGCATAAGCCATAAAACTGAACTGCTGAGAATCACTGGCAACTTTGCTGAGGGAAGAATGGTGCAAACTGGTACACCAGGGAAGCAGATAATCCAATTTAGAAGTGCAGATTCTCATTTCAGTTTCATTGGCATGTTCATTTTGAACTAAAGGGATCTGAGCAGAAATTCTATAAACAACCAGCACTTAGAAATCAGAGGCAACAAGATTCTCTAGAGGTATAATTGCTTTTAAACCAGGCAACCTGAAATCGTGTCTGCCTGGTGTAGCAGGGAAAAAGGATGGGGTGGGGTGGGGTGGGGTGGGGTGGGGTGGGGGAATATCAGCTGAAAAAATCGGTAGCTGGCCAAAGGACCGCAAGCCAGCCATGGCTTGGGTATCTCAATATGCTTAATAATGTAACTCAATTCGATAAAATTCAACCAGGATTTTTGAAGGGCTCACAATTGTATAAGGCACTTTACATTTTATACAAACCGAATGTTGTAATTGAAGCCATAGTTTGTAATATTAGGAGAACTAATTATAAAAATAAGACAGACCTGATGAAAATCACAGCTCTGCCAGCTTACCATCTATAGCTGTGAAAACTTTGGTAGGAAACATGACCTCTCTAATCCCAGTTACGTCATCTCAAAAGTGGTGACAATAGTTGTATCTACTTCATAAGTTATGAGTATTAAAGGAATATAGTTCATGTGTTTATCAAACTTCTCAATATATTTTAGCCCTCAATATTAGCAACCTTTTATTTATCTATCATCTTTGTTGCTATTTTGAATAACAAAGACCATATTGACCACAAAAATATATATACAGGATTTGTCACCAAAAGAAAAATCTTCCAACAAAAGGGAAAAATGGTCTGTAGAATTATCCTTCCTGATTATTTCGAGGTTGAGAGCTATAAGCAGTTAGCAACATTCAGAGACCTGAATATCTAAAGAAGAGTACTGAAATTAAGAAAGGTTGTTAATATGAGCAAAATACCTATAATAAAAGTAAACCACTCTAACCAGGCCTTTGCCCCTCTCCTCCACCTTGTCAATTCAAGGTGACCAGAGCCCACCACGTGGCAGCATGTGGCACGATCACCATGCCCCGCTCCATACTGCCCTTTCTGCTCTTGGCTCCAGCATACCACATCCTGCTCACTTCCCTTTTATGTCAGTGGCCACATCTCAGTTGATTTCTCATCTCTTCCCTATCTTTAAAAATTTACAGTGCCACAGGGCTCAATCCTTGGCCCTCTTCTTCATCTATCTCACTTCTCCAGGAATCTCATCCAGTCTCATGGATTTAAACATCATGTATGGCTGGGTGCAGTGGCTCATGCCTATAATCCCAGCACTTCAGCAGGCTGAGAAAGGAGGATCGCTTGAGCCCAGGAGTTTGAGATCAGGTTGGGCAACATGGCAAGACCCCATCTCTACCAAAAAAATAAATAAATAAATAAATAAATAAAAATTAGCTGGGCATGGTGTTGTGCACACATAGTTCCAGCTACACTGCTTGGGAGGCTGAGGCAAGAGGATCCCTTGGGCCCAGGAGTTTAAGGCTGCAGTGAGCTGTGATTGCACCACTGCACTTCAGCCTGGGAAATAGAGCAAGACCCCATCTTTAAAAGTAATAAAAATTTAAAAATCATGTATATGCTGATACCTCTCCCATTGATATCGCCAGCCTTAACTCCCCTGAACAAGACTGCCCATTCAATGCTCCACCTTGGCATCTAAATCACATGTCAAACTCAGTGTATCTAAACAAAACTGAACTTCTCCCAGGCCCACAAAACTTGTTCTAGTCTTGTCCATTACAGTTCATGCAAATTTCATCCTTAGAGACACCTTTAACCCTGCTTTTCTTTCACACTCCACATCCAATCTTTTCAGAAATTCTGTAGTCTCTACATTGAAAATACGTCCAGAATCAAACCACTTCTCACAATCTCCACTGTTATCACCCTTATGAAAGCCCCAGTACCTCTCACCTGGATAGCTGTGTTAGCCTCTTAATAGCCCCCTCACTCCCCTACAGTTTGTTTGCACCACAACAGAGGGATCTTTTTCAAATATAAGGCAGATCATGGCATTCCTCTGCTCAAAGCCCTGCAAGACCTTCCTATTTTGTTCAAATGGTAGGATCCTACACGATCTAACCCCTGTTACTCTCTAACCTCACCTCCTAATATTTACCTCCGAATTTATTTCCCTCCAGCCTCACTGGTTTTCTTGTCATTTCTAGAAAGTTACAGGCATGTTTTTTGAGACCCCCACTTTATTCCCACTCTCTATCCCATGCCTGAATCAGAAGACAATGACTTTATCCTCAAATGCAGGGGTAGATCCTGACTAATATAAACCAATCAGATAATGCTACTTTGCCTGGTGACAGTTTACCTAGCGAGGTAAACTGCTCCAGTCAGACTGAAGGGAAGGATTTTTGTTCCACACTTCAAGGATGAGTTTCTCTCTTACTTGAACAATTAAGCTCAGATTGCCACTGGCAGCAACCTTGCAACCACAAAGAGGAAGCCAATTCCTTCCTAGGAAGCCAGTTGCAAGGACCCCAGATTGGACAGACAGAACAAGGTTTTCAATATTATCTCTGAGCCCTGATCATACTATGACTGGAACAAGCCTGTCTTAGTTCATCTATGCTGCTATAACAAAATCCCATATAGGGAGTGGCTTATAAACATCAGACACGTATTTCAGTCCTGGAGGCTGGGGAATCCAAGATCAAGTTCCTGGAAAATTTGCCGTGTAAGGGCCTGCTTCCTGTTCATAGGTGGCACCTTTTAGCTGTACCCTCGTATGGTGAAAGGGGAAAGAGGTCTCTCCTGATCCTCCTTTTTTTATTTCGAGACAGAGTCTCACTCTGTCACCAGGCTGGAGTGCAGTGACATCATCTCGGCTCATTGCAATCTCAGACTCCTGGGTTCAAGTGATTCCTCTGCCTCAGCCTCCCGAGTAGCTGGGGCTACAAGCATGTACCACCATACCTGGCTAATTTTTTGTGTTTTAGTAAAGACAGGGTTTCACCATGTTGGCCAAGATGGTCTCAATCTTCTGACCTCATATTCCGCCTGCCTCGGCCTCCCAAATTACTGGGATTACAGGCATGGGCCACCCCAGCTGATCCTCCTTTTTAAGGACACTAACACCATTCATGAGGGCTTTGCCCCATGACCTAATCACGTCACAAAGGTCCCAACTCCTAATGTCATCACCTTAGGGGTGAGGATTTCAGTGTACGAATTTTTTGGGAAAAAAACCATCCAGACCACAGCATAGCCCCATCTGTGGAGCAGTAGTTCTATAATGTAAGAAATGTCTTTAATGCATATGCTAGTTTGAGTCAGGTTTCTGTTACTTGCAGCCAAAAGCATTCTAAAGATATAGGCGTTGATAGAACAAAGATGTCACACATGAAAAGTAAGACATAGGTTTGAACCAATCATGCCTGCTAAATTTCACATACTTAGACCTTGACTTCTGCATGATTTGACATCTATAACATGGGAATTTAATTCATACACCATGTAGTATTTTAACAATTAAATGAAATTCTATTATTCATAAAACACAACATATCTGTTCATTCACAACATTTTATCCTTGAGCGCTTTATCCTGAAGCACCAGGTAAATATCTTAGAAATTAAAATATTTAATTTAATATCCCAGCAATGATGTATGACAACATGTGTGAAGTATTACCAATCAGAGAGGCTCACCCAAGCTTTGGTGTCCAGGGTTTTTTCTGGGGGTCAGTTCTGTATGTGTGGAGCACCCATGTGACCAACCTTAGATACTCAGTCTCCAGCCACTACATCCTCAGAGGACAAATTGATGAAATATGGCCCAGGGCTCAGGTCAGCAAAAATAGGTCTGTGCCATAAATCACATGGTTAGCATACACTATTTGGTGTGGCAACTGAGACTGAGAAGCTATGGTTTATCTTAGTGAAGTCATCAATTACTCCTGTTAAAAGAAAAACTTCAGCCAAATTAAATGTAAGGGAGTTTAATTGCACAATAAACGATTCATGAATCAGCAAGCCCCCAGAATCACAGCAGATTCAGAGAGATTCCAGGGATGCTTCATGGTCAGAACAAATTTATAGACAAAAAAAAGGAAATGATGTACAGAAATCAGAAGTGAGGTACAGAAGCAGCTAGATTAGTTACAGGTTGGCGTTTGCCTTAATTGAACACTGTTTGAACACTCAGGAGTGTATGAGTGGTTGAAGTTATGGCTGCTGGGATTGGCCAAGACTCAGCTACTGTTACAGGCACATACTCCTAAGTTAGGTTTCCAACCTTGTCTGCCTGTTAAACTAGATTACGGTTCATCCACAAGGAGTCCTTCTCAGGCCATATTTAGTTTGCTTTAACACTCCTTTCTTTCTCCCTTCACATTCCATATCCATTCCATCTGGAAATCCTGCAGTTCCACCTTTGAGATTGATATAGATTGTGACCCCTCCTAACCACTCCACGGCCATCACCAGAATCCCAGTCTGAGCCACCAACATAGTTGAGTAGGATTATTACAATAGCCTCCCATCTCATCTCCTTGCCCTATAAAGTCTATTTTCCTCACAGAAACCAGAAAAATCCTTCGAAAACATAACTTGGATCATATTACTCCTCAAGACCCTCCAAAGTCTTCCCCATGTGTCCTGGAGTAACCATCTAGCCCCACTCCTTCCATGATCTCACACCCTCCTCACTCCCCTCCTCACCCTGCTTCAGCCCTACTGGGTTCTTGTTCTTCCTTGAGCACCAGACAAGCTCCCCGCTTCTGGCCTTTATACCCACTGTTTCTGTGAATGGAATGCTTTCTCAAGACATCCATTTGATTTCCTCCCTCATTCCCTCTAGTCTCTGCTCAAATATCACCTTATCAGTGGGACCTGCCCTCATTATCTCATTTAAAACACCAAGCTCGGCCGGGCGCGGTGGCTCACGCCTGTAATCCCAGCACTTTGGGAGGCCGAGGCGGGCGGATCACGAGGTCAGGAGATCGAGACCATCCCGGCTAAAACGGTGAAACCCCGTCTCTACTAAAAAATACAAAAAATTAGCCGGGCGTAGTGGCGGGCGCCTGTGGTCCCAGCTACTTGGGAGGCTGAGGCAGGAGAATGGCGTGAACCCGGGAGGCGGAGCTTGCAGTGAGCCGAGATCCCGCCACTGCACTCCAGCCTGGGCGACAGAGCGAGACTCCGTCTCAAAAAAAAAAAAAAAAAAAAAAAAAAAAAAAAAAAACACCAAGCTCCTTGTCCCCATCTCTCTCTGCCTCCCTACTTGCTTTATTTTGCCTCCTAACATTTGATGTATAATATATTTATTAACATTTATGTTTATTATCTACCTCCCCCAGCTAGAGTGGAAGCTCCCTGAGGGCAGAAAAATTGGTTGAAACACTGCTTTCTCCCCAGTACCTAGAATAGGCATGGGCACATAGTAGACACTCAAGTTGTTGAAGAAGAAGAAATAAAGCCAAGTCGAGGTACCAGGATACAGTACTGGTTGTGTTGCATTACATGTATTTGTTTGCACAGTCAGAGTTTCAGGCTTTGGGAGAAAGAGCCCTGTCCCTAGTGTGTAATAAAGTGTTCATTCAGCAGGCTTGGAGTGTTTAAACCCTAAACATTCCAGAGGAAGACCTGGCCCTTAACCAGTGCCTGGGAGAGAAGCTCTTAGCATGTCCTGCTTGATAAGTGTGGCTTTGTGTACCCCAGGCCTCAGACCCTACCAGACAGTGTATGCTAACAATGCTATTTGTGAATGCCTGTTTTTGCTGTCCTGAGCTCCAGGCCACTCTGCATTAATTTGTCCTCTGAGGATGTGAGGGATAGAGACTGAGTATCTACGGTCAGCTATATGGGCTCTCCACACCTACAGAACTGATCCCCGATAAAATCCCTGGACACCAAGGCTTGGGTGAGCCTCCCTCATTGGTAATACTTCACACATGTTGTCACACACCATTGCCGGGAGAATTAAGCCCTGTCTGTGTGATTCCACTGAGAAAGGACAACTGGAAGCTTGAGCTGGTCTCTCCTGGACTCTGTCCTATGTGTCTTTTTCATTTGCTGATTTTCATCTGTATTCTTCTGCTGTAGTAAGCCCTTAACATACATGTAACAGCTTTTCTGAATTCTGAATTCGAGTCCTTCTGGTGAATCATCCAATCTGAGGGGAGCCCTGGGGATCACCAACCCACCCAGCATTTAGCATGGTATCTGGCACACAAGTGTGCAATAAAGGTCAATTGGGTGACTAAATGAATGAACAAATGAACTGAGACAAGGGATCGATGGCATGTTAACCAGCCATCCTTCTTCTTCTTTTCTCTCCACTCTTTCATTTGGCCTTTCCCAATACACATTTCCTTTCTTCTCCCACTCTAATTTCAAATACTAGATCTGACTGCTGTCTCGTAAAACAGCAGCCCTTAAAACTGTCACAAAACATAAGAACGGTTGACAGAAAGGTAAGATTTAGAGATCAAGACCATCTGGGTAAACAGGCTCTGCCTCTGCAGATCGCCTTTCAGGCCAATGTTCTGCATAGGATAATTTGTTTTGCTGCCTGACTTCTGCCCTTTGACCTGGCTTGAACCCAACTCAGGAATGCATCCACCAAGACCTGGCTCCAGCTTTCCCTTGCTGTTCCTCACTGAATCAATAATAAGAGAACCTTCTTTGTTTGCTTGGGATTTGACAGCCTAGTGACAGACAGGACAGAAAAGCAGCCACGGCCTTAGTGTGGCTGCACCACGCTCATGTATGATGACACGTGTATGTGTGAGATTTAATGATGGATGATAACATTCAAGGTCTTGCGTGGGTTTCCTCTAGCTCACTTCACTGGCATCTGTCATTTTAATAGTCACCAAGGAAGAAAAAATATGATTCTCATTAATACTCTGAATTTGACCTTCCACTCATCTTGAATGGAAGTTCATTTACAGTCTGGAATGCAATCGTGCCTATTAAAAGAGTAGAGATGTCCTCTTTCCTGATATTACTTAATTGTTCTCATAGAGAACAAAATGGAAAGGAATAAAGTTAGGGCTGAAGTAGACAGGGTTACCATGCTCAAAATAAGGAAACTATGAGATATCCTGCTAGGCTGGATATTAAGGCAAAACTGTCTCATGAAATCACTTCTTTAAAGGGAAAAAAAACCATAAAAATAACCTATAATCAGAACTTGCCAGAACTAGGAAAAATCAAGCCTATGGGGTCTTGCTCTGTCACCCAGGCTGGAGTAAAGTGGCACAATCATAGCTCACAGCAGCCTTGATCTCCTGGGATCAAGCAATCTTCCCACCTCAGTCTTCCAAGTAGTTGGGATACTAAAGGCATGCACCCCCACTCCCTACTAAGCCTAGTGGTTCTGAGCTGCCTGGCAACCTAATAAAAATTGAGCAGAGTTTGTTTCTGCTACTTGCAACCAAAGAAACGAAAATAATAGGTATTCTATACAACTTTTTTTTTGAGACGAAGTCTCACTCTGTCACCAGGCTGGAGTGCAGTGGCGCTACTTCGGCTCACTGCAACCTCCAACTCCCTAGTTCAAGTGATTCTCCTGCCTAGCCTCCTGAGTAGCTAGGACTACAGGCACAGGCCACCATGCCCAGCTAATTTTTTTTTTTTTTAATAGAGATGGGGTTTCACCATTTTGGCCATGATGGTCTCGATCTCCTGACCTCATGATCCGCCTGCCTCGGTCTCCCAAAGTGCTGGGATTACAGGCGTGATATACAACTTTTTAAAAAGATGAATCCACACAAGAATCTGTCATAGAATGGTTCAACAGGGGTTCCACAGATATTTCTAAAAGTCTCCAGTGTAATAGTAATCATTGCAGTAAAGTAATCATACCCCAGTGATATTTGCCTCAGAAGACAGGACAAAGTATTCATTGTAAAGCAAATGAATAATGCAAACAAAGGTAAAATTTGCTCTGCTTTAGCATGAAAGCCAGCAAACTTTCATATACTCATAAAACAATTCTGTGTAGGGTGGACGGATTGATTCAAAAAGCACTTTCACTTCATGTACTTGAATGTGACATAGAATTTCTTTACAAAGCCTATAATTCTGATTTTATACTTAAAAAAATTGGACTAGACTTCCCCTTGATTGAGAACAATAAGCCCAGTTTAATGATCCTTAGAATTAATTTAAAGAGAGTATAGAGCACATTGCTGGTCTTACATAATATCTTTATTTTCTTTGCCAAAAGGTGTTGACTTTGATGCAATCATTCAGACATTTTAAAAAGATATTTATTAAACATGTACTCTAGGTACAGCAGAGTATGATGTCTTATGAGCCATACAGTCTCTACCTTAATGAGTTTCTAATTTAATTGAGAGGCTAAGGCATTTACAGGCCCATGAAAAATTAAGTTTAAAAAAGCAAAATAGCAATAAGACACAGGAGATTACTTAAGAAGAGAATCAAACCCAGGCCCTACATCGAAGTGGCTCATAACATAGTTAGAGAAACAAGACAGTTAAAAACAGATCTATATTAGAATGGAGCCCATGCTATACCAGCAATATAAAAAAGTGATCTGGGGAACAGAAGAGGGAGCCACTAATTCTGTCTCACACGTCCATGAAGGCTTCATAGAGGAGTTACAACTAATATGGAACTTGCTGGATAAGCATGATTTAATATGGCAGGGATGAGGAGAACAGCATTCTAGCCTGAGGGAATTATAAGAACAAAATTAAAACAGACTCATCTATCCAAGGGAGTGGTGACTAGGCAAATGCGCATGGAGCGTGAGTTATATGGAGGATGAAGAGTCAGGTGAGGCCATGCTAGCAGGTTTGTACTTAAAGGTAATGAATGAAAAATCAAGTGCTGGTGTTTTTAGAAACAACATGATATAATTTGCATTTTATAAAGATCATTCCAGCAACTATGTAGAAGACAGATTAAAGGGAGAAGAAATCAGAAGAACTTATATTTCATCCATCCATATGCCCATCCATACACTCTGTGGAGGATTAAATAATGGCAGCTGGTGTTTCATCCTTTAGGATGGAGGCTGCAAACTCATGAGCCTTGGACAGAGCTAAACTTCTGCTATGTTTAGCACAGCTGTATTTTATTTGATTGTTTGTTTTAATTAGATCCAAAGTTTAAAATGAAGAGATTTCCCATAGAAACCTAAATGTTCCCTTTCACTGAAAAATTAGATCTGGCAAAACTGGTCCTACATTTTCAGCCAAAGTAGATTATTGAATGAACCCCTGAATGAGAGGCATTAGTAACAATTTTCATAGTCTCCATCATTTCTAGTTTGTCACTGATGTTGAAGCCAAGTGTAAATGACCACAGTCAGTGTACTTCCACTGCTTATTCTTACAGTAGAGAACACTGTCTTTGTACCTATGTAATTAGAAAAAGTGAAAAAGTTAGAGATAGATAACAGAGCATCTCATTTCAAGAAAAATAGGAGAGAGCATGTTTCATTCAGAAACATGAACTGTCCCATGGTTTCAGTACAAATACATTGTCTGTGTTGGAAGAATAGCTTAAGATGCTCATTTGCTTATATCATTTCACCATGCTCATCTATGTTACCTGCTTTGCAATTAAATGTCCAATCCCAAAGAAAGGAGAAGTTTAGGGTAGACCTTCCTGAGAAGGTGCCATTTGAACTGAGAGCAAAACCATGAATAGAAGCTAGTTTTATATAGGTTTCTGTCATTGCTTGATATAGTAACTCCAGATTCATCAAAATTTCTATAAGTCAACTTGTACTTTCCTCCCTTAAGTTGATTCTAGTATGCTAAGGAGCTGTGGTTACTGAGAAGATGTGGCCTAGTACAAGTCACACATTCTTTCAACAGATATTTGTTGATCATTTACTACTGGGTTCTTGGCATTCTGCTCGATTTTGGAGATATAGTGGCAATCAAGATAGATACGTACTAATGTTTACAATAAAAGCTAAGGAGATAGATAATTACATAATAAATTATAATAATATATAAATGATATACATTATTATATCATTATATGAAATGATAATGTTCAAATTAGAGAACATAGCAAGGGCACCATGTCAATTAGGAATGTTTTTAGCTGCAAGTAAGAGAAAGTCTGATGATGGCTTAAACAAATAGTTATTTTTCTCATAGAATTAGAAATCAGGACATAAGCAGCTGCTGGTGTTCATGTAGTGGTTCCAACATGACAAGGTTGATGCTCCTGTGATTTTCTAGGCCTCTCTTTTGTGGTCACATGAAGTATTTATGATGCCTGATAGACAGGAATTGGTTTTAGATATGGGGGAAAGGAGAGCAAGAAGCAGGCATGGTACACATCTCTGACCTGGAGAACTTCGTGGAAGTGGAGAAATTTCCAGAGATAAGGGCCATGGGAGGAAGAGCAGATTTGTGAAGAAGGGTGAGTTAAACTGAGCCTGAGACATCCAAGAAGAGGTATCAAGGAGGCCATTGGTTAGGCAGAAATCTGGCCTGGAAAAGAGATCTAAGCTGAAATCGTAAGCTTGGGAGTTGTTTTGAACACTGAAGGCTTTACCAACCCAATATTTCCTTGTCTGTATTTGAATAACAGAGCTAACTCTCTTTCCTAAAGAGAATGTATTTTATACAGTTCAAATAGAGCTGACATCATCCCCTTTCTCCTGCTACCACAGGAATGAACATCTGACCTAGACCTGGCCAATCAGAACACTTAACCACTCTAGCCACAAGGATTGGTTCAGGGATGAACCAATCAGAATTCTTCCAGGGAATGAGGGGGAAAAAAAACTCTCATTCTTCACTAGGATTGCTAAGTGGACTTGAAGAGACTTTGCCCTAGAGATGACGAGAAGAAGTGGACCCCAGATGCTGATGTTTGGGTACAAGGATGCACACTGAGACCTGATGGAAGTAAAGCACTGTACTTCTCCAGTCTGCACACCAAAAGATTATCTTTTTTTAAACCTAAGACTCTTTATGTTGGATTTCTGTCTGTTGAAACCCAAAGAGTATTGACTAATATAACACCGTCCATATTTAGATGGTGATTAAAGCCATAGAAGCAGATAAGATCACTCAGGGCAAATGTATAGAGTGAAAAAAAAAAAAAAAAGTAGATCTGGCAGAGAGTCCTGAGGATCCCAGACTTTGCAAATGCACAAAAAGGAGACTAAAAATGGTGGGCCAGAGCTATAGGAGGAGAGCCAGGAGAGAAAGGACAGCAGCTGAGGGAGAGACAGGATCAAGGAAGGAATTCTACTATAATTGAACATATCTAATGCAGTAGGCTCTGTATTGGTCAGGACTCTGGCTTACAATGACAGAAACCTCATTCAAATGGACCGAAGGAACTGGAATGACTCCGTCATGTTAGAGGCTGGTACAGCAGAATCCAGGCACCCCACCATGTCTATAGAAATCCCCTCTTGCCATGCTAAGCTCTGCTTTCAGGCATTCTCTAATCAGGTGCTGGCAAAGTGGTTAAAAGCAGCTTCAGTTTGGCACCCTCAGTGGAGGAGGAATGACTCTTTACCATGGGTCCTGCAAAGTCCATGGACTGAGGATGACTTGACCTAAAAAGTGGGAGGTGAGGTGGGTCCTCCCCTTTTGAGCCACACGGATGTAGACTGAGAGTGGTCTCATTCCCACTAGAACAGAAAGTACTGTTACTAGCTGTGAGACTGAAAAACAAAAGGGGGCAGGGATTTAAAAACACTATAGCCATGGGATTGACAGAACTTTACACCCACTGGCCCATTAGAGGGCTGACAGAAGAAAAGAAGTCTAAGGTGGCTTTGAACTTTATAGATTGGCCAAGTGGATGAGGGTGAAGCCATATACTGAGAAATTTGCAGAGAAAAGAAAGTAAAGGCTAACAGCTTAAGAATTCTGATTCGACGTCCTTTGAGGATACTTCCAACTTAACATTTTGTAGTACTAGGGATAAATTATTGGAGCCTCGAAGAACAAAGGGGAGTGGAATAGCATTTGAGTAGGTGACCATTAAAATTCAAGTGGCACAAATGAGGTTGAGATATTCAAGGCACCACTAGCATCCAGAGAAATTTATTGTAGTTGAATTTGAATATTTACTTTTTTATTTTTATTTATTTATTTGAGACAGAGTCTCGCCCTGTCACCCAGGCGGGAGTGCAGTGGCACAATCTCGGTTCACTGTAACCTCTGCCTCCTGGGTTCAACAATTCCTGTGCCTCAGCCTACCGAGTAGCTGGGACTGCAGATGCACACCATCACCCCAAGCTAATTTTTGTATTTTTAGTAGAAACGGGGTTTCACCATGTTGGCCAGGCTGGTCTTGAACTCCTGACCTCAAGTGATCCTCCTGCTTCAGCCTCCCAAAGTGCTGGGACTACAGGCATGAGCCACCACACCCAGCCGAATTTGAATATTTATGATATATATCTTCCATTTAAGTGGTCACTGAACCTAAGAATCGTGATTCAAAACTGAAAGGAACCACAGGTCATTAGTATAGAACTGATTTTTTAAAATTATTTTTATTTTTATGTTTTTCTTTTTTTTTCTTGAGTTGGGATCTCTCTAGGTTGCCCACCCGGTCTTGAACTCCTGGGCTCATGTGATCCTCCCATCTCAGCCTCTTGAGTAGCTGAGATTACAGGTGCATGCCACCATGCCCAGCTCCATTAGTATAAGATCGTGTGAAAAGAACATGAGAGCTGTATCTTGTTCATTAAATAAGGGGAGCCAGGGCCTTCACACGTCCCTGAGAAACTGGGCCATGAGTGTCCAAGGCTAACATAACTGGGAGACCTGCTCTTAGGCAACATTTAATCAAATATGGTGTTCACATGCACAGGAGGGAGAGAAGTAAAAGCAGCATTCTGCTTTGCTTTACTTTCATCTTATTCTAAAAATGATTTAATATAAGAATACACCAATATGAATGGAAAAGAGCTTGGTGGAAGGCCTAATATCAAGTGTATTAAAAATGTATGACACACTGTATATTCTCATAGGCACCCTATTCGGGACCTCTACAGCTGATAAAATGACATAAAAATGTGATTAATAATATTGTAAAACCTGTTGATTGGAAAAACTCAGGGACATATGACAGATTGACCCGACTCTGATTTAAGCCAATATCACTCAAATAACCTTTCAGATCCTGAGAAAGAATAATGTCTTGCTTGCAGGACAGAATGCAACATAAGAAAATGCAGTTGTCTTCCGAGGTTTGCTTTCATACATTAAATGCCCTCAGAACATTTTATATCTGAATCTTTATGTCTAGATTCCAAGCATCTAGCCTGGAGCTGCTACTATTTCATTAATCCTTCTAAATCTGTCTTATAATTTTTGATGCAAAATAAAACAATAGAAGAAAGGAAATAAGCCAAGATGCTAATAGTGAAAATTTTTAGGTGATGAGTTTTAGTGATTTTCATTCATTTTTCTTAATGTTATGGCATTTTCCAAGTTTTCTATAAAGATATGTGATTTGGGATAAAAGAAAAGCAAAGTCTACACAAAAAAATTAAGAAGTTAATTTTAAAAAGCATCTTAAAAATAAAAATGTAAGTGTTTCTATTAGCTCTAGATTAAAAGGCCACTAAGATTTAAGTGAATCTAATAAGCAACCAATGCACCAGAATGACTTGCATAACCACCATTGTCACTGTACATTCCCAAGGCATGTCAAGCTTCTATTCTTTATTTTGGTTCTTATGCATCTTAAAGGGGACTGTTCATCTGCACATCTCAACTACCCACCCTCTTTTGATTAGATGACTCTACCTTTAGAGTGAGCACCTTTTCTTTTTGCCTCCAAGTGTCTTTTCTTCTGTTACCCATATCCCAAAATCCCTTTAAGAACCTGCCCTACATCCCTTTAAGAACCAGAAAATGAGCTTATAATAGAGTAATTGTAAACACTAGGCTCTAAGAGTAGGCATGTGACTCACTCCTGGCCAGTCAGAAGATCATATTCCTTGGCTACAGGAATTGGTTCAGGAATAGGCAGGTGATTAGTCTTAATTAGCGAGATACAGTAAGATGAAATAAAAAGCTCATGCTCTTTTCTGCTGGACTTTAACCTGGGTAAGCGCATGTCAAGAGCTTTTTGTTGTTGTTTTGCTGGCATATAAAACTGAAGAATGAAACTGGCCTGGAGAAAGACTGTGCCCTCTTTATGTTGTTTGAGCCCCTGGGTCAAGCCCGTCCTGAAGCTTTTCCTACTGTTGTAGGAGCCAATAAATTATTTTTGTGCCTATGTCAGTATAAGTTTTTACCCCTTACAATTGAAATAGTTTCAACTGATAGAACCTTTTCTCTATTTAATACCCTACTCAGGGTCATTGTTACCAGAGGATTTATTTAATTGTACTTGTGTCAGAGGCATTTGAACAAGAGCAACTCCGTCTTGAATAGGGGTTGGGAAAATGAGGCTGAGACCTACTGGGCTACATTCCCAGGAGGTTAGGTATTCTTAGTCACAGGATGAGACAGGAGGTTGGCACAAGATCATAAAGACCTTGCTGATAAAAACAAGTTGCAGTAGTGAAGCTGGCCAAATCCCACCAAAACCAAGATGGCCACAAGAGTGACCTTTGGTCATCCTCACTGCTCATTAGCATGCTAAAAGACACTCCCATCAACACCATGACATTTTACAGATGCCATGGCAATGTCCAGAAGTTACCCTACATGGTCTAAAGAGAGGGGGAACTCTCAGCTCTGGGAATTGCCCATCCCTTTCCCAGAAAACTCGTGAATAATTCACCCCTTGTTTAGCATATAACCAAGAAATAACTATAAGTATCCTTAGGAGGCCAGCAGCTCAAGCCACAGGTCTGCCTATGGAGTAGCGATTCTTCATTCCTTTACTTCCTTAGCAAACTTGCTTTCACTTTATAGACTCACCTCAAATTCTTTCTTGTGCGAGATCCAAGAACCCTCTCTTGAGGTCTGGATTGGGACCCCTTTCCGGTAACACTTGGAAAAGATCAACAGAGTTGTATGGGCAGACTCTTGGAACTACTCCTTTTAATTCATAATCTTTAGAGATTTATGTAACACTTTGCCTTTTAGAGCTTGAGGACCAAATTTTGCACAATGGACACATAAGCACAACTATTAATGCTTATATTACAAATAAATTAATTGTAAAGTTAACTAACATATACAAACATTAATACACACTAACACATTTTTCAAAATGCTTTGGAAAGTCCTAAGCAATGTCTTAACAACAGTTCTTAAGTTTTGAGCAATATACTAAAACCTCAAACAAAGATTCTCAATCTTAAGTTCTCCTTCTACAGCAATTGAAGGTTGAGGAATTTTTGTATGAAGATACAAAAATTTTATCTAGTTTAAGCTCAGTTACTCCTTACTTAAGAGCACCCAGATATAAACAAGGACTACAGGAGAACTTCTATCATGGTTCACAGGAAATGACAATAAACCCACACACTAATTCTGAGGTGACTCTGTGGTAGACAGAGAAGGTTTGAGGAAGAAGAGAATGTATGAGTTTTTTTTCTCCTTCCTCCAGAGGAGAGGGATTCAGTGACACATGGGAGAAAACTTGAAGGTGAATGAAGTCAGAAAACAGCAATGAATGACCTTCTCCATCATTGCCAGAGATGATTATTTCGGGCAGTGGGCAGTGGCCTGCCCTACAGTGCCAATGTGCTTTACTTCCATCTGTTATAAAATTGTCCTAATATAATAATTTTATTTGAACAGGGTACTTTTTGTAACTTTCAGACAAAGGCATGGATAAATATACCAATGGACTGTGTCTGCAATATGAACATACCTCTTAGATGTGATACTCTTATTCAGTGCACATTCTACATAACTCTACGTAGCAACCCTGTAGGCAAAGATTATGGTAAAAATACCCACATAGTGGACACCAGTCCACTTTGAAACAGTTCAAATCTTTTCTGACCCATCTCTCATATTTCTGCCACAGAGAAATGCTTTCACCAATATTGGACATGTTAGATGTGCTCATCCTCTCTTCCTCTGATAACAAGTCACAAAAATGACAATGCCAGCTGGAGAAAGGAACCAACCATATTTTAATACCTGTCATATGCTGGTAAATATACATATATTCCCTCGGTTTCAAAATTATCTTTTTCTTAACTTTTGTTTTATTACAAAGTAGTTTTCTTTAAACCCAAGCAAAACAGTAAGGTCTAAAGAAAAACACAAGAGACTTCTTCCTAATCACCATGCTTACTCCTCATAGATAAACAACATTAATAACTTCTTGAGAGTTCTTCCAGGAAGTTTCTATATACTTATGTATCACTAGCAAACAAACAAATAAAACTTTGTGCATAAGAAATACGAATATTCAGATAAATGGGGTGTTTAGTAATGCGAGGATAAGTATCCATTTCCCCCAGTATGCCACCTGTTAGTCTGAATAGGAAGACCCAGAAAGTCACCTTGAAGGAAACATCTTCATTCTGCAAAGAAAAAGTAGCTGCTCACAGTTACAAGGAAAGCAGACACTCGGTGTCCTAGGATGAGAATGTAAAAGGACCAATTCATGCATTTGTGCTCTAGCAAAAGCCACCCCTATCCTTGGTATGCAGAGTTTGGAGAAGAGGTAGATCAATGTGCAAAAGAACCCTTGTCCTCATTGTCTTCTGGGAAAGAAACGAATCTACAGTTCAACCTATCCCTTAAGTTAGGGAAACGGGTTGGGTGGCAGGAGGTCCATCAAGAAAGGATATTGAGGCCCCATCAGAAGGGAAAAAGGACACTGGCCCATCACCAGGACCCAAGGGCTTCCATGGACGCGCTCCAACAGGGGACACAGCTACCACTGGACTTGTGATTGGGGGAATAATGGCAGAGCCTGTGGGTGCAAACTGAAAATACCTATATCTCCACAGCACAAACATGAGCCATCCCAGCTTCCCGGGATCCTGGAGGAATGAGGCAAACCAGCAGCTGTGGACAAGAGTCACCTGGCTGTCGGTTACAGGCACAGTCAGTACAACATAGACTGAAAGGGGGAAGCGGTATCAGGACAGGACTGAGCAGCCTCTGCTGTGCTGGCTCCCCCTGGTGCTGGGAGCTGGACTGACGCCCTAGCTTTGAACAGCGTAAACCCTGGGACTCTTACACAATTCATTAGGGCAGGTGGACATTTGAGCACTTAGTGGGAAAAAAATCAGAGAAATGGACTATGTGTGTACCAAAATAGTGACACATATCAAACTGTTTACATACAAGATACCAGATATTTTATGTTTATATATGCTTACTATATGTGTATACATATACACGTAGATATATTCATGCGTGTATGTGACACTTACAATATACTATTCTTCAAGTAGCTATTTCATATCAGAATATACCTTGGGCATCCTTCCTTATCTGTATATCTATCTCTTTCCTTTTATTACTACATGTAGTTCCATTGTATAGGTTTATTATCATTTATCTAATTGGTCCTCTATTGAAAGACATCTAAGTTGTCCCTAGTTATTTACCAATACAAATGACATTGAAATAAGTATTCTGTCACATATATTTTTATTTATCAATGAGATAAACTTCTAGAAGTAAAACTGATGGTCAAAGATATGTGCATGTAAAAGAATAATACACATTGCCAAATTGTTTTCTTAAAATTGTTGTATTAATTTATACTCTTATACTAATGGAATATGAATCATTTTCCTATTTTTTTCAAAGTATACAGTATTAAATGTATTATTGTTTTCCACTTTGATGGTGGAAAATATTTCATTTAATACTGTACAGAAATTCTAGGAGACAGAAATTATTTCTGTAATTTTTCCATTGAGAAAACCAAGGCTGAGAAAGGTTGCACAACTTATCATATTGCTAATAAATAGAATAAAGATTCAAGCCCTGTTATGTTTGACTTTAAAGCCCACTCATTCATTCATTTAATAGAGATTAACATATTTCAGGTACTGCTCTAAGCATATTACAAACATTTGTGCATTTGATCTTTACATCAAGTCTTTAAGGTAGATGCAATTGATATCCCAGTTTTACAGAGGAGATAACTGTGGCACCAAAAAAATAATTTACTTGCCCAAAGTTACATAACTAGTAAGTGGCAAAGGTGGGGTTAGAACCTCAGCTGTTTGGCTTCCATTTGCTTTTAACTCAACAGCAACCTCTTTTAAATTATTTTTGTTTTGCAAAGAGAAAAACTCACTTCTGCAAAGGCACTGGCTCTGCATGTCAATGTTTATCAAAAGCATTATAAGGAAATGAGAGTGGACTGAAGAAAACAATTTTGACTGGCTTTAAATGGCTACATATTTTTATATCTATCCATTAGCAACCCTCCCTCTCTCCTTGCCAAATTCTTAACATGACACTATCTCTCAGGGTTTACAATGGGTTTCAATCTTTTCTACACACAGCTCCATTGTGGTCACATATTTTGCGATACAAATTTAATCACTTAGGTGTGAGTACCAGATCTGCAACATCCTTTATCCCCTAAGCTGCTCTAAATATTATGGGCAGGTGTAACCCTGACTTGTATTGGTTGGTGGTGATATGAATGGAAAAGTTAGAAAAGTGCAAAAAAAGTATTATTCTAATATCTGTTTTTAATTAATCCATCTTACCATAGTTTTTTAAATCATAGCATTCTAAAAACAATAAATTTAGCATTATTCTAAATAAACGGGAATATGCTAGCCTGCCAAGGTATAAGCCCAATAAATTAGTATTTTATAAAGGAAATTAAAATAGAATTCCAAAATACTGTATACCCAAACAATAATTTTACAAATAAAATAAGATAAAAATACCTGTGACTCAACTGATTATAGGAGATCATCTAATAATACTTCTATACCAAATAAAGCATTTTGCTTGATTTACCGTCTTTGAGTATATTCCAATGTCCATATAAGCATAAATATATGAAAGTATTTATTATACCAACTTAAAGATAAAAGACAATTTGTTCACATGAGTGACTAATTCTACTAAATTATTTTCAGCTAGAAAACTTGGGTGGTTTCAAAGTTTCTTGGGCTGAGTAATAAGGGCAAGCATTATTTATTTTTAATTTTCACATCTCATTGTTCTTTGTATTTTCTACTGTTACAAGGCCAAAGACAATGCCAAAAAGTTGTCTCATTAATACTGAAATAGGATGCTATTAATTCGGCTTATTAGTGGACTGTAGTATGCAGTAAGTTCTTTAATGGGCTTTCAAGAGCAGTCAGCTCTTGAAGGGGTCTCCTTTTCTTTGGTCACTATTGTTTATGAGAAATATTGTTACAGCTTTTTCTGGTTAGCCAATAATGCCAACAAGTGTTCAGGAAAGACTTTATGCTTGTCCTTTGCATAATAATTCCACCTTTGACATAATGATTTAACTAATATCTTTCAGGGCTTACACATTGTAATAATTTTTTAAAATTGGGATGTACCTTAGATATAATAAAAGATCAACTACAGCTAGTTTACTCCATCTGCACAGGTATTACCATAATCATATTTTCAACCACTTTTATAACCTCTTGCATCTTTTTCTCTCTGATACCCAGGCCATGTGGTTACTCCTCTATACTTCCATGCATGAGAAGTCTGAGTATATTGGCTCAGAAAGAAAATAGAGGCCAGGCTCAGTGGCTCACGCCTGTAATCCCAGCACTTTGGGAGGCCGAGGCGGGTGGATCACCTGAGGTCACGAATTTGAGACCAGCCTGGCTAACATGATGAAACCCCGTTTCTACTAAAAATACAAAAATTAGCCAGGCATGGTGGTGGTCACCTGTAATCCCAGCTACTCGGGAAGCTGAAGCAGGAGAATCGCTTGAAGCCAGGAGGTGGAGGTTGCAGTGAGCAGAGATCATGCCATTGCATTCCAGCCCGGGCAACAAGAGCGAAACTCCATCTCAAAAGAAAAAAAGAAAAAGAAAAAGAAAAAGAAAATAGAGTACCAATAACTTTTTAAGGCAGTTTGATAAAGAAGCGTGCAATTCTAGATCAATAGTTCTGATTCCCATGAAGCTTAAAGTAATTACACTGAGAACTGCATTTATTTGAGGAGGACAGGCCTGGTAGAGTTCTGCCATATACTTTTAAACATATATTAAATCATACTATTAAGCTATTTTAGAGAAGGAAACAGTCCAATTGTCTTGTAAAAGGTAAATTAATCAAGATAAACATCACAGCTTGGTCAAAACAGTGGGAAAGTATTCATTTATTCATTCATTCATTCAGCAGATATTTAATGAGTCAGTTCTCTCCTCAGTTCCGGAGAGACAGCAGGGAACATACCAGGCAAAACAAAGCCCTCAGCTCTTATGGAGTTCACTTTCTAGTGGAGAAGACCTACAATTAACATATAAATAAGTACAATGTAAGTATATCACATGGCGATAAGTGATATGAAAAATAGTAAAGCAGAGACAGGAATGTCGGGAGGGAACCATCTTAAATACAGCAATCAGAGAGGGATGGATGGAGAAGGTGATATCTGAGCAAATACCTATAGGAGGCAAAGGAGCCCCATGGAAATAGATGTGGAAGAGCATTCAGGTAGGAGTGGCTGGTGCAGAATAGGAGAACGTGTCATGGACCAACAAGGACAAATATAGCCGGAGAAGAGTGGGACGAGGGAGAGTGAAAGTGTGGTACCAAGGTAGAGGAGGTCCAAGATGAACTCCCACAGGAAACGTGGACCTGGTCCAAGTCCACTCTAAAAACTGGCTTTTAGTCTGCATGAGGTGGAGGGCTGTAAATTGTTTTGAGCAGAAGAGTCTCAGGACCTGACTTAAATGTGTTTTAAGGAAGCACCCTGGCTATTTGTGCTGAGAAAAGATGAATGGGGACCTGTTAGGAGGCCACTGTGATCTTCCAGACTAGAGAGGGTGAACGCTGTTCATAGCCGTGGACGTGGAGAGATCAATTGCATTCTGGATAGTTTAAGGTAGAAACATAGAATGGGTTGATGCAGTGGATGGGGGTGAGAGTAAAAAATAATAAGCATAGGATTGACTTGATGGCTTTGGCATAAGAAGCTGAAAGACAGAAAGCATTGTTAAATATGAAAAGGAATACCAGGAAAGGGAGGAAAGGGAAATGTAACATTAGACAGCACTGATAATGTCACTGACCAAATGGAGGCAGGAAATTCTTCCCATCATTTGTAATTACCCCAAGAAGCATGGAATGAACAGAGATGGTCCCCAAATTGAAGAGCATAGCTTTCCCCAACGTAGGTGCTTATTACTCACAGATTGTAAATATCTTCCCCCAACCCCAAATTCAGAAACATCTAATTTTTAAAAAATGGTTCTGGGAACTTGTGTTTTGTTATTAATTTTAGTCATTGGTACTTCTATCATTAGATGAAATTGTTCAATTGGAAAAAAATATGTATTCAGCACCTAAGGCAGGCCAGACACAGAGATGGGCAATGTAGGCAGGAACATTAGGCATTGGGGACATAATTATGAATAGCATACATCTTCTTTTCTTGCTTTTTCATTTTTTCCTGGCATTTTGCAATGCACCACCCTGTTATAAATAGGCTGTTAGGACATAAACAGTACTGTGCCATCACCAATGTGGAAACTGATTTAGCTAGAAATGATGGGAAAGAATCCTGATGCGAAAATGCCGAGTGGAGAGAAAAGAAAGGAAGGCCAGCATATGAAATTGATGTTAAATATGAAATGTGACCTAGGAGAGAGCAGGGCCATTCATATTTACTATGTAAAATGTTTTCCATTACAGACGCGCTTCAGCTCTGCCTTCCTCTATATTAGGAAAATCAGATGTGCCACATTAGGGATTTTGCTGGGGCTCTGAGGCTCAGAAGCTCAGGGCAACTCTACATCAAAGTGTTATGGCTATGCTAACTTTAGACTGAAGGAGGAAGAAAACACGGGAGATGGATTTAAAATGTCACTAAATCAAAATGACTCTGGCAGGACACTAAATTGGCAGAATTAATCAAAGGGCTAACTTTGAGGAAGTTCAGCGAGGTGAAGAGGAAAGCATCTTGCTGTCATCAGGGCTCCCAGAGATTGGGAAGCCACATTTAACACACTTCACTCACATCTTGCCACATCCCTGTCACCAGCCACCCAGAGTCACAGTAGACTCTTTCTTGGCATTTCTGATTTAGTCTTCATCTACCTAATTTAGTCCAATTTTCTTTAATCTGTCCTATCTAGTCCTGGTCTTTTCCCCTTTTCAATAAAAATTATACCTCTTTATTTTATTTTTCCTTTTAGATATGTGAATTTCATTGTATGGATCTAAAGTTATGGTGAAGCCCCGACTTCCCCTTCCCCTTTATTAAAAAACACTTATGTCCACACTGACCAGAATGTACTACCACACACAATTTCTTGTCTTACTTTTCCTTCTTTATGGTAGTAAGTTCTATAGGATTTAGGTTGAAACAATATTAAAAATGTCCCATTTTTACTAAATTATTTTGGAAATACTTAGCATGTTTTTTTTTTCATTAGTATTGATTCTGAGGAATTTTTCTTTTTTCTTTTTTCTTTTTTTTTTTTTTACATTCATTTCTCCCATTTTTAGAGATGAGGTACTGTCACGGAGGTAAAGTACTATGAATGGGAAGTCACCCAGAGCTGGAAATTAAACCTGTAATCTTTCTTCAGCCCCTCCTGACCTTTCAGATCAATGGGATTTTACTTTTGAATGCTTTAAAGCTTCAGAGACAAATCCAATAAGGGCACTGGAATGCACCCTACCACTTCAGTCCAATATGGAACTGGAGAGACAAAGGAGTTGGCCTCTCTGTGTGCATTCTAATCAAATCTCTCACGAGTCCCCCCCAGCTAAGTGCAGGAAATCTCAAGTTTTCAGCCAGTCTTCAATTTCCTAATCACAGCCTTCAATTCTCTTCAGTCTTTATGCTTGAGCTAGCAGCCGTGGCTAGCAGGCTGTGTCCAGCAGAGCTGGCAGCCTTCTGTGCTAAGCGTCCACATTGCTGAGATGGAGATGAAGGGTGCTGCACTGGCCTGGCTCAGGAAAATCTGCCCTGCCCTGCAAAACATTTCTCTTCCTGGCCCTTTGTTTCCACAGTGTTTACTAAAGCCAGAGCTTTCCTCTTTCATTCTTTTACTCTTGGTCATGGCTTTTTAGCACATAAACTAATAAGTTTCGGAAAAGTTATTTTAACCAGACTTACAGTGAGCCAGGCTCTGATTGACTTTTAGAAACAATTTCCATTTGACTTTCACATTGGCCACAACACAAAAGTGATTTGTTGGGTGTCACTAATGACCTTTCTCTGGAAAGCTTGAGTCAGATCTCTGATGACAGTAAACAGCATCTGTCAAAATCTTCCTGCAGCACCTTGGAGCCAATAACAATGTTTCCGCTTCTCAATCCTGCTAAATTAACCTCATCTTACACACACACACAACCCACACACACACGTACACATATGCACACACATGTCCAATAGATTTATGCCTGTATTTTTGGCACTTTTAGTTGATGCTGATGAAAATTAGGGCATTCTAAAGAAAGAGGGAACTTATCTACCTAAAGTTCTGTAAGACAATCATTGATCCTCATTTTTCCGTTTGGTATTCGTGTTTACAGTGTGAGATTTTTAGAGACATAATTAACAATAACAAAGAGTCACTTGCCTGTCACTAGGAAGAATGGGCCATTGTATACACTGCACACTAAATTTTTTCCTAAAACTAGATGGGTAGCTATAGTCATGGGTCAAAAAACATTGGAAACAAGTCCTTCTAGACAGAACAAGGACAAAATAGTCTTGTACCATCTTTCGGAGAATAATTTTTCCTGAAAATAAATCTGTAGGGCTATTTGTCAAAAATATTATTACAATTTCAACGAGAAAAAGTTTCGTGTTCCCAACCTCCAAACTGACAGGCATTTATGTTAAAACAACATCAGATCCCATTAAAATGGGCTCAATTTTCTCAATAGTCAACATTCATTATCATAACATAATCCAACACGGTGATTTCTCTTTATTAATTAGGCCACTAAATGGTTATTTGCCTGCCTGCTCATTTTAGGTTTTTTTTTTTTTTTGAGCTCTTTTCTGTTTTAGCATTAGGATAACACTCATAAAAAGATATACAGTACCAGTGATACTCTGTTATGTGATTCAATCTTCAATACAGAAAGAAAAAATATAGCAAAGATAAAATAAACCAATGAGAACAATACAGGTGAATTCACACTCACTGAATTAGTAGACATCAGGAAGGTCACACTGTATAATATGTCTGCATAATATATCTCTAAATGACCACCAGGACTCTGAAAGGAGGAATTTGTACAAGGTGCAGATGACTGCAAGATGATCCCGAGACCATTTCACTCAAGGCGCTCAGATGCCTGTAAGGTGCACAATCCAAACTGGTCTTTATAAAAATAGGCAGAAATGCCTCAAAAGGTGAAATACTCAAGAAAATGCATTAATGAAATTCAGTATAAAGTCAAATTCTCAGAACCAAAATGGGTAAATGTTAATGACAAAGTAGAGGAGAGTGAAGGAGGGGCAATGAAGGTGACTGAGAGTTTGGGCACCTTAGTTGGCTTTGTTCTTGGTATATGTGACAAAGAAGATTGTGATACAAATCAAAGAGGCTCATGGAACTTCCTGAAGCTCATTCATGGGAAAATAAGCAGTGACTTTTTTGGGGAGCCAGGGGCGAGTTGTCATGGATCCCTCTGAAAAATCTGATCAGAGTTATGGATCTTCTCCACACACAAAAAATACACACATACAAAGTTTAGCTTATAATTTCCAGTGTTTGAGAATTCCCTAAAGCTCATTCATGTTTGAAAAATCTCATTTAAGAAAACTTACTCTGGAAAGAGAGCCAGTCTAAATTCCAAGATTTCTCCTTTTTATGGATTAATCATTCTGTTTGTAGTGACTCATTATTCATAAATAAATCCGCAGATGAGTAGAGATGGCAGTGAGACTCCTCCGGAGGTAACCAAATTGATGACTATGGGCAGTTAATTATCTTTTGGACATGCTCTGTTAATACCTTCTACCAAAACTTAAATTCAGGCTACTTCCTGGGTATGAATTAAGCTTATTAGGGAGTTGTATTAACTCATGGCACTCCAGGCTATTTGGTAAAGTAATTATAAGTTTGCCTCAGTTTTATGCAATGGCTATCTGTCCTGAAATTCTGTGTAAACAAAATGATTCTGTGAACCAAATCACCTTTTAATCTATTTAGCAAATAAGCTTTGCTTCTTAGAAGAAATTTTATGGTGAGTCTTTTGGTGGAACTAATCACGACCTAAAATGTTTAGTAAATCCTGTTTTGTATACATCAGCTTTGCTGCAAATGGGAAGCTCCTGAACAAATTTATACACAGGAATCTAAACAGGATCAAAACTCATAACAGAATTCTGCTTTGAGGGTGAAAGGATTTTGTCAAGTCCATTCATGTGTTGATTAAGGATTATAATTGGTCATTTGACTATGCCTTGAGTTCATTTGAAAAGCAATTATGATTTTTTTACCTAAGAGTTTAACAGTACTGTGGAGTTTTCTCTGCTGTATCTTGTATTGGTCTTGTCTCCTTGGTTAGCTTTTCAGTGGCAAGGTCCTTTTCTTTTGTTTCATTTTTCCACAGTGCCTGGTCAAAAGAGGAACCATGGCTTTCAGAGTGGTCAGAGGAAGTGTTAGAGATGGGCTATAAAAAATTAGGAGGTACGCGGACACGGTGGCACATGCCTGTAGTCCCAGCTATCTGGGAGGCTGGGGTGGGAGGATCTCTTGTGTCCAGGAGTTCAAGACTGCAGTGAACCACGATTGTGTCACTGCATTCCAGCCTGGGAGACAGAACAAGACCCTGACTCTTTAAAAAGCAAACAAACAAACAAAAACAACAAATAATATGGAGGATTTGGATAAATGAACAAGAAGAAAGAAGGCAGTCCAGACAAGGAAAACAGGAAATAGCAGAAGCAAAGACTCAGAGGTGGGAAGGCCAATCCGGAAGCAGGGAGTAAACCAGATATCTGAGGCAGAAGCTCCACGGAAAAGGGGCCAAAGATAAGATAGAATTGGTGGGTTGTGGGTCAAAGACAGTGCTTGGCACGTAAAAAGAGGTTAATAAGTGTCAGTTGTTGTTATTGTTATTAAAAATACTTCTTAGACCACATAATTCAATAATTTAGATTGTGTGTGTGTGTGTGTGTGTGTGTGTGTGTGTGTGTGTGTGTGTGTGTTTAGGGGCAGGTATTTATTTTTTATTTATATTCTGGCACTTTCCCCCACTCAAGGCAAACAGTGGAGCTTCAAACTCTGGAAGGGTCAACAGAATAAAAATGAAAATAAACTTTTTTTGAAGTTTGAAGTCTGGCCTTTTAGTTTTCAGAAGCTCAGGCTCAGAGGATGTGCAGGCAAGACAGCTTGATGAGATAAAGGAAGGCTTTCCACCTCTGCCTGCCCAAGAGCAGAATAGATGTCCTGGGTCTAAGGGCTGTAGATGGTTAGTGAGTAGCAGGAAGATGAAGGGGAAGAAAGCAGGGAAGAGGTCAATATATCCACATGGGATGACTGGGCCAGAGGGATGGGGCAGACAGGAACAGAGGTGGCATTCGCATTGGTTAATACATCAATGATGCAAATGGCCATCGCAATGATATCTGCAAACATTTGTTGAGTGCTTAATATATGCCTAAGTACCCTACATGAATTACATTTCATTTTATCCTTATCGCATCCCTAGAGGCAGATATTGTGACTAGCTCTATTTTGTCAGTCTCCTGGACAGGTTAAGTAATTTTGCAAGGTCACACAGCTAGTAAATAATGAAACAAGAATCAGTAATTTCCAAAACATATTTTAGAAAAATTCTTTTGGATGTAGTGTACAGGATGGACTAGAAGCATGAAAAGATCAGAATCAGAGCAAGCAATCAGAAGCTATTGCAGTAATTAGGGAAATGGTGCATCCTGGGAGTCAGGGCTCTGGGAACAGACACTGTGGAATGTCACAGATGACACCAAAGTTTCCAGTCTATCTGTCTGGGAAAAGATCAGATATTCAGAGGAGCAACCTATTGAGGATGAGGGAATAAGTCGCATTGGAAACGAGTTCAGATCTCATCCTATCTTAAAGTCAGTGCAAAGACCCCAGTATAGCAAAGACAATCATGTCACAGCCATATAGAATCAATAAGTAATTCACCAACAATTCCTCATCTCATGAAATAGTTAGTTGATAATCAATGCCTGTATCTAGCTGCTTAAGTTGTGAAATTGAGAATATTGTGCTATGACACTGAATTGAGACCAGTGAAGACTCTGTGGAGAGCTAACTTCAAAGATTCCTTCTTAAAAATTTTACAGATAAAAACCCGTGACAGGGTGTAGGGCCTGGAATTTTAAAAAATCCAATTTTAAAAGACTTGAAAAGACCTCCTAATGCCCGTGGCAGGAAGAAAAATGGCTCCTTAAAGATGTTGTCTTAATTCAGGATGCCACAACAAGTTGCCATAGACTGGGTGGCTTAAACAATAACCTTTCATTTATGACAGTTCTTTGAGCCCGGGGAGTCCAAGTTCAAGGCAGAGGCAGATTCAGTGTCTGGTGAGAGCCTGCATCCGGTTCATGGACAGCCATCTTCTCATTGTATCTTCACATGATGGAGAGGGGGCTAGAAAGCTCTCTGGGGTCTCTCTTTTATTATAAGGGCATTAATCTTATTCATGACGGCTCCACCCTCATGACTTAATTGCCTTAATAGCATCACCTTCAGGCTTAGGATTTCAATATATAAATTTTGGGGAGACACAACATTCAGTCCATAATAGATGCCCAAAACCTAATCTCCAGAACCTGTGCATATTTTACGTTATTTTGGCAAAGGAGAATTAAAGTTGCAGGTGAAATTAAGGTTGCTATCAGCTGAAATTAATTAGGAAGATTGCCTTATTTTATCTAAGTGGGCCCAATGTAATCACAAGGGCCCTTCAAAAGGGAAGAGAGAGGCAGAAGAGAAACAGAAAGATGGCATTGTGAGAAAGATGGACCAATGTTATTAGCTTTGATGAGGAAAGGAGGGGCCATGAGCCAAGGAATGCAAGTGGTCTCTAAAAGGTGGAAAAGGCTGCCAAACAGTCTCCCCAAGAGTCTCCAGAAAGGAACATACCCTGCCAGCACTTTGATTTTAGCCCAGAGAGACCCATTTTGGATTTTGGATATCCAAACCACCAGATAGTTTGCAGTTTTGTTATTTTAAGCTCCTAAATTTGTAGTAATTTGTTACAGCTGTCATAGGAAATTAATACAGTAGGTTAGGGAATAAATTACTTCCCCGGTAGTTCAGATTTTTATTTTAGCAACACACCTATGGACATTTGCCTACATGGAACAAACAACAGTAACAAAGAGTGGATTATAGATTTCCATTTGTATTCTTGATAACTGGGACAGTCCTAACTACAAATTAAGCATATAAACTTCTAAGGGGGTTATGTTCTAGTCTTTACTCACATTGGAAAAACACACTGGCAACAGTGTTTTCTATAACCTGGGAGGCACCTACTTCCTTTTCTCTGGACTTACCCCTAATTTAGAAGCAAAGGCAGACAAAATGTGATCCATTCAAACACAGATGAAATATTTCTTTGTCTCAGCAACACAACAGAAAGGGAAAATGCCTTGCTCATGGAAAAGGCTGTTAAACTATAGTTGGTTGGCATAGAAAAGAGAAGAGTTAGGGTTGTCACATTATTTTCTTCCTGCCAGCATCCTCCTTCCTAGGGTGTACCGTAAGCCCATTCTTTCACCGAAAAGGCACAGTTCTTTCTCCTAAGGCTTCAGCACTATTTTCAGCAGGCTGCTGGGCTCAGGTCATGTGGTCACTTTAACATCAATGCAGCTCTTAGCCTTATTAAGTAACAAGACAAGAGAATTCCTGGCAGTATGAGAGGCTGTAGTTCAATAAAAGTTCCTTTAACCAGGTCCCAAGTGTGATAACACAAGTGGTGTCATATTGGAATATAAGATGAAATCTGCCCTGTTCAGGGGTCAGAAAGCAGGAGGGAGCTTAACTTGGTTAAAAGAGCCCTTTAGCTTATTTGGGACAAGTTACTGCTCAGGGGTCTCTGAGATGGAACCTGCATTGTGCTAGCTCAGCATGATCACCTGCATTAGAAACTGTTTTACTTACCTGCTTCACTTTAGTTGGCTATAGAAAATGATACCTCTGACTTCAGTTTAGTACTTTGAATTTCATGGGTGAACATAAATTCTCTAATAGAACAAATCAACCTCTGACCACATCATAAGCCAACCCCAAAAATGTAAATGTCTTCCTAAGTGGAAAAATAGAAAAAGTTGGAACCAAGGAGGAATCTGTATCAGCTTCAGAGAACTTCTTCTGCCAAGAAGTCCTTAAACCTAGAATGTCTTCTCCTGTCCAGATGGCCAAATAATTAATAATCAACTAAAAGGGTGTAACAAAGCATGGTGGGAAGACCTAATAAGCATAAAACATGCCAAATGCCTTCTAGAAATTTACAACTATGTTAGGGGAGTCAACCATGGGAAGGTTACAGTGAGTGATTATATACTTCTTTGTATATTTATTGGTCCTGCCTTTACTCCATAGAGAGAGTAAGTGGATCTTGTACTGCCACACCCACAATATAGAAGCACAAGGTATGTACTCAAAACTGTATATGTACTTCAAACTAAAGAGTGAAACCCCAAATGCGTTAACAGTAGTACCAGAACTTCTACATAGAAGTAGTAGTTTAGGAACCACGATTTGCTTAGAGGTGAAGTTAAAAGCCATATTTGACCAGCACTATACATAAGATTGAGAATATGTCAATTGCCCATAACAAAGAGGTATGTATATGTATGTGGACACATGTATGTGTTAGGCAGAGAGACCAATGGGCATTACAGGATTATGAAAAAAATCGTTTCTCCTCAATTTCTCCTTGTTGCAATGCAGTTCAAGTACAAGAGGGTTCGGTGCAAGGAGAGATCGGTTTTAGCTAGTTAAGAAAGATTTCATGGGAAGTAATCTGTTTTGCTCATTTTCCAGAAAAGAGTGAAAGACATGTTCCACTCAACAATTCTTCATATATTACTCTAGGAAGCAGAAGTGTAATGAAATCCCCACTCTATGGGGGCAAGGGAAGGAGCACTAGGAAGACCAAGATTCAAAAGCATATTGACCACTCGTTCCTCTCCGTACTATATAGCATAGCCTTGTGAATCCAGATTGTCTGCACTGGAGTCCTGGCTCAGCTGCTCACCTGCTATGTGACCTTGGGAAAATTATTTAACTTCTCTATGCCTCAAATGTCTCCATCTGTAAACTGGGGATAGTAATAGTAACTAATTTATAGGCTAAGGGGAAATAACAAAGACAATAGTACACACCAAAATATTCTATGTGTTGACTTGCATTTCCCATTTATTTTGTAGCTTAGTGAGTCATCTGACTAGTTCTGATCAATGGGCTATGAGCAAAAGTAATGTGTGTTACTTCCGGGCCACAAAAGAATTTACTGGCACACGATTCTCCATATTCTCCTGTCCCTTGCTATTGTGAATGTTGATGATCCAAGGAGTGGGGCCTCCATCATCTTGAGTACCTGAGTACCATGTGGTGCAGAGTATCTCCCATTACTATCCACATTAGACATATTGCATGAAAAATAAATAGCCCTTTGTTATACTTCTGAGATTGTAGGGCAAATTTATTATTGCAGCCTAATCTAGCCTGCCCTGACTAATATAGTTGGCATTATGCTTGAAAAAATAACTAGGAAAAGTAACTAACCTTCTAAAGTATGACTTCAGAATATAGCTCATATTGAACTAAATGCTACAAATCAAGTAAATGAACTTATGAGTAACTTATATGTCATGATCCTTGGGTTCCAGATAAATTTCTTAAAAATAACCCTCCTCATTCTCACTGAAGAAAATTTTCAGAGCCAGTGGAATTCGAAAATCCTTAAGATTTCTGTGAATGCCAGGGACTTAGAAGTACCATAGGTCTTCTGCCCTCTGACACCTATGTATGTTAACTTGGTTTTATCCCACAATTATCTGGACAATGTTCTCAAGCCCTTCTCCGGTTGCTTCAAAAAACCTAATCACACCAATAAAGTCATGTTACTAGGATGTACCGCAAACATTGAATACTACAAACACTGAAACACAAAGCATTTTGTCAAGCCACTGCTTCTAACTTGCTGTCTCTTCTCCTCCAAGCCCTCTTCCATCTCTGTTTTCCCACAGGAGTTCCTAATTATTCTGTCTCACTTATTCAGAGTAGCTTCTCTGATTTCTAAAGGCAAAGGACCTATATTCATTCCCTACAGCTGCTTTAACAAAGGATAACAAACTGGGTGGCTTTGAACAACAGAATTTTTTGTCTCACAGTTTTGGAGGCTGGAAGTCTAAAATCAAGGTGAGTGCAGGTCCTCCTGAAACCTGTAGGGGAGCATCGTTCCTTGCCTCCTCCTAGCTGCTGGTGGTGGCCATCAATCCTTGGAATTTGTAGGCTTGTAGATGCATCATTCCAATCTGTCTCCATCTTCTTGTGGGTATTCTCTCTGGGTATCTATGTTTTCATGTGGCCATCTTCTTATAAGAATAGCACTCACAATAGGTTAGGAGACCACCCTACTTCAGCATAACCTCATCTTAACCAATGACCCTTTTCCAAATAAAATCACATTGTGAGGTACCGGGGGTTAGGATTTCAACATATCTTTTTCAGGGGGACACAATTAAACTTAGAACAGAAACACATTCTTGAAGAAACAGAATCTGCCCTAAGAATTTATCGACTCTATTTGCTTTTACACTCCTCATGCCTTAAACAGTACTTGATGCATCTTAGATGCTGCTGTGAACAGTTCTTGCCTGCAAAAGAAATCCAGTATGATGGCAGACCAACATTTCCACCAAGAATAACTTAAAATTCAGATTTTTTTTTCATAATAGCAGGTGTAAAGGCATCGGAAAGTTGTTCAAATAATCAAAACCAGAGGGGACACGATTCTGGCAAGGGAAGAACTAGAAAAAGGCACATTCACATCGTGCATGTGTTTTGATGATTCTGCGCTCAGCGCAAGAGCATGCAAACCTGGGTTGTGCCCAGGCAGAAGCCCACTGCTAGGGACAGATAAGTGAATAGGATTTTTACTGTTTTGTAAGGCCAGTGAGACAAGATTTGAGACTTAACGAGCCAAGATACTCGTAACAAGAGAGAAATAGAGAACTAAGCCTGATAATACAACCAATTTTTCTCTTATAACTTGTGCCAAATCCTGAAACTAGGCAAGCAGGCTTAGAAGCTAAGTAGATAAACTCAAAGGCAAAGCCGAGTTTTGAGGATCTCAAAAGAGTGTGGGGCCTGCCAGGGTGAGAGACTCCATGAAATTCTCAAGCTCTCAGGAAGATTAGGGCTTGGGAGTGGAGGTGAACCAAGAGTAGACTGAAACTTACCCAAATTGAAACATAGCCCTTACTTGGATTAAGAAACAGCCTTAACTCTATCTGCATAGCAGAATAAAGGGCAAACTTCGACTGAAGCTACTACAATTTGTTTTTATATACAAAGTTTAGCAAATGGTTTAAAAAATCGCTAGGTATGCCAAGAAAGAAAATAACATGTCCAAACACCCAAAGACTAGATATGGAAATAGGTGCATAGTTGATCCAGATATTAGTGTTAACAGAAAAAAATCCTTAAAAATAACTACGAATTATAAGTTAAGAAAAATAAGGAGAAAATTTTTCAAATAGATAAAAAAGTAAAACTTTAACAAGGAATTAAAATATATAAAAAAGAATCAAATAAAAATTTTAAAATTAAAACAACACAATTACTAAAACTTACTAAGATAGTGAAATATATCAAACCAGTTACATACAAGATATCACATATTTTATGTTTATATATTTTTACGATATATATGTATGTGTATACATGTACATGTAGAACTAACTGAATGGATTGAACACATCAAAAGACAAGCAGAAGACAAAATTATTAAAATATAATACAAGTCAATAAAAAATATCCAAACTGAAGAATAAAGAAGAAAATAATAAAAATACATAAAAGAGCATAGATACATGTGGGACAAAAGGAAAGTCTTAAATATATGTAATTAACATCCCAGGAGAGAAAAAAGAAGCAATGCTTGAAGAGATAATGACTAAAAATCTTCTGAAACTTGTGAAGACAAAAACTGACAGTTTCAATTTTGAGAACCCTAAACAAAGTGAATATAAAAAAAACTATAGACACATCATATCAAATTATTGAAATCTAAAGACAAAAAAAATCTTAAAAGTAGAGGGAGGTGGTAAAGAGAAAGAAATGAAAGGAGCAACAGCAGGATTATCAAATAACTTCTCATCAAAATGATGAAAATCATAAAACAATGGAATCACATCATACAGTGCTGAAAGAAAGTAACTGACAGCCAAGATTTCTACACTCAAAAATAAAGAAAAAATTAAGACATTTCAAAAGCCCAGAATGGAAAGAATACATTGCTAGCATATCCAAACTAAAAAATAAAATTATTAAAAGGATTTTTTTTCAGAGAGAAGGAAAAAGATCCCAAATAGCAACTTTGAAATCCAGGAAGCAATGAAAGCAAATGTTTTCAAAATACTGCCAGTAATCTCCATAACAATATGTAGTTCAACAACTTATAGCTGGTTCGGTTCCTAGCATGCTAATTACCTCCTAGTAAGTACTTGATTGTTAAAATAAAAACATTATTTCTGTCTTGCTTCAAACGAAGTTTGACTCACATCTTCACTTGAGTCAGAGAAATATTATATTTCTAAAATATCCATTAACTTTAGAAAAGAAAGAAAGGGGCACTCCAAATGCCTATTTCTGGGTTTAAAAATACCACTTCTCCAAAATAAAAAATAAAAAAAAAAAATCTTAAGGAGATGATTTTCTCCAAACTTTTCCTTCCACTTGATATTTTCTTTTATTCCAAAAGATAGGTGGCCTCTAGTCACTCACATCAGTAAGAAATAGTCTCCTTAAGGAAGGAAGCTCACAGATCAGCTGAGTCTTTCACTCATCACTAATGACAACCCTAAACCTTTTTACTATATCTAGTTTTATCTGCACTGGGGAAGCTGGGGAAAAGAAGGATGGGAGAAATCCTATGGGATTACTTCAGGACTTCTTAGATGCCTTCCGTTACCTAGTGGCCACCAAACGTACTCAGTAGTGGACCATTTTAAAGGTTTAAAGCTGCTGCATGGTTTAGTAATCTTTAGAAGTCTTTCCCCAACTCCTTCAAGGAATGTCTGAGATTAAATGACAGGCAAGAGGAAAAACTAGCCTGAACCAGTAAAACAATGTTGTCTGCATACCTTTTCACTCTAGAGGCTTAGAAATGCAATCAGCTTCCTGGGCTGCTACCCTTTTGTGCACAGAACACATTGTGCAACCTTCTTTATGGCAGAGAAGCTCCCTGCAGTGAAAGTCTCCTCCTGAATGGGGTTTCTGAGCACAGACATTTTCATGTGTCTTATTTGCAGCCTTCCACAAGAAGTCCTCTCCCACACAAATACATGTTTTCATTATCTTATTTTTAGAAATGCAATTTGAAGAGGAAAAAGTGTGATTTGACATTCTAATTGTAGAGGATTCTTCCATCTGAGTCTCTCTAGGATGTGGCTGCAAATACAACAATTTTAACACTAGATTTCAGCAAACCAGGCATCAGTCCCACTTAGCCATATTAGAAGCCACGTGCATTGCAGTCGCAGAAGTACCTTCCCACATTCTCATTAGTCAAAATATATCATGCAATATAATTGTTCTCCATTACAGCCTTAAGTGACTGATCTGGAGTGTGAGTGTAGGAAATAAATTTAGTCTAGTGAATTGAGTTTTCAGGTTCAGGTTTTAAGTTAGCTTCTGTTCTGTTCCTTCAAGCCACAAGCATCCTGTTCAATGTATTGCATCAACAGTTTTAAAATTAATAGGACTCTGAAAGTAATTAATTTACCAGCTTGGAGAAATTTTGTTACCTGAATATGACAAAACGAAATGCAATTCCAAGCAGGGGTGGAGGCGGCCTTAAAACTAGGGATTTGTTTCTCAAATCAACTCCCCCTTTCTTTCCCTCTTCCATTTTTTCCCTTTGTCTCATTCCTTCTGCCTTCCTCTTTTCCTTTCTTTTTCCATCCATTCTTTCTTTTATGAAAAATTACTTAAGGATATAAGAGGTTCCAGGTACTATTTGAGGCACTGAGAAGATTAAATAAGCCAGGGACTCATTCTTGTTGGGAAGATAGTGGAAAAAAGTAATTAAAATGCAAAGTGAGACAAATGAGCTGGATTCTGCTTGGCAAAGATTTGTGGGAAGGGAGCAGGTGGGGTGATGAATTCCAGCCAGAGAGGAAGGGGACTGCCTAGCCCTGCTTCTTCAATTAGAGCCTAAAGTGGTACTCAGACTTGGTCTGATGAACAGGCTGGTGGTAGGCAGGACAGGTAGGAGTTGATTTACACTTGGATTGTTGGATCTAGAGAAAGTGACTAGTAAAGCAGAGAGTAGGAAGTATCTGTCTCAATGTGTCAATCAATAAGTATTTATTTAGTACATACTACATGGCAGTATTTTACTAGGAACTGGGGCACATGAGTGAGCAAAGTAAATGTGGTGTCAACCCTTTATGCAGCTTCAGGCAAGAATATTGGCCCTCTACCTTCTAGGACCTGTAATTAAGTAGTGTGAAGTGATTGCTACAGATGGATGCTAGGAGAGAAGTCTTTACGAAACATCTTGGGTAGATGGAGACTCAGGGAGGGATGGGGAGGGTCACTTTGGGCCTGAGTGATTAACCATACAAGTGAAGGAAAGAGACCTTCTCCCTGCAAAGACATCCATAAGCTTTGGAACGTCAAGAATTGAGAAGGCTCAGAGTATCAGAGTACCATTGACATAAATATCTGTGTTTGTCCAAGTTCTCCAAGGAGACAGAACTATTAGGAGACACATATACAGAAAGAGATTTATTTTAAAAAATTGGCTCATGCAGTTGTTGGTGACTGGCAAGTCTGAAGTCCACAGGGGAGGCCAGCAACTGGAAACTCAGAAACTTCGTATTTTCATGTTACGGTCTTGAGGCAGAATTCTTTCTTCTCTGGGGAACCTCAGTTTTTGCTCTTAAGATTTTCAACAGACTGGCTGAGAGCTTCCCACATTGTGGAGGGTTTACTTATATTCAACTAATTGTAAAGGTTAACCACATTTACGAAATCCTTCCACAGCAACATCTAGACTAGTGTTTGACCAAACAACCGAGCACCATAATCTAGCTAAGTTGACACCTAAAATTAATGATCACAGCATAGAATAGATAATTCTTAAAAGACCCACGGTACAAACATCAGTATGTCCACCAAAGAGGCAAGACGCCAGTAGGAGCAGCAGTGGTGTCTGGTTGTGGTGACCAGTCAGAACAAAAGAACATGAGTACTCTGAGCACATGTGCAACATCCTCTGGGCACTCCCTGAAATACTTGGGTGGAGAGGATTATGCAGGTGAAGGTAGAACGATGGGATACTTTTGTTATTATCTTTGAGATCCCATTAACCTAGGAAAAGACTTTGAAACTCAAAAGAATGAGTTTTGAAAATGGTAAAATGCTTGTTGTGCAAGCAGCCCAAGGGTGACCAAGAGCATAAGATGTTTGGACCCTATTTTGCAGAAGGGCTGTGTACTAGTCTGTTTTCTCTTGCTATAAGAGAATACTTGAGACTGAGTAATTAATAAAGAAAAGAGGTTTATTTTGGCTCACAGTTCTGGAAGCTGACAAGTTCAAGATCAAGGAGCTGTATCTAGTGAGGGCCTTTTGCTGCTTTATGGCATGGTGGAAAATTGAAAGGGAAAGCAAGTCATGCAAAAAGAGGGCAGATGAAGCAGGCTGGCCTGCTTCATGACAACCTACTCTTGTGAGAACTAACCTAGTCTTGAACAAAGTAATTTAATCCCAAGAGGACTGCATTAGTCCCTTCATGAGGGTGAAGCCCCCATAATTTAAACACCCATAACTTAGACACACTCAAACCACAGTAGGCTGTGAGGGTGGAAGAAGAGAGAAGTAGAAATGTGTGGGCTCCATGTATGAGGGAGCTCTGTGTGAAGGGGTTGAGAGAACACAAGACCCTGATTGAGGCAGACTTGGTGTGAACTTCCCCTTGAGGTCCAGTGGTTTGATTGTTGCCCAGTGTAGCTTGGTTGCTGTACCACTAGTCTACTCTCCAAGAGGCTGGTAAGCCAAATTGTTTTTGGTTCTCCAGTCTAAGGGTCAAGCATTGGGGAGAATGAACCTCCAGCCATTTTGAGATAAAATGCCTCTGCTTTCAAGCTCCTATGGTCTTGAAATGATTCACAAGAGAATCCATAGTGACAACCTTAACAGGGACCACTGGGTTGAATGAGCCAGGGCTGAGAACTTAAATACCACTATATATTGACATGAGATAAGCTGGGGCTGATAACACAGCCCAGTATATAAATCTAGTCAGCTTTTGTAGATGTCACCACATGTAATGTTTTTCTCCAAACCTGCTTCTTTTCCTGCCTTCTTTTCCCTTGAAGTCAGTGCCACCATTCAGCCAGCTACCCAGCCTAGAGGAAGTCAGTCCTTAATTGCTTTTACTCAAGTTCCAACACCCACCAAATTCTGCTGATTTTACCTCCTAAAATATCTCATAACTGTAAGCCCCTCTTCTTCATCCTTCAACCACCCTTTGAACCTCATCTTCATGTCTCTAGCTTTCAGTCACCTCCAGCTCAGCCTTCACCTTGCCAATCAGAATGATGGTTCTCAAATGGAAATTTAACACTGCTACTTTCCCTCTCCCCAGAGCCCTCTGGATAAAGCAGAAACCTTCATGTTGGGAAACAAAGCCTTTGTAATCTAGTCTTTGTATTCTTTCCCTGCCTTATCCTGCACATAGCTATATCAACCACTCATAGTTTCTTGTTCTTTTAAAATATCTACTCATTCCTCCTTCCCTGGAATGCTCTCCTTACTTCTCTGCTGAGCCAACTCCTACTCCTTTAAAATTTGGATCAAAGGTAATTTTGTCCAACACAATCTGGTCTGAATTGGATGCATAGGATTGTTTGATAAGCCGCATACCTGGAGACTTTCTCTTTCTTTTGTTTTATGCAGCGATAGGGATGAGTTCACCTAATACCACCCCTGTCCACCATCCCGCCAGCCTAGCTCTGTGCGTTGATTGGATATTTGCTTCAGCACAGAAGCCATGTCAACTCTGCCTCTAAACAGAGAATCTTCTGTAAACTAGGCTCAGGAGTATGTCCAGGCTTTGCTGTCGCTAGCATAGGAAGAATAGACTCCAGTGTTTATCAGAGCCATTTGTTTTGTCATAGCACAACTTAAACTGAGGGCAACGTTTTATAAAGAGGTACTGTAAATAGTCACTTTCAAGCTCTCCTGGTTTGAAAGACACAGCAGTATCTTTGTAGCATCCGCAGCAGGGTTACTCTCAGTCCATGATTCACCCAGGTATTGGTTTATTGGCATTCTTTCTCTATCACTTAACAATGAGTAGCTCTTCCAAAAATAGAAAAATAAACACAAATAAAAAGAGCAATAATTCTATTATTCTCCAGCAATGTACAGAAGCAGGAATAGGATAGGTCTTCATGTTTGTGATATCTGCCTTGGGATTCAGGCTCTTAAAATTAAAGCCAAAACAAAGTTCACAGTTCCCTCTGACAATATATGTGGATAGCAGGTAAGGTCATTCACTTGCCAGATGACATTTGGTGTTATCAAGACAGCCACTTAAAGTACCACAGCGGATTAAGGAAATCCTTCAGAAAGAAAGGCATCTGACAGTGCAAGGACAATTGAGGAATTAACTTCAGGGAGAGTCATTTCCAGCCTACAGAAAGCAAGCACAGGAAACAGAATCAGGAAAACAACAAGAACAAAACGCCCCCCTTGCCTCTCTTGCTTATGGCTGCATTTTCCTGAAGCTTTGTCTACACTGGTACAATACATCATTATTCTCCTGAAGATAAGCATGTCTCAGTTATTCAAACCAATAAAACCATGAGGAACCACATTAACGAAACATCTGGGTAAACTGCAAGTAAAGTTTGTAGAACATAGGGTGTTTTTGTAATAGCTAAGATGTCATCATAACTATGTCTTAGATAAAATTAAAAATACATTTGAATTCATGTGTTCCAGAGTATGGTGGTGGGGATCATGCTGAAAAAAAATAAAGCCAGCTATAGAACTCTCCATTCATTTATTCATTAATTCATTCAGTCACTCAACAAACATTTGTGAAGCAACCACATGTAGGCACATGTATTCATCAGTAAAAATAACAATAACCATCTTGAAATTAAGAGAATGAAGCCCTGCTGCCTAGGTTTGATTCCAGGTCATTCCACTTATTAACTGTGGGCCTTGGACAAGTTCTTGAATGCCTGTGTACTTACTAAGTGTCCTCATCTGTAAGGTGTGGAAAATAGGAGTACCTTGACCTCATAGGATTGTTGGAAGGACTAAATAAGTTTGTAAATATACCACAATGCCTGTCAAGCTATATTAACAATAACAGCAACAAAGAACCAGAAAACCACAACCAATCTTTATTAGGCATTTATTACATACCATGGACCGAGCATGATAAACACTCAAGAAATGTTAGCTATTATTTTTATTATTAACTTGGATCCTTTAGTTTTGTGTTTTAATTTAAAAATTGGAACATATTCTGATTTCTTCTTTTTCTATTTTTTAAGAGATATGGTCTCACTATGTTCAGTCTAGACTCAAACTCCAGGACTCAAACCATCCTCCCACCTCATTCTCTCAAGTAGCTGAGACTACAGGTGAGTGCCTGTATGCCCAACAATTCTGATTTCCACAATTGTCGCTATTGCTATATTGTTAGCTTTGGCAGATTTCCACCATAATGTCCATATGAAATTAGGAAAATTGGACTGAAGTATGCTACAGGTCTAACATAGAGTCGCTGGACAATGTTTGAGTTTAGAACATAAGCCTAAGAGGTCAGAGAACAGTTTTATGAATACATTTTCTGCCCCTGTAGCATCTTCCACAGGCCAAATAAAGAATGTGCCTAATACCAAGGAGAGAGCCTGTCTTCTTGGATCTTGTTCAGCAAAACAAAGCAAGAATGTGAGCCTATGTCAGTACAGTGGCTCAGAAAAAAATAATAATAGTGGTAAGGGTTCTAAGTTAGGAAAACATGAGGTTATGTCCAGAAAAGACAACTAAAGCAAAGAGGGTGAAGGCAGTTCTGTAAGTCCAGGTACACCACACGGAAAGTACCATCAATAAGCTGGGCCAAGACACTGAGAAACACTAGGAAAGGATTCGGTCAGAAGATCAGAAATTCTAACCATGGGTAAATGATGCAAGGATCAAACTTGTCCAGGGACAACTGAAGGTCTCTGTCTTCTTTTCACTGACCTGCACCTGTGAGAGCCGAACAAACTGTAGACATTCAAATACTGGTTCTCTGGCCACTTCTGTTTTTCCTCTATGGAACTAATCACACATTACCTGGTGTATGATGTTTATATTTGCATGTCTCCTTACCGTGATGAAATTGTAAGTATCCTGACAGCATCAACTACTTTCTCAACATGGGAATTCCCAGAGAAACTTTCATATTATAGATATTCAATAAACATTTTCTGAATGAATGAGTAACTACCATGAACAAATTAGCAGACACCAAGGGAGTCTGATCCGGAGCCAATTGCCTTTTGAGAGAAACGTTCCTTACATCCTCCTCCTCCACAGCAAAATGGTTTCAGGGTGTGGGGACATCTGTTACGATTGTCTGCCAAGAATCAACAGTGCCATCTTCTGAGAGGAGCAAATCAATTTCCCTTTGGGTAACTACCCCATCCCACCTTCTCCTGGCTAAGGGTAGGGCTATGAGCTTGGCCAATCCTCTTTCTCTCCCTGAAATTTGAACTTTAAGCAGAACTTCAGGGACAGAAAAGAGCTGGAGCCACTTCATCCCAGCAGTGATAACCTGAAGAGTTTGTCCATTCGTCCATGTTATCTCAATTGCCATAATTGTCTTGGTTTCTGTCCTCTCTGCAACCTGGAAATTTAGCTATTCGGTTGAGCCAAATGATTTTCCCTTTATCCTTTCAATAAATTTCTTTTGTATGTGTTAGCAAGAGTCAATTTTAATAGCTATAAACCACCAAGAATCCAACTGATGCACTATGATGTCCTTGTTCTAGAACAGTGGTTCTCAACTTTGGTTGCACGTTAGAATCAAAAGAAAGTTTTCAAAATCCCAGAGTTCAGACCACACCCCCCCAAAGCAATTAAATGAGACTCACTGCAGGTTTGAACAGTACGTCCTAAAATACCCCCAGGTGATTCTAATGTGTAGCCATGTTTGAGAATCACTTCTCTAGAGATAAATGTAAATATGTCCATCTGACCACTTTAAGGAAATGAGGAAGCAAAGGGTATTTTACAAGTAACATGCTTTTAAAGACAGAATTTAACCCTGGAGAAAGAACTAAACTTCCACCCCAGAATTCATACTTTCCTAAGAATTAAAGAACTAGAACTAGGTTTTCTTTTCTTTTCTTTTTTTTTTTTTTTTTTTTTTGAGACAAAGTCTTGCTCTTGTTCCCCAGGCTGGAGTACAACGGCGCCATCTCGGCTCACTGCAACCTCCGCCTCCTGAGTTCAAGCGATTCTACTGCCTCAGCCCCCCAGGTAGCTAGGATTACAGGCACCTGCCACCACGCCCGGCTAGTTTTGGTATTTTTAGTAGAGACGGGGTTTCACCATGTTGGCCAGGCTGGTCTCGAACTCCTGACCTCAGGTGATCCTCCCGCCTCCGCCTCCCAAAGTGCTGGGATTACAGGCATGAGCCACTGTGCCAGGCCTAGGTTTTCATCTTTAATTGCTATTTTGACCACTAAGTAAATCTGAAGATGTTCACAACAGTAGGCACTTTCTAATTTTATTAAAAATACAAATAAAGCACAGTGTCAAGGAATAAAATATCCCTGTTGACTTGCATTGAAAATAGATCACAATAATCTATTCCCAGCCTGGAAATATTTCTACTAAAGCAATCCTATGGCAATGTTTCATCTGAGGCTGTCTTTGGTGACATCTGTTGACTAGTAGGTGATCATAAGAGGGGAAGAAACTGACACCTGTTCACCTTCTCCAACTTTTCTGCCTTGTGAGAGACAATTTCTTTTTAGTTATATGAAATGCAATGAGGAAAAAGCTAGCTAAGAAGCAGAGCAAATAAAGCCCACAGAAAACAATGAAAAGGCAAATAGACAAAGACAATATGGTAACATTCTAGAAGAAATTCTACCTCTGTGTACATACTGCACAGGGAATCACACAGTCACTCTAGTTCTCAGGAGATAATTTGATGGCACATCCCATCCGCTGCTCTTGCTGCTCTGGGCCAGGCCTCCATCACGCCCATGGTTACCTATTGATCATGACTCATCCCCAGTGCATGGATACATAAGGGGATACACAGTCTATCCTGAGCAGTGCTGGACCTTGTGGAGCAATTGTGCACCAGTAGAATTAGCTCTGCTTCCCACAGCCCTGGTGTGGGACCTAAATGTCCCTAAGAAATTAATCGGGCCCATCCTCTTCTACCAGCCACACAAAGTGATTTTTTTCCCCTATACTGGTTTTTAGCCCTGGTGAAACTGAGTCAATTAAGAATAGGTCTATGTATAACAGTGAAGTACATGACCTGAGTTTAACAACAGTGCTGGGGCAATTTATCGAATGTCCTGCAGTTTAATACAGAAAGGAAGAGGAACACAGCCCCCAAAGAACAGACCAAAAAAGGATATTGGTGCATCTTGCACATATCCAGGTTTCTTTGGTTTTGTTTTACCTCATTTAACTTCTAAACTCAAACATTATGTCAGAGTACACTTTAATGCATTAAAAAGAATCAGTCAAATTAACTTAAATTAGATGGTACTCATTTGTTGTCTTTTACTTCCATTTCACCAAAAATGAGGAAATAACTCCTTCTAAGCATAGACTGATCACTAGTAAACAGTTTAGAAACATGTTTCTCCATACATCAAGTACATTTGTTATAAACATGAATTAAGTTCAAGAGATATTTAAGACCCTAGTATGTGCTAAGCATACATAGTCAAAAAACAAAATTCCCATCTTTATAATACAATAAACCACTTCTTGTGCTGTAAATTCATTATGTCATCATCTCAAAATTCTTTCTTTTTATTTATTTATTTATTTTGAAGTGGAGTTTCGCTCCTGTTGCCCAGGCTGGAGTGCAGTGGCATGATCTCAGCTCTTGCAGTCTCCGCCTTCTGGGTTCAAGCGATTCTCCTGCCTCAGCCTCCCAAGTAGCTGGGATTACAGGCACCTAACACCATGCCTGGCTAATTTTTTTTATTTTTAGTAGAGATGGTGTTTCACCATGCTGGCCAGGCTGGTCTTGTACTCATGGCCTCAGGTGATCCACTTGCCTCAGCCTTCCAAAGTGCTGGGATTACAGGCATGAGCCACTGTGCCTGGCCCCCCAAGGTTATTTCTAAGCAACAAATTGGCACAATCTTTGGCAAACACTATCTTTCCTAAACTGAGTGGATAATATGAATTCACTTTTTAATTGAAAGTGGCTAAGAATGGCTCACCTCAAGAGTATAATTGGGAGGTATGCAATGGAATTGTTCCCTGGAATTGTTCCCTGTGTGTTGCTGATTGACCGCAGGGTGACACAGCTCGTAGAAAGAAAATAAGTATCGGATAATGAAAAGAGAGCAATACCTGGGTTCTGAAGACCCAAATTCAACTCCTAGCATCAAGTCACAAGCTGTGAAAACACACACTGGTCACCTCTGGTCAGTTCCTTCCATTATAAAAAGAGGATGACAGTTATAACTGCCTCTCCAAATGTTAAGGAGAAACAAATTAGAAACGTGTTCAAATTTTTGCTAAACTTAAACCTCAATTCCATTAACATTAAGCAACGAACATCTGAATTGGCTACCATGGATGCCTTTTTTCTTTATCATGCATAAATTAAGAATGAGCATGATAGACTACTTATGATTTTTACCTTCTTCTTTATACTTCTCTGTATTTTCCAGTTTTCCTGGAGTGATCATGTGTAAATTTTATAACCAGAAAACATGTTTTATGAATGAAAAGATATGGTAATGTCTTAGAGTCTGGAGTTAGACTAGAAGCACTGGATTCAGGAAATACACATGAGCTAAGACTATTTTTGGATTAGTTTGAACTAACCAAAAGACAGAATTTCAGCAAGTCAGAACACTAAAATTATTGAGATGAGAAGCTTGCTCCATGCTTCTTATTTCTGCATGCTTTTAAACATAAGAAATTTTTTCTTAATATGGTCATTGTGTGTTTATATATTTTAAAATGCATTCGTTAACTTAGTGTCTGTTCATAATGATATAATGGCTATTTATTGAGCACCTATTATGTGGTAGATGTTTTACAAACATCATCTTACCAATACTATGAGAAATTTCCTTTTGTCCTCGTTTTATCTACAGGAAAACTCAAAGCAATTCACCTAAGGTTGTGGCCCATAAATGGTCATGGCAGGTACGGCCATTCACCCACTCAGCTATCCCATTGCACCATCCTGCACTATAAAAGGTAGAGAGCAACAGTTTTCAGACTCCTTTGCAATGCTGGTTCTGCAAGTGGCCTAGGTCCTGCCAAGCAGACAAACCATGCAAGACTAGGAAGGTGGATGTAAGCAGTGAGCAGAGAGACAGGATTCTTTGGCAAGCATAGAACGGAGCCTTTGGTTCTTTGAGGGCAGTGGTAGAGGAAGTTGTGTGTCCAATTTGTAGGAGCAATAAGCAGCAGGCAAAGTTGGTAGCAGGGTCTTGTCTAGAGACAGCCCTTACTATTTTGGAGTGTTTCTCCTAGCTGCAAAGGATTAAGTCAATAGAGACCTGGAAAAGCAGCAGAAAGTGGAACCCAAGTTTCAGCTAGAGTGAGAGAAAAGTTTGAAAGTATCTGGGCATACCTTTCAGAAGAGTTCAGGTACTCCATTGCTGTGACAGAACACAGCAATCTGACCTGAATTTGATCACAGAAATTACACTGGGACTCTCACTTTACTGGTTCAAAGACTAAAGCTATATAAATAGTCTAGATCCGGGATTGACAAACTTTGGCCCACAAATAAAATCTTGCCCACTGGACTCTCTTGTAAATACAGTTTTATTGGAACATAGCCATAATCATAATTTGCATATTATCTATAGCTGCTGTATTAGTCCATTTTCACACTGCTGATAAAGACATACCCAAGACTGGGCAATTTACAAAATAAAGAGGTTTAATCGGACTTACAGTTCCACGTGGCTGGAGAGGGTTCGCAATCATGATGGAAGGTGAAAGGTACGTCTAACATGGCGACAGACAAGAGAAGAGAACTTGTGCCAGGAAATTCCCCTTTTAAAACCATCAGATCTTGTGAGACTTATTCACAATCACAAGAACAGCACAGGAAAGACTTTCTCCCATGATTCAATTACCTCCCACCAGATCCCTCCCACACCACATGGAAATTCAAGATGAGATTTGGGTGGGGACACAGCCAAACCATATCAGTTGCTTCTTTTTGTTTGTTTGTTTGTTTGAGATGGAGTCTTGCTCTGTCACCTAGGCTGGAGTGCAGTGGCACGATCTCTGCTCACAGCAACCTCCGCCTCCTGGGTTCCAGAGATTCTCCCACTTCAGCCTCCTGAGTAGCTGGGATTACAGGCACCTGCCATCATGCCCGGCTAATTTTTGTATTTTTGTAGAGATGGGGTTTCACCATGTTGGCCAGGATGGCCTTGAACTCCTGACCTCAGGTGATCTACCTGCCTTGACCTCCCAAAGTGCTGGGATTACAGGCGTGAGCCACCGTGCCTGGCCCAGTTGCTTTCATATCTACAGAGACTATGAAACCTATACAGGCTAAAATATTTACTATCTGGCCCTTCTAGCCCTTTCTAGAAAAATTTGTCAACCTTCAGTATAAGTGGTTGGAAGGGCAAAGCCATTGGGAATTGGTCAATCCATTATATGTTTCTGTAAACAGAAGAGGAAAACACGTGAACAAAGTTTCAAATCACCGCCTAAAGAGAAGAATTTTTTTTTTTTTTAGCAGGGTCTTGCTTTATCCCCCAGACTGGGGTACAGTGACACAATCACAGTTCACTGCAGCTTCAACCTCCTGAACTGAAGCAATCCTCCCACCTCAGCCTCCCTAGCAGATGGGACCACAGGCATGCGCCACCACACCTGGCTAATTTTTTTTTTTAATTATCTGTAAAGATCAGGTCTCCCTATGTTGACCAATCTATCAAACTCCTGGGCTCAAGTGACTCTCCCGCCTCATCCTCCCAAAGTGCTGGGATTACAGGCATGAGCAACTGTGCCTGGCTTGGAAGAAAACTTTTAAGTCCTTTGTTGGAAGCAATATCCAAGAATATTTAGTCTGTGGGTGTTCCTGTGTGTGGAGAGGATTAGGGATGAGGAACATCACAGGGGCTGGAGTAAGTATGTAATTGTAGAGGCTGAAAGAGATGAAATTGTAAGCCAGAGGGTGTAGATGATTAATCAGGAGACAGAGAGAACGCAAATAGAGATGGAAAGTTTAGAAACTCAGGCTAAAGCTGCACAAAGTATTTAAGTGGGAAACGGGAGGTACAGAGGAGTTGTCAGAGAAATAATAGGCAGCCCATTCCTCAGAGGCCCAAGTCAGAGTGGGTGATCTCGCTGTGCTCCTATTATGTACCAGGCATTGTGTTGGGTCCTCAGAGAGTTTGCTAGTTAAAGATAAAGGTGTAGGTTGCAGCACCAGAAGCATTGCAGTGGCTGAGAAGCAGCCTTTGGATCTGACAGTCAGGGAGCCTTCAACAGTCTTGGTAAAGGGGGCTGGGCTCTGTGGAGCTCTGTGTAATTTGGAGAAATAAGAGCTATTCTGAAAGGGGTCTCTGGGAATTTCGAATGCTAAGATGGCATAGTGCTCCAGAAGTGATTAAGATGAAAGGACGGAGATGAAACAGCAGCTGGAAGGCGTAAATCGGTCTCATGTTGCTTTCTGAAAGATGGGTGCTATGGCTGAAAATCCTTTTCATCATACAGAGATGTCAGCAGTAGCAGCATTCTTTGTAATAGGATTTGACCTGTGGGTGAGCAGCTTCCATTCTCTCTGACTACCAGGAGATTTTTCTTAGCTGTGTTTTGGAAAAACAGAAAGGAATGCCAACTGTACTAAAAACCACTATAAACGCTACCTACGCCGTGCCTGTGGCTGCTTTATAGAAGGGTAATGAGAGGATGACCAGAATAAAAATACTCTGTGGCCTTTCTCAGCAGCAAACGGGAGGTATGACTGAATAAGCACCGAAGAAAAAGGGAGAGCCCTTCCTGAGTGGAAAGAACACAACAAAAGACAGTCATTAAATGAATCGACAAACTTGGGCCCTCACAAAAACTTGTTGCTGCCGCTGCATGAGCCCTCCCAGGGAAAAAGGAGAGGTCATCTCAGACCATTGCAGGGGCTTTATATAACCTGAAGACACGAGGAGAATCCTATAAGCCACAAACTTAGGAGACTTTGCAAAAAAGTTGAGATTTCTTTATCTTCTCAACACCTTTTTTGTCACCTCTGAAGACTTGCAGCTCAACCTTAGGGAAGTCACTTAACTTTCTCAGTTTCCTTTTTCTGTCTACAAAAATGGGAATGATAAAAATGATGCCTTGCTCCTCATAGAGTTTGAGCCACTGCTACCGCAATGTCTTATAAAGACAAAGTTACTCTTGTGGAAGTGTAATACTTAGGTGCTGAGTTGTCGTTTTTTCTAAGATTCTGAGGCGCATTTTGGGAACCATGAATAGTGGGATTTGGATGTCCGTCATGTCTAATGGAACAGAAAGTCTGGTTTCTCCAAAATCCTACATACTAAGTGACTGCTCTACAGACTTTATTACTAGATGTGGTGCTTCCTAGCAAAGCAAGGTATATATGTGAACAGCTGGTGGCTGGCAGGGAAAGTAATACTTGCATGATGCTATTAAGAGCATGGTTTCTAGAGCCAGGCCCCCCTTGATTGGAATCCCAGCTTCTCCACTTTTTACTGGCTGACTTTGTATAAATCCCTCAACCTCTTTGAATTTCAGCTTGCTCACCTGTAAAGTATAGGTAATAACTGTACATACATCCTTAGGTTATATTAAAGACTAAAAGAAATAATGAATGTAAAGTACTTAGCACAGGGCCTGGCACACAGGAAGCAACACAAAACATTAGCTGTTAATATCATATTGCAGTACTAATGAAGGTCCAAAGAGCCTGCCATGGGAAAGTGCTCGTTGCTTATTGCTACCAGGAGGCAGGCATGGCATAGACAAATGAAGCCCACAGACCGTTGCTTAATTCTGTTTCACCTGACATTTTGAGGCTCTCTCTCATATTTCTTTTTTTTCCCTTTTATTATATATATAAATATATATATATATATTTGAGATGGAGTCTCACTCTGTCACTCAGGCTGGACTACAGTGGTGCAATCTTTGCTCATTGCAATGTCCACCTCCTGGGTTCAAGTGATTCTTATGCCTCAGCCTCCCAAGTAGCTGGGATTACAGGCACCCACCACCATGCCTGGCTAATTTTTGTATTTTTAGTAGAGATGGGGTTTTACCATGTTGGCCAGGCTCAAACTCCTGACCTCAGGTGATCTGGCTGCCTCGACCTCCCAAAGTGCTGGGATTACAGTCGTGAGCCACCGCACCTGGTCACTCTCACATTTCACTAAGTCTTGTAGAAGTTACAAACATGCAGCTCCATGCCTCTCCATTTTTTTCTAATCTTCTCCCAGAGCCAAGAAGCAAAATGAACGTGAAATAAACAATACTAACGGTCTTGGGAGTGACATACTTACATCCTGGGATGGGAGGTGGGAAGTGGTGATATTAAAGGAGAGTTCCTCTATCCTTGGAAATATCTGGGCTTGAATTGCCTAGGGAGGGAAACCTGGTCCCTACAGACGGAGCAGCAAGGGAAGAGGCTCTCAGAAGAAGAATGCTAAGGCTGGGCGCAGTGGCTCACGCCTGTAATCCCAGCACTTTGGGAGGCTGAGGCGGGTGGATCATGAGGTCAGGAGATCGAGACCATCCTGGCTAACACGGTGAAACCCTGTCTCTACTAAAAATACAAAAAATTTAACCGGGCGTGGTGGCAGGCGCCTGTAGGCCCAGCTACTTGGGAGGCTGAGGCAGGAGAATGGCGTGAACCCAGGATGCGGAGCTTGCAGTGAGCTGAAGCTTGCAGTGAGCCAAGATTGTGCCACTGCACTCCAGCCTGGGAGACAGAGCAAGACTCCATCTCAAAAAAATAAATAAATAAAAAAGAAAAAGAATGCTAAGACACCATCCAAATGAATGAGTGGCAGAAGACAGCTCTGGGCTGAGGACCAAAGCTCATTAGTCATTGGAGTCTCAAGCATTACAAGAGGTCACATAAAGCAATCACCAATCTCATTAAGTAAGGAGGATGTGAGAAAGGAAAAGAGCACACCAGAGAAGACGATCCTCTTAGATATGTCTTGGACAACCCAGAGATGACCCCAAGGAACTCTGTTCTAATCAGGAAATCCACCTCTATTTTGGCTACAAAATGCTACTAGTAAGTAAACCTGTAAAGTAAAACAGTAAAGAAACCGGTAAGATCTCTGCTTATGTTGTTTAGCAACATCTTCCAAGTACTATTTGAACACAGCCTTTGTTTTTTGTTGCAGTTATTTGACAAAGTCAAATATCATTTTCAAGACAATGAAAAAATAAAAACAATATTTGAAACCCTCCAAAAACTAAATTATATGGCCTACTCTCTAGATTTAGCAAACAACTTTCTTCCTGCCATGTTGTCCGTTATTAAAATCTAATACTAATGTGGGGTTAATGTGACAGCCTTGGGTACACAGATGAAGTTATAAAGGAAATAAGCTTTTATTACTTTTCCAGAGACAAAGCAATAACTTAGAATAACAGAATGATGTTAAACTTTCTACCATATTCCACTCTCAAATTTTCCCTTGTTCTTTCTCCATATCATAGGAACATTCTATTTTTAAAAAATTAAAGCTCCATCTGAGTTTACAACAGATTAGCCATCAAGAATAATGGCATATCTTTTGTGACATCTAGAGGCAGGGAAAACTGTCTGAAATTAGCCCCCAAATTTAACTCTGTATATTTTTTTCAAGTACATTGGGTTAACTAATATGTTGATTATCACACGGGACTTCTTCCTTTCACTCATTTCCCACACCTAACTAGCCACCAAATTCTCCTTTTCTTTTTAAACCTCTTAAAATCTCTTGAATTCATTATCTCCTTATAGGTCTCCTCATATTTCAGATGCTGTCAATCTCAAATGCATCCTCCCAGCCACTGGGTTGGGACCTTTGCAAACTGCATGTCTAGTCTCCTCCTTCCTCTGTTTAAAAAACTTCAACAACTTTCCATCACTTGCAGAACAATGTCTCCACTCTTTGGTAGGCACCACCCATAAGTACCTCAACTTTCCCCTCAATCTCTCTTACTTTCAGACACTTCTTCCTTCTCAACTCCCCACTCACCATACACCCCTAGCATCACCACCTTCTACCACCATTTTAACTCCTACAGTTCCAGAAAACCTGTGGTTCACTAATCCTACTATGCCACTGTAATCTCTATGCTTTCCACATTCTGTGTCTCATGTACCCTTCCTTCTTGGTACTGTAGTTCACAAATAGTTACATAGTTCTTAGCATGTGCCAGGTCTTTTATTTTTTTTTATACTTTAAGTTTTAGGGTACATGTGCACAATGTGCAGGTTAGTTACATACGTATACTGTGCCATGCTGGTGTGCTGCACCCATTAACTCATCATTTAGCATTAGGTATATCTCCTAATTCTATCCCTCCCCCTCCCCCCACCCCACAACAGTCCCCAGAGTGTGATGTTCCCCTTCCTGTGTCCATGTGTTCTCATTGTTCAATTCCCACCTATGAGTGAGAATATGCGGTGTTTGGTTTTTTGTCCTTGCGATAGTTTGCTGAGAATGATGATTTCCAATTTCATCCATGTCCCTACAAAGGACATGAACTCATCATTTTTTATGGCTGCATAGTATTCCATGGTGTATATGTGCCACATTTTCTTAATCCAGTCTATGATTGTTGGACATTTGGGTTGGTTCCAAGTCTTTGCTATTGTGAAGAGTGCCGCAATAAACATACGTGTGCATGTGTCTTTATAGCAGCATGATTTATAGTACTTTGGGTGTATACCCAGTAATGGGATGGCTGGGTCAAATGGTATTTCTAGTTCTAGTTCCCTGAGGAATGGCCACACTGACTTCCACAATGGTTGAACTACTTTACAGTCCCACCAACAGTGTAAAAGTGTTCCTATTTCTCCACATCCTCTCCAGTACCTGTTGTTTCCTGACTTCTTAATGATTGCCATTCTAACTGGTGTGAGATGGTATCTCATTGTGGTTTTGATTTGCATTTCTCTGATGGCCAGTGATGGTGAGCATTTTTTCATGTGTTTTTTGGCTGCATAAATGTCTTCTTTTCAGAAGTGTCTGTTCATGTCCTTCGCCCACTTTTTGATGGGGTTGTTTGTTTTTTTCTTGTAAATTTGTTTGAGTTCATTGTAGATTCTGGATATGAGCCCTTTGTCAGATGAGTAGGTTGCAAAAATTTTCTCCCATTTTGTAGGTTGCCTGTTCACTCTGATGGTAGTTTCTTTTGCTGTGCAGAAGCTCTTTAGTTTAATTAGATCCCATTTGTCAATTTTGGCTTTTGTTGAGCATGTGCCAGGTCTTATTCGATGAGCTTTATGAGCATTAACTCATTTAATGATCACAGCCCTGGGAGACAGGTAGTATTATTCTCTTCCTTTTATAGATGAGGAAATCTAGGCACAGAACAATTAGGAAACTTGGCCAATGTCACACATTCAGTACATTGGTGGCTGGAGGGAGGAAGCTAGATTCAAACCTAGGCAGTTCAGCCCCAGGGTCTACGCCCTTGCCTATGCATTGCACTGCCTCTCTCTGCTTCTTCAATTCCTTGCATCATCATTATCCCCTCTACAAAGCTCTCTCTGACCACCAAGCTCAATTGCTAATCAACCCCTCCTATGTACATTGTGAAGAGTCTAATTATGTGATAACTATTACAACTCCTCTTCTTCCCATTTTAGACTATAAGTTACTAGAAGGCAGACACCATAATACGTCATAATATCCCCAGCACAAGTGTTCAATACCTGTTTGACAAATGGCTCAATAAAGGTGACAGATAGCCTTATTGCATGTTCCATAACGAGTATAAGGAGAAATTCAAAGAAAATGGAACCTAAAGATGACTTGGTTCTTTGGCATTTCACATTTCCAGCTAACATTATATCTAAGTCATAAATTACAGGGAAACTTTGCCTGTGTGTTCCTGCCACTGCCCAACCCCTTCTCTCAGGAGCTATTACATAGACCAGCACTGTCCACTAGAATGTTCTAAGAAATCCTCTGTATTGCACTGCCCAATAGTGTAGCCACTAGCCACATGAGGCTATTGAGCACTTGGCTAGAGAGACTGAGGAACTGCATTTTAAATGTTATTTAATTTCAATTATTTTAAATTTAAATAGCCACATGTAGCTAGTGGCTAAGATATAGTACAGTGCATGTCTGGACCACTTGCAAATCATAAGTGGCAGAGAACAGAGTGGTGATGGGAAATAGAACATGGAAAGCAAGGAGGAATGTGCAAAGAACACTTAGTATGAGGGGAACCAACCTGTCTGGTTTGCCTGGGACTGAGGAGTTGCACAAGACCTTCAGTGCTAAAAATGTGATAGTCCCAGGCAAAATGGGACAGTTGGCCACCCTACTCAATGCCTAGAAGGAACTAAGAGTAGGCTCCACATGAGAACTACAGAATTTGAAGCAGGAAAAAGAGCAAGAAAAAGATTGGGTCTGGGACAGAGTAAGAACATATCATGGGTGGGAAGAGGACAGTCGGCTTGTACCTCCATATTTTCCATATTGCCACACATTTACAGATTCCAACACACAGGTTCTAGTGTGGAGACTTCAAACAAAAGTGTGTAATGTACTTTTATATCTGTCCTTTTTCAAATACGTGTGCTTTATTTCACTCATCTGTCTCTTAGTTGAGGAAGAGAAGATGACAGCCTACTCAACTCTCTTTGATCTGTCATTTAAATTTCCATTCTCATTCCATAATCTGTTAATCTTTCCAGTATCTCAGTACAGGGCTGAATTAAATTCCCATATTGAATCCCAACATGAAAGACATTTCTTTGTGAGCAGCTCAATATAATGTACTTCTAAATGGCATTTAAAATGTTCAGCTCAGTAATGGAATGATAAAGAAGGACACCCAGTGTTAGTACACATCGGTAAAAGAACATTTTTTTTATTAGTCAGAAGCCAAAAAGACAGAACAAGATAATTAGAAAAAAAAGTTTATTCCTACTAGACTGCCACAGGAGTATTATGACTCAAAATGTAAGTCACTGAATTCCTGTAGGAATTGAACTTCTTAAAAAGATATCAGACATCAAAGTTTGAGTCATGCCACATTAACCACCAATGGCCAAAGAAAAGTTTGAATGCCACTGGAAAAGTTAAATATTAGACTTTCCCTGAAACATTTCAACTCAGAGAGCTTAAGTGTAGGTATTGCAGTTGTCATACTGACTTGTGTGCATTCTTTATAGGCTTCCAGACCGATCGCCGCACACCCTCTCCTGTTGCTATGGTGACCCAAATAAATTCTCTCCTGAGATTCATTTCTCCCAGATGCCAACGCATCAGGTCAAGTAGGCAAGCAGGCTAGCAAATAATGCAGTGCCCCTAAACATTCTCACACTCTCCAGGCAGCCCCAGAGAGCTAGTCCTCCACACATCACACCCAATTTCAACATTTCCAAAACTGTGCAAAATAGCAAACAAAAAGATTATTCTAAGCTATGGTATTTTTAAAAAATATATCTAACCAACAAGAAAACTCCTTGCAAAAGGCACAGAGGAAGAGGAAGTAGAAAGTAAGAATTTCTCCTAAAGTCTACTTCGTCATCCTTATGTTCACCAATAAGACCTAAATGATAGTTCTCAGTAGAATAAATATAAAACCAAGGATGCTCAACCTTCATGGAACACTATTAAATATGGTATTTAGTACTTAGGATTAAGGACTTGGGAGATGGTTGTGGAGGAGACAGATATTACCAGAAAAGAAAATCATGAAGGAAAGCATTTGGTTCATAGAAAATATGCACATGTTGTTCTAAAGGAAAATGCCTTAAAGCCTTTTGTTATTAGAGATGCTACAATTTAAGGCTTCCAGTGTGTGGGACCCTCCCCCCCAATATATGTTAAATATGTATTGCATATAGGACAAATATTTCATGAGACGGCAACCTGAGAAGCAGCATTTTACAGTAACAGTATGTATAGAACAGGAAACAAATAGATGCTACCTACACTCCCTAAAAATCCAAGTGTAATAACTTTACCCAAAGATAGACAATATTTTGACCCCCAAACTAGTGCAAGGCACTTCATAAGAAGAGTGAACTGAGCATGCACTTGACCCTGGGGCTACTGGTAATAGCATACATGCCTTAACATTTACTTTCTGCTTCTTAAAAATGCCTCACCATAACCCTATAAGGGCAGTTACCTCCATTTTTCAGATGATGAAAATTAGGCACAGAGGAACAAATAACTTGCCAAAGGTCACACACCCGAGAAATGGTACTGGGATTTGAATCCTAGTTCCATTGCCTGGGCTTGCAACCGCTGTGCTGTACTGTCTCTGATGGTCACCAATGCACTTGAGCGAATCAGACCTTGCCCTAGGGACTTCCTGTCTTCAAATGCCTCTATGTCATTATCTGTTCTCCTCCTCTCAACACATGTTATCTCTCTCCTTCCCACCCCCACTTCTTCCAGTGTCCCTTAGACCATAACATCAATGGCCAGAGGTTCTCTGGGGAACTTGGCATTACTGGAGGAAGGCACTACTTCTCTAGGAACTATGTGGTCCGAGACAGAATTCATACTCTCAGGACCTAGGGACCACAGTCCAGAGGAAGTTTTCACTGAGCCCATGGAGCAACCAGAGGCTACCATCAACCTGGAGAGAAGATTCTGAGAGGGGTGGTGAGACCGAAAGACAAAAGCAGCATGTCTGGGCCTACACATTCATTTCTGTGCCAAGGTTCTCCAGAAGCTGGAAGAAGAAACAGTTTGGCTGCTCCCACACATGCATCCAAGGTCTTCTGCCCAACTATAAGGAGAGAGGACTTTGAGAAGCCAAGGTGATCAGATGACTTGAGCTCAGATGTTTGAGATCAGCCTGGGCAACATGGTGAAACCCCATCCCTACAAAAACATACAAAAAAATTAGCTGAGTGTGGTGGCATGTGCCTGTGGTCCCAGCTACTCAGAAGGCTGAGGTGGGTGGATTCCTTGAGTGGAGGAGACGGAGGTTACAGTGAGCCAAGATCGTGACATTGCACTCCAGCCTGGGTGACACAGTGAGACTCCATCTCAAAAAAAAAAAAAAAAAAAAAAAGGTGGAGAGAGGGATTCAATGCTGGAGTTAGAGACACCAGAATGAAAGCTTTGAGCAAGTAACAGATGTGATGAGGCTAGAGCGACGTAAAGAGAGAGGATGAGTGCGAACTGGAGAGAGCAAGCAAGTCAATACCTAACTAGTCACTTTGGAGCCTGCCCTTCATGGATCTGGGCACCCATAATGAATTCTGCCTGGGCCCTATAGCCCTCACTTGCTCATTCCTTAGGGCTTGACTCTCTCTCTTCAATGCGGGATTAAACAGAGTTTGGTATTTTTGGGATCAGCATGTGTACTTTCCCATGATTTTTGAATACTATTAACCTTTTCTTATAAACAATTGTCTTTATTATGATTTCAAATATATATATTTCAATATATTTTTGAGCAAGTAACAGGTGTGATGAGCATATATTTTGAAATATATATATATTTGAAAATATAAATATATATATTTGAAATATATATATTTGAAAATATAAATACATATATATACACATACATATATATATATATATATATATATATATATATATATATATATATATATGCTTGAGATTCTTTGGTCCTGAAATATGAGTTGGATTTCTTAATGGCCATCAGTGCAAATGGGACTAATGAGAAGATATTTGCCTTAAAGGTAACTAACTTTTGGAGGATAACATATCTACTTTATATACCAAGGGATACCTGTTTTAGACATCAAAGGGGTTACAAACATTCATATTTTGCCCCAAAGGACAGCTGGGAATCTTACAAGCAAAGAGCCCTAGCATGACTCACTTGTTAATGTTTGCCACCTGGGGCACAAAATGTTTCATCATTGAGACTTGGAGTTTTTGGTAACTGCTTCATAAGTAGATTCAGTTCTTAACCTGGATTTCATATTTTCCTCCTTCATCCAAAATGATTTAATTTCTCAAGAATTGAATTATTTTTTAGAGTTCCTCTAAATTAAATGAAGAGTAAATAAAAAGGCCTTAGACAAAAACTGAATAATTTTATTAAGAATATGATAAATGTGATAGGTTGCAGTAGCCTGAAAATCTCATTATATGCAATTAAGGAGCTACATTAATGTAATTGTAGACTTCCTAGCATTTTAGCCAAGCACATACAGTATTTACAGATAATTGCATAGTAAGGGGGAAAATGCAAGCTGTGATTCTGGCATGCACGTGACTAACGTTGTCAAATTAAAACCTGGTTGGGTTTCTCCTTGAGTTATTAGCTTTAAAAAGCTTAATTTTTATCTTTTCAAGATGGGAAAATGCACAGGTATGTAAACAAAATGTATCCTGTTAAAAATCTTATAAAGCACAATGAAATTACAGGCACTATTAAAATACAGTAATAGTCATTTGGATAACACTAATTCCAAATTTGTAACTGTTTGGAACTTTACTGAGCAAGGAATTTTAAAGCAAATTAATATTCTAAGTAGTAGTGCAGTGAGGATGGGTAACTTATTATGAGGCCCCTGAATATATACATTGAGACCCCAAGATATATATATACATTGTTTGCATAAAATTGTGCTAAAATTTCAAAAGAGCCAATAAGAGACAGAAAGATATCATAGAAAAAGTGCTCAATTAGGCTGGAAGAAATCTGAACACATCCTGACTCTGTGAACAAAAGCTTGTATCATACAATCTTGAAAAAAAGGAAACTCTTTAGATCTTAGTTACCTCAATTATAAAACTCAATGATTGAATTAGATAAATTACAAAGTATCTTCAATCTCTAGAAAGTTTTAAGATGTTATCAAATCATTGAAGTAGGCCCTGCGGGTTAAATACTTTTCAGTGATCAGGTTGAATTATTAATCTGAGTTTTTACACTTGTCAATAGACTAACTTTTTAGAGCAGTTTTAACTTTACAATAAAACTGAGCAGAAGGTACAGAGATTTCCCTTACATTTCCTGCTCCTTCACAAGTATAGCTTCCCCCATGATCAACATCCCCCACACAGTGGTACTTTTGTTACAATTGATGGACCCACATTGACACCTCATTTCACCCAAAGTGTATAGTTTACATTAGGATTCACTTTTGGTGTTGCATATTCTGTGGGTTTGGACAACTACATAGTGACATATATCCATCATTATAACATCATATAAAGTATTTTCAGTGTCTTAAAAAAATCCTCTATGCATTGCCTATTCGTCCCTGCCTCCTCTATCAATTCCTGGCTACCAATGATCTTTTTTATTGTCTCTAGTTTTGCATTTTCCAGGGTGTCATATACTTGAAATCAAACTGTATGTAGCCTTTTCAGATTGGTTTCTTTCACTTAGTAACATGCATTTAGGTTTCCTCCATGTTTTTTCATGACTTAATAAGTCATTTCTTTTTAACACTGAATAATATTCCATTGTCTGGATGCACCACAGTTTATTTATTCATTCACCTACTCAAGAACATCTGATTGCTTCCAAATTTGAGTAATTATGAATAAAGCTACTATAAACATGCATGTGCAGGTTATTGTATGAACATAAGTTTTCAATTCCTTTGGGCAGATACTAAGGAGTGTGATTGCTGGATAATATGATAAGAGTATGATTAGTTTTGTAAGAAACTTCCAAACTGTCTTCCAAAATGACTGCACCAGAAAGGACCCACAGACCTCCTGAAGGAAGCAGATTGCCCCTGTAGGACCCAGAATACACCCCAAATACTGTGCTGGTATCCACGGCTGAGAGACCCACAGAGGATTAACATCACAGGTCTCTGTGCAGACAGCTCCCAGTACCAGCCCAGAGCCCGGTAGACTTGCTGGGTGGCTAGACCCAGAAGAGAGATAAAAATCACTACCCCTCAGCTCTCAGAAAGCCACATCTATAGAGAAAAGGGAGAGTACTACATCAAGGGAACAGCCTGTGGGACAAAAGAATCTGAACAACAGCCTTCAACCCTAGACTTTCCCTCTGACAAAGTCTACCAAAATGAGAAGTAACCAGAAAACCAACTCTGGTAATATGACAAAACAAGATTCTTTAATACCTCCAAAAAAAATCACACTAGCTCACCAGCAATTGATTCGAACCAAGAAGAAATCCCTAACCTACCTGAAAAAGAATTTAGGAGGTTAGTTATTAAGCTCATCAGGGAGGAACCAGAGAAAGGTGAAGCCCAATGTAAGGAAATCCAAAAAAAAAAAACCAAAAACAAACAAACAGAAAAAACAATGATACAAGAAGTGAAGGGAGAAATATTCAAGGAAATAGATAGCATAAATAAAAAACAATAAAAACTTCAGGAAACAATGGACACACTTATAGAAATGCAAAATTCTCTGGAAAGTCTGCAATAGAACTGAACAAGTAGAATAAAGACATTCAGAGCTTGAAGACAGGTCTTCAAATTAACCGAATCCAACAAAAACAAAGAATAAAGAGTAAGAAAATATGAACAAAACCTCGAAGAAGTCTGGGATTATGTTAAACAATCAAACCTAAGAATAATTGACGTTCCTGAGGAAGAAGAGAAATCTAAAAGTTTGGAAAACGTATCTGGGGGAATAATTGAGGAAAACTTCCTCAGCCTTGCAACAGACCTAGACATCCAAATGCAAGAAGCACAAAGAACACCTGGGAAATTCATCGCAAAAAAATCATAGCCTAGGCACACTGTCATCAGGTTATCTAAAGTTAAGACAAAGGAAAGAATCTTAAGATCTGTGAGACAAAAGCACCAAGTAACCTATAAGGGAAAACCTGTCAGATTAACAGCAGCTTTCTCAGCAGAAACCCTCCAAGCTAGAAGGGCTTGGAGCCCTATCTTCAGCCTCCTCAAACAAACCAATTACCAGCCAAGAAGTTTATATCCAGCGAAAATAAGTTTCACATATGAAGGAAAGATACAGTCTTCTTCAGACAAACAAATGCTGAGAGAATTCATCACTACCAAGGCACAACTACCAAAACTGCTAAAAGGAGCTCTAAATCTTGAAACAAATCCTGGAAACACATCAAAACAGAACCTCTTTAAAGCATAAATCTCACAGGATTTAACAAAAATACAATAAAACAAAAATACAATTAAAAAACAAAAACAAAAAACCAAGGTATATAGGCAACAAATAGCATGATGAATGGAATGGTACCTCACGTCTCAATACTAACATTGAATATAAATGGCCTAAATGCTCCACTTAAAAGATACATAATTGCAGAATGGGTAAGAATTCACCAACCAACTATCTGCTGCCTTCAAGAGACTCACCTAACACATAAAGACTCACACAAACTTAAGGTAAAGGGGTGGAAAAAAGACATTTTGGACAAATGGACATGAAAAGTGAGCAGAAATAGCTATTCCTATTCAGACAAAACAAACTTTAAAGCAACAGCAGTTAAAAAAGAAAAAGGGACATTATATAATGATAAAAGGTCTTGTCCAACAGGAAAATATCACAATCCTAAATATATATGCACCTAACACTGGAGCTCCTGAATTTATAAAATGATTATTAATAAACCTAAGAAATGAGATAGACAGCAACGCAATAATAGTGGGGGACTTCAATACTCCACTGACAGCACTAGACAGTTCATCAAGACAGTCAACGAAGAAGCAATTAATTTAAACTATACCCTGGAACAAATGGGCTTTACAGATATATACAGAACATTCCATCCAACAACTGCAGAATATACATTCTATTCAACAGCACATGGAACCTTATCCAAGATAGACTATATGATAGGCCACAAAACGAGCCTTAATAAATTTAAGAAAATTGAAGTTATATCAAGCACTTTCTCAGACCACAGTGGAATAAAACTGGAAATAAACTCCAAAAGGAACCTTCAGAACCATGCAAATACATGGAAATTAAATAACCTGCTCCTGAATGATCATTGGGTCAAAAATGAAATCAAGATAGAAATTAAAAAATTCTTTGAACTATATGACAATAGTGACAAAACCTATCAAAACCTCTGGGACACAGCACAGGCAGTGCTAAGAGGAGAGTCCATAGCCCTAAATGCCTACATCAAAGAGTCTGAGAGAGCAAAAACAGACAATCTAAGGTCACACCTTAAGGAACTAGAGAAACAAGAACAAACCAAACCCAAACCCAGCAGAAGAAAGGAAATAACCAAGATCAGAGCAGAACTAAATGAAATTGAAACCAAAAAAATACAAAAGATAAATGAAACAAAAACCTGGTTCTTTGAAAAGATAAATAAAATTGATAGACCATTAGCAAGATTAACCAAGAAAAGAAGAGAGAAAATCCAAATAAGCTCAATAAGAAATGAAATGGGAGATGTTACAACTGACACCACAGAAATACAAAAGGTCATTCAAGGCTACTATGAACACCTTTACATGCATTAACTAGAAAACCTAGAAAAGATGGATAAATTCCTGGAAAGATAAAACCCTCCCAGATTAAATCAGGAAGAATTAGATACCCTGAACAGACCAATAACCAGCAGTGAGATTGAAATGATAATAAAAAAAAATTACCAAAAAAAAAAGTTCAGGACCAGACAGATTCACAGCAGAATTCTACCAGACATTCAAAGAAGAATCGGTACCAATCCTATTAACACTATTCCACAAGATAGATAAAGAGGGAATCCTCCCTAAATCATTCTATGAAGCCAGAATCACCCTAATACCAAAACCAGAAAAGGACATAACTGAAAAAGAAAACTACAGATCAATATCCCTTATGAACATAGATGCAAAAATCCTTAACAAAATACTAGCTAACCAAATCCAACATATCAAAAAGATAATCCACCATGATTAAGCAGATTTCATACCAGGAATGCAGGTTTCCTGGTATGATGTGCTAAGAGGAATGCAGAATTCATACCAGGTTTAACATACGCAAGTCAATAAATGTGATATACTGCAAAAAGAGAATTAAAAACAAGAATCACATGATCATCTCAATAGATGCAGAAAAAGCTTTCAACAAAATCCGGCATCCCTTTATGATTAAAACTCTCAGCAAAATCAGCATACAAAGGACATATCTCAATATAATAAAATCCATCTATGACAAACCCACAGCCAACATAATACTGAATGGGGAAAAGTTGAAAGCATTTCCACTGAGAACTGAAACAAGACAAGGATGCCCACTCTCACCACTGCTCTTCAACATAATACTGGAAGTCCTAGCCAGAGCAATCAGACAAGAGAAAGAAATGAAGGGCATCCAAATTGATAAAGAGGAAGTCTAACTGTCGCTGTTTGCTGATGATACAACTGTTTACCTGGAAAACCATAAAGGCTCCTCCAGAAAGCTCCTAGAACTGATAAAAGAATTCAGCAAAGTTTCCAGATACAAAATTAATGTACACAAATCAGTAGCTCTTTTATACACCAATAGTGACCAAGCTGAGAATCAAATCAAGAACTCAACCTCTTTTATAATAGATGCAAAAATAAAATACTTAGGAATACACCTAACCAAGGAGGTGAAAGACTCTGCAAGGGAAACTACAAAACACTGCTAAAAGAAATCATAGATGCCATAAACAAATGGAAACACATCCCATGCTCATGGATGGGTAAAATCAATATTGTGAAAATGATCATACTGCCAAAAGCAATCTACAAATTTAATGCAATTCCCATTGAAATACCACCATCATTCTTCACAGAATTAGAAAAAAAAAATTCTAAAATTCATATGAAACCAAAAAAGAACCTGCATAGCCAAAGCAAGACTAAGCAAAAATAACAAATCTGGAGGCATCACATTACCTGATTTCAAACTATACTATAAGGCCGCAGTCACCAAAACAGCATGGTACTGGTATAAAAATAGGCACATAGACCAACGGAACAGAATAGAGGACCCAGAAATAAACCCAAATACTTACAGCCAACTGATCTTTGACAAAGCAAACAAAAATATAAAGTGGGGAAAGAACACCCTTTTCAGCGAATGGTGCTGGGATAATTGACTAGCCACATGTAGAATGAAACTGGAGCCTCATCTCTCACCTTATACAAAAATCAACTCAAGATGGATTACAGACTTAAATCTAAGACCTGAAATTATAAAAATTCTAGAAGATAACATCAGATAAAACCCTTCCAGACATTGGCTTAGGCAAAGATTTCATGACCAAGAACCCAAAAGCAAATGAAATAAAAACAAAGATAAATAGCTGGGACTTAATTAAGCTAAAGTTTTTGCATGGCAAAAGGAACAGTCAGCAGAGTAAACAGACAACACACAGTGTGGGAGAAAATCTTCACAATTTGTACCTCTGACAAAAGACTAATATCTGGAATCTGCAATGGACTCAAACAAATCAACAAGATGAAAACAAACAATCCCATCAAAAAGTGGGCTAAGGATATGAATAGACAATTTTAAAAAGAAGATATACAAATGGCCAACAAACACGCAAAAAATGCTCAATGTCACTAATGATCAGGGAAATGCAAATCAAAACCAAAATGCAATACCACCTTATTCCTGCAAGAATGGCCATAATCAAAAAAATTAAAAAATAGTAGATGTTGGTGTGGATGTGGTGAACAGGGAACACTTCTACACTGCTGGTGGGAATGTAAACTAGTACAACCACTATGGAAAACAGTGTGGAAATTCCTTAAAGAACTAAAAGTAGAACTACCATTTGATCCAGCAATAACACCTCTGGGTATCTACCCAGAGGAAAAGAAGACATTATACAAAAAAGATACCTGCACATGCATGTTTATAACAGAAAAATTCACAACTGCAAAAACGTAGAGCCAACCCAAATCCCCATCAATCAACGAGTAGATAAACAAACTGTGGTATATATATGATGGAATACTACTCAGCCATAAAAAGGAATGAATTAATGGCATTTGCAGCGACCTGGATGAGATTGAGATTGGAGACTATTATTCTAAGTGAAATAACTCAGGAGTGGAAAATCATACGTTGTATGTTCTCACTCATAAGTGGGAGCTAAGTTATGAGGATGCAAAGGCATAAGAATGACACAATGGACTTTGGGGATTCAGGGGGAAAAGGTCAGAAGTGGGTGAGAGATAAAAGACACAAATAGCTGTGTTACTGCTCCAGTGATGGGTGTACCAAAATCTCACAAATCACTACTAAAGAACTTACTCATGCAACCAAACACCACCTGTTCCCCAGTAACCTATAGAAATAAAAAATAAAATAAAATAAATTCCCGGTATCAATGAATGAGAGTTCCTGTGGCTCCACATCCTCACCAGCATTTGACATTGTCAGTGTTCTGAATTTGTGCCATTATAATGAGTGTGTAGTGGCTTCTCATACTGTTTTCATTTGCATTTCCCTGATGACAAATGTTATGGGTCATCTTTTCATATGCTTATTTGTCACCTGTATATCTTCTTTAGTGAGGTATTTGCTAAGGTCTTTGGCTCATTTTTAAATTGGGTTGTTTGTTTTCTTATTGTTCAGTTTTAAGAGTTTTTTGTATATTTTGAATAACAGTCCTTTATCAGGTATGCCTTTTGCAAATATTTTCTCCCAGTCTATGGCTTATCTTTTTTTCTCTTGACAAAGTCTTTCACAAAGGAGAAACTTTTAATTTCAATGATGTCCAGCTTATCAACTATTTCTTTCATGGATTGTGCCTTTAAGTTATACCTAAAAAGTCATTATCGAACTCAAAGTTATCTAGATTTTCTCCTATGTTATCTTCTAGGAGTTTCATAGTTTTGCATTTTACATTTAGGTCTGTGATCCACTGTGAGTTAATTTTTCTGAAAAGAATAAGGTGGTCTGTGTCTAGATTCCTTTTATTTTCTTTTTGCTTGTGGATGTTCAGTTTTTCCAGCACCATTCTTGAAAAAACTATCTTTTATCCATTGTATTGCCTCTACATTTGTTTTTAAAAAGTTAGAATTTTTATCAATTTAGATTCACCTACCTTCAGATACAGTAGGTGGTATAGACTGAAGGCTTGTGTCTCCCCAAAATTCATATGTTGAAATTCTATCCCCTAATATGATGTTAGTAGAAGGTGGGGCCTTTGGTAAATGACTGGGTCATGAGGGCATTGTCCTCATAAATGGGATTAGTGCCCTTATGAAAGAGGCCCTGGAGAGCTCCTTCAACCCTTCTTCCAGAATAGGAGTTCTCACCAGACATTGAATCTACTGGCACCAGACCCTGAATCTACTGGCACCAAAATCATCTACTGATCTTGGACTACCCAGCCTCCACACTGTGAGAAATAAGTTTTTGTTGTCTATAACCCACTCAGTCTATGGTATTTTGTTATAGCAGGCCAAATGGACTAAGACAGAGGGAAATAATATGGACCAGACACCTTCTATGTATTAGGAACTGTATAGCCACTTTCACATATGCTAAGCATGTTTACAGTATAGATCTACTCTATTGAGAAAAAAATGGATTTTGCACACTGCTAATTTTATGTTAAAAGAGGTTATAATTATTTTAAAGTCACTTAACTTAAAATATGTATCGAAGACCATGGTTATGATCACAGTGGTCAACATGCCTCTCTTCACTGAATATTGGGTACTGCATTGAGTGCATTGGCCCAGGCATCCTCTAGGGAAGATGCTATTACGATTCCCATTTTACAGATGCACAAAGTAAGCCTTGGAGAGGTCAGGCAACTTGCCCAAGGTGACTCAGCCAGCATATGCAGGAGTCAGGACTTGAACTCGAGTCATTCTAAATCTAAAGTTATGGGCAAACCATTTTAAATGTGGACTCAAAAAAGAAGTTGTGCACTTCCCACTGCCCTCCAAAGAGGTCAGAGAAAAATGAATATATAGTAAACACCCTGTATCTAATTTCTCCTACCGAATTCATGAAGAATAAGTAAGTGATTCAGCCATTTTCCTGGCTCCTGCCCCTGAATGATGGAAAACAAATGTTCTTGCTAAAGGGCTTGGGTGGAAGCTATCAACAGGAATGAAATCTCAAATGATAGCTGCCCAGAACCACATAGCAATATATTATCACTCATACAGTTTATGGAACATTCACTCATTTTTTTTTTACAACATCAAGTTTAACTTTGCGGGAGGCAAGTTGTGTTATAAAACTGCAACAACAAAAAAAAGTGTTCGAAAATGTTGATATGATTGTCTATCTAACAGAAGGGAGACAATTTGCAGCAAAATAATTGGTACATTTTCCCACTGTATTATATTTCTCAAAACATGTTACTGTGGGAGGAGATTAGCTTCCCCTTTCTTCAGGAAGAAAATGACTTGTCTCCTATAGTGAATAAAACTGTCATTCTGAGAGCTGACAAATGCTAACAACCTTTGGAGGTGCAGTGTGCAAGCATCTAAAAAGCAAATAAAATAAAATGAAGAATAGAGTAACCAAGGAAAGAAAGGTCATGAAAGGAAATAGTGGGGTAGAACCCTTAAATATATATTTAAAAAGAAAGCATCAAAAATCTGTGTAATGCCAGAAATAAGAGTCATACACTAAAATGAAGAGAAACAAAAATAAATACATCTAAAGTAACTTCAATTAGTTTACCTTTTTATGTTAGGCTCTGTAACATCAAATTCAATATAACAGATTCTATTCTGTTTTGCTAAATATGAACTTGCATTAAGAAGACAATAGAGCTGACCACTTGTTCAAACCACACATGTTCAAAATAACAGCATTCAGAGCCAGAGATGGGATCATTGGCTGATATGGCATGAGCTTCATCATGTACCCCTGCATTCTTGGTCCCTGTGGCCCTGGTGGGATTAGAATAATATAGCAGGCCAAATGGACTGAGTGGTAACAGAAGAAAATGGACAGGAGGCCAAAAAATAATACTAGGTGAGTAAGGGGTCCTGGGAGGCAGTTATGACATGACTAAGGATTTGGCAAATGGTGGCAGTCAAGAGAAGATTCGAGTCAATCCTGGTGTTCCCCTTTCCTGTTAGAAAAGGCTCTCAAATAATGACATTTGTATGGCTGCATTTTCTTTTTACTTTTTTTTTTTCACTGACTAAAAGTCTGCAACTCACGAAACTCAGATTTTTATCTGTCAAGGTAGAGTATTTAAATTCTTGTTACCCTCCGTACATTCCCAACTACTTTTTAGCATAAAGTTGGGGGTGGTGGGGATGCTACTAAAAACCAAAGTGGTGGTTGCGTCTTAGAGGAATTGTCTTTACTCAGCAATGACCAGTGCTCAGCCGGGCACAGTGGCTCACGCCTGTAATCCCAACACTTTGGGAGGCCGAGGCGGGCGGATCACGAGTTCAGGAGATTGAGACCATCCTGACCAACATGGTGAAACCCCATCTCTACTAAAATACAAAAAATTAGCCGGGTGTGGTGGCGCAGGCCTGTAGTCCCAGCTACTTGGGAGGCTGAGGCAGGGGAATCGCTTGAACCTGGGAGGCGGGGGTTGCAGTGAGCCGAGATGGGGCTACTGCACTCCAGTCTGGCGACAGAGCAAGACTCCGTCTCAAAACAAACAAGCAAAAAACAATGACCAGTGCTTTTCTGTATTTCATGAATATGTAGATGTTAGAGGTGGAAAAGTCTTCAACAACTATCCCAAAGGTTTGTGTAAGAAATGTGGTTCTTCACAAATAACAACCATAAGAGTAATCTGGCCAGACACGGTGGCTCACGCCTGTAATCCCAACACTTTAGAAGAAAGAGGCGGGTGGATCACGAGGTCAGGAGATCGAGATTATCCTGGCTAACACAGTGAAACCCCGTCTCTACTAAAAATGCAAAAAAATTAGCCAGGCGTGGTGGCGGGCGTCTGTAGTCCCAGCTACTCGGGAGGCTGAGGCAGAAGAATGGCGTGAACCCGGGAGGCGGAGCTTGCAGTGAGTGGAGATCATGCCACTGCACTCCAGCCTGGGCCACAGAGCGAGACTCTGCCTCAGGAAAAAAAAAAAAAAAAGAGTAATCGATGAGTATTGTCTATTGACTGCTTACTATGTGCCATGTAGTATGCTAAGTAGTTGACATATGTGCAGTCATTAGCTCTTCCTAATTCTATAAAATGTATTATTATCATCCTCATTTGAAGATAGGGAAACAGAGCATTAGAGAGTCTGAGCCCTTACACAAGACACAGCTGGTAAATGGTCAATTTTAGATTCGGAAATTTTTTTTTTTATTGGAAGCCAGACATTGTGAATTTTAAGTTGTTAGGTATTAGATATTTTTCTATTATTTTCTTGTATTCTGGAATATAATTAAGATACTTGGGAAAATTTTGGTTCTTTTAGGTCTTGCTTTTAAGGTTTTCTGGGCAGGACAAGACCAGTGTTATTCAAAGGCTAATTATTCCTCACTACTGACGCAAAATACCTCACAACATAGTACCTGATGCCCCATAAATTGTGAGATTTTCTCTTCTGGCTGGTAGGAACAGGAACTGGTCCCAGCCCTGTGTGAGCTCCTATTATGGTCCCTCTAATCCTTTCAGGTAATTCTTTCCCCATTCTTGCATAATTACCTCCCATGGATGTGCTGATCAGTACTCAGCTAAAGACTCAGGAGGACCCTCTATAGATCTCCAGGGTTGTTGCTTGACGTAGCTCTCTTCTCTCCAGTGCTCTACCCTGTAAACTCAAGCCTTGGTCTCTCTGGACTCAGCTCTGTCTTCTCAACTCAGACTGCCTTGCCAGGCCTGGGTTCACTTCCCTGCACCTCAGCCTGGAAATTCACTTCCAGCAGCAAGGGGGACAATTGTGGCACTCACCTTGTTTGTTTTCCATCTCTCAGAAATCCCTGTCCTTCATGGTCTGATGTCTTTGTAACTGCCCAATGGCATCAATGTTATCTAGTTGTCTAGTTGTTTTGGAAGAGAAGGTAAATCTACATCTGACCCAGATGCAGATAGCCTCAGGTCCAGATCAGAAGCTCAGCAGTTAGGTTTTGGAACCTGAGCCTATAATCACTATACTACCTTTTATGAAGTAGTCAGGACCAGAAAGGTTAAATGACTTACTAAGGTGTATACCATAAGAAACCGAAGATCTTTCCTTTCAATACATTTTCCCAAAAAAAAATCATTGTTTGAAAAATGATATTAGAAGAGGATAAGAAAAACACATTCAGATCCTCTGTTTAATCCTCTTTTAAATATTTTTCTCTAGGCTCAACTATCAGATTTTCCTCTGAGGGAATGCTCACATTTTCTAGTCCTGAAAGATCATCCTATAGATATTTCAGGAAAAGTGCATGAAGCATTTTTTATGTCCATGAATCCCACGTCATTACCAGCATAGCTTATGATTGGGGTGGGGCTTTTCTAATATCCCTGACCGTATGAACAAATTGGAGCAATGCAGATATGTCTCACTTTACCGAACAAATTTATTTCTAAAAAGCTGGGCTTAAACCAAATTTGAATAAATTGAATAATTTCAAATGTACCAGTAAAGCTTACTGCTTAAAATAATACTAATATTTTTATGAATTAAATCAAAAACCCCTTAGTTACTGTGAGAGGCAATGTAGCATTGTGGCTAAGTGCACAGGCTTTGGAAACTGGCAGGCCTGGGTTCAAATCCCAGCTTATTCACTATTTGACCTTGGTCAAGTCACTTAATTTATCAGAGCCTCAAGTTCTTTTATAAAATGAGGATGAAAAGAGTCACCCTCTTGGGAACAACACACACTGGGGCCTACCAGAGGGTGGAGGGTGGGAGGAGAGAGAGGAGCAGAAAAAAAATAACTATTAGGTACTAGGCTTAGTAGCTGGGTGATAAAATAATCAGTACTTCACACCCCCGTGTCACCAGTTTACCTATATAACAAACATGCACATGTACCCCTGAACCTAAAATAAAAGTATTTTATAAAAAGAGTCATATTCTTGAGTTGTTGAGAGGATTTGGTGAGCTAATCCTGGTAAAAATGCGTAGCACACTGTCTGATGCTTAGCACTAAAGTTACTATCATTAGTACACTTATATAGAAAAATTAAAAGGTCACACAATCAGAGGAAATGAGAAATTAGAAGTTGTCATTTCTAGATAAAACTCCTTCCAAGTATATGCTGGGTTTTAGTTTAATTTTAAATATATTAAAAGTTAGACTACCCAACATTTTCCTTTTTTTTTCTTTTTTCTTTTCTTTTCTTTCTTTTTTTTTTAAGATGGAATTTCTCCCTCTCCCCAGGCTGAAGTACAGCGTCATGATCTCTGCTCCCTGCCACCCCCGCCTCCTGGGTTCAAGCAATTCCCCTGCCTCAGCCTCCAGAGTAGCTGGGACTACAGGTGCATGCCACCACACCCAGCTGATTTTTGTATTTTTAGTAGAGACAGGGTTTTACAATGTTGGCCAGTCTGGTCTCAAACTCCTGGCCTCAAGCAATTTTCCTGCCCTGGCCTCCCAAAGTGCTGGGATTAAAGGCATAAGCCAAATACCCAACATTTTCTTATAAGAGTTTTATAACTAAAATAGTTCACCTTGGTATCACTGTGTTTCAATTTTCATTTACTTAATATTATTCATCAATACCTATGTACCATGGAAACTAATTCTGCAGTGTTTCTATCTTTTGGATATTATTTGATAACTTTCTCAGCACATCACACTTTTTCAGTTATCATCTCAATCAACTACACATATTTATTTCTTCTCATATTTCTAACCTACATGAATGATATTCTTTAGCTCTAAACAATCCTATTATTTTCTACAAATATTATTTTTAAAATACAATAATTTAGGTAATGTTTTCCTCAAAATCATAGGAAAGGAAAATTTCAATATCCTTTTTAATCTGCAATTTCCAATTCACACCTAATCATATCTGTTTTGACAGCTGTATCATCTTTCAGACCAGTCACTTATATCAGTCCATGAAAGCAGGTTAGACCTAAAAGAATTGACTCAGCAAGCCTAGAAGATTAAGTATAATTATTATCACAACTTTTTCATATAACCTCCTAATGCATCTGTGTTTGAGATTGAATTCTTAGTATATTTAGGGTTGCCTGTATTTTTACTTGATAAATCTGGCAGCTCTAAATATGTTTGAAATAGGCATATGCTTGTACATTCACAAAGTCTAGAAAAGGCTATATGTGAACATAACTGTGCAAGTTGGTAGAATATTTAAGAACTTGAAGGTTGTCAATGGTATAAAATATGAATATTTATGATATCTGAACACATCTTTGTATAATTTCTCTTTCCCCGGTGATTTCAACAAGTTTTAATGCAATACAAATGTAAAATGTCATCAACTTACTTAAATAGAGCCTCCAAAATCAAACACGAAGATGGTAAATGAAGGCAAACTTAGTCCTCACATCTGAAATATCTTGTCATCAGATGAACCATTATTTTATCTTAGTGGTCTTCCTAGCATCTAACAGAAAATAAGAGGTTCACACCAAAGCCAATTTCAATTAATTCAAGATGGAAAATTTCATGTGACATTATCAAACACTTTACCAAAATTGAGATAGATTGCATCTACAATTTCACATTACATTTGTCTACTGATCTTGTAGCTCTATCAAAAAAAAGCAATCAAGTTTGTCTGGCATGATTTGCTCTTTTTAAATTCCTATTTTGTAATGTCCAATATCATTATCCTTAGATGTTTCATCAATGCTTACAGGCTTCCTTTTAATATGCATTCTATTCTGTTACTATAGATTTACCTTGCTTTTGCTGGACAATTATTTGTGTTGTTCACCTTTTAAGAACAACAATAATCATTATCATTAGGATAATGCTCCAGTAATTATTCCTCATATTTGGGTTGATAAAGGAACTCAAATCAATTTTACAAGTACTTATTGCACATTTACTAATTGCTTATTACTCTGCCAGGCATTATGAAGAGGAAAGACTGGAAGAAGCAAACTTTCTAGAGAAGCCATTGATCTCACTAAGGAGATAAATACAGTGTAATGCATTCATTAGTACCCAGGGTTTCATAAACTCTAGTAGGCTAAAAAAAAAAAAAAAAAAAAAAAAAAAAAAAAAAAAAACTTATTAAAATTCAAGTTTTCATGCCTTCCTTTTAAAAATTCTAATTCTGCATTTGCATTTTTAACAAGCACCCTCAGGTGAGTTCCGCATAAACATTTCTTAAACTACACTTGAATAAAACTGATCTGGACAGTCAGGTATCATAGGATCGGAATAGAAGTCAGCCATTATAGGTCAATGTCATACAAAAAGACTTTGTGGCTGAATCACGACTGTAAGGATAACAGATTGACTAAGTTCTTATAGTATTACCTGAGAATGTGCTGGAACTGCTTTGAAATACACTTGATTGAGAAAGGTAGACCTTTTTGTACACTGTGACCATCTGTTCTTTGGTCAAATCAATAAGGTAATAAAGGATTAATAAAGTTACTATATAAGTTAATAAAGGCAACAAAAGATTAATAAAGTTAAAGTTACAAAAAAAAAACAAAAAAAAAAACACGTATCCCTAAACATGCCAAAGGAATTAAAACAAATTTATCACTGAGAAGCATTTATCTGGATTGTTACATTATAGATCAGATACATTACAGAACTTGGGAATTTATCAAGTATTTAGTGACAATTGAGCAAGCAATACTTAGAGATAATTTCTGAGTTGCCAAGAGATTTTTACCCTGTAAGTCAGTCCTGCAGTACTTCTGTGAAAGCCTGCAGTGTTAAGAATGATTCTTCTAAATTCAGAAGGTATTAAATAAAAACTCTGAACAATTTTTCCAAATATCTCGGACTGGTCTACTGTAGACAAGGTCTATTTTATTCCTTGTACTATCCATACAAAACTAACATATTAGTCAGGGTCCAAGCAAGAAAACGGTATTTAAAACAGAAGGAATTTAATACTGGAGGAAATGTGTTATGCAGTTGATGAAAGAAATGAATAACCAAAGGGGACAGTGAAGCAACCAGAGATTAACAATACAGAAAGCCTCTTCCCCTAAGAAAAAGAGGTGGTATTTCCACAGCCCAGAGGCTGGGCCACCTGACTGAAGCCAGAGCAATGGGGGCAGAGAGACAGAGGAAGAAATACCCTGGCGTCTCCCTTCCCCTCACCCTCCAATCTCCTACGAATGCTTTCCAGGGCAGAACCCAGCAAAATGACAGCTGACATATCTCACAGCATGTGGTGGAAAACAGCGAAGAAGGAGTCTAAGAGCAAATAAGTCAAGAACTGTCAAGGAAAGGTGGCGGTGGTGGTCGTGGTGTGATTACTACTGTTTTTTAATGTTATTTTAAAATAGAGAAATTTTGTTTGCACAAATATTTTGAAATCTTTATAACTTCTCAATCCCATATTTCAATTATTCAACAATTCATGCCAGTTCCAAATAAATTACATTTTATCCTTATATTCTTTACCACTCTAGTTTCATATGAATTAAAACTTGATGCTGGAAATAAATTTCATTTTTCTTTTTATAGTATTACTAAATGCAGATCCTTTGTCCCGGCTTACCTCTCTTACCTATATATGAGAAGATATTCTTATATCATTCCTGATTTTTTTTGTGTGTCCAAATGTCTTGTCTTCATCTTTTTTTCAATGTACATTTCCAAAGAACAATCTGATATTTAAATCATTTATTTACCATAATTCTGTTTTCATCCAGACTCATTAATGGAATTTTTGTATTTATTAATTTCTATTTCCCCAGCAGAAGGCCATATATTAGTCCCTTTAGCCCATTTATCTAGTAAAAAGGATATGCTCAGAAACAAAATTTGGTATCTCCCCACCCAAAAATTCATCATGGCTGGGTGCAGTGACTCATGCCTGTAGCCCCAGCACTTTGGGAGGCTGAGGCAGAAGGATCTCTTGAGTCCAGGAGTTCGAGACCAGCCTGGGCAACATAGTGAGATCTCGTCTTTACAAAAAATGAACAAAATTAGCCAGGCGTGGTTGTGCACACCTACAGTCCCAGCTACTCAGGCAGCTGAGGTAGGAGGATTCCTTGAGCCTGGGAGGTCGAGGCTGCAGTGAGCTGAGATCATGCCACTGCACTCTAGCCTGGGTGACAGAATGAGACCTTGTCTCAAAAAAATAAAAAGTAAAAAATCCATCATGTTAATTAAGTGCTACAATGGAGCTTTATGTTCAACAAAGTGTTTTGCATAGTGTGTGTGTGTGTGTGTGTGTGTGTGTGTAAACAAGTGTCTTCAAGAATGAGAAACAAAGAAATGCAATTATAGGATCTGGTGCTTCCATTCATGTCTTTATGCATAAATGCATAAATGCAATACATAAATGATTTAGCAATTATGTAATCATGTTCTCAGAACACATAATTCCCTTTTGCCACAAATAATTACCCAAACTCCACAGGTTATATTTCAGTTGACCCTCACTTCTTAATAACTAATTTCTAGTCTCATCAGATCAGTCTCCTCACTGACTGCTCAACACCCCCATGTTCAATTTTTTCATGATTTTTCTAGTCTACTTCTCCCCACACAACATTATCCGTCATCTCCCCACTACAAAACTCCCTATCTAAACCTCACCTCCTTCATGGAATTTACCATGATAAACCAGCCCAAAGGGATTCTTCTTCTTTCTCCTGAACTCCTATTGGACTTCATGTCTATGACTTGTCTATTCATTACTGCACATATGTGCATCCTCAAAAGTTCTTTAAATTCTTAGGAACAGGACCCTCAGTTTACATCCTACAAATATGTAGGAGCATTGAACAAAGGACAAATAACCAAAAACACAGTTACTGAATGCCACTGAAGTTTCATAATCAGTCCTGGAGAGGTGTTTTTGAAGTCATCAAAAGACGACGGAGAAAAGACAAAAAAGAATGATGTTTTAGTGCAAAATCTAGAAGACCAGATGAAAGATCAATAACCCAGAAAGAAACAAAAATAAATGAATTTCAGGTATGCAGACGTAGATTTCCTCTAAAGAAACTTCTCATTCGTTTTAGGGAGGTTTCCAAGACATTTTTTCCCCATTGGAAAAAAATTTCATATTTTTATCTTCATTGATTAAATTTCTTTCTGTTTTAGCCAGCAATATATTTTTTGCTGCCTCTCGCATCTTGAAAAACAACTCTGAGGAATTTCATCTCATAGTCACTCTTTATTATCTGTCTGCTACCCTGTCTTAATTCAGTTCCATCAGGAGGATCAAATCTAAAGCCCATCTGTAGCTCTGATTAGGTGTTCACTAAATGTGATTTTGAAACTCAAGTCTCAAGATATTCTCATTCTCGGAGCTTGTTGAAGGTCAATGGAGCTTACACCGGTGACAGTGACAGTTAAGCAAGGTGGCTTCCCCTCAGGGTGTCCCCTCACCCACCACTTGGACCCTATCATGCTGGTCTATTTCCTCATTTAAACCCCTCAATGCCAGTATGTCTTCAACGTAAAGATCAATTTTCTCCCTGTTTCAGTTTCTTTTTCACAGTTACTTCTTCATTTAATCTTTAGGACCATCTCAATCGCCATCAATCTAAACATAGCAATCAAATGTCTCATCTCTTTAAAATGTCTTGCCACAGGTGGGGGCAAAAATCCCCCCTCCTGATTGAATGAGCAATTTAAAAGAAAGATGTTGAACAGAAGAAATTATATCTTCAGAGAAAGGCCATTTCATCAGAAACCTGCGGGTGGAGGGGCAGCTTTTTGTTTTTGTTACTGAAAGGGTTTATATTTTAATCTTTGCTTTAAGAATGCTTTTTCCTGAAAAAAAAAAAAATCTTACCATTTATGAATGAGATCTGAAAACCGAAGTTTGGTAACCTACTGCAAGTGTTTTGTTTACTTAAAGAAGACTCCTACTAAACCTTAAGTGGACTTGATCTCTTTTTCTCTATGTAGATAGCTACTGTACCACTTTAAATGTCTGCAGTAGGCTTCATGCTAGGTTCTCTGTTTCCATGCTCATTTATTTTTTCCTAAGCAAATGATCAGCAAATCGTTGAACTAGGTGTCTCTCTTAGTCCATCTGGGCTTTTATAACAAAATACCTTAGACTGGATATGATTATTTGTAAACAATAGGAATTTATTGCTTACACCTCTGGAGGATGGAAAGTCCAAGGTCAAGGTTATAGCAGATTTGGGTTGAGGGAGGGTTTACTTTCTGCTCTAAAGATGGCACTTTCTTGCCTCATCCTCAAATGGTGGAAGGGGGCAAGGAAGCTCACTTGAGCCCCTTTGATAAAAGCATAAACCCCATTTATAAGGATGGAGCCCTTGTGACTTAATCACTTCCAAAGGGCCCACCTCTTAATACTATTGCCTTAAATTCAAAGGTTCCAACACGAAGTTCGGAGGGGACACAAACATTCCCATAGCAGTGCCTTAGGGTCAATTAGGATTAATATGACACAGCCCCTGTTCCCAGTGACATAGGTGTGATAGACATGGGTACAAATAAGCTATAAGGAAAAGTAATACATGGCAAGGAGGATACAAGCATACCTCACTTTATTGCACTTTACATATATGGCATTTTTTACAAATTGAAAGTTTGTGGCAACCCTGTGTTTAACAAGTCTATTAGTGCCATTTTCCCAACAGTATGTGCTCGCTTTACATCTCTGCCACATTTTGGTAGTTCTCACTATATTTCGAACTTTGCCATTATTATTTTATCTGCTATGGTGATCTGCCATCAGTTATCTTTGATGTTACTATTGCAACTGTTTTGAGGTACCACAAACTGTGCCCACATTAGATAGTGGACTTGATAAATATTGCATGCCTTCTGACTGCTCCACCAACCAGCTGTTCCTCCATCTATCTCTCTTTGGGCCTCTCTATTCTCTGAAACACAAAAATATTGAAATTAGTCCAATTAATAATCCTACAATGGACTCTAAATATTTGAGTGAAAGGAAGAGTCACATGTCTTTCACCTTAAATCAAAATCTAAAAATGATTAAGCTTAGTGAGGAAGGCATGTTGAAAGCCAAGATAGGCTGAAAGCTAGGCCTCCTGTGACAAGCAGTGAGCCAAGTTGTGAATGCAAGGGAAAAGTTATTGAAGGAAACTTCACTACATCGAACACATGACTAATAAGAAAGCAAAACAGCCTTATTGCTGATAAGGAGAACATTTTAGTGGTCTGGATAGAAGATCAAACAAGCTACAACATTCCCTTAAGCCAAAGCCTAATCCAGAGCAAGGTCCTAATTCACTTTAATTCTATGAATGATGTTGGAAGTCTTAAGAGTGGATAAAGAACATTAATGGAGTGATCAGACGAATGATAGTGGCATCATAAATGGAGATAAGTCTTCTGAAGGCAGCAGATAGAAAGGGGACTGATACAGACCCAACCGTCAGGGATGTGATTTGGGGCTGAAACCTTTAGGATGGATAGTAGGTGACAAGGCTGACAGCTTGGGGAAAAACATTCTAGACGTGGCCAAAGAATAAAAAATTGCTTTGGGAGCTTTCAGAGAGATACATTCTTTCGGGGGTAGGGTGGGAGGAGTGAGGGTAGAGGGGCTGCATCCTGCAGTGTGTAGTTAGATCACTAGTGATCGAATTAACCAAAGGTAAGACTTTATCAGGAGGCGATGGTGGGAAAGAGATTGTAGGACAGAGAAGGCAGAGGCAGGCCAGGAAGAGGAGTGTTCTGGGAAAACAAATAGCATGATTTCGTTAGCTGTTGGTAGTGAATTCAGTGAAGAGGCTGGAAAAAGAAGGTGATCGAAACATCGAGGCCACGCCTACCTGAACTAAGATTTGGTGTTTTTCTAGGCATGCAATGGAAAATCACCGAAGGCTCAGAGCAGGACTATCATACGATTGGAATCATGTTTTAAGGATATCAATCTGAATTTGAGAGGTAGAAACAGGAATGGAAAGGCAGCTGTAGATGCAAGAGATAGTCACAGAAGTAGATAAACAATATGAGTCTGTGAACGATGTTTTAGGTATTCAGGAGCTCTAAACAAATTTTATACTGAGAAAGAAGGAGAAAAAACTAACAAATATTAGGACAAATCTTCTACATCCTATTAGGAATTTCTTAGGAATTATTTAATCTCGAGAAATCCTTGAGGTGCATATTATTATCCTTTTTATACTTATATATCCTTAATATTATCCTTATATAAAAGTGAGAAACTGAGGCTCAGAGGTGTAATTAACTTGCCAAAGAGCAAGTTGATAAATTAGAGAGCTAGGATCTGAATCTAAGCTTGTTTAACTTCAAGCTTCTTCTTTCCTAGTTCCCAATTCTTACCCCGTTTGCCGTTCCTCAGACTCTGTTGACATTCAAGGGGATTCTCAGAACTCTGCAAACCTCTGATTGAATAAGAGAAATACCCAAGCAGCCCCCCAGCCAATGTCACACATATTTATCTATGGGATAAGAGAGAGATGATCTCTGATAAAACATGCAATTGGGAGAGTAGGGGAAAATAATCCATCTCTGAGGGGCCTGGTCCATCTCTCCCTGAAATTTCAATGGTAAGGCATTTGCAGGATGCAAAAACCAGTCAGTGGATTCAGTATATTAACTTTCACTTTGTTGTTTTTATTTTCTCTGTAGGGATCGAAAGATGAAGAACTCTTGTTGAAGCTCATAACTCCCTAATTACTTATTATTAACAGCGAAAATCTGATTTTCAAAGTTGTTTAATGGTCATGCAATAAAGCAATGTAAGACGACTGCCGATACTGTAGCGTGGGTCTCCAAAGAGTTGAGTGATGTCGTAGCTACTGTTATTTCTAAAATAGAAATAGAAAAAGCTATGACTACAATATTGCCTGGGATTCCCAGTCACCCACTGAAAAATGCCTTCCAGACTTGGACGGGTCAAGCAGAAGATTGTTATATAATAAGGTTTCCCCCTGCCCACCCCAACCAGTCTTTGTCATAGCAGGAAAAAATTAAGTTGACTATTAGTCAGAGGGAAAAAAAAACCAAACCAATTATTAAGCATATTTCATTATGTGTAGAGTTGTTTTCTGGCTCCTATTACCACCACTGGCTGTGCATTTTAGCATTAATTATGTAGGGACATCAAAAGTGTACTGATAGTATAATTTGAAACCATTATACCAAGTATCTCCATGCTAGCTCATCATGCTTGGCAACAAACAGGAAGGTAAAATGCAAAGTAGCCATAAAAAAGGAGAGGGAACAAATGAATAATAAATAGACAATTTTATATTACTCATAGGAACAATGAGAACCCATCTACAAATTAACTGCACTAGCCATGATTCTCTGAAGGTTCATCCATAGAGTGGTAATGCTATTAAGAATGAGAAGTCCAGCAGACAGGTGTATTTCTAGACCATCATAGAAAGAAAATATTTCAAGACAACTTGGTTATACAGAACATTTTAGAGTAGTCCTTATTGAAGAGGGGTGGCTTTCAGAGATCTGAGGAAAGTGGTCCCTAAAAGGGTTAGTGCTGGCACAGACCTCTCCTCCTCATTCATCAAAAAAATGAAAGCCAACAGATGAGGCTCTTGTAGTTTTGATCAAATTCACAAATCTGCCTGCAGCTGCCCAAGCCCTCTTCCACTTCCTGCGAGAGCCACTCCTTCTAATTGCATTTAGGCTTCTATCTCCTCCTATATTCTGGTGGTTCTTACGCTAGTAAGAATTACCAGGTAATTCCTGGTTATTACTACTCTCTTCTCAAGGTACCATTGTCTGTTATTCTCTCCCTCCCTCTCTGTCTCTCTCTCTCTCTCACTCACTCCCCAACATTTAACATCCTCAAGTCTCTTCCATATGAAAAAGAAAAAATCCATCAGCCCTTCATCCAACCTGCAGCTGACAATGTTTTTAACAAACACTACCTCATCTTCCTTATCTCCTTCTCACTCTTCATGTTCTTTAAGTCTGAACCACCACTTTTCACTCCACTAAAACTGCTCCTCAGGATCACTACGGTCCTCATATTGCTAAATCCAGTGGTCATTTTTTGGTTATATTTTCCTGACCTCTCAGCAGCATGTGACACTATTGATCTGTCCCTTCTTCTTGAAGTTCTCTTTTTTTTTTAACAGCACACGCTGTTAGGTTTTCTTCCTACCACCTTGGCCATCCTCATTTTCTACTGGTTCTACAATTTTGATGTTTCCTTGGGCTCTAAGTCACTCTTCTCACTTAAAGGAACTTAGAAGCTCCTATAACTTCAAGTACTATCCTTAGGCTAAAGAGTTTGCAGTTGGTATTTCCAGGTCAGAACTGACTTCTAAGCTCCACTCCAATACATCAAAGGGCCAACTGGACATCTCCACTTGGTGTCTTATAATTATCTTAAATTCAATATGTCTAACAAGAAACTTAATTTTTCCCCTTAAAACTTGCTTCTCTCTTGGCAAATGCCATAATTAAGTACGCTCATACTCAAGCAGAAATCTGAGAATAATTTTGGGTACCTTTTTCTCTTCTTCTTATCTCTCACCACTCTCATTAAATCAAGCATCAGTCTGTTAATTTATTCCACAAATATTTATTCAGCCAATTCTCTATGTTAGGTGCTATGCGGAGCAAAACAGCCCAAATCCAAAATCCCTGCCCTCATGGAACTTATAGTTTAGTGAGGAAAACAGTAGTCACTAAACAAGCAAACAAACAAATAAGAAAGCATGAAATACAAGAAAAAATAAAACAAGTTGAAAGATAACCCAGGATGGAGTAGAATTGGGGAAAGGAAGAAATAAAGAGATGTTTTGGAAGTTAGAATTGAAAGGTTTTCCTGAGAGAGTGGACATAAGCATTAAGTAAAAAAGAGAAATTAAGGAATATTCTCAGCTTTGGCTTTTCAATTGACTTATGTAGGTGGATGATAGTGCTATTGACTCAGGTAGTGGAGAGGCAGGTGGTAGAGAGGTGGGAAATCAATGATTCAGTTTTTGATGTGCTCAGTTTGGAAGGTCGGTTAGACTTCCATGTGGGCTTGTCAAGTAGGCAGCTGGGGTCATAACCAGGAACTTCAAGGAGAGGTCTAGACCTGAGACAGAAACTTTTGAGTCAGTAGCATATAGACAATAAAATCACCTAGAAGAACAGTGTAGACACTGTACAGTAGAGACAGAAAGAAAGCAACCCAAGGATCCCCTCGATGATGAATTTCATCACAGTTGAATAAAGTGGGGGAAACAGTTTAAAAGAGACAGAAGCATATTAGAGAAAGGAGAAATGGGTAAAAATAGACCAAGAAGGAGAGAAGTAAGTACAGGAAAAAAACAAGAAAAATGTAGTCACAAAAGTCAAGAGTTCAAATACTAGAACACTGTCAAATAAAAGGAGAACAGAAAAGTGTCCACAGACTTGTCAAAATTAAGTGACTGTGACTGTGACTGTGATACAGGCAGTATTAGAAAAATCATAAACCAGAAATCCTGTAGCTCCATTTTCTAAACGTTTCCCAAGTATGCCTAATTCATTCCATCTTAATTCAGGTTTAAACCACTGTCATCACTCACTCATATTGCTTTTGCATCTCCTTCCACTTATTTAGTATGTGATATGGTTTGGCTGTGTCCCCACCCAAATCTCATCTTGAATTCCCATTTGTTGTGGGAGGGACCTGGTTGGAGGTAATTGAATCATGGGGGCAAGTCTTTCCCATGATGTTCTCATGATAGTGAATAAGTCTCACGAGATCTGATGGTCTTAAATTGAGGAGTTCCCCTGCACAAGCTCTCTCTCTTTGCCTGTTGCCATCCACGTAAGCCATAACTTGCTCTTCCTTGCTTTTCACCATGATTGTGAGGCTTTTCCAGCCACGTGGAACTGTAAGTCCAGTTAAAACTCTTTCTTTTGTAAATTGCCCAGTCTCGGGTATATCTTTATCAACAGCATGAAAATGGGCTAATACACCACATCACTTCCAGAATAATCCTGCCAAAAAAACCAATTGTGAGCATGTCACTCCCTTGCCCCACCTAGGATACAGACTAAATTCCTTATGATGCCTCCAATGGTCCCCACCGCCCAGCCCTGCCTGCTGCCTCACTCTCAATTCACTCCCCTCTCCCTTTCCAGTTCAGAGCATCAGCCATATTGAACATCTAAGATTCCAGGCACACCCAATATGAGGGACAGCCCAGGATCTCTTCTGAGTCAGGGTAGAAGAAGTAAAATGAGAAAAGTGCATGCATGTAAGCTCAAGGGAACTGTGTGAACCAAGTAAGTGTCATGCAGTTGATCGGGCTCTTCTTTCCTATTCTTGCTTTTTTCTTTAACCCGGCTCATGGCCTGTATTAGTCTGTTCTCATGCGGCTGATAAAGACATATGCAAAACTGGGTAATCTGTAAAGGAAAGAAGTTTAATTGACTCACAGTTTAGCATGGCTGGGAGGCCTCAGGAAACTTACAATCATGGTGGAAGGGGAAGCAAACATGTCCTTCTTTACATGGAGGCAGGAAGAAGTGCCAAGTGAAAGGGGAAGCCCCTTATAAAACCAACAGATCTCGTGAGAACTCACTATCATGAGAATAGCATGGGGGAAACCACTGCCATGATTCAGTTACCTCCCACTGGGTCCCTCCCATGACACTTAGGGATTATGGGAATTACAATTCAAGATGAGATTTGGGTGGGGACACAGCCAAACCATATCATGCCCTCACTTCAGAATGATACTTTCACCTCTGTTGACATCATGCATGATCAGGAAGGAACCCGGATGTAACTTTTTTTATGCAAACCTTACAATGCTAGGCCTTTCCAGACGAGCTGTATTCCTTGCGTTCCCAACTAGTTCAGAAACCCTTTAAAGTCAAGGAACATCGAGATGCCAAGAGTATGGACACCTGTTTTTGAATCCCGGTTTCTGAAGCCCTTGGGCAATGGTTTTGCAAACCTCTTTGGACCTCAGTTTTTCCATCAGTAAAACCGATATAAATATCAGATACCTCCTTCATAGGATTGTTTGAGGATTCTATGACATAACAACTATAAAGTGCTTACTACAATGCCTGGCATATGGTGAGAAATTTTATTATAATTTTGACTGTTATTCTTTTCTAGACCTTAAAATGCTCTACACAGTACTAGGCACAGAGTCAGTGCTTAACAAATACTGACGAGCTACCTGATAAAATTATTCACCAACAATTTTCCCATGACTGTTATGGTGTATTATTCAAGGACAAGAGTGGTGTGCCCAGCCTCATGATTAATTCCTTCTTCTTTTTTCATGTTGAGTTATGTAAATCAAGTTTGCACATTTCACCCTTCAGACAGAAATGGAGTGGTTCTAATTTGATCTAACCTAAGGTGGTGGCGGGGAGTGGTGGAATACAGAAGACTGCAGAAGTTAAAACTTTCTGGTATAAAAGAAACAGCAGGCTGCCTTATGTTTTCAACATTAGCATTTAAGTTCACTGCAGCTGAACTCAATTCATATCAGTGGAGATTTATATCAAACAGTGGGAAGGCAAGTCATATCCTACCGCTGTCTTGCAGAATTATCATCAGGAATGTAGCCAATTTTAGCGCAAATAAATGGTAGTTAGGGAAGTAACTTGTATGATCAAGTCCTATAATGGTCATTCTTTGATTTAGAAATATGTTCTAAACCTGTCACTTTGCATGAACTTGATTTTCAAAGGAAAGAAGAAAAAAACACTGCTTTCTCCAGTGGGAATAGCACAATACACAATAACAAAATAGAGAAAGTTAAAAAAAAAACTGCTTACTGTTTTATCATTTTATGTGTATAGGAAATAACTTTAAGTGGTAGATGCATGCTTAAGGATTAAATTATACACAACATAGCTCACTATCATTACCGTCGCACATCACTAAACTGAGACACTCCTAAAACTGTCATCTTGTCAGTAGTCAAAAGACAGTTGAAATGCTGGTTTGAATTTTATCTCTTTTATCTCCTTTATGAAGTAGGAGAAGTGCATTATAAGATTCACATATGAAGAACAGAGAAACAAATGGGTTAAGGGAATGAAATGAAGGTATGTTTAGATCAGGAAGGGACCTTAAAGATAATCATTTCAAGCCCCTTAGTTTGTCAGTGAGGCAACAGACACCCAAAGAATTCAAATGTCAGCCCAACAACACATGCAACTGGGGCTACACATCTATATCTCCCACATATATACTTGCAGAATCAGAATCTTTAAGAGTGGGATCCAAAATCCTGTGGATTTAAAAAGCTGCTCAGATTATTCAGATGCCAAACATCCAGGGACCAAGGTCCACAAAGCACTGAGCTATACTTCCTGTGGCCATTGGCTGGACATTCAGTGTGGAAGATGGCAGGTATAGCCTGTTTATTTTCTCCAATTTAAATAGCTGTATCAGCACAAAATATCAGATTCATAAATGTCATGTCTACCAACCCATCTACACACTCTACATCCACCCTCAAAACAGATAGGCTTGACTACAGCTCACAGTTCTTTCTTGCATTATAAAAGCATTGTATCCATTATTGTGCTGCCCCTGTCACCCCCAAAAAATCACAGAGGCTATTCAAAATATATGTTTTGTTTTTTTTTTTGAGATGGGAAATTGGTATGTTAATTACCTGACTGTGCTACTGTTATATTAATAGTGTTGTACACATAAACATCAATGGGACAAAAAAGTACATTTACCACAAAAGCAATCCTATACATGATATTTATTTGCTTGCCATTCCCCCCATAGTTTGCCAGTATAGCCTGAGTGCCTGCCATGGGAGCATCCTTGCCCCAAAAAAGAATTTCAGAAGGAAATAAACTCTGTCCTAGCCACAGAATCAGATGGATCTAAACATGTTTCTCTAGCTCTGATGTGTCTTCTAAGTGTCAGACTCATTTATTCAAGTGTCTACTAGACCTCTCCACCCACATGCCCCATGCGTAATTCAGACACAGTGTGCTCCAAATCAAAGTCATCATTTTCTCCCAAATCTGTACCTCCGCTGTGCTTCACACATTGGTTACTCCATCCAATCACGCGAGGCAAAAATCGGGGAATCACCTGTATCTGCTCACATGTATTGAAATTTTAGTTGCAAGTGAAAGAAATTCAACTGAAGTTGGCTTGAATAGAAAACATAATTTAATGAATACTTAATTGCAAAGTCTATAAGGAGATGCTATCTCTAAGTATGAATGAACTTAGCTAAATGATTTTATAAAATTATTCTCCTGCTCTTTCCTGTTCTCAGCTCTTGTCTATCATTGGCTCCTTTTCTAGATTGGGTATGCCAAGCTTATATCCTTCCAGTGTTAATTCCAGTGAAAGAGGTTCTCCTTCCTAATAATTTCAGCAACTATCCTGGTCTGGTTAGAACAATGTAATTCAATGCATACCCTGGCCCAGTCCCTATGACCAGGGATGTGGAACTGTTGGGCCACCTGCACACACCGTGGGTGAATGAGATCAGGAAATGGACTGAGCATGGGGGAGAAGTGATTTCCTAAAGGAAAACTGAGGTGCTATTTCAAAAGAAAAAAAAAAGTAGAGGGGAACACTGCACAGGCAGAAACATCAAATTCCTCCTTTCACTTCTTGAGCCAAAGAATTGCTTAGTTTCAGTGATTCTCTAGACATGTCTCTTATTTCTCTCCTTCTCTCAGATCCACTGTTATGACTTACTTCAAGCTCTCACCATGTCACATCTGGAATTGCAAAGTCCCTACTTAACAGTCCTGTATCTGTGTTGCAATTGAAACCTGATCATGGTTATTTTCTAGCTTAAAAATCTATCAAGGTTCGACTGTGTGTAGTACAAAGACCAGGATTTTTAGCAGGATATTTAAGGCTCTCTAGGATTTGTCCTGCTTCATCTCTCAACACTCCCCAGCACACACCCTAAGGTGGCTAATAATCATACTAACACTAACAAAGAAAAATAATATTTCTTGAGTTCTTACTAGGCATCAGGTTCTACACAAAGAGCTCTCTGTGCCCTCATGACAACCTTCTTTCTATCTTCATTTTACAAATGAGAGAGAGGCTTGGAAAGGCTAAACAAATTAACCAAAGTCACATAGCAAATACTTATTAGTGCTAAAGCTAGTATTGGAACTCAGACAGGGTTCTAATGTCTGAAAACAGTCTGATCTCTCAACTATTACAGTATATTGCCATACTAAACAACTTTCAGTTCTCCAAACTTACCATGTTTTTTTTTCCTCTGCTGAATATGTCTGTTACATGTCTGACTGATCAACCCCATGCAACTTCAAGATCTAGCTCAAGTGCCTCCTCTTTGAGGAAGCTTTCCCTGACACATGCAAACAGAACTTATTGCTCTCCCTTTCTTAGTGATAAATGATAACTTGTGAACATTGGAAGCTTAAAGATTTAAGATAATGGGATGATTAAATAAATGAGGGTGTATGATAGAATATCAATATTAAAACAAATCATGTTTTAGAAAAATATTAGTGACCTGAAACACTGGTCCCAATCAATACAAGGTGATTGGAGAGGGAAGAGTAGTGTACAAGGTGCTAAATAATGTATGCTTCTACCTTCATAAAATAATCTGTGTCCAAAAATTGATGTATTCAAAACACAGTGATTAAGAAAATGGGCTTTAGTATCAGACCAAAATGGGTCTAAGCTCCATCTGTGTCACTAGATCTGGGGCCTTTGGGAAAGGTACATAATCCCTCTGAACCTCTGAAAATGTGTGTGTGGAGACGTGTATATCTATAACATGTCTAGCCTATATCTATGTCATATCTACAGCTATATTTCTACCTATATAGAAAGAGACAAGATGACAATAAGAGACTGGAAGGGAACATATACCAAAAGATAACAATGGTTGTAATTTGATTGATATTGACTTTCTTCATATTTTTCTATATTTTCTAAATATTCTGCAATGCATATGTGTTTCCTTTATCTATATTCTGATCATTCTATGCACTAATATGCTGTGTCTAATTTAAACTTTGGGCCCCAGGAGCAGAAACCGCATCTAATTATCTAATTATGCATCCCGCATCACAGCCCACATGGCATCAGTGTTAAATGACCTGCTGGTTAGCATCGCTACAGCCATGGCAGATCTATCTGGTATACTTAGGAGGTTCTCTTTTGAAATACAGTCAATTTTTGACAATTTAAGGGCTGATTATCTAGTCTTAAATTAACCATATCCTTATATTCTACAACATCTCCCTCCTGCTGACCAAATGTGAAGGTTTCATGGCTCCTTAATATCTCTACCATGACAAGAAGAGAGAAAGCAAAAGTGATGATATTGTAATCAATCAAATTGCTTACTCTCTGGAACCATTGATCATTATGTTCACTCTGGAAGTTCTAACATGAGAAATTTCTTTTAAAATAAAATGGCAGGGAAAAAAACTTTCTCTCTCCTAAGAAAAGATTCTATTTTCTTTTTATTGACAAAACTATGAAGCTGTGTTTTACCTTTTGTCTTCGGTATTACAAGTCTTACTATTATTTATTGTCGTGTCTCCCTCCTTTGCTTAAACTTGATTTTCCTGTTAACCTTATTTGTACGTCCCTTTTTGGTAGCATGTCTCAAATTATTTTTTGAGAGAGTTAGGGTACCAATAAATTCACTAAATAATTATCAAACTTGAAAACTTGTGTTAATAAATATCAATACCTTATATTATTTTGCATTGTTTTTAGCAGTGTCACATTCATGATCTCACTTATTTCTCTTATTTCTCCTTGTCCTGTAAATAAGACAGCCATTTCCCCATGTTCCAGATACAAAAACTGACAAAAAACCTCTGGGAGAAAAGGAAGGAATTGCTATGAGTTCTAGAGCTAGATGACATGAGTTTGAATTCTAGCTCTATTTTGGCTCTACCTGGAGCCCTTGGATAAGCTGTTCAGCTTCCCTGTCCCTCAGTATTTTTAACTGTAAAATGAGGAGGTGATAACAACAGTAGCTACCACAAGGAATAACTGTGAAGATCAATTAAGTTACACATATGAGGCACTCAAATCGGTGTCTGGCACATACTAAGGACTCATAAATGTTTACTGTTGTTGTACTTAAGTAGATGTCAACTCACTTCCTAAATTGACCATTTATCTGTCTTGCATTCATTTGTGCTTGGTCAGCTGTCAATCCTGCTGGACTGAGATCTGTTTTTGCCATAGATAAGAAGAAATGGGGCCGGGCATGGTGGCTTATGCCTTTAATCTTGGCACTTTGGGAGGCCTATGCAGGTGGATCACCTAGGGTCAGGGGTTTGAGACTAGCCTGGTCAACATGGCGAAAACCTGTCTCTACTAAAAATACAAAAAAATTAGCCAGGTATGGTGGTGGGTGCCTGTAATCCCAGCTACTCAGGAGGCTGAGGCAGGAGAATGGCTTGAACCTGGGAGGCGGAGGTTGCTGTGAGCCGAGATCACACCATTGCACTCCATCCTGGACGACAAGAGCAAGACTTCATCTCAAAAAAAAGAAGAAATGGTTTCCCAAGAACAGTGAACACGTGATTAAGTGGTCATACTAAACCTCGTTTTAGAGGGAGAAAAATTCCCTTCAGGATTTTTTTTACCCTATCACTAAAAATGCATACATTTTATCATACAGTGCAATGGTTAACAGAAGGCTTTAGTACCAGACAGCTTTGGGTGTAAACCACTCTTGCGCCTTGCTAGCTGCAAAGCCTTGGGCAAGCTCCATAATGTCCGGAGCCTTGTACTTGATTATAAAATAGAAACAGTGATGGCTCTTCCTTGGTATGGCCATTATATAAAGCACACAGCACAGTGCCAGGACTAGAGCGGACGGTCAATAAATAAAACAGTGATCACTGCTGTGTTGTTATTATTATTATATAGCAAGCCACAGTACCAAACAAAATCAAATTCAATTTCTTTTACAATATTTCGCAATTCAGACTTTTAAAAAATTCATCACTTTATCCAAGTGAGACAAAATTTCACAGGATTTACTATAGTTGAGGAAAAATTTGTGCCCCCAAAATAATTTTGTTGAATTTTTCCTTCCAGGTTGCTGGCCAACTCTAGTACTCATTACATCAATACCATTTTTAAAAAGTAATTTAATATAGATTTAATCCCTTTTGTTATATAGAATCCCAGAATTATATGATGAATATAAACTTCAAAAGCTATTTAGAATCTCACCCTCATTCTGATACAAATATTCGTCAAAATGGAAGGTTTGAATATTGAGAGGATTTAAGTCTAATTGTCTTCAGTAACTAAAATCAAGTTAATTAAATTTATACTTGGCAACAGATTTTATTGAGGGACAGCAACCATTGCATTCCTAGAGCTGTCATCTTCTTTTTTTTTTTTTTTTTTTTTTTTTTTGAGGTGGAGTCTCGCTCTGTCACCCAGGCTGGAGCGCAGTGGCACCGTCTTGGCTAAACATAGCCTCCACTTCCTGGTTTCAAGTGATTCTCCTGCTTCAGCCACCCGAGTAGCTGGGATTACAAGCATGAGCCATCACGCCCAGCTAATTTTTGTATTTTTAGTACAGACAGGGTTTCGTCATGTTGGCCAGGCTGCTGGTCTCCAACTCTTGACCTCAAGTGATCCATCGGCCTCGGCCTCCCAAAATGCTAGGATTGAGGTGTGAGCTACTGTGCCCGGCCCTAGAGCTGTTAAAAAAAAAAAAAAAAGCCAAGAACACAAGTAGACTTTCCTTTACGAAAAGCTAAAAGCTAAAATGCAATGCAAAGCCCTAAAAGAAAATCTGAAATGCGAAGCCCTAAAAAATGAAGAGAGGGTGGCTATTTGATTTTCGAAAAGATTCTTTAGTGAAAAAGTAGTTTTCTTCCAAAATCAAGCTTTATGTGTATTTTCAATGATTCAATGGTAAGAAATTTGGTTTCACAGACCACAAATATTGAAAAATTTGTGAAATTATGCTTGTACTTGGTGTGAATAAAAAGCCCAAATTTTTCACTTTGATGCCATTATTTTTATGCATCTTGTAGCACTTCCCTATAGTTTAAAAATACTCATCAGTTTAGATGTATTGGTCTTTATCGTTTTAAAGTGGGTCTGGTGATCTTGTGTATCTCACCACAACTGATGTAAAAAATGCAGTGTCCTGACAGCTCGCATTAAGCGTCACATAGAAAAAGTATAATTAGCATTTCTGTGCTAATTAAAAGTGATGCTGGGTTAGTTCCAATATCATGCTTTTAAATGGCTGATGTCTCAAGAGACCAAAATTGGAAAAAAAATGCATTTCAAATGGAAAAATCCTGCGCAAACTTTCTTAAATGATTCAGATTTGTCACTGTTGTTATTTACAACTCATTATAATGGTAGGCTTCAAGATGACTTCTTTTAATCAGTTTACCATTTTCACTTTCCCCACTTTGCAAGCAGTAAGAAATTCAAGATGTTTTTCTGCTTCTTTAAATCCTTTGACCGTCTGCTTTCACACAAAATTAATTAAGGATTTTCTAAATAAAGAACATGCCATGAAAGAATGAAGCAATTCAGGATTTTCAGTTTTCCCTTTATACAGTGCAAAGCACATAGCGTACTCAGCCACTTCAGTCTTTCCTACAAGTGAAAATTTTAAAGATAAATACCACCTCCCTGAACCCAACCATTTTTCAAATAAACAGATGATTGTCATTGATTAAATACTTTTTTCAAACATAGTCCAATTATTCAAAATCACAAAGGTTCTACATGTTTTTAAATCTGATTTTCTTTCCAAACGAATGTCGGAGGATCACCAAGAGGTGGGGAGAGAGGGAAGCTATTGTTCCACCACATTCCATTCCTGTTAAATCAACTTGATATACGCGATAAATTAAGTCTGCACTGCAGGTCAGTGAATTTCTATTAACTACTTATTATGGAAGAAAGGAAAGCAGCCCAGTCAAGAACTCTTACACATCAGCCAAAGCAAGCTGTCACTCTGTTTAACTTTTACAATAAGTGTTCCTCGGTCTCACACATGTGAAAGAAAAAACATTGTTTGGCATTTAAGCTCTTATTGCCAAGGTGCATTAAGGCAAAGAACAAGGCTAGACTGATTATTTCTCTTGTTTAAAAGGCTAGGAAACTCTGGATTTTGCTAAGATTTTGCTGATTTATAATGTAACCGTTTTAAAATAGGCCTCTGGGGATTCTGAAAACATGGCTACCCTCCTGTAGTTTATAACAGCTGCACTCTCAACTCCAGTCTATCTGCTTTTATTGGCTCATATGACTGCTGAGTGGAAGTGAGGCCTCCCCTCTGAGCAAGTCTCCAAAAGAAGAAATGGTTCAAGTTTTCCCCATAGGGGCTAGATGAGCAAGAGACTACAGGAGATCAACCTCAGAGAGGATCTCATCACAAAGATCACAACTCCTGAGATGCTGGAAAGAGCTTGGGCCCCAGAACACAGTGGATTCTAAGCCCCATAAGGATGCCTGGGCTGCTTAAGCAAGAAGTGGTAGATGAGTGAATAAAAAGCAGCTAAGAAGGTGGGTCTAGTTCTCCCTGTCCTCAGCCCTGTTGAGTATAAGGAAAACTGGGACTGAAGGCTTTTTCCTGGGAAGGCAGCCTTCCTGGGAGGCTGGCAGCCTGCCTATGCCTACGCCATTCACCCACAATGCAGAGACCACTCCTTCTATCCCTTCCTGAACTGCTACCAATCCATGTCTTCAATGATCACAACTGAGCCCCGGGAAAGATAAAAAAAAATTAGTGAATAAATGAATAAAATATTCTTAAAAATTATAATAAAGCCAGAGAGAGTAAGGTCATTAAAAGCAAACAGAAACACATGTCTAGAAAAATAAAACGTTAGGAAAATAAGTGATGATGATATAAAAGATGTATATTACAATAAGAGCAATCACAAAGCAAATGACAAAACGCACTTACTGTAGGAAAATCAAAATGAATCAAAATGATTTCTCAAATAAGCAAATATTAGTATTAATAGATGCATTTAGAGAGTGAGTGGTTACTGTTAAGACCCAAATTAGTGACTTGGAAAAGCAAGTATAAGAAACATCTCGGCCGGGCGCGGTGGCTCGCGCCTGTAATCCCAGCACTTTGGGAGGCCGAGGCGGGGGGATCACGAGGTCAGGAGATCGAGACCATCCTGGCTAACACGGTGAAACCCCGTCTCTACTAAAAATGCAAAAAATTAGCCGGGCGTGGTGGCGGGCGCCTGTAGTCCCAGCTGCTCGGGAGGCTGAGGCAGGAGAATGGCGTGAACCCGGGAGGCGGAGCTTGCAGTGAGCCGAGATCATGCCACTGCACTCCAGCCTGGGCGACAGAGCGAGACTCCGTCTCAAAAAAAAAAAAAAAAAAAAAGAAACATCTCAAAACACAAAGCCAAAGTAGAAATAGATGGAATACATATATATATGTATAATATGTGTATACATATATGTGTGTACATATGTGTTATATATGTATATACATATATGTGTGTATATATGTATTATGTATGTATATGTATATATATAGAGAAAGAGATAAATATGAGCAGATAAAAATATAGAAAGTGACAAATATTAAGAGAAAAGAAAAAAAGACTTGTAGGACAAAGCCAAGAACTTAGTGTCTTTTTCTTTTCCTAAAGAAGGCAGGAAGAGATGACAAAGGCACAATGTATACATAAATACATAATAGAGAAAATTTTCTCTGAACTGAAGAAACGAGTCTGCAGAATGAAAGGACAAAGTTCAGTCATAGACTAATTAGAAAAGACATAGACCTGAGACTATCCTAATAAAATTTATGAATTCTAAGGATAAAAAGAAAATTCAGCAAACTTCCTGACAGAAACAAAACAAGATGAGTTACCACAAAGGAAAAAGAATAAGGCAGGCATCAGACTTTTCATCTTTAACACTTGTGGCTTGAGGATGATGAAATGACCTCTACTGGACCAGGGAAAGGAAAGCACTGTAAGAATCTTGACAGGGGAAGGTGGGATAAAGGGTGGAAAGAGGATACATGTCAGTGTTCTGAGAATCACTTTATTGGCGTGGGGAAAATGGAGGGAAGCAGTGCCTCTTGGTAAAAAATAAAAAAATTGAAAACTAGCAACTCATTTTTCAAATAATATTAGAGAAATACATATAAAATTATAACTACAGGGAATGGAAAAGTAACCATTAATGGACAGAAATGGTATAGTGGGTCTTCCAAATACATAAGCAGAAGAATAGAATAAGCAAACCAATTAAAATCAGGGTAAGGAGATAAGGAGCCAGGTGCAGTGGTGCACACCTGTAGTCCCAGCTACTCAGGAGACTGAGGCAGGAGGATAACTTGAGCCCAGGAGTTGGAGGCTGCAGTGCACTATGATTGGGCCTGTAAATAGCCACTGTATTTTAACCTGGGCAACATAGTGAGATCCCATCTCTAAAAAAAAATAGAATAAGGGAGAAGCAGAATGACAACATAAATAATAAAGTAAAAGGAGAGAAATAAAATTTTCATTAAAGTAACAACAAATAGACTAAATTCTCCATTAAATGAAAGAGACTGTCAAATTGAACAAAAAGACAAAACTTTGAATTATGCAGTTAAAAAATATTGTACAACACAGTGATTAAGAAAGTTGAAAACAATGTGTTGGCAAAGACAAGATAATATTAATATTAGATAAGGTGGAATATAATGTTAAAAGCCTTAACCAGGAAATAGATGATCATTAGGTTTTAACAAAAGTCATAATTTAAGAAGATATAAAGTCTCAGCTACTTGGGAGGCTGAGGCGGGAGAATGGTGTGAACCCGGGAGGCGGAGCTTGCAGTGAGCAGAGATCGCACCACTGCACTCCAGTCTGGGCGACAGAGCGAGACTCAGTCTCAAAAAAAAAAAAAAAGATATAATAACTCTCTCTCCCTCTCTCTAAAATAACTATATATAATTCTATATATAGCAAAATTATTATAAATGCAAGACCTTAATAAAAACATAATTTTAGTTTGAAACATCAGTGTATCTTTTGAACATTATATAACTCTAGTTTACAAGAAATAAGTAAGATCAAAGAGAAATTAAAGAGTGCAATTGGTAAAATTCACTTGATAAATCTGTTATTGGCTGAATTGTGACCCCCAACCCAATTCATATGCTGATGCTCTAACCCCAAGTAATTCGAGTGCTTTTAAAGATGTGGTTAAGTTAAAATGAGGACATTAGTGTGGGCCCCAATCCAATCTGACTTGTGTCCTTAAGAGGAAATTTGGATGCAAAAAGAGGCACAAAGAATGTATGGGCAGAGAGGAAAGACCATGTGAAGACGCCTTGAGAAGGCAGACATCTGCAAGCCAAAGAGAGAGAGGCCTCAGAAGAAATCAAACCTGTTGACATCTTGATCTTGGACTCCCAGTTTTCATAACTGTGAAAATAAATTTCTGTTGTTAAAATCACCCGGTCTGTGGTGTTTTGCTATGGCAGCTCTAGCAAGCAAATACCATCTATATTGAACATTTTAATTCTCAAATAGAAAATATACATGCGTGTGTGTGTGTGTGTGTGTGTGTGTGTGTGTGCACACATGCTTGCTTGCCCTCAGTGAGACAGGGAAATGGCCCATGGTTCATTTATAAAACTAATCACATAGTTAACCATAGAGAAAATCTGTAATATACTTTAAAAACACATGCTACATTCTCCAATTATAAACTGATACAATTAGAAATAAAAAGTTGCCCCCAAAACATTATAACTATTAGGAAATTTGAACACTTAGAAAATTTTTGGACCAAAATAGAAAAAATTTTTGGACCAAAATAGAAATCAAAAGAGAAATGATAAACTATTTGGAAAGCAACGAAAAGAATACTTCTCCTAAGGGAAGGAGATCCATTAGTAGAGAGATTTGAAAGGTTGAAAAAACAAAAACTCTACCATTAGAAAAAAAGCACTGAGATCTTATAGGTTCTCAGGTTAGTTTTTCAAACCCAGTGTTTTTCAACTGGAGCAGTATTGGCAATTTCGATGGAATAATATTCTGTTGTGCAGGGCTGTCTTGTGCATTGTTGAATGTTAACCCATTCCTAGCTACAAGGTACAAAACAACTTTAGCATCTTACCAGAACTGAGATGACCAATACACCAGCATGTATAAAAATGTTCTGGTAAACAGATACTCCCAGTGTTATTTAAACTACTTTAGGCCAGAGAAAATGAAGAAACTATCACTTAATTGAATCCAGCTTACCGTTACACTAAATCATGATAAGATAGTAGAGAAAACATTAGTACAATCTCATTTAAAAATTACCCATATTATCAGATAGGGAGACTTAATACCAAGAAATCATTTATATTAATATCTATTTATGTATCAATACAATTTCTAATGCAACTTCAATTAGAGTTCCAATATGATTTTTTTTTAGATTTTTGCTACAATGATTGTATATTTTTTTATGAGAGGATAAATACTTGCAGACTGTGGAGAAAGGAATTTTTTGAAAGAGTAGAAGAAGAGTCTGCTCTACCAGATATCAGAATATCATATAAAGAGAAAATAATATTAACTTAAAATGGAAAATTAGATCATTGGAACATAATAAAAAATCAAAATCAAGAATCAGATACAGCTGGCCCTCAGTATCCACAGGTTCCACCTCTGTGGATTTAACCAACCACACATTAAAAATATTTGCAAGAAAACCTCAAAATAACAATACAATAAAAAATACAAATAGAAAAACTATACAGTATAACAACTATTTACATAGCACTTACATTGCATTAGGTATTATAAGTAATCTAGAGATGATTTAAAGTATACTGCAGACTGTGAGTAGGTTATATGCAAATACTACACATTTTATAAAAGAGATTTGATCATTGCAGATTTTGATATCCATCAGGGGTTCTGGAACCAATCTTTTACGGATACCTAGGAACAACTATACTAGCATATGAGGATTTAACACATAACAAGGGTAGCATTTCATTTCATCAAGTAAAAAAAGAATATTTAATAAAGTATCTTGGATATCTACGTGGAAAAAAATTGTTTGAACTACCATCTTACACCATATAACAAAACAAATTTTAAATGCATTAAAAATATAAACATAAAAATATTAAACAAATATATTTCAAAAAATTATAGAAGGCTATGTGTATCATTCAAACTGAAAACTCACATACTATGAAAGGTAAGATAGGCATATTTGGCTAAGTAAAAACTAGATACTTTTGATGGCAAATGTTACCCTAAACAAACCCAATAAATAAACAATAGATTTTTTTTAAAAAAATTGCAAAACTGGAAAAACGGTTAATATATGATGTATGCACAAAAAGTTTCTACAAATTAACAAGAAGACAGTTTTTCCCCATAGGAAAAGAATAGGAGGAAAAATTCACAGAAGACTGGATATAAATGGCCAGAAAATACTCAAAGATGTTCAACTGCACTGGTGGTGCAGAAAATGTAAAAGTAAAATGTAAATGTAAAATGCCCATTAGATTGGCAAAGTATGAAAGAGTAATAATCACTGTTCTTGCTGTTAACATGTCCATTTCACATTTCTTAAAGAGGATGAAAATGTGTACAAGCGTAGAAATGTGTTTAAGAGGAAATGTGTATTGTAAAAGCCTTGTTGATAAACAATGTGTCCACATTCATTAAAAACGAAAATACACTTGTCTTCACTCAAATTCCCTTTCTGGGAATCTAGCAAAATAAATGAAAGCTCAAATACATAAGAATATGGTACAGGATATTTACTGCCTGCAAAAACCAAGAACAATGACAACAACGAATGGAAACAATGGGAGTGATCATCAACTGGATCCACCAAAGAACATTATACAGTCATCAAAAAAGAATGAATTAGAGCTCTGTCAGTTGGGATAAAAGGGTTTTCCACAAGGTATTTCAAATAAGAAAATCTCAATATAGAAAAAAATGCTTCTAAAAAACACATTATTATAAAACAATAATGAAACTTCTTAAAATTTTGCACTTATGTACATATATGTATATGTGTGCGTATGATTACATCATCATGGAGATAAATATGGATTATATGAGGACTTCAAAAACTTCATGAAAATGTGTATTATGAGAAAGCTATGCATGGATTTCAAAAAATTTTTTGTACCAAATGCACTCATACTAACTTGTTATAACATGTCTAAACAGGATCTAGTTTGAGGCATTAAGGATAAAATATCAGTTTGAAAAGAGTCCCTATCAGAGCAACATGAATCCTGCTAAAATTGAAATAAGAATAAACTGCAAATTTATGGTGAAGCTTGAGTGGAAGAGTGGCAAAATCACTGATGCTTTATGAAAAGTTTATGGGAATGTGCCCCAAAGCATTCGGCAGTTTATAAATGGGTAACTCATTTTAAGAAGGGACAAGAAGATGTGGAAGATGAAGCCCACAGTGGTAGATCTACATCAATTTGAAAGGAAAAAATTCGTATTGTTCATGCCATAATTTAATGGACCAACAATAAACAGCAGAAACAACAGCTAACACTATAGATATCTCAATTGGTTCAGCTTACACAATTCTGGCTGAAAAATTAAAGTTGAACAAACTTTCCGCTTGGTGGGTGCTAAAACCCAGGTCAACTGCAGACAAGAGCAGAGGATTCTATGGTAATTTTAAATAAGTGGGATCAAGATCCCGAAGTGTTTCTCTGAAGCATTGTAACAATAGATGAAACCTGGCTTTACCAGTACAATCCTGAATACAAAGCACAATCAAAGCAATGACTACCAAGAGGTGGAAGTGGCCCAGTCCAAGCAAAAGTGGACTGGTCAAGAGCAAAGGTCATGGCAAAATTTTTTTGAGATGTGCAAATATGCTTGTTGACTTCCTGGAGGGTTGAAGAACTATAACATCTGTTTATGATGAGAGTGTTTTGAGAAAGTCAGCCAAAGCTTTGACAGAAAAATATCCAGGAAAGCTTCACCAGAGAGTTTTTGTCCACCACGACAGTGCTCCTACTCCCTCCTCTCATCATCAAAAAGGGCAACTTTGTAAGAGTTTCAGTGGGAAATCATTAGACGTCCACCTTACAGTCCTGATTTGGCTTCTTCTGACTCCTTTGTTTCATAATATTAAAAAACCTGTAAGGGTACTCATTTCTCTTCAATGAATAATGTAAAAAAGATTGCATTGACAAGGTTAAATTCCCAGGATGCTCAGTTCCTTAGAGATGGGCTAAATGGCTGGTATTATCACTTATGAACGTATCTTGAACCTGATGGAGTGTATGTTGAGAAATAAAGTTTATATTTTTTATTTTTATATTTTACTTCTATTTTTCCGCGAACTTTGTGGAGCCCCTTCATATATAATATACATTTTTATATATTATGTTATATGCCTAATTATGTGATATAAAAATATAATTTATTTATATGAGATAAATAATAGTTGGCAATGATGATGGGGAAAAAAGAGGGATAATAGACTATACTAAAATTATTATATTTTTATAAAAGTATATGTGTACATAGTGGTAAAATTTCAAATATATATCATATTTTATTGATTCTAAGATATACTTTTCTGCCTTTTAATATCTCTGAAATCAGAATGAATCTTACAATTTATGGCATCTCATCCTTCACAATAAAGTAGCAGGGTTTTTTGGGTTTTTTTTTTGTTTTTTTGTTTTGCTTTATAATGATGCACAAAATAATGATCCTTTGAGTGGATCAGATATGGTATTATACTAACATCATACCCCTCAAAAAGAGCTTTTAACCCAAGCTGATAATGGTGCATTCAATTAAACAGTAAAGTAGAGCTTTAAAAAACAGTCTTTTTCACATTTCTTGAAGTAGACTTTTTTTAAGTGTGGAAGGATAAGAAAACCTTTACCTATTGGGAAAGATTCATCTAGTAGCCAAATAATCGAACAGTGTATTATACTCTTATAAGTGGATTAAAGGAAGAGAGGCCATGCATTGAAATCCACATAGGAGGGAGGTTTAAAATAAGAGTATTTCCTTGTCCCTTTGGCAACCAAAGCAAGACAACAAAGGATTCTTCTAGCCTGGATTGCCACCTCAAGCCCTGATCACCCCAATCTTCTTCCTGCTGTTCCTACAGGGAATAGCGGACAAGAAAGGCAGTGTTTCTCTGGGCTATGATGTAACTGAATACCCAGAGGAAACTGAAATTTGGCCACAGTGCTCACTAAAGTGGAACCCTTAGTTTGAATCCCAGTATGCCCATTTAGTTCTATCTGATTTCATTAAGGGTTTTCCAAAAGTCTGCATTTAGCAACACGAACTGTTATCTGTGCATATTTTCCATTTGCTTTAAAAATAGTCCTTTAAAATTAATATGCAATGAACAGAATATTTTGGGTTTTTTTTTGTTTTGTTTTTTGTTTTGTTTTTTTTTTGAGACAGTCTCACTCTGTCACCCAGGCTAGAGTGCAGTGGCACTCCAACCTGCTCACTGCTCACTGCAACCTCCACCTCCTGGATTCAAGTGATTCTCTGCCTCAGCCTCCAAAGTAGCTGGGATTACAGGCATGAGCCACCAGGCCTGGCTAATTTTTGTATTTTGTAGACACTATCCGAAGCACTTCTACTCTTTTACGATTTGAATATTCAGCTGATTCTCAATCTGAAGCCGGTTTTTATACTTATGACTCCTGAAGTCATTTTTCCTTCTCCTAATGTCATCCCACTGCATTGATCAAGATCTCCTAATCCAGAAAGGAAAGAGAAGAGGCCCACAAAAGAATAAACTCAAACACTTTGGTTCCAAAGGCTGCTGGCTAAAAATTACTGTTTGATTTCACTTTTTTTTTTTTTTTTTTTTTGAGATAGAGTCTCTTTCTGTCAACCAGTCCTAGGCTCGAGCAGTCCTCCCACCTCAGCCAACCAAGTAGCCGGATCACAGGCACACACCATTATACCTGGCTATTTTTTTGTATTATTTGTAGAGACTGGATTTTGCTATGTTGCCCAGGCTAGTCTCAAACTCCTAAACCCAAAGGATCCTCTCACCTCCACCTCCCAAAGTGTTGGAATTATAGCGATGAGTCACTGCACCCAGGCTTTACTTCATATTTAATGGTCTTTGTCTTATTAAGTTTGGGCTTCTATAACATATTACCACAGGCTGGGTAGCTAAGCCAACAAACGCTTATTTCTCATAGTTCCAGGGGCCAGAAGTTGCAGATCAGGGTGGCAGCACAGTTGGGTTGTTACTGCAACTTCTCCTTGTATCCTCACATGATAGAAAGAGTTGGCTAGCTTCCTGGCTTTCTATGAGGACACTAATCCCATCAATGAGGGCTTCACCCTCCAAATACCATCAAATTGGGATCAGGGTGTCAACACAGAAATTCTGGGGGACCCATAAAGTCCATTACAATCTTAGTACAGTCTGGCATTGGCTGGGTAGTGGAATATATAAAATAAATATCTGACCCAATTCTAGAACTGAAAATCAGGAAGTAAATATGAGAATAATTTATAGAAAGTAGTATCACCAATTAATCCCTCCCTGTATGCTATTTGCAAATATAGCATTTGTATGAATGTCCTTTTTCCCCCCAAATGATGTCCCCATTCCTTCTTTCCCAGGCTTTCTTGTCCATCTGTGAAACATACAATCTGCCCTTGGCTAATAGGGTCTGCTAGTGGCTGGTACAAGATATTGTTCTGCCCCAAATTCTCCTCATCACTGTCCTGTCCCCTCCTCAGTAGGATCATGAATATGATATACTGGTCCATTTTCTCACTCTTCATCTATTTGTAGCTCAGTTAATTTTATCTCTGGAAGCATTTCTCACCAATACATATTATCTACAACTCGTTTTCTTGCCTACTTTTTTCTAATGTCAATTGCTTCAGGAAAGTTCCTAGGGAAAAGTTCACACATATCATGTGATTAGATAAAAATAATTTTTAAAAACCTGCTCTGAATGTTAAACATTTAAAATTTGGAAGTTTTTAAGAGAAAAGAGGATTTATATTTTCAAAATATTTGCCCAAAATAAAAAGAGAGATCTAAAGTGGAAATTGCAGACCAGGCGCAGTGGCTCACATCTGTAATCCCAGCACTTTGGGAGGCCGAGGCAGGCGGATCACCTGAGGTCAGGAGTTCGAGATCAGCCTGGCCAACATAGTGAAACCCTGTCTCTACTAAAAATACAAAAATTAGCTGGGCATGGTGGCAGGTGCCTGTAATCCCAGCTACTTGGGAGGCTGGGGCAGGAGAATCGCTTGAACCCGGGAGCCAGAGGTTGCAGTGAGCCGAGATCACGCCATTGCACTTCAGCCTGGAGGATAAGAGCAAGACTTCATCTCAAAAAGAAAAGAAAAGAAATCATCCTTACTACTTGTACTGTTTGAAGTATAGTCCAAGAAGAGATTGGGAGAGAGGAAGTTAACAAGTAGACAAGAGAATATTCAGTGACCAATAATGTGAAGTCCTTTTTTCATGACCAGCCAAAGAAAGCCCAAGGCCAAGACAAACCACATGACAAAAAAAAAAAAAAAAATTAATTAAATGAAGTTAATCACAAGGAAAAAATACATGTAGAGAGAAAGGCTAGAAGTTCATAATGAAGGGCCATTTTCCTCTTTGTTTTGAGGAGCAGTGGAGAGAAGGTAACTACCTGGGATTTACTGAGCCCGGGGCCTCTCTGGGTGTAGTTGTGCCAGTTGTTAACTCTGCAAAGGCTCTCAACAAAAATGTTGAATGGGGCTGAACCCAACCTGTGTTTCGTGGTGTGGGGCTACATTTGTTTGGAGAAAAGTTTAGCTTTTTCTTCACTAAAGGGATGTGTCCACCTAGAGGGGACATCTTTTTCTAACTAGCATGTGGCAATTTTTTTTAAATGGCTCCCAAACTTGTCATTACTCCTTCCACTAAGCAATAAGGCCTAGGGTCTACCTACTTTGAATCTGAGTTTTTTACTGGTTAATCAATAGAAAATAGTGAAAGTGATAATATGGCAGCTTTCCTTTCCTGCCCTTTGGGACATTCACCTTTGGAAGCTAAGCACCATGCTGTGAGGAAGCCCAGGCAACAAAGAGAGGCTGCACCCAGGTGTTCTGCCGACAGTCCCAGCTAAGGGGCTGTCCAACAGCATCAACCAGCGAACATGCATGTGAAGACACCTCCAACTGATATGTAGCTGCTGGCTGACTGTTACAGTCTTCTAGCCTCTCCACTTGATGCCCCAGACATTGTAGAACTGAGACAAGCCATCCCTGTTGGGGCCTGTCTGAATTCCTGATCTACAGAGTCCATGAGCATTAAAAAAAGAGGCTTCTTTATGCCATTATGCTTTGGAGTGGTTGGTTATGCAGCAATAGATAACTAAAACATCATCCACCCAGGACCTATTTCTAACTCACAATGAGGCTCTGTAGGCTAGCAGCAGCCCTGTCTTACTCTGTGCCAGGTTGTTGTTGCTGAATTGAACCCTCAGGCATACACTATCATTATCTCATTTCATGAAGCCAGTTCTCCTTATTCTCTGAAGCTCGGTCTATCTTGGCATACAAGGCCCTTGGCTCATCTCTCCTGTCTGTCTCATCTCCTTCCACCCCCGCAAATCACACACTGTGTTCTTTTCTGCCTCTGGGTCTTTGCATATGCTGTTGCCTCTACCTGAAACATCTTTCTTCCCTTCCCACCTTCCATCTCCATTGATGCATTCTCACTTTCTAATTTGGTTTTCTAATGCCAAAATTATCAGCAATGCCAGAGATTTTTGTATTCTTTCTTCCTGAACTGACTATAATTCTGGAAACTTCTTCAACAGTACTTCATTCTCAGTGGTTTTCCCTAGAGCTTCCAGACACACATTCTTCTCCACTAGAAGTGCCCTCCAATGGTAGTGAGGGAAGAAACATGGCTACAAGCCACATTCCTGAATCAGCCACCTTAATATATGTTGCCCTGTACTGGACTCAGATGCAAAGTGTGGAAACTCATTCCCACAAAAGAATGATGTACATTCAAGAAGCTGCCAAGTCAATTCTACCCTATTTAAGCAAGGGCACGCATCACAAAGGAATTGGGATTGTTTAAACCTCTTACTGACTAGAACCTTAGCATAAACAAAAGTGGAAAATAGCCAAGAAATCACATTTAGCTTTCATTTCATTTGGCCTGAGAAAAGCTGTCACAAGGTTCTGTTGAACCAGTAGCAACATGACAACCCACAGCCTAAGTTGGCTTCAGTGAGCATTTGAGATGACTGAGCTCAGAATTAAGCCTCTGGAGGTCTAATAAGAACAGATTAAAAGCTGTGAACAGGGAGCAATTCATTTATTCCCTATGAGTTTTTACACTGTTACTTTTAGTTTCTTCTATACATAATATAATAATCCTCACCATGAAACAATTAGGACAAAAACAAAAAGGACTGGATTTAAGAAAATGATAGATTTGATATGAAAAAAGCGTACACATAATGAAATAAATTCTGTTCTCAAACATAATCTTTCAGGTATTGTGAAATGAGACAGCCCTAATCTCTCAAATAACAAAGATTAGGCAAAAATGACAGAATGTGAATGTCAAAGAGACTCACAGGAATAACTAGAAAATTGATAGATACCCTGAGTTTTCAAAAATGCTTCTTAAAAACCTGAACACATTCTTTGACACAATACAAAATCCGTGGGCATATCGTGGGAAAATAAGTGTTTATTTCAAATATAAGCCTTGAAATTTATAAATAAAAGCAGACAGGCTCTTTTTCCCAATGCTGAAGTCACTGACATAGTAACAAGCATTTCAGTTATTTTTTTTAAATGTGTATCTCTCTAAATTAAAGAAAGCGATGTCTGTCTGTTTCTCTTCCCTATCTACCTGTCTTTACTTTTTTTTCTTCTGTCATCTCTGTCCATCTCTTCTTTTTCCCCCTTTCATTTTCCTTCTTGCTGTAACTCCCTTTTCAGTCAGCTAACCTACTCTTTGTTGCCCTACTCTGTGCAAGTCAATTTGCTGGGCTTTAGGACAAATGTGAATACAAGGTGGGGTCTTTGTTAACCTGAAAAGTGCAATGGAGTTGAAGAGAGAAGACAAGATCCCAGATAGCTGCCATCCAAGGTAGTGTCTGACCAGAAATGCCAAGGTGTTTTAGAGGGTGCAGAGATGACTATTGGCTGCTGGGTTCAGAGGAGACATCATCAGAGCTGGGCTTTAGAAGATGGGCCTGAAGAATGTTCCAGAGAGGGACATTGTGAGCAAAGACATAGGATAGTAAGGACAATGTTTGCTGCTAAGGTCAGTACAGTGGACTATTTTGTCCTTAGTGCAGGGTTCACATAGGGAGGTGGTAAGTGATCAGAATGCAAAAGCAGATGGGACCCAAATTGTAGGTGACTTTGAATGCCAGCAAAGGAATTTAGAGTGTACTATCTACCATGAATAGTAAATAGTGTTTACCTGATGGGACTTATTTAAAGATTTACCTTTGAGAATTCTCCCGTCCTCTTTCTCTCATTCTGCCAGCTCTCCTGTTGCTATTTGTCACATTCACAAAACAAAATGCTGGATTCTTTATTCTATTATCTATTATGAATGTAAGTAAACTAAGTATTTTATACTTCTCTTTTTTAAGTCACATACGTTGCTTTGGTTTTTGTGCATGAGTTACCAACATTTCTGCTCCCAAAAGAAAATTCTCAGTTCTGGTTATATAGAAATATAAGATTTTCAAGATTATCTTTCAGATAAAAAGAAGAAAGATGAGATAAATCCAAGTCCACTATAAAATCCAAGGAATAAGTCACCTGGGATATAAAATCTATTCCATAGAGATCTTTTGGAATTATAGCTAAATACTTCTGATTTAAATAGAGCCGGGCTGGCAACCCTTGAAATGGCCTTTCCCAATTCCTCACTAAAATACCTATAAAGTCATAGAAAAATATGAAACTCACACCACCAGTAAAATAATAAGAATTACAGACAACTTATTACTAGACTCTAAGAAGTATTTCAACTAAATATATGGCTCACAAACATGGATTAAACTTATGCTTGCAGAGCCTCAGAGACCCTGATCTGGAAGACCATAAACCTGAGCAGCCAGAGGCTGTTTACTCACCCTCCTCACTCTCCCCTCTACCCGCCCCGAACCCACTCATCTTTCTCTCTTTAGACTAAAACTCCCAGAAAATAGCAAGGCAAGAACTAAACAGTGAATGATGCATTACTTGCTCTTCTAGTGCTGGACACTGTAAGAAAACCTTTTTACTTCCCCAAGGGAAAGCTCTGTACTTAGAGGAATCAGAAGGAATTCTAAGAATTAGCTTGGCAGCCTCAATTGAGTACTGTGCAAGAGGATGTATCTTTCATGATACTCAAAGAGAAAGCCATTAGGAAAGAAAAGAGTCAAGAATAAAAGAAACAGGATGAGTTTTGGAAACAGTAAACTGAATACAAAAGTTGCTGAGTGAAACAAAACAAGGAAGAATTTCAAGAACGTGAAAATTGCAATAACAGAATTAAAACACATTGAAGCTCATAACAGTGGAATTCATATTGCAAAAAATCAAATCAGAAATAGGGTGGGAGAGAACATGAGAACTCAGTCATTTGTGAATGCCAGGTAAGAAGGCAAGACAAATAACAGAATGTGCTCAGTATGGCCTTGGTTGTGATAACAGATGCAGACAAAGGCATGAGAGAAGATCAGCAAATTACCTCTTATGAAGGGTGGCTCTTCATGAAGATTCTGCAGATGAATCAAGAGTCCAACCAGGCAGCAAAGAGGTTAAGAAGAGAGTTAGCTGCAACCTTAGTAGGAGATTACAAAACTAAAACATAACTTGAACTTAGGAGATGTCACTGCCTTCTAAAGGCTTGGACTCCGGTCTCTTTTGATCTTAGCTACAGCAGAGAAATAATATTTTGCAGTGAGTAAGCATAAAGACAATGTTAGGGTTGTAATCCTGGATACATCACTATGTGACCCTTTATTTCTTTTTTGCCTAAAAACTTAAAATTCTAATGCAATCATAAGAGGAAAAATCATAGTTTCTTTATCATAGAACTATGATAATTAAGAGTTATACAAAGCACTTAATCTGGCACATAGCAAATGCACAGTAAATCAGTTGTTGTGTGTTATTCTTATTGTTTTTATTCCAACCAGAGGAAAGAATTTACATACATGGCTCTAGAGATGAAGAGAAATACAGTAAAATAAAGACGTTAAAGAAATGCAAATTCCAAAAAAGCAGTTTTGGAATTAGTTGCAATATTTAGTAGGCTGCATAATTTGAACCAACAGGCACCAATCTTATCCACAGGTAACAGATTAGGAATTCCCTATTGTCATAACAGCAATACTATGCTGCCAACCTAGAACCTATGTACTCTGGTCAAAAATCTCTAGGCAATATCCATTCTCAGCCAATTGATGAAACACTGAATGGTACCGTTCTCCCTGAATGGTAGTTCCATACTCCAGAATTGTAGCTCCAATTTTGGCAGAATAGCTACCCCAATTTTTTGAGAATAAAATTTAGTGGCTATATGTGTTTGCACTATAAAAATATTTGTATTAAATATAGACATGATAAAGTAAATAAAATCCACCAACTAATACTTTTGTGTTAAGTTTGGGAATAAGGTTCTAATCATGGAGCAATATAAAAAGGTTTAATGTCTAACAGCATATGGCATATCAGTGAATATGACAGATTAGCCTTGGGAATTCAATTTAATGGCGTATTGAGTAATAGATTTTAGACAGTTACCTTTAAGTGGAAAGATTTAGAGAATTTAATCAAGTTTAAAAGTATCGGAATGGTTAAGAGAACATGTGATTCGTTTCTTAATTTATTAGATTTACTGGAGTCGTTAAGGTTTGGCTGTAGGTCAGACATTTGAAAAGCTTAAAAAGAAAACTGAATGTTTTAAATTTATAAATGGAGTTTAAATATGTAGAGGAATTTTATTAACCAAGTTGTAAAGGGACCTGCTTGGGAGTTCAATGTGTTCAACTTAAATTGATCAAGCCTTATTCAAAATCTCCCTTGAAAGCAATTGCTAAATTTTGCTAGATTCATAAATCAAGTAATAAAATATGTAAGGTGAACTTAAGGGCTTGAAAAATGCTGGAGTTTTTTTTTAATGTACCTTTAATAAGTAAATACCTTTAATAAGTGCATATTAAATTAAAACCTTGGATAACAGCATAGATTTTTTTTCTCCACACAAAAGCAATCCTCACAATTGACATGGAGATTCCATCTAAGAATTTTAAATATTTTAAAACTCTGTACAAGTGAAACTTCTGTTTCACTTGTCAACAAGTGATTTGTCAACAAGACTGAAAATCACATTCCAAAGCTGGAAAAAAATGACTCGAGTGTGCAGACAAAATGGGCTTACTTTGGTCTAAGCAAAATTAAGAACTAAGATTACATGCTAGGGGGAAAAAAGTGAATTACAATGATAAAGGGAAAAAATCACATTAGACTTCAGATAAAGATTGTGATCCACAAAGGAAAAATAAATCAGGCTAGTCTCAGACTTCTCTTTATAGTAAAGACTAGAGGACAACAGATCAACAGCTACAGGGTTTGAAAGGAAGAGATTACTATCTAAATATTTTATACTTCACAATTTGTTATTCATGTACGAAGTGAAGATAAAGACATTCTCACATATGTAATGAATCTAAAACTATACTTGAAAATACATTCCCATGAACAAAGATGAATTTTTAGAAGGAGCTAAGAAATCAAGAAGTCACGTCTAAGAGGATGGAGATGAGCATCAGCATGAGTTAAAAGGTAAGCTAAAATCATTGCAAGTGTTTCTTTCAGGCCAAATGCATTAAGCCCAGCCATTTAATTTCTTCCCTCCCATTTTCCCAATGAATAGAAGAGGAATCTTTTAGCAGTATGCCCTGGAAGGGAAGGATAGCATCCATGTGGCAAAACGCTAAAAACTTTCTCATCACTGAAGATAAAGCCAGATTAAGAGATGACTTAGATGTGTTCCATTTACACGGCCCCTTCCTAAGAAGGAGCATTAAATCCAGGATGAAATGAAGGGAGTCCTGGCTCCATCTCCTTGATATTTCTAAGCTGCAGTCTTGGGCTAGATTTAGGGCAACCGGACACCACTTGTACTCTGTTTCACCCCTGATGATTATCACTGACATCAGAAAAAGGGTGGCCCTAGGATCCACTGGGCAGCCACTTAAAGCAAAAAGCTGGCATGATGTTGGGAATATGCTGGGCTGTGTTGCAGAAGGAGACCAGATACTAAATGCAAGTACCAAGTCACAGCTTGATCCAGACATGGTGCATACAGAAAACCAGTCTGTGGTTCAGAGGTTTCACCAAACAGAGGAAAAAAAAATCTTCCACTGCCATTTATGTATTTGTCCATTCAATAAATATTTACTTGAGTGTCAACAAGGTAGTTAATGAAATAGGCATGATCTTTGTGCTCTGTCTATAGAAGACATGAGACAAATAAATAGGTAAAGGCCATAATATGCCCAATCGTAGGTGAAGTAAGTGGAGATAGCAGACTGTCCATAGAGGCATCCAGCTCAGGCTTGGGCATCCGGGAAAGATTTGTTAAAGGAAATTGTTATTTGTATGTGAAAAACAAGTTGTAGTGAGAGAAAGGTTTGCAGTTAGAGCAAGTGGGTAAGTACATAATAGAAGACTTCAAGTAAAGAGAGCAGTAAGGGTTAAGGTCAAGAGCCAAGAGGAGAGAACCTGAAACAGAGGCAGCATGGGGCTAGGTCACAGAGAATTTTGTGAGTCATGTTTAAAACTTTGAACTTTACCTCATGAACAACGTAAGAGTGCTAAAAGGTTTCAAATAGTGGAATATGATCCAATTTTCATTTTGAAAGATGATTCTGCAAAGAATAAATTGGGGTTGGAGGCCATAAGACAAATGGCAGAGTGATGGGTTAAAGGCAGTTGTAACAATGCAGGGAATGCATGATCATGCCTGACCCATCTGATGGTAGGCATGGAAAATATATCAGATTTCAGAGGTATCAAAAAAGCTGAAATAACAGAACTTGATAATTAGTTTTATATTAGTTATTTATTGCTGCATAGCAAATTACCACTAACTTGGCACAAATACTTTTTCTATCTCACAGTTTCTGTTGGTCAGGCTTATCTGAGCATGGCTTATCTGGGTCCTCTGCTTCATGGTTTCACCCAAGACTGCAATCAAAGGGATGGTCAGGGCTGGGGTCTCATCTGAAGGCACAACTGGAGAAATATCTGCTTCAAAGTTCAAGTGGTTTTTAATAGGATTCAGTTCCCTGCAGTAGTTAGATTGAGGGCTTCAGTTCTTTGCTGTATGTTCCTCTCCAACATGGCAGCTGGCTTTAGCAAAGCCAGCTAAGTATAGAGTCTAGTAACCAGGCAGAAGTCTTAATCTTATGTAACCTAATTATGCAAGTGATATGCCCATGGCATCTATTGGTGACAAGCAAGTTGCTAGGCTGGCCTACACTCAAGGGGAAGGGATTCCACAAGGGCAGAAATACCAGAAGGCGGGAATCATTGAGGGCCATCTTTGAGTCTGCATGGCTATGTGGGTTAGGATGAATAAAAGGGTGGCTGGCCATATTATTGGGAACACTGAAACAGGGATTAGTTTTTACCAGAAAGTAATGAGTTTTGGAGATATTGAGTTTGGGGGTCTAGGAGTACATCCATGTAGAGTTGAGGAATGCTTGCTGGGATACAGGGTTCTAACACTTAGTATAGTCACCTGGGCTAGGGTAGGAATCATAAGTCCCTCAATTGTAACGTGCTTATTGAAGCTTTGACACTAGATGAGATGACCCAGGGAGGGCAAGTAGATAAACAAAACCCTAAGATATGTGTAATGCAGCCCAATTAAACACTTTGGAAGAAAGTATTTTAAGAAAAGACCTACTGAATATGAATCTCCAGAGATGAGGTCTGGTCATCTGTATTTTTTTAAGCACCACAGGTGATTCTAATGTGCAGCCAAGCTTGAAAACTGCTGAAATGTACTCATTAAAAAAAAAAAAGATTAAACATATGTACACATAAGCTTCTATGGTGGTTATCTCCAGTAGGTAGGATTACAAGTAATCTTTATTTTCTCCTCTTTGCTTGCTTGTACCTTCCACCTTAAATGTATTTCTTTTATAAAAAGGAAATCAACTTGTTATTTTTAAAAACACTTCTAGCACAAATGGTGTTTATCAAAGGAGTGCAATAAAAGAAATATTAATATGATACATCATATTAATAGAGTAAAAAGCATTTGGAAAACCCAGAATATACCCATTTTTCACCTGTACTAAGATTTTCATCTTAGTGATGATATGGTTTGGGTCTGTGTCCCCACCCAAATCTCATGTCAAATTGTTATCCCGGTGTTGGCGGTGGGGCCTGGTGGGAAGTGACTTGATCATGGGGGTGGAATTCTCCTTTGGTGCTGTTCTCGTGACAGTGAGTGAGTTATCATGAGATCTGGTTGTTTAAAATGTGTAGCACCGCCCCCATCTCTCTCTTCCTCCTGCTCTAGCCATGTAAGATGTGCCTGCTTCCCCTTCGCCTTCCGCCATGATGGAAAGTCTCCTGAGGCCTCCCCAGCCATGTTTCCTGTACAGCCTGCAGAACCATGAACGAATTAAACCTCTTTTTTTATAAATTACCCAGTCTAAGGTATTTCTTCATAGCAGTGTGAGAATGAACTAATACATTATAACACTCAAAGCTCATAATGTTATCACTGAGGTAGGAATTGTTATACACTATGGGTTGGAACATAAATTAGTACACCCTTCCTAGAAGGCAATTTGGCAATGGGCCTCAAGACCTGTAATATTATTTATACTCTTGGATTTAATTATACTTCCAGGAATTTATCCTAAGGACATAATCAGAGATATAGACACAGATTAATATGCAAGGAATTCACAGTCCTATTATTGATGACAGTGAAAAATTAGAATGAGCTGTTACATAATCAGACATGTTGAAACAAATGGTTCATAAGCATGCCACCCTAATATCCTTTGACCTCATCCAAGTATATATAAATGTGTCATGTTCTTATAATGCTATGTATATTTACTGTAATACTATAACACTAGATACAGTAATACTATATGCTATAATATTGTATACTTTAAGACTATATATGTTATATATACAGTCACATATTGCTTTATGATAGAGATTCAAATGTGTTGTTAGGCAATTTTGTCACTGTGTGAACATCACAGAGTGTGCTTACACAATAGGCTATACGGCATAGCCTATTGCTTCTAGGCTACAAATCTGTTAGCAATACTGTAGGCAGCTGTAACATGATGGTAAGTATTTGTGTATCTAAACATATCCAAACATAAAAAAGGTATAGTAAAACACAACATAATATAAAAGATAAAAAATGGTACACCTGTATAGGACACTTACCATGAATTGAGCTTGCAGGACTGGCAGTTGCTCTGGGTGAATAAGTGGTGAGTTTATAAACACTGTACACTTCGGCTGCACTAAATTTATTTTTAAAAATTCTTTCTTCAGTAATACATTAATCTTAGCTTACTGTAACTTCTACTTTATAAACTTTTTAATTTTTAACTTTTTGACTCATAATAACCCAAGCTTAAAATAAGCACATTGTACAGCTGTACAAAAATATTTTCTTTCTTGTTCTATAAGCTTGTCACTATTTGAAATTTTTTTTAACTTTTTCAACTTTTTTATTAAAAACTAAGACACAAACACACACATTAGCCTAAGCCTACACAGAGGATCATCAATATCACTGTCTTCCACCTCCACATCTTGTCCCTCTGGAAGATCTTCAGGGGCAATAAAACACATGGAGCTGTTATCTCCTATGACAACAATGCCTGCAGCTGGAATACCTCCTGAAGGACCTGCCTGAAACTGCTTTACAGATTAACTTTTCCTTTTTATAAGTAGAAGGCGTACACTCTAAAATAATGATTGAAACTGTAGCATAGTAAATACATAAACTAGTAACATAATTGTTTATTATCATTACCAAGTATCATGCACTATACACAATAGTGTGCGCTCTACTTTTGCACAACTGGCAGTGCCATATGTTTGTTTACACCAGCAGCATCATAAGCACATGAGTAATGCATTGTGCTATGACCTTTCAATGGCTATTATGCAACTAGACAATAGGAATTTTTTAGCTCATAATATAGTTTGGATATTTGTCCCCACCCAAACCTCATGTTGAAATGTAATCCCCAGTGGTGGAGGTGGTGCCAGGTGGGAGGTGATTGGGTCATGGGGGCAGATTTCTCATGGGCTGGTGCTATCCTCGTGATAGTGAGTGTGTTCTCAAGAGATCTGGTTGTTCACAAGTTCTCAAGAGATCTGGTTGTTCATAAGTCTCTCCTGCTTTCACCATGTGACATGCCTGCTCCTGCTTCACCTTCCACCATGATTAAAAGCTCCCTGAGGCTTCCGCAGAAGCCAAGCAGATGTGGGTGCCATGCTTGTACAGCCTGCAGAACCAATTAAACCTCTTTTCTTTATCAATTGCCCAGTCTCAGGTATTTCTTTATAGCAATGCAAGAACAGCCTAATACAGCTCCATTATAATCTTATGGGACCACTACGGTATATGCAGTCTGTCATTGACTGAAATATGATGCAGCAACATGACTGTACTATCACATGTGTACCATAATACTAAGCTATAAGTTCTCGCTGGCTTGATTATCAGTAAGACTAGACTTCCCAGGAATGCCTCCCCTAGTGATCCCCTCTTTGATTCTGGGTGGAGGGAAGAGGAGGGTGAACAGGAAGGTGGCCATAGAACTGAGTTCCCCAGCTCCTCTTCTCATCACCTAGCTGTCCTTATCCCCACAGCACCTCTCCCTTGACTGCCACCGCCTCTGCTGCTCTCCTTAGGAGGGCCACCACCTGGTGTTCATCTCTGGCCAAGAAAATAGGTCCTTTCACTTCCTATAAAAAGCTGCCTTCAGGGCTTTCCCACAGCAGAGTTCACGGGTCCTCAGTGACATGATTCTTTCCTAGATTCAAGAACACACGGCTCTCCAGAGGCTTGGGTTAGGTACAAGGTATTGTACCCAGAACCACCACTCTCTCCGAGCAATGATCCTAGTCAGTGCACTTTGGCCAACCTCCAGATGTCTCCCTGATGTGATTTCACTCTGAGTCCCTCATGTGCCTCCCTCAGTGTGGTTCCCTCAAGGAATCCCAGTCCCTTCCACAACATAACTTCATGGATGGATCTGCATCTGGTTCCTCCCAGAAGTAACTCAAGGATGTGACTGAGAATCCTTTTCAATGTCTCCAATTGTCCATGACAATTTAGAAGTCCTCTCCCACATTTGACACTGATGGAAGCTGATCTTCTCAGAGCACACAGAGAACCTCCACCAACAAAACTCTCTTTCTCCCCAAGCCAGCCACATCATCCCACACTGCTTTGTTTTTTACATTTTTAATTGTTTATTTTTTTAACTGACAAATACAGATTGCATATATGTATGGTATACAACATGATGTTTTGAAATATGTATACATTGTGGAATGGCTAAGTCAAGCTAATTAACATATATATTATCTCACACGCTTATTTTCCACTATTATTTAAATTAGATCTTCAATGCTGTGCTTTTCTATTTTGTGTGTAATATACCATTTGCACAAATATGTGTATATCTCTAAGTAATCAAATAAATTTTTTTATTGTAAATAGCTTCTCTTTGATGTATAACAACCCCAACTTTTATTATGCCGTACTCCATTAAGAACAAAGAACCAAGAAAATACTTAATTACTTATTTCAGAAATACTATTTTTTACTTACCATGTAGATATTGCAAGGGCCACTAAAATGAGGTAAAGTTTGGTCCCTGCTTTCAAGAACAGGAGAAAGAGGTGAGTAAAAATAATTGTGACACAAAACAATATAAATTAAGTGTGACAACAGTGGTATCAATAATGAAATATAATTATTCATTGAAAGAAAAAAGAATTTCAAAAGAATAACTTTAAAAAGCGTTGTAGAGGCAGTGTTAAGAATAAATACTAACATTTCAAGAGTAGCCTGTTGGGTTTTAACTTGTTGTTTTTTTAAAAAAGCCATCTGAAAATTTATGTATTATAGTTTGTAAAAATTTAGTTCTGGGTTTTATTTGTTGGAATTCTTGGTTGCAGATCTTAGAAATAACACTTGAACTTTTTGGCTTGGGGAAAAAAAGGAGTTCATTGATTTGGGAAGAAGAATCTGGAGACATCTCAGAAGGGGTTACACACACAGCTGTATTATGATTGGCCCAGTTTGTATCACATAACCATCCCTGAACCAATCAAATAAAGCTGTGAGCATGGACATATTTTATAAAACTGGCAGCTCCTATGAATGCACAACATTGAAATAAAGGAAGTATAGTTTGCAAAAGGAGAAAGGGAATATGGAATGAATAAAGCCATAAAGTTCTGCACATTTAATTGCATAAAATTTTAGTCCTTCATACTGCAAGAAAGACCCTTCCCTGAAGATTATTCAATATCGCATAAATATAGTTTGGCAGCCATCTCTCTCTTTCTGTTTGAGGCTTATATACACTATAAAAAGCAACAGAACAACACGTTCTATAAACCAGTTGGAGAAGGACACCTCTAGGCTTTCCTGATAATCTTCATACCAGAAGTACAGAGAAATTCCAGGTACAAATTTCTCAGGAATCACCAGAAACATAGGCTTTGGTGTGATCTATTTCACGCAACAACATTTAAAACAAAGAGATACATCTTATTAAATTGCTCCAGTTCTATAACCAGGGCATGAAAAATGCAAGTTTTACACTGGCCTCTTCTCTGGATATCTGAACAAGTTAAACAAAACTTTATTTAACATCCATTTTACCAGGTTAAATGTAAAGACAACTGCCCCAGCTCCTAGCATTTCATTGTTCCCAGGCTATGACCTCATATAGGGAGAAACATTGATTGTCAGGGGTTTTCAGACTCCTACAAAACTCTATGCCTATTGAAATTCACTTTTATAGAGTAAAGAGAGCCATTAAAATGTATATGTATTAGAGAACAGCAGGCTTTGCTCTGATTAATATCAGCACATTGTAGAGGAATATTCATGGTCCTCACTAGCACGCTCCTGAGATTTTCTGAAATAATGTGAAGTCCTCGGGCCCAGCACACAGCACTGCAAACAACTCTCAGATTGTTCTGAGTCCTCCAAGTAGATCTACCAGGTTTAGCAAATAAATGTACAAGACATCCAGTTAAATTTGAATTTCAGATAAACAACAAATAATTTTTAGGAGAAGTATGTCCCATGCAATACTTGAGACACACTTTACTAAAACTTAATTGTTATCTGAAATTCAACTTTAGCTGAACCTCCTGTATTTTATCTGGCAACATGATCACCCAAGGTCTTTTTGATATTGCCTTTCCTTATTTTCCCAAAAAGTTTGCCGTTTAAACAGCTTCTCAGAATTAATCTTCACCATGGTTTTTTTGTTATTATTATTATTTATTTTTTTTTTTGTCAATCCAATAAGCTTTTAACTTCTTCCATTTTCTGGTCATGAGACTGAATCCAGTGAAGAGCCAAAAGATAATAAAAAAGGAGGGAAAACAGGAAATTATTAAAATTATTTTTGCTTTTAAATAATGTCTTCCCACCCCCTATGTCACTGTACCCCCAAAATAAAGTACTAACTGTGCTGCCAATGATTCCTTAGGTTAAGCGTATCCTAGATTCATTCCATTTTTACTTCCTAAAATCCCTTATAGGACATGCTGGTAACACCAATATGTCCTTGCCAGGATACATGAGGGCCAATGCAAAGACACACTACTGCCATGGCATTTTCCCGTCCATAGATCACAAGCATGTGCACATCCTTGCAATAGCCTTGCCGCAAGGGAAGGAGGAGGTCATATATCACCTCTCAACATCTAGAATTTATATTTAAACCTACCCTTGCAATGTCAGGTCTGGGAGGTCCTTGTATTAAACACAAATCACAGAATACTTGAAGAATGAACACAAAAGCCATAACTCTTCCTTCAACTCAATGCCTCTACTGTCACTTCTGCTTAAAAATTTTTACTAGTTTCTAGTCGGACGCAGGAAGTATGTGAAGCAGTAAGAGGGCTGCATATAGTCAAGGAATTAATATAATTCTAGATGGGGACAAAGGCATTTCACCAGTGACCTTAGCAAATCGTTTAAAAACAACACCCCTCATTACATGTTAGGTGGCCACCAATCCAGTGGCTGGGGCCCCAACAGAGGACTCTTAAGGCTGATAAATGAAGAGAGTAGATCAGGCATTTATCCTGCCCTTCATGTACTTTACGGTGACACTTCCTGTGTTTTACAGTAATCAAATCATTGAAGAGGGAAATTCTTCTTTATGGAAAAATTTCCACTAATAAATGCAGAGTGATAGAACTAGAAAAATCACCTTTTGCAAGCCCCTAAAGAAGGAAATAATGGATCTAGGCAGCAATCATCAAAGGAATGGAAACTTGATAATGCAGGGATAAGGCTGACATACCTGAACCCACTCACTGATCTTAGCATCACTTAAAATGGGACAACCAGACCTTTTGGCCTCATGACGTAAAGCAACGAGAACTGCAAAACTCTGCTCAGAAAAGAGTCTTGCCTCAAAAATTGAACTTGAGTCTAATTGAACCTCTAGATCATTATATCATCCTCTCTATTTTTGTGTATGTTTGAAATTTTTCATGTAAAAAAAACACAGTTTTTAAAAAATGTATTCAGAATGTTCTGGAACCCTTTGTTTCAACTCTTGTTTTATATCCTTCTAAGATGTGTTACTAGATCCTATTCCAGCCTATATACATTCATCATCCTGAACACAGCTGTGTCTTTCTTTGATGACCAAGCTCTTTATTTCAAGCTTATTATAATAAACTTCAAGTAGGAGTCTCCATAGCTACTGATTTAAACCATGTAAAGTAGATAGAACTGACTCTACACTAATCCCAGAATATTAATTCATTGATCATAAATAGTTTTCAGGATCTTTCATGTACACAATACTACCACCATCTATGTTCTTTATATTTGACCATCTTCTGATAAAATTTTACAAAATCTTCAAAACTACAAGGAGTGGTGGTGGAAACTGGGACTATTAAAATGTCCTGGTTAATTGGGTTCTGCTTAGAGAGGGTTTACCTTTTATACAAAAGAACCTAGAGCAGAGGATGGGGAAGTTTGGTTAGGGCAACATTCTGTAAGAAGTAAGGCTTGCAATTCTAGTTGCCAGAATCTTGGCTGAAATAGGATCAGCTGCCTGAATGCAATAAAACCAAATGAGGTTATTTGAGGCATTATGAAGTTTAGTTCATGAGAATGAACTAAACTTTACTCACACACAAATATAAAGGAAAGAGAGGTAAGTTTCTAAAAGAAACACGTTGTTCTTTTTTATGCAGTACTTGCTGAAAACCCTTAGCCATTGGGGTGGGGGACTGGCCTTCTGATAGTACCCGAATTGCTCCTTTTCCTCCATCTTGACCACCTTATTCTTATTCCCCTCTGGTCCACAGTGGAGTAGCTGCATTTCTAATCAGTGCCTTTTTATTACATCTGTCTTAATGTACTTCAGAGTTCACTTTCTCCACTTTAATTATCAATCATATTGCTGAGGGCACTTTGTTTTCTTCCAATATCCTCTGTAACAGGCTGGCTGCCTACCTTCTGTGCTAAGTCCCAAAATACATTGTTTATCTCTCAGTTCATGACGTCTGGGGACTTCCTGCCTGCCTATTCTCTGAGCTCTCGGTGATCTGTATTTTCTGTCTGCCTGTGACAAAGGAAAAAGAAGGTTTTGGTTGGTTGGTTGCTGTTTGTTTTTATTTTATATTTGTAGGAAGGTTAACTTTCTGGTTGGAGTCCTTGCTTAAAGCTGACTTTTTTCTGCCTTGGTTTGTTTCTGATCCAAGGACGCTGGCCTCGGATCAGAAATACACTCACTCTACCCTCTGACTCTCTCTGAGGGGAGGTGTATGCTTCTTATCATGCCAGGCCCAGTACCAAATAGGTTCCAATAGCAAACTTCCTGAGGTTGGTTTTGCCTTTTCAAATTCCACAGACAAATTACTGAAGCTTTGCTTATGGGTAGAAGTAGAGATCAAGGCTCTAAGAAAGAAAAGGAAATTCTACAAAACTCAGAATGGAGTTTAATAGAAAAAAATCCCTGTCTCTGTGACCCTTGCCCTTTTCCGATAAGAGTGAAATGAAGATCTCTTGCCTCTTTCTTCTTTAAATACTCCCTTTCTCCCCTCATCCAACCCCATTTCCTAGACACAATAAAACTTGAAGATTAAGCCCACCAAGCGTCTGCTACTCAGGAAGCACAATAAGTAGAAGTCTCAAGTTAAAGGCCTGTGAAAAACTGCCATTGCCTAAAAAGGACATGGTAAACTCAGAGGGCAGAGATGGAAGTGCTAATAGGTGCCTATAGAGAAATGAGGGCAAAGAACAAGAAAGAGTCCAGGAGAATAACCGAAGACTTGATAAGAAAGAAAATAATTATCGTTCAGATAGAAGAGGACCGGAATCTATAATAAAATGAAAGAGCCAGGAAACAAGGAGAAGGGTCCAAAACTGGGGATTCTCAGCAGCCGGCAACCGAGGGAAAGGGGTGAGAACAGGGAGAATGGGCAAGTGAATGGAAAAGAGCCCTAATACAGATCCAGAGGGAGTTACTTCCCCTAATGATCCAGGTCTCAGGCCAGAGGAAGGAAGGAGATTCCGAAGAAATTGGATAGACCATTCTCTTCCAGTTGACAAAAAGAAAGGGTAAAGATAGAAAATAGCTCAACTTGGGATTTCAGGGTAGAAGCTGGGTGTACTAACCAGCATTCATAATTGAAGGGCACAGAACCCAAAGAAGAGGTTGAAGCCTGAAAAAGAGATAAATCTATGCCATTACTGGCACAGCAGGGATGGGATTTAATGTTCCAGACTTGAGTGGGGTGAACTGAATTAAGACAGCTGTATCTGTGGGAGGCTTCCAGGCCTTTTCACTCCAGGAGCCTTCAGTTCTGCACCCAAGCTGTCAGCATTTGCTGAGCTATAGTGGGTGAAGTGGCAGGGAGGGAAGTACCACTGGAGTAGAGATAAAAGGAAAAAGGTGGCTCCAGGAGGTCAATTTTGAATGAAAGAAATATCTCTTTCTTGCCTTCCTAAAGAGAAGTACTCTAAGGTTATCCAATGCTACCATCTGTTTAAACCTAGACAGCAATCCTTTAACAAGTAGTTACTGTTCACCTACCACATTCAACGTGCCAGCCATCAAAGTCCGAATCAAAAGAAAATAATCAAGAAGGTAACATTGAAAGGTATGGACCAAAAGAGGAATTCATTTCCAAGTTGGAATATTAGTAGTCTGGATCATAAACAATATCAGACAACTGACTATCATCTGCTCTAAATACAGACTCTATTCATCCATGCATCTATCCAAGTATCCAACAGACAGGCATGCCAAACATTTACTCTGTGCCAGGATTTGTACCAGATGGTGGAAACAGAAAGATGCCAGACATGATGCCTGACCATGAATAGCTCTGCCTTGTAGGGAAGAAGGGGAAAAAGACAAAACAAAAAATTACCATACAACATACCACAAATTAAATAGAGCCCCAAGGTGCTATGAAAGCCCAGGGATGATATTAGTTTACCTCCAAATGGTAAAAATGGAGAGAAGCATTCTAGTGAAAGGTAACAGAATGTGTGAAGATAAGGGCAAGCAATGCAGTATGGCCTGCTCATGGAGGGGCAAATAGTTGCCTGTGATTGGAGTCCAGGTTGCACTGGAGAAAGGAGCAGCTCACATAAAAGCAGGGCTTCTCAACTTCACCACTACTGACATTTTGTCCTGTGCATTGTAGAAGCTTCAGAGCATCCCTGGCCTCCACCCACTAGATGCTAGTAACACACACACACACACATTCCAAAGTGATCATCAAAAATATCTTCAGACATTGTCAAATGTTTACTGTCTTCTGGACAGTAAAATTGACCCTGCTTGAGAATCATTAGATTAGAGAGGTAGAAATTGATCCATTTATGACTGGCTTTGCATGGAGTCTGGATTTTATCTTCTAAGCAAAGAAAATCATAGAGGGTAGGGTGTGGGATAATAGATTTTGGAGAGTCTGAATGGTGGAATGGTGGGAGATGGGTGAGGGTTGAGATATCACTTAATGTGTACAATGTAACTATTTGGGTGATGGTTATACTAAAAGTTCAGACTTCACCACTAGGCAATATATTCATGTAACAAACTGTACTTGTACCTCCTAAATTTATACACATTTTTAAAAAGAAGGAAAAAAAGAAAATCATGGAAGGAATTGTGATCAGCTGTATCCCTCACACATACCATGTTCACATGGAGTATCTGCAGAGGGTCAAATTTGGAGTAAGGAGTCCACTTGGGAAGAGGCTACTGCAATGGTCCAAGCAAGGAAGGATGCAAGCTTGAACTGGGGTAATGGCATTGGGAGCAGAGAAAGGAGGGCAGAAGGTGGAAAAGAGATGTGAAAATGATGTTATGCTCTCCTCCTTGCCCTCACGGTCAAAATAATAACCAAAGAGCAAACAAACTAAACCTTAAAATGATTATAACTAGCAAATAGATTTACAGTGTGGTGATAGAAAAATGAATACTTCATGAAGCTTTCCTGAGGAAATGTTACTGCATTTTCAAAAAATCATTTCACATTAAAATTTATACATTCATTTATTTAACAACAACACTATTAACTTCTAGAGCTACCGGAAAATCGGAAAAACTATGTGTGTAAACGTATGTAGGATTACGTGTATAAAATGAAACCATGAGACTTGCGGGGCTGGAGGCCTGTGAATTCTGAAGAGACTTCCATCTCTCTCTCTTTCTGCTGCCTCAGAAACTTACCCTATTCCAAGGGTGAGAAAAAAATAAAACTTCTAGCAAGCAACACTGCCTTTTCAAGGAGATGCTCTTTCTTCATATACCCAAGCACATTCTATTCTTGAACTTACATATTTGTCCAATGACCGCAAAGTGTCAAGGTATTTCAGAAGCCAATTAATTGTGTTTCCTCTGAGAGCACTTTTAGATGAGAAAATAAAAATGTTTTTGCTAGGATGACTCTCAGATCATGACATATAGATCTACCACTTACCATTACCTTGATTCCCACTGAAACCTGCAAAAGCAATGACAGGATGAGGCTAGACCACAGCTCACCACTATATTCCACACACTGGGCTGCCCAATCAAACAGCCCACCTGGTCATCCCTCTAAACCATCTCCAGCCTCTGCTGCACCAAGCCTAGATCTTCACATCCACCATTTTCTCCGTATCAGCTCTGCATAACCAAAACACAAAACCCTGTGTTTGTGGCTGCCATCATGCAAATTGAAATGAGAGGGAAGCCACAGGCAGCGGGTCAGCCAGCCTTGAATAGCAATCTGGTAGGAAAAGCACTGAATTGGCTAAATTAACATTTTTCTCCTTCTCAGTCTTTTTGATTCCCCTACCTTTTCTATTTCATTTTCAACACTCAGGTAACTGACTTATTAACCAATCTCTCTGGAGATGGCTGGTCTTTCTAAGGAGGCTGTTGTAGAAAAATCTTATTCTGCCCAAACTTACCATTACTGGAACATCTCAGGAGACATAACATTTATAAACTTCCTGTCACCCAATGTGCTGTTCAGAAGCCATTCATTTTAACTTAATTTGCAGGACTGAAAGTCTCAAGCTCACTTGCTATATAAAAAGTGACTTTTTTGCTATTACCCATTATCATTTTGCCTCCTGCCAATGGTACAAAGTTAAAGAGCACTGCAGAGCTGGAAACCCTTCATTTGTAGTTAAACAATGAGCTCCAAGACAGTTCTTACCTGGAAGGCGACCTTTCTCCCCGCTCAAAATCTAATAATAATGTCAATATACAAGCTACTACTTTTCTTAGGGTACTGAGGCTGGTAATATACTACTTTAGTGTCACTGAATACTTCATGGCAATCTTTGAAACATGTGGTTTAAGGATCATTTTTCCTGTTGCCTTGTTTCTTCTAATATTTATCTGAGTTTACTTATTTATGTGAAGGAAACAAAACACCCACCCCCGCCCCCCCAGAAAAATTCTCTAACTGCTTATAGAAGAAATTATGGGCCATTTTATGGTATGGTAATGGATAAAATAATCAAATAACACACATGTCTTCCTAGTAGAGATCGCCAACTCACAACTAAATACAATCTATACCATTTAGATCCACAATGATATGTAAGCTACATTCCTGGAAAATAAATTGATCTTCTGAACAACCTTGGCCCAGCTCGTTTCTGGCCTGAGGTCATCACTGCCACTCCTCTGGAACCAGAAGGGACAATTAATGCATAGTAGGTAGTTTTTGAGTAAAAGGTAGAGGCTGTAGAGTCACTATCCATTAAACTATAGATGAGTTGGGATTATATGCTGGTAATGAAATACAGGATTCTTTCTACTAACTTTAAACCATTGAGCCAATCTTCTTAAACCAACCAAATAGAACCACATCATTTGGATATTTATGTTGTATCCATTCTATTGCGCCTGTGAAATTATTTTTGGCAAGATCACTGCCAATGGCATCATTTTTGCTAAATCCATCCACTGGACACTGAAATCCTCATCTTTTTTTATTATTATATCAATAGTTTTGTGGGTACGGGTGGTTTTGGATTACATGGACAAGTTCTTTAGTGGTGATTTCTGATATTTTGGTGCACCCACCACCCAGGCAGTGTACAATGTACGCAGTAGGTAGTCTTTATCCCTCACCCCACTCCCACCCTTCCCTCTGAGTCCCCAAAGCCCATTATATCATTCTTACGCCTTTGCATCCTCACAGCTTAGTCATGAGGCCTAAGAACATATCCTATATTCTTAGGCATAGGAACATAAGCATATGTTCTAAGGCATAAGGCATGCTCTAAGGCATGAGAACATAGGATATTTGGTTTGCTATTCCTGAGTTACTTCACATAGAATAATGGCCTCCATGTCCATCTAAGTTGCTACAAAAGCCATTATTTCATTCCGTTTTATGACTGAGTAGTATTCCATAGTGTATATATACCACATTTTGTGTATCCATTCTTTAGTTGATGGGCATTTACGTTGGTTCCATAGTTTTGTAACTGAATTGTGCTGAGATAAACATATCTGTGTGTGTATGTGTCTTTTTCATATAAAGTCGTTATCTTAATTGACCTCTGTTTTATCTCCTCTTACCCTCTCCTGTTGTGCTGTTTTTGAGAGAGTTCCTCAACTTTTTCTCCCAATCATTCCAGCAAATTTTTTCTTTTCTTTTTTTTTTTTTTTTTAGACGCAGTTTCACTCTTGTTGCCCAGGCTGGAGTGCAATGGCGCAATCTCGGCACACCGCAACCTCCACCTCCCAGGTTCAAGCGATTCTCCTGCCTCAGCTTCCCAAGCAGCTGAAATTATAGGCACACACCACCATGCCCGGCTAATTTTTGTATTTTTAGTAGAGACGGGGTTTTGCCATGTTAGTCAGGCTGGTCTCTAACTCCTGACCTCAGGTGATCCACCCGCCTCGGCCTCCCAAAGTGCTGGGATTACAGGCGTGAGCCACTGTGCCCAGCCACCCAGCAATTGTTTTAGTTGAGTCATCATCTCTCTAATTTCCAAGGGATCTTCCTTATTCTTTGTATTTTTCATTTTCATAGCATTTTGTTCTCCCCTTATGGAGGCAATAGCTTTCAGTATCTTCTTAAATTTCAGAGAACACTAGAGTTGTCATCATTTTAAAATTATCTTCAGTTCCCTGAATTTTGTTTCTTCAGAGGTCAGTTTTTGTGATTATCTTCTACTTTATCTTCCAGGAGGTAAACATCCTTAAATATAAGGCTGACTAGGAGCAGAACTTATCAACTAGCAAGCTTCACTTTAGGGTAACAGGGTGAGGAAGTAAGAGCCAGCTTTACTGAAGGCTATCTAAATGATAGAATGTGAAGGGCTTCACTCCAGGGCGATAACACCCACACTAACAGCCCAAGTTCTTCCCAAATATTTGTTCAATTTCTCTAAAAAAGAACATTCTGGGCTTTTGTTTTGTTGCCATTGCTGTTTTTGCCTGGAGGAAAATACTGGTTTGCTGGGCTTTCTGAAGGAGGAAGTGGACTATGTGTCCTTACATAAAACGGTCTTTAAATATAACCTTCGATTTTCTGCTTTCTGCAAACTCTCACTGCCCCTCTCTCAGCTGCTGTCTCTGAGCCTGAAGTCTGGAGACATTTTGGAATATTCTAGACGGGCTTCCTCCTTTCTCAGCTGCAACCTTTCATGCAAATATTATAGCAGGGCATCCTCCACTCAGCTCCACCAATCTTCGATCTGCTTTTAGAAGTGGAAACAGTCCATTTGTCACTTCTTCCTGTGTAAGCTGAGCATTGTCTTTCCCTTAGCTACTTGCCAGTCTTCATATTGTTAATCCAATATGAAATTCAATAATTATTATTAAATTTCTTGTAGTGTGTATTTTATCATTCCAGAAGTCATCAGCAGACTTTTCAATTTTTTTTCTAGACATGATACATATGTGACAGTCTTTCTGAACACTTGTATATATGAAAATGTTCTTCTGTTGCTTTCACACATTAATAAAACTTGGATGACTTCTTAGGTCACAACTTTTTCTTTTCTTTTTATTTTATTTTATTTTATTTGAGGCAGAGTCTTGCTCTCTCGCCCAGGCTGGAGTGCAGTGGCGCGATCTCGGCTCACACAAGCTCCGCCTCCTGGGTTCACACTGTTCTCCTGCCTCAGCCTCCCGAGTAGCTGGGACTGCAGGCGCCCGCCACCACACCCAGCTAATTTTTTGTATTTTTAGTAGAGAAGGGGTTTCACTGTGTTAGTCAGGATGTTCTCAATCTCCTGACCTCGTGAGCTGCCCACCTTGGCCTCCCAAAGTGCTGGGATTACAGGCGTGAGCCACTGCACCCAGCCACAACTTTTTTTCCTCAAAGACTACTACTATCTACTACTTCATATTATAGAGATTGCCTCATCATTATCTGGAGTTTAATAATGTAGAAATGAAGTCTGAATTTAGCTTGGGTGTTATTTTTTTAAAAAACGTTGAGGACTTAGGGTTTTGCATCAGTGCCTTTGTGTGTCTATGAGGTTCAAACATTTTCTGCCAGGATGAGTCTGTGAGCAGGTCTTAACTCTTTATTTTCTCTGAGAGCTATAAAGTGCTATCAAATGCTGACTCAATCTTTCTTCCATTTGGGAATGTTTTCTTCTTTATATCTTTTATTATTACTTCGATACCATTTGTGCTGACTTCATCTTCAGAAGCCCCTGATACTCATGATTTCACTGTCTGTTCTCTGGCTTCCTTATTGATTAACTTTGCTGTTATCATGCTCATCTCTTTAATGACTTTTTCTGCATTGTAAAGGAGCCTCTCAACTTTCTCTTCATGGGAACTGATAGCAACTTTCTGCAAGTTCTGTTATGTTCTTTCATCCTTCTAGAGAAGATTTCAAAGACATTATTCTGTTTCCTTTAGTTTCCTTTTCAAATATATTCCATCTCTATCTCCAAGGTGATGGTCCCCTACTCTCAAGTTGCAGAAACTTTGCAAAGGCCTCATGTTGATTTTTATTTGTTAGCTTGCTTTACCAAAGAGAGTTTTATTCAGGCCCTCTCTTCTAATGGATAAATATTGATCTTAATCCCCTGCCCACGTTACACCCCCTAATAAACAAATCCTGTATTCCCTGACACCTGGATGCCAATAGAATTCCTCTCTCAGATCCTAACGTGGGAAAACAGGTGATTATTTATACACATAGACACATACATATACATCCTTGTGGTAGATTGTATTTCATTTTCCAACATGGCCATGACAAAATCCACTCTCCTACATGCTCCTCTGCCACAAAACCTCACCATTTCTCCCTCAAGGAGAATCTAATGCCCTTCCCTTGAATATGGGCTGGCCTTAGTGATTCACTGACGCCAAAAGAAGGCAGAAAAAGTGACCACTTTGTGATTTCTGAAACTAGGCCATGTGGATCCATCTGCTTCATGTCTGGATGCTTCCTCTTGGAACCCAAACATTGTGCTGTGAAAATCCCAAGCCACATAGAGGCCATGTGTAGGTGCCCTGGCTGACATTTTCCATTGAGCCAAGGCTTCAAGTCATCCCAGCCAGACATGCTAGTGAAAAGCCTCCAGAGGACTGCAGCCCTCAGCCATTTGGAGGTCCCATTCATTGTGGAGGAGGGATTAACCATCCAAGTTACTGGCTTATAGACTCTATAAGCATAATTCATTGCCTGTTACCTTAAGCCACTAAGTTTTGGAGTAGTTTGTTGCACTGCCGTAGATAACCAGAACAAACTTCTAATCAAATTTCTTATATAACTCAACCATTTCTATAGTACAATTTTGATAGGCTGAGAAGGAATCAACTCTTAGTCCCACTGTTTGGTGAACTATTCGTAGAACAAACTTCTAATCAAATTTCTTATATAACTCAGCCATTTCTAGAGTACAATTTTGATAGGCTGAGAAGGAATCAACTCTTAGTCCCAATGTTTGGTGAACTATTCGTAGAACACTTTATTTCTAGATATATTTCATTGGAATCTGAGAAAGGGTTTAAAAGAATCTAACAACTGCTGCTTTTATATCCCTTCTCATCTTCATCTCTTTCTATGTCTGACTTCACATCCCCAGATACAAGGTTCCACTGTCTGTCTACTTCAACGGTCAGCCCTTTGCAAAACTGAGGAGGAATGTGAAGGTAGAAAGGCCACACCTGCCCCAGAAAGGAGTTCCCATGGGTGGCACCAAGGATAATTATGTGGCTTTCTCACTAGTGTGGGCCCCATGGGGTACACGATAGCACCAGTGGAAGTCCCTTCCTGTCTTTCCCACCCCCAACACCCCCCTCCACGCCCCTCCCGCATCATGGTAAGCTGGTTAGAGGTTACATAATGCATCCACCATAGCAGTTGCTTCAATCCCACCCCAGCCTTCTTGCGTTCATGAAAACAGCTCCCAGCAACTGACAAGCCTCAGGCATTCCAGAAGGAGTAGAGAGTTTTCTTAAAGCAAGACATCCTTACAGATTGAGGAAATGGCGTCCATTATTTAAAATTTTTGAGGCATTTGGCAGAATAAAGTGTTTCCTCTTAAGGATGTAAGTTTTGTCATATTAGATCACCTGCAGAGTAAGCATAGCTTAGCATTCTGTCTTTGACATGGTACCGATCCAAACATTAAACTCCAGAGAGGTACCACAGGACGGTGTAATGCACCCTCTAAAAACCACTGTGCCTCTACGACGCATAAATACATTACACCTTCTTTGAACCTTTATTCTTTTCAACCCAGACCATGTCTTGGGAGTGATTCGTTCCAAACATTTATGACTCACTGTGTAAACTAATGTGGTTTTTTTTTTTCTATTTTTTTCTAAATTTCTCTTCTTTCAGGCTTCAAAGAGTCCTCCCTGCTCCTTCTCATACTTTGGAATTTGGTGAACACAAACATATTGATGCCCTTTGTGGCTTTGTCGTCTTTGATCATCTCCCCATGCAGCCTTCATCTCTGTAGGCTGAAAGTCTTAATCTTCTTAGTTTGACCTCATGTTTTAGCCCACATATTCCCTCTATTCTTCCATCTGCCCTTCACTGGCCTTTCTAAGAATCATATTCCTTTGTTAAAGGGTACTAACCACACACACTCTTTCAAGAGCAGGTGTTCCCAGTCTTGCCTTTAACCCTCTCCAGTGGGCTATTCAATCAAGCATGCTTATATGTTTGCAGTGGGTGGGGGCAAACAGGAAGGGAGAAATATTTCAAAGTCAATGTCAGAGCACAGTTTGGAAATATTTTGTCGCCTAAATGATGCAAGGAGAAATTACTCCCCGGGCTCCTTTAGTATCTGTTCCAACTTGAATGGCATGATTTCTAAAGCATGTGGGAGCTTCAGCAGTAGGCAGTGTAGAAAAACAAAGAGCCTATTTTTATACACAACGTTCAGAGGTTGGGGTGGGGAGGGGGCGAGAAACAAAAACCAGAAAAACAACCCTAAATTTTGTGCACAGGGAAATAATAAAAATAGGATGGCAGCTTCATTTTGATATTTTGGTTCTTAGACGCTGTTGTTTTTATAGGAATGGGAAAAAAATAAACAAATGGAACAGAAGGTGTTATACACAGGAGGAATATAAACACAGACTCATGGTATGTTAGTGCTGGGAAGAGAATGCCAACAAAGTTCCTTCACAAGAGCAGTTTCCAAAAACCAGTCTGTAGACCAGAGATGGGCTGCGTCTGTGAGGTCCATGTAGGGAGCTATTATAAAGGCCCCTGGAGACCCTATTCTTGGAGATACTGATTCCGTAAGTCAAGGGTGAGGTCCAGGGAATCTGAGTTGTTTTCCTTTTCTTTTTAAATTCTTTGGGATCATTTGATGTACAAGTAGGTTTGGGAAACACTAGTCTAGATCAGTGTTTTCCAAACCTTTAATTGTTTGAGTTTGCATTACTTTTTATTTCAGCAGCAGAACTCTCCTCTGAAATGAAATCATACACAGAACCTAAACATACAAAATCCATAAGAGTGGCCGCCCTGATTGAACCGGGGGGTGGCAGGGCCAGGACCTCCATTTTCAACTGAACCCTCTCCCTCCCTGAATGACTCAACAGAATCGCCAGGGAACTATAAAGGTGACATGGACACAGGCTGATGACAAATGCTCCTGTCTCATCTTTTAATTTTACTGATGAGGGGACTGGAGCCCAAAATGGTGTCTGCCAAGTTCACCCAGAATTTAGTGGGTGGGTCAAGGATAGAATCCAGAACAAAATCCCAGACTGTGTGTAGCTGCCATCATCAGCATCAGCACAAGGCCCATGGTCAGCTCCTTCCAACACTAGACTAGGGGCCCCTCACCTCCTGGTGGCTCCAGGCATTCTCCCCTCGCAGAAGGTGAGGCTGATCTATCACCCCATGGTTGCCCTTCAACAAGTCCAAGAGGACTGTATTCCCTTACCTTCCCATGAAGGCTACCTCAGTGATGGCTCCAGGAGGTTTCCTGTAGCCTCCTAGAGGGAGCCCCCACTAAAGCAAGAAGAAAGCAAAGCTCACATATTTCATCTCTGGTGCACCATCCTTCTGTTACCTGCTTCCATTTGATCAACCTACCATCAGTTCTATTTTCTTTTCTTTCTTTCTTTTTTTTCTTTTTATTTTTTATTTTTTTGATACAGAGTCTTGCTCTGTTGCCCAGGCTGGAGTACAGTGGTGTGATCTCAGCTCACTGCAACCTCCACCTCCTGGGTTCAAGCGATTCTCGTGCCTCAGCCTCCTAAGTAGCTGGAATTACATGCATGCATCACCATGCCCAGCTAATTTTTTGTATTTTTAATAGAGACAGGGTTTTGTCATGTTGGCCAGGCTGGTCTCGAACTCCTGGCCTCAAGTGATCCACCTGCCTTGGCCTCATCAGTTCTATTTTTAACAGCATGTGTATATTCAAGGAATATTAAGATAGGAAGCCTAATAAAACAAATTCCCATGAACCTTCCACCCAACTTAAGAAACAGAACATTTCCAAAACAAGTTTCTATGTGTCCCTCTCCAAAGTCATATTCACGCCCCCACCCCTGTACCGCCACAACTACAATCCTGAACCTTCATCTTTTATCCTTCTATTGTACTTATTTATAGAGTTGTCTCACTGGCTATGTACCTAATTATTCTGTTATTTAGTTTCGCTTGATTTTGAACTTTAAAAAGTGGCATCATACTGCAGGTATTCTTTGGCCTTCTATGTTCGCACTCATGTTTCTGACATTCATCCCTGTTGGTGCATATAGCTGTAATCCATTTGCTATTTGCTGCTGTCAGATGGACCATATAATGGGATTATGTAAATATACTATATTCAGTGCTAAAAGAATAGCGGAGTGCTTATTTGAATGTTTACCAGGCGTGGTTCTAGGTGCTAGGATCCAGCAGTGAACAAAAGAGACACAATCTCTCCCCTCCTAGCGCTTAAATTCCACTGAGGAGCATGCACTGCACAATTCTTTATCCTGTCTCCTGTCGAGCATTTGGAGTTTCCCACCCCCATGCCCCCAGTTTTTTGCTATTACAAACAGTACTCCCTGGACATGTTGCAGTCGTTCCTACTCAGGTGGTGGAATGTCTCTGAGACAGTGGCTCTCAACACTGAGGCAATATTAGAACCACTTGGAAAGCTAATCTATCACATCTGCTAATGATAACAAATTAAGAGCTTAGAACCCTCGAGCTGCAATTTGCCACAGCCACAAATGCAAAAATCACCTCAGGAGCCCACATAGTTTCTAGCTTTACTGGAGGCTAATAACTTCTCAAGACCTCAGAAAGCTAATTATTGATCCTTTTACTCCCAAGCAAATGAAAGACAGCCTGGTGTAGTAAAAAGAAGATGGCTTAGAAATAAGAAAACCTCATTTAGCTTCCTGATGTTGCACAAATAAATAAATCAACTGCCCTTCTTGGGTTTCACTTTACAAGTTCATGAAATGAGAATATTTCTAACTCTTAGCTTATTAGGTTTATGGTAATAATTGAACAACATGCTGTCAGTGATGGTTACGTTCTCTGTGTTTACTGCACACCAGGCACCATGCTGAAGTCTCCTTAATTGCCATCTTCCTGAATCTTACATGGTAAGTGTCATCTCCGTGATAGGACCAGTTACTATGCATGCCTAAGTTCCCACAACTAGGGGATCCAGAATTTGAGTCCAGATCCATCTGATTCCAAATTTTCTTTCCCTGATTCTTAGAAGTGTAACCACCAGCAAGTTCTTTCACCTTTCTGAGCCTGGGTTTCCTCCTCTGTAAAATCCACATATTAATAATAACTAGCACATTGCATTGTTGCCCGTGTTAAATGAGGTAATCGATGCACAGCCTGGAATTTACTAAGCGCAAAAAGCCTTCTTACCTCTTACTACTACTGCCACTGCTGCGCTCATTTTGTTTTGTTTTATGCCCTATCTCATGAAGGACATCACCATCTGACCAGTTGTCTAAGCTAAAAGCATGTAAATAGTTCTAGATAACAACATTTAAACTCCACATCCACTCAACAAGGCCCATCTGTTCTCCACCTCTTCCCATATCTCTACCACTCCCACTACATTGGATAAAGGCCGCTGTCATTTCTCACCTGTGCTATGTCCACAGCCCCTCTACTGATCTCCCTAACTGCATGCCCCCGTCCTCCCATACGCAACCTCCACACTCCAATCAGATGGATTTTTCAAGTCAAAATCTGATCACCAAACTCTCCTTCCCAAAACTCCTGCCTGATAGCTGCACGCGTCCTTCAAGATGAAGCACACAAGGTGAGGCCCCGCCCAATCTGGCCTGTCTTCCCTCTCCAGGCTCTCCAGTCCTACCTCTCACTACTTCGGCAGACTTAAAAATGCCAAAAAAAAAAATTAATTTTAAATTTTAAACGATTTACCTTGCATAGAAGAGGCATTCCATTGACATAATAATTATTCTCATTATTAGTTTCACTGCATATATTACTCCTTTAACTCTCACAGCCCAGGCTAGAACTTTTCAGGACCTCAAAAGACAAATGTCTTTCATATTTGCCTTACTTTAATCAAGGGCCTAAAGAGTTAATGGGATTTACAGTAGAATCCCAGCCCTGACCCTACACAGGCCAAGTGTGGCAGAGAAGGGAATCCTCAACTCCTAATGTATTTATAACTTTCTCAAAGCCCTAGGGCCAGAACCAAACGCTTAGTGTTGCCAAAGATGTGGCAGTTTCCGAGGGAAGAAGAGTAGACGAAGAATACCTGGGTCTTAGCCTTGGCAGGATGTCAGCCAGTGCATGCCACGTGTCCAGAACATGTGGCCTGGGACCTTCAACTTGGTTAGGAAAAACTGCCCATCGGTTGAGAAGTCACAGCAGTTTGTTGACCATATCTACTGGAAAAATCCCACTAGACAAATTGTGTCCTCTCTCAAACAAACAATGCTGACTTCTAATTAAGTTGAGAAATGTCCCTCTTTCCCACCCAATATATTTGAAACATCCTAAAACCCATTTCCTTTCTAGTTCCATGTGTCTCAATGGGCTCTGTCTGGCAACACGGCCTCCACTCCTCCCCTATCTCCCCAGGGCAGATAGCTCTGTCCTGAGTCCCAGGGCTGCCCTGAAATTGTAAAGGATGCCTTTTGGGGAGCTTCCTCCTTAATGCCACATTTGCTTCAGCCACAGAATCGCTCTCAGCAGATTCTTGAACTGAACCTGCTGAGGTTTGAGCCCCTGGCAGCCTGGTGATGCCCAATGCCTTTGCCACAGGCTCTCCAAGACAGTCTTTTCTAAGCTTTGAATGTTCCAGACCATGTAGCAGTTCCACATGCAACATCTTCTGTAGTAGGAAGGTGTGCTTCTAGAGTTTTATTTCCCTGCACTGACTTTTAATTCCATTCAAGAAGGCTAAGTGGAGTTTGTAACAGCCTTAATCTCTTCAATTGGCCCCTTTTGTCCCTAATAAAGCTAGCATTATTTGCTGAAACTGAATGTCTCTTTCCTTGTACTGTCCCTTTGTTTTCTGGCCAAGGCATCTGTTTTCCTAACGAGCTCTTCTAACAAGTCTTGTGGGGTCTCCCCATAGTGAGGGAGAGCTGTCAAGTGCACGAGTTCTGAGTCTGCCAGTGGGTTTGTTTATTCAACAAAAACTGCTTATTTTTTGTATCTTTGCTTTCCTTAGTGGAATAATACCAACCAATATGTTCCTATCAGACCAACATCTAAGCAAGATTCGGTCATCTATTTACATCCAAGCTGGTTTCTCCATTAATATATGTCCTCTTTTATGTGCCATCTTTACAGTGAATCCTATACATCTCTTGGGCATATGACCCCACCATCACCATGCTATGGTTTGAATGTTTGTACCCCTCCAAAAGGTATTTGTTGGAACTTAAACTCCCATGTGACAGAATTAAAAGGTGAGGCCTTTAGGAGGTGATTAAGGTGGTGGTGAAGTCATGAGGGAAGACCCATACCAGGAAGGGGAAGTGGCTGAGCTCAGTGTGCCCAGGTCTTCTCCAGAACTCACCCACAGAAGGAGAGGAGACTCCTCTGGTGATGATGGATGCAGTGATGATGGAGCAGCAGACGCCAGGTAGAATGTCTGATAGATATCCCTCTACATGGAGGAAACATCAGAAATGGTGTTTTCACCTACACCACATGAAAGTAAAGGGGTGAATAGAGTCCACACCCCTGACCACTGAATATTGCTGTACTCCCTGTGTTTATTCATTTATTTCTTTTTTTAAAGTATTTTATTATTTTTTATTTATGTATTTATTTTGAGACAGAGTTTTACTCTGTCATCCAGGCTGGAGTATGCAGTGGTACGATCATGGCTCACTGCTGGATTACAGGCATGAGCCTCTGTACCCGGCCTCATTTATTTCCTTACACATGTAATTATTGTTTTAGTATTGTCATTCTACATGAAACCATTAATGACCTCAGGGCAAAGACCTAGTCCATTTGAGTCACCACCATAATTCTAGAGCCTAGCACAGTGCCTGGCACGTTAAGGCAACTTCATTAATATTTGTTAAATGAACAGTTCAGATCAGATACATTTCACTCCATCAAAAAAAAAATTGCTTATGCATGAATGTACAAATGACTGAGTCTGCAATACAGAGTTTGATTGTTATTTTGTTATTTGGAGGCTTCAATTAGCCCAATACTTGTTGTAGGGCCCCCTTCACTTTGTATCTGGAGATGGCAGCACAGGCTGTGAAATGGCAGGTGTTACAGTTAATAAAAGACACCACTGAGTCCAATGAGGCATCTGAGTGTTTTCCCACTGAATGCTGTATTGTTTCTGAATATTCCTAACTATCTAAGATTCACTCATGCAAGGAAAAACCATATTTACAATGATTCCAAATATATCTCTCACAGAGCGCCAACCATTTCTCCAAAATAAAATTCAAGCTCCATTCCTGTTTTTCCAGGGAGCCTTGACTTACTGAAAGCTGATCTCTTCCCCTGCCAGTCTACTGCAGTGTGCTAACAAAGTCCTCAGTTCCTGAAACCCCCGAATTTAACCAGGAGGCATCCCAGCAACATCTTCCCTCATTCCTCTCCCTGTTATCTTTCTGTCAGTCTGACCTTTCTTCTCAGTGATCCCAACGAAAGCCTTTGGGGCTTCCAAGCTTCGGGCCTCAGCCCTTTCTCTTCCCACTTTACCATTCTGCCGTATACAACTCTACCTCCTCAATCTTTAGGACTCCCAAACCTCTGCCTTAGCCAGAATTTGACACCTCCTATTAGACACAGGCACCTCAAGCTTAACAGGAGCCAAACAGAACTCACTGTCATCCTCAAACCTGTTCTTCCTCCTGGAGTCCTCATATCCAAAGCCCGACTTCTTTGTCTGCAATATCAGATCCATGTTTTCTTTTTTCTTTTTTCTTTTCTTTTTTTTTTTTTTTTTTTTTTGAGGCTGAGTCTCACTCTACAGCTCAGGCTGGAGTGCAGTGGCACAATCTTGGCTGACTGCAACCTCTGCCTCCCAGAGTAGCTGGGATTACAGGTGCCCGTCACCGCACCCAGCTAATTTATGTATTTTTAGTAGAGACAGGGTTTCATCATGTTGGCCAGGCTGGTCTCAAACTCCTGACCTTTGGTGATCTGCCTGCCTTGGCCTCCCAAAGTGCTGGGATTACAGGCACGAGCGACCGTGCCCAGCCCCACGTTTTCTAAATATGTCTCCACTCTATGGAGCCTTCTTTATCCCTGCCATCAATATCTTTATCTGGGTCACTGTTCTTTCCCCGCAGAACTGCCACAACAGCCTTTAACTGATCACTTTTTCTCTCTAGCCTTGACAATTTTATGTCTATGCTCCTGCTGCCAACAATGTTATTAAAGATCTAAATCGAATTCTGTTGTTCCTGCTTAAAATTCCTTCTCTGGCTCCCCAGCATCTGCAGAATAAAGGCCAAGGTCACTAGAAGGGCACTTAAGGTCCATCTAGATTTGATCCCTGCTCACCTTTCACCGTTACTTGCCACCTATCCTCACCTCAGAACTATCTTTCCGCAATTTATAGCAGCTTAGAGTTCCCTAAGCTCATGTAACCAGTAAGAATTTTCTTCATGAGACACTTGAGAAACATCATATTTATTTTTCTAGATCAAATTAAAACTGCCTCAGCCTTTTTTTTTTTTTTTAGCCAGAGTTGCTCAGAAATTCAATCCCAGTCACCTCTCAGTGCCATAAGAATCCCAATTCTGTAAGGGCTCACACAGGAAAGAGGCCTTCTCCCCAGTCCACGTGGTCAGCTTTATTGTGACTGTTCTCCTTACATAAAGCCTATGTCAAAGCTCTCTGCAGGGCATGCGCAAATGCTTTTTCCAGAGCGTAGTAGTAACAATGGCATATACTTATATAGCGCTTACTACATGCTAGCCCCTGTTCTAAGCAATTTGCATATATTAGCTTACATATTCCTCATAGCAATTCTATGAGATAGATACTTGAAGGGTAGCAGAATATTCTGCCTCAAAATATGCCACTTTGGCATGAGGATTATTTTGAGCCAAAGACAATAGAGAACAAGCAGATGTAAGAAAATTTCTCTGTCTCCCTTCTAGGGCCTAAAAGCAGGACATAAATTGTGTCCAAGGAGGACAAAAAGTTAATCACCAGACAGACATGACTTGAGACCCTTATCATCCTGGAGCTGGCACCAGAAGAATCTATGTCACGAACTTCACTATTAGCCTTGACTCGCCACTAGTGTCCCATGTATTTGCCCTCCCTCAATTGGCTACCTTAGAGACTCAAGCTTCCTTTTCTTTGTCTTGTCACTTCTCTAAAAAGGTTTTGTTCTGTGCAGAAGATGCTGTGTTAGCCAAAGTTCTAAATCACCTCTTTGAAGTACTCATTTTTGGGCATTCTCATATGTCACATGCACAATGCAACATGTTAATAAACATGTTTGTTTTTCTCTTACTAATCTATCTTTTGTTACAGAGACCCCAGTCGAGAACTTAGAAGGATAAGGGGAAAATTGTTTTTCCTTCTCTGCTACTATTCCCACCAGCCCCTTTTTGAATGTGGGAAAGCCAAGGCACAGAGATTAAGTAACCACCAGGGTGCTGGTAAGTCTGGGATTTGACCCATCAGCCTGACTCCAGAGTCCCTGCTCTAATCACTGCACTCTACAACCCCTTGTGAGTGATGTCACTCTGCATTGGTTGTAGGGTTGTCCACAGAGGAACTTGGCCATTGCTCCAAGACCGCTGGACTTGTCCACCACCTCCACACAAGCATCCGTGTACCATTCCCATTGTATGATGCCTTCCTATCCTGTACTTAAAGAAGTCTCCATCAAACTCTTAGAAGTTTGAATCCCTATCAAACTCTAAGAAGCTACCACACCCCTCTCAGGTCACTTTCCTTTTCAATTCAAAGTATCGAGATCGCTCTCCCTCTCCCTCATCCTGCAATTCCAGATTAATCCTTTGATGGCCCCCAAGCTCTTCCCATGGCTCCAGGGCATTTGACTGGCTGTCTTGCTCTTCTTCTTTCTTGGCATTCCATCCCTCTAACCTCCTGTTGTTTCTTCACATACAAAGCAAGTTTATATTTTAGGATCTTTACACTTAGCTGTTCGTGCCACATAGAACTCATTCTCCAAGACAAACCTTAAACCACAAGCCCTGCCAGACTGTTCTTGGGGCACAGGGCAAGAATTTGAGGATCCTCGTTTCAATACTTTGAACCTACTGCAGCACTAAGAATGAAACAGAAATGAACAACTCAATCGCTTATACTGCCCTACAAATCTTGCTTTTCCTGCTACTGGGAGGGAAACTCCAGAAAGCTTATTTCTTTTTCAAAATACAGCTTCTCACAGAAGCCCTTCCTGCCTTCTTTTTTGGTTCTGCATCTGCACCTTGAATGTATTTCTATTGTTGTGCTTGCCAAAACACATTGTAATGTTCCTAATATTTTTTATAGTTGTCTCTTACATAAGATTGAGTTCCTCAGGGGTAGAAATTGGCTCTTATATAATTCTGTATCCCCGGCCCTTAGCGAGATGCCTAGAAAATACAGGTTGAGTATCCCTTATCCAAAATGCTTAGCACCAGAAGTGTTTCGGACTTCACTTTTTTTAGGATTTTGGAATATTTGCATTATATACTTACTGGTTCAGCATGCCATATCTGAAAATCCAAAATGCTCCAAAATCAAAACTTTTTGAACCCTGACATGATGCTCAAAGGAAATGCTCACTGAAGCATTTCTTATTTAAAATTTTCAGATTAGGGATACTCAGCCTGTAATAAATACTTAAAATTATTTGATAATTGAAATAAACTAGACCAAGGTCAATGTTGTAATCATCATTATCTTATCACCTCTCCACCTTCACTGCTACCCCCCAGGCCACAAGCTTCTGTCATTCTGCTCCTGGATTAGTGTTATGACCTCCCCATCTGCCACAGTGCTTCTACCCTTTTCCTTTTTCCCTTTTCAGTTTATTTTCAGCCCAACGGCCAGGATAATCCTCTTAAAATCTAAAACAGATAAAGTAGCTCAAAACTTTCCTGTGGTTCCCACCTCAAAGAGAAAGCCCTACCTGGCCTACACCATTCTCTCTGATCTGCACCCCCTCCTTCATATTATCTGATCTCACCTTCTACTACTCTGCTCATCACTCCGGCCACACCAGCTCCCGGTCATTCCTCAAACACACCAAGCATTGCCTCCCAATCCCAGGGCCTTCATTATACTTCCTATTCCCTCAGCCTAGAATGTTCTCCCCCATATATCATCATGGTTCATTCCCTTACCTCTTTTTTTGTGCAAATACCATCTTCTTACTGAGACCTTCCCTGATCACCCCATTTTAAATGCCTTGCTTTTTCTTCATAGCATTTTCCACATTGTATGTAATATGATATGATACAACATATTTATGATGCACGGCATAATTTTCTCATTCATCTTTATTGTCTGTCTTCTTCACATGGAATGTAAGCTCCATGAGGACCTGGCATCTAGGAGGTTCTCAATAAATCTGTGTTGAGTGACTGATTCTTAGACTAAAGGATGCCAATGTCTAGTCTCATCTCTGTCACTAATGGAGCAAGTCATACAATCTAACTGTCCTTAGCTGCTTCAGCTCTGAAATAAGGTTGGGCTAGAAGATTCCTTAATAGGAGATTTATGATGGTATCACAAAAGAAAATCTAGATTTTTTCCTACCCACTTTTTGTCTTTTGTGCTCTTTAACAAAAAAGTGGCAGTCAGCATCACAATGTCAAAACATCTATTGATCCTTACACTTAAGAATTAGCCTCTGGGAAAAATCCAATCCCTTGCTCCAATAGTGGCCTAGTTCTTGATAAAGAGCCACATGCATACAACCCCACATAACAACACATTGTGCACCCTCACACACACCAAAGTGAGAAAGCATCACAAACACTCTTCACCACAACTCCTATCTCCAGACTTTGGCATCTTTCCCAAGTTTCTGCAAACATCTATTCAGCCCTATTCTCCAGGCAACCTCAACCTCAAATGTATTCAGGGAATTGCACTACATCCAGAAGTCTCTTGATGGGATCCTCCTCCCCTTTCCTGGGCTTCCTAGGAAGGGCTCCTCTACTATATTTCCATTTTTGACTCAGCTCAGGTGCCTCTGAGAGGTTGCTTTTGCCCTGTTTCCCACACTTTCTAGGCTCCTGCCCCAAGCCCTTTGCTGATTCACCTCCTAGGCTCCACACTGGCCATGGCAAAGCTTCTCTAATTATGCAAACTTCCTGCTGGGACACCAGTCTGTGTCCTTTATATATGCAGGGACTCAGCTAGACCCTGGGTGAGAGATTATAATGAATAAGACATTACCCTTGCCCTCCAGGTGCTTACAGGCTAATAATACCTATGGAACTAATTAACTTCGAAGGCAATAAGAGGTACTATCTTCAGTTGTCCCATTTTTGCTAACATTCAGGTTACAGAAAGCCACCCAAATTGCTTTCAAGTCTTTGTAAATGAAAACCAAGAAGAAACCACTGCAAAATCAATGCATTTTAATTGGAAGTGTTTATGAAACCCAGGAGAGTTTCCTAAATGTATTAATTGCTTCCCAAGGAAATATAAAATTCACAATTACTAAAACCATGAAAATTAATACAATGACAGCTCTAAAAGATTGCTTTGTAAACTATTGCTAAATACATGAAAATAAACCAATTGACCTTTTAAGAAGTTAAAAAAAATCTCTGATGATCAGTATACATGAATTGTTTGCCTTGAGACTAACCAACTTACTTAGGGCAGCACTGCACTTCATTGAAAAGAGATTGCATCAGCTGTGTCGCTAGTTTTAAAAAAGTTATTTCAGCAAAGAAGGTAGCCAAAAAGTTAGATGTGAATTATCCTCCCCTTCCTTGCACCCCTACCGTATATTAGTACAGGTAAAAAATTCTCTATTAATTCTGAATTTAGACTTTAAAAAGCAGTTTGAAGTAAAAAATAGCAATTACCTTTCTGTATCCTAAGATTCTTTTTTCATTTAAAGTTTCCACTGAATTGCATCAGATGATAGGATGAAGGGCCAGCTCTCCATAAAATACCAGATTTGCAAAGCTTTAACAACCTGAAATTTTCCCCTGGAAAAGAACCTTCTCATTTGCATTTGGATGGCCAATCTTTCAATAAACATTTCTGAGCAGCTTCCATGTGGCTATTGCTGTGTGAGGCATAGCAACATAGACAGAAAGACCCAATCCTTGGCCTCAGAAGTGCACAGTCTTAGGAGAACAGGGGTATTAGCTTTATTAATGAGAGCCCAAGAGAATCAACACATAAGTCCACCAAGGACCAAGCAGTTTACCTGAGAATTGAAGGATGAATAAGAGTTTGCCAGGCAGTCAAAATTGGCAAAGGCATTCCAACAGAAAGACTAGTGTGGATGAAAGATACAACGACCTGAAAAAATGGGTCAGGGTCAAAGAGCAATTAGCTGGGAGTAGACCCTACAATATGGGGGATTCCATGGAACATGGGGCTCGATAAGTGAGCAGAGGACACATTAAAATAATGATTCATCATTGAGCACTTTTAATGTACCAGGTACAATGAGAGGTATTTCACTCAGATTATTTGATCTCCCAAAAAACCTTTTAAAATAAGTACTATTATTATCACCCCAATTTCACAGATGAGGAAAGTGAGGCACAAAGAAGTCAAGTTACTAGTTCAAAGTCTCATAGCTACTCAATGGCTTTGAAGCAACATCTTCATCTCTGGAATCCACACGTTTAACCACCTTTCAAATTATGAAGGATCTTGCAGACCAAACACAGGAGCTGAAAAATATCTTTTAGGCAATGGGAAGCTACTGATGAATACTGAGCATGGATACTGAATAACACCATCTGATATATACAATAAAATGATGACTGTGGTGCTCTAAAAGATAAAGATTTCAGTTTTACTTGTTTGTGTGTTGCGGCAGGGGCAGCAGGAGGAAGGCAGAGCACAAAGGCCAGAATCCCCATAATGAGGAGAATGCAATTCTTAGTAAAAGAGAAAGCACAGGCCTGACTTGGGCAGTAGCATTGTGGGTAGAGCAAAAGGGGTAGATGTACAGATTTTTAGGAAGTGGAAAAAAAGGAAGACGTGGATATTGGATATAGAACAGGTATAAGACAGGTGAGTGCGAAGCATCAACTATTAAGAAGGGAACATCTCTTTCCCACTCCAGATGTTTCCCTAAATGTGAAAGGACATCAATTAATATAAACTTTCTGGCTTATTTCTGTCCTCCTACTTCCACACCCTTCCAGGTATAGCATTTTATATGATGGTGAATTTGGCAGGAAAAAAAAAAAAGACATTCCTCTTTCTTCTCTCTTGGTGGCAAGTTGACCTCAGAAAGCACATTTTCTACTCTGCATTTCAACACAGCAAGGAGCCTTACAATTTTAGAAAATAAACTCAGTGCCATCCCCCTCAGTCCCCACAACTGATGTATGAACCAGGAATATTGAGAAATGAGACAAAATGCTGACAATTGAGGATACATAAGTCCCAAGCCTTTGGTGCTCCCCATGATTTGAGGCCGTCTGGTGAGTAGAGAAGCTTAGATGTTCCATGTGGCAGGTTTTGACAGTTAGGCAGTTGGTTTTTAACTGCCTAGCAGGACAAGAGGCCATATGCAGTTTTCCCCTTGGCTGATCTTTTCTTCTTGTGGCTTATTCCACAAACAAGATGCAGAATGGCATATACAGAACCCTGCAACGGCCCAGCCTCATCACAAGAGAGGAACAGACCATAGAGGGGTGGGGCAGAAAGAGGAATGATTTTTTTTTAACTGCGCCTTTTAAACTGCGAAGCAGCTAAGCTCCATATATACAGAAGAGCCCCATGGAAGTCTGGGTGTATATAGGGTTATGTTTTCCAGGTATGCTAAGTTTCTAGTGCCCAGATTAGCCAACTGCTAGCTAGAATATTTTTCCCACTGTAATTGCATTTAAAAGGGGAAAATACAAAAGGGGAAAATAAATTTGAAGAGTTTCAAATGTATGGGATAACAAAGAGAAAAAATACAGCTCTATTAAGACCCAATGATAGGAGCTGTCTCCATTGCACATTTTTATTCTTTCTCCGAGGTCACCAATGTCTCAAATACCATGTCAAAGGAAGGAGACGGGTATATAGGAAATGTTTTCTCTCAAGTATGCTAAGTTCCCAGTGCCCAAATTAGATGACTTCTTGCTGGAATATTGCTCTCATTGCAATTGCATTTAAGGTCACAGGTCATATGTTTTGGACAACTGATATCAACTGACTGGCTTCCTGGTGCAACTGAACTCTTCCTCTTTTGGGACTCCACGCAGTTACCATTGTATCTCTAGCTTGTGACAACTCTTAAGTAAAATACTGTGTTCTGGGAACACAATTTTACCAGGGATAGGAAGTAACAGTTCAAAGGCCAGGGGATGGCTTATTTTCTAACCAATGATCTTTAATGCCCTATTCACTCAAGATTCTTTACAAGAGGTATTCATGGAGACTTGGAATTGTATCAAGACAACTGCTGAGGGACAGAAGAACTCCCCAGTTCTACTTAGATTCTACCTGGACTACAGTCTCTGGAAAATTCCCAATCTATTCAGAATCCAGAACATCTCTCACTAAAACTAATCAAAATAACAAACTGAGGAGGATGAAATATTGATTTTAATTTCCTTGGACTTTCAAATCACTGTAGCAAGAAAATACGATTTTGGACTTGAATTCATCTGGATTTATTAAGGCTTTAGATTTTCATTTCTCCCTAGACATCTCATAGGGAATTGATACTCACTTTGGATGCATCTTTATAATTTGGTATTTTGGTTTTGAAGTATGGTAATGCTGTCCTTTAATCCCACAGCAGGACATGGGCTATGTGCCATCATCATCTGTGATAGAAAATAGACCAAGGGCGAATAGATGGCCTTGAAAACCAAGTGGCCTAGGAGTTAATTCTAAGGAACTTGTCTGATCTATGTTAGAGCCTTCTCAGAGCAAAATCTTCATTGCCCACCTGTGGCTCCAGGATGATTTCCCAAGAAGCAAGGGAAGCAGGGAGGTGAGAGCAGGCTGATCCAACAGGCTGCTGCTTTGCTTCTGAGCACTGGGAGAGCCCCGCTCTAGCTTAATGAACAAAATCGTTCATTAAAACTAATAGAATAAAAATATGGTAACTAATGGAAAAGGAATGACTCTTCCTCACTGTTGATGTTCCCCCTTAAGTGAGGGACCATCGATTAGAATAACATACCTGGCTTTGTTCTACCTCTTGACTTTTTTAGCGTGAATCTCACCCTAGACCTAGCATCAGAATCTTCTGGAGCTGGGGTCCAGGCACCAGTATGTTTTAAAAGCTCCCCGGGTGATTTTAATGTGTAGGGAGAGCTAAGAACCAATGAACTAAATGATCTCTAAAGATACTTTCTAACTCTTTTTTTAAAAAATGCTGTGATACCACCAGGAGTTAGAGAAAATGACTTCAAGGCCCTTGGGGCACCCTTTTCTAGCAGCCCCGAGGCTCCAGTGCATAGTGTGCAATCAGCCTTCTAATAGGAGAAAAACAATACAAGGCTTCATGTGTTGGTCCCAAAGCTTGCCTATTCTGGCTGCCCCACCATGTCACTGCCATACAATCAATGGAAAAATTGTTCTTTACCATAACTTGAGAGGGAGATAATCAGGAACAATCTGGCTACACCATAGGCTAATCACAATGACTGATATTTCTAGGGCTGCATTAATCAAGCCTTCAAGTAGACAGACTCTTACGGTCAGACCAATTCTAGAATGATTCTGCCTCCACTGTGGGAATCTTTTATAAACGGAAATTCTCCATTCAGCCTTCCCTCTCTCTCTTAAGTGCAAAATCCCTCCTAATGGTAGCATCTGTTGTCTGCGGCAAACAGAGTTGATTACAGATGCTCTGAAAGGAATTTAAGTATTTTCTCTTGCTACTCAGGAGGTGATGGTGTGATGGGAAACAGTAATTCTTTTTAGAAAATAAAAAACCTTTGGCTAAACAGTGACTACAATAATAAGGTAAAAGATACATATTTGTATAAAATATTAATATTTGTTAGATTTTTATCTCTTTCTTCAGTACTAAATATGGCCAATAACCATACATGCACTGTCTCTTATAGCTACAGAGCAGGTGTGCAGGTAGCTGGTTACCAAGCAACGTATTGGCTGGGGATTAGAGCACACACTTGCATGGGCATAACTCTGAATAATGCAAACCTTGTTAAGTGATACATTTTTCATTATCCTAGTATCACATCAAGTTCTATACCAGCTTTTTTTCTTCTTCTTTAATCTAGGAAACATATTTCTATTAAGAACCTTGAAGAAACCTTACCATCAGATATTTCTTTTTTATTAAAAACAATGAAAAGAACAGATTCATTATATCTTATCCATCAAACTTGTTATCTACCTAAACATCTGTTCAGTTTTTGTTGTCGTGTTTAGAAAGAATAATTATCCAGCAGACCTTATAAGAAATGAATTCCGATGGAGCGAATGAACTTTACTAATGACTTGCATTTATAGCTCCTTGAGGAAAAAGTTACCTATTCTCATAATCCTGTTTGTTCTTTCAAATTAAAATGTCTTTGGTGGTTATTCTAAAACTTAGAGGGTTTTTTAAAACTAGCTCTCAAAAGCCTTCTGATCCTTAATAAATATGATCAAAATATATTTAAAATGCTTATAACTCCTCAGTCTCTGAGTATAGAAAATGCCTCTGCTCTTTCCCTTTAGAGTCCTAATTTAAATATCTTGCATGAGGAACTCTAAGTAACAACTAGAAAATTCTTAGTTTATAGGAAATTTCTCTGATACTTGTGGTGACATTATTTTTCTTTTTTAAATTATAATTAAATGTTGTGGAGCAAATTAGCAGATTATGGAGGGAGGGAGAGAAGAAGGAAAGGAGGGAAATAAAGAAAGAAAGTAAAAAAGAAGAAGAGTATTTAACAGGGGACTTGATTCCTCCTTTCTTTGGAAACATTAAACAGGTGGGAGATCTGTTTCTGTGACCCTTCTGTATATTTCATAGAATGGCTTGGTTTCCTGAAGCCTACTTTGCAATTGTTGAAGTGATTTGCCCACTCTAGAGAAGGTATATGAAGTGGAAATGGAATATGAAGAGATATTCGTACAAGGGAACAAGGTGTGTATTCCTAGCCTTAATTTTAAGGTTATATGTCTGTGATATTAATTTTATCACAAAAATGGACAAGTTCATTTTTCTAAACCTGGAAAGACGCCAGTGGGGTTCTGTCTTAATTATGAGGACAGAGAAAAAAAAAACATTTCACCCAGTGTTTGGTGCTAAGGTCTTAGTTATGAATATAGAGAAAAGACACATTTTACACAGGCTTTGGAGTTCATGCAAGGCTGCACGCAATTGCTTGCCTCAGAGAATGGAGCAGTGGGAACTTGCTTCTGACCTGGTGGCTCACTGAAGCTCAAACTGGCAATTTTATGAAATTTCCAGCAGCTTTGTAACTGTGTCTATTATTTATGATTCGGCATCTTCAAATTTTTCTACGGTATACTTAACTTGAGCTGAACACTAAAAAATGGCAAAGTTCGCAGCTTCAAATTTTGTAGGGAACAAGCTATGAAAGCTATTCCTACTCTCTGTATCTGCTCTTTATTTTAGAAAAGAAATACAATATTCTCCATTCTAGGGGTAGGATGGAGAGTCAACACATAATTCCTTGATGTAAAACGGACATTTCTTTTATTTAAATTTAAAATTCGTATATTTGATACTATCCTTATATGTAAAATAAGTATCTGGAATTCATACCTCTACAAAAAAGCAAGGTAAAATAGCTTTTATTCTTCAAGACGCTGCCATAAGATACAAACAGTTACGTTTGCTCCATCACCGTTTTTGTTTGGTAATTTTTTTCCTCCCAGATCTTTCCTGATAGAATTGTCGTGCAAAAAGGTCTTTTGAATACTAAGTCATCAGAATTGTTTTAAGAAAAATACAGGTAACTATAGGCTACCAGACATGCAGCTTTAATTTTGTTCTAAGGTCTTTCTGTTAAATGAAAAAAATATATTATTATCAACCTATCTTTACTATTTTAGGCATTTCAAACACCACATCTATATACAGAATCTTCTTATAATCTTAGGCAGTTTATATCGAAAAGATAATTTCCCCAACAATATTATTTCAACCAAAATCACATTTGAAAGATACTCATTGCAAGGAATTGTATCTTCCTATCACAGATATTTGTGCTGACCCAATACACAGATAGATTTATACACATACATCACTGACACCCCAATTCATACACTCATAGAATCTTGTAATAATCATATAATAAAGACATCACACAAGCTAGGTAAAATTTTTAAAACTAAAATTTTCTAAAATCATTGTCTGTCTAGTATGTCTTGATTGGTAATATTCTTTACTCCAAAAAGAACTTTTTCTAAATTTGTTTGCCTAAATTTGTCTCCATTTCTCAGAATCCAGTAATAAATGAAAAGGAAAAAAGATGGTTTATATGCCTCTTTTCTTTTGAAATCTTTCCTACTGAAAACAATTGTGTTACACTTCAGAATTGAGCCTTTAGATATATAAATTAGCCAATATTGCCTAGCCTGTTGTTATTTAAAAGGGCTATACATGCTGTTTTCTTTACAATAAAAAATCCAAATTTTAGATTTGCAATATGCAAAAATAAGTAGTAAATTCACATTTTATATCAATTTCAAAACAAACAAAAAAAACACGTTTATGAGACTCAAAATGAATTAACAGCACCTGCTGTTAGTCTATCTCCTCTTATGAATCACCTTTTCTCCTCTTCCTGTGCCTCCGGAGCTGCTCGAGAGCCACAGCCAAACTAGCGTCTTTGTTTAGCAAAGAATATGCTCAGTTTCACCTTGAAATCTGAATTTATTAAAAGATATAGAACTTTCTACTTTAAACATTGTTATCCAACTCTTTTTCCCTGAAAAGTTGAAATGTAATCTAAACACTAGTCTCAGAGTGGACACCTACATAATTACATTTGCAGCTTATTGCATTTTCTTAGGCTGTTGAACCTTTTCAGAACTCGTGTAGGCCAAATATTTTATTACTGAGAGAAAATTTATTAGAATGTCTACTATGCCTGTATTTAAAATGTCAGCCTCATGATTCATTTTCTTTTGTCAATTCTCCTATGTGCTTTAACAATTCTCCTATGTAATTAACAGTCTTTCTTATTTCTTATTTATTTATTTATTTATTTATTTACTTATTTATTTATTTATTTATTTATTTTTAGATGGAGTCTCACTCTGTTGCCCAGGCTGGGGTGCAGTGGTTTGATCTTGGCTCACTGCAACTTCTGCCTCCTGGATTCAAGCAATTTTCCTGCCTCAGCCTCCCGAGTAGCTGGGATTACAGGAACCCACCACCACGCCTGGCTAATTTTTTTTTTTTTTATTTTCAGTAGGGACAGGGTTTCACCATGTTGCCCAGGCTGGCTTCAAACTCCTAACCTCAAGTGATCTGCCTGCCTCAGCCTCCCAAAGTCCAAGGATTACAGGCATGATCCACAGTGCCCACCCATTAACAAAGTCTTTCTTAACAAAATCTGCTGGCGGGGAGGGTGAGGGTGCCTAAAATGAAGAGGTTTGAGGGGTAGGAGGGATGCAGATCTGTGATTAGGCCAGGTTAGGACTAAAGGAGGGGTCCCTGGGCCAGCCCTCAGGACTGGAGAACCCCTGAGATAGACAGGACAATGCCCCATCACCCTTATGCCAAACACACCTGGAGGATCTGAGTGTTGTCCTTCTCCTTGACTATTGAGGAAGGAGAACTAGTCCCCTGAGAAACAGATAAAAGAGGTCAGTATCCTGGATTGCATCCTTAGACTACCAGTACTATTTTATCATCTACTAATTAATTCTCTGGGCTGTAGAATGTGTCTTTTCCATTATCAGCTACAAGTTTAGTTTCATATGTGGGTACTTACGAATATGTATAAAAGGGAATCAGTGTTTAAGTACATTCTTGTACCTGATGCTTTATTTTCATTTCCTTATTGAATCTCCTCTACACCTGCGTGTAGTTGTATTCTTACCCATCTATTGTATGTGAGAGAAACAAAACTCAAAAAGGCCAAGTAGCACACTTATGCAAAGGAACACACTTGTGAAAAACTGGTCTGGCATTCAAATTTAGGTCAGATTCCAAAGCCCCTGCTCTTTCTACAACATCGTGGAGGCTGGTGAGATGTAGATTTCCTCACAAGCTGAGGAGATTGAATTTGGCATTGAATAGCGTCATCCAAATTCTTACCTCTGAAAATAGTTTTGGCAGCTCCTCAAGTAACTGCTTTGTATTTTGTTGCCTAACATTCATTTCTGTTTGATAACATTTCCAATATTTAAATACATTGAAGATTTTGTTGATCTGCTGACATTTAAATTAGTTTTTGCATCTTTCCTTCTGACAATTTTAGGTCATTGAATTTCAGAACAGAGTCATGATTATAAAAAAAGAGTTTCCACCATATGTAAAAAGACTATGATGTTATACACAGAAAAAAAGGCCAAAGATGAAAGTTCTGAAACTATATACTTCTCAGAGAGGAATCCAACAAACGCCTTTGCCAAATCATGTTGGGAGCTGGTTACAATGCAGAATCTTGAACCCCACCCTAGAGATACAGATCTGGACATGGGACCCTATTACCTACGTTTTCAACACAAAAGTTTAGGAATCACCACTATAAACAATGCACTGTGAAATAAGTTATATTGTAAAGACCCAAACCTTGGAAGTTTTTATACCCTGAGAGTTCCAAGGAGTGCCACTTCCAGTTCCAGAGGTCTTAGATTTGAAATGTACGTAGGCAAAACTGACTGGACTTTTTCTGTGCAAACACACTATTTCTATGGGAAAATAAGAGTTTTGTGCATGTTATTGTTGACATGAAGTGTGGTAAATAAGATTAACTCATCCACATTTATCACAAATCAGCAAACTGGCACATGTACAAAAACTAAGAAGGGTCCTAGGCCTTAGGCAACTGGCTCACTGTCTTCCTCTCCTTCCTGTTCTCTCTGAAGTACTCTTATCCCTCTATCACTGTGATTATGTCTGCTTTTCTCCCCCCACTTTTTCCTGTTTCATAGTGATTATACTCAAAACCTCATATGCCAACATAAAAGAATTTTTGCCTTATGTATATGACTTGTAAAACCACTCATTTCAGGCGCCTGTCAACTCCATTCCTGCATCACCTTCCACCTTTGCTAACCTATCACTTCAACCTTGCAACAATGCCAGACTGTAGTTCCCTGACGACCTAATGCTCACTCACACTGCATCCTTCCCTTTTGGCAAAATGACCTTCAACTCATCACCTTCTTGACCTGACTGATATCAACTTATCTTTCAACAATTACTTCCTGGAAGCCTTCCCTGATGCTCTACAGTCCCATTGTGGGTAAAGCAAGGTGTTCTCATTTCTGACTGCACATCAGAGTCATTTAGGTAACTTTCAATATAAATATAGCCTCTAAAACTCTCTTATGGTTACTGTTTGCAAGGTATATCTTTCTTCATACTTCTATTTTTAACGTATTTATGTCTTCGAATCTAAAGTATGTCTCTTAAAGACAGGATATAGTCAGGTCTTGCTATTTTTATATAATCTAATCATGTTTGCCTTCTGATTTCAGTGTCTGTTCAATTTACATTTAATGGGATTATTGTTATGGGTGGATATATTTGTTTTTCCATTTAATATGGTGGATGGATTTGCTTTTAGATGGATTTTTTAAATTATAGTGTAATTATTGATATAGTTTAATTTGTTTTTAACATGGTTCATCATTTTTGTTCCTGTTTCTTCATGTACTGCTTTCTTCTGTGGAAAGATTTTTTAGTATATAGTTACAATTCTTCTGTTAGATTTTCATGCATAATTTTGAGTTATTTTCTTAGTGGTCATTCTATGGTTTATCATATACATCTTTGACTTACCCCAATCTACTTCAGATTAATACGACTTAATTTTGGTAACATATATCAACTTAGCTTCAGTAGAGTTTTATTTTCTCCTCCCTACTTTGTGCTATTATTCTCAGACATATCACACTTCATATATGCTATAAAGCCAAAACTACAATGTAATAGTTATTGGTTTAAACAATATTTTCTTAAAGTTAAAAGAATAAGAGAGAAAACAATTATATATATATCCATCCTATATTTACCCACATATTTCCCATTTCTGATGTTCTTACTCCTTACTGTATATTTATGTCACCATCTTATGTCATTTCTTTCCATGAAGGTCTTCCTTTAGTATTTGTTGTAGGACAGGTCTGCTAGCAATGAATTTTCTCAGTTTTGGTTTATCTAAAAATGTTTTTTATTTTATCTTTATTTCAGAAGAGACTAGTATTCAGAAGAGACTAGTTTCACTGACTATAGAATTCTTTGTTTACAGGTTTTTCTTCTTTTAGCATTTTGACTATGTCACGCCATGGCTTTCTTACCTCTCATGTTTCTCATGAGAACTCAACCACATTAACCATATAATGGTTTCCCTGTACATAAGTCATTGTTGTTTTTCTTTTTTACTGTTTTTAACACTTTCCCTTTACCTTTTTGTCCTTCAGTAGCTTAATTATGGCATATATACCTGTGAATCACATTGTATTTTTCCTTCTTGGAGTTTGTTGTGTTTCTCATATCTATAATTTTTTTTTCAAAGTTAGGAAGTTTTTGGCCATCATTTCTTCAAATATTTTTTTCTGAGACTTTCCCTCATTACTCCCTTTATGGGACTTCCACTACCTGTATATTGTTTGTTTGTTGATTGGTTGGTTGGTTGGTTGGTTGGTTGGTTGGTTGGTTTTTTGAGACAGAGACTCTGTCACCCAGGCTAGAGTGCAGTGGTGAGATCTCAGCTCACTGCAACCTCCGCCTCCTGGGTTCAAGCAATTCTCCTGCCTCAGCCTCCAAAGTAGCTGGGATTACAGGCGCACACCACCACATGTGACTAATTTTTGTATTTTTAGTAAAGACGGGGTTTCACCATGTTGGTCAGGCTGGTCTCGAACTCCTAACCTCAAGTGATCCTCCTGCCTCAGCCTCCCAAAGTGCTGGGATTACAGGTGTGAGCCACCATGCCTGGTCTATATTATTATTTTTGATGTCCCGCAGATCTCAGATCCTCTTCACTTTTTTTCTCAAAATTTTTTAACTCTGCTCTTTGGATTGAATAATTTCTATTGCTCTATCTTCAAGTTCACTGATTCTTTCTTCTGCCGTCTCAAATCTGTTTGTTAGGACTATTTAGTGAATCTTACACTTTGGTTATTTTACTTAACTCTAAAATGTTCATCTTTTAAAAATACAGTTTCTGTTTCTCTGTTCAGATTCCCTATATGTTGAATCATTTTTCTCATATTTTCTTTTAATGCTTTGAATATATTTATAATAGCAGCTTTGAAGTCTTATATAAGTCCAACATCTGGACCCATTCAGAGTCCGTTTCTATTAATAATTTTTTCCTCTGGTGTATGCATGCATCACAATATGCTTTCCTTGACTCATAATTATTTTGTTTTAACTGAAATTTCAGATTATATATTGTGGCAACTCTGGATTGTGATATATTTTTCTAAAGGCCTTTCTTTTTAAAGTAACTTGCCTGTTTTTAAACTGTGGACTCTCTCTCTCCCCTGTAGTATGAAGAAGTTAATTCTTAACTCAGTTTTTAAGCATTTATTTTTATTTGTTAGCCTGACTTCTGATCGTCCACCCTTTTACCTGCATACTTTAGTGGTGGGCCAATGATTTGGCTGGAGGTTGTGGTCAAACACCTCAAGTGTGTAAAACTTCTACACTCCACCAATCTGTGTGTATGTTGAGGAATGCATTCAAAGTTCAACAAGTTTTCAATTCTTCATTGGCTTCATTTTCCTCTGGCCTTTCTTGGGTCTTCCCTGTGCATGTGCGTAGTTTCCCAGTTAGCTAGGATCTGTGGAGAGCTTATCCTAACTTTTCTATGCTGTGTCATTTCCAAGTTTCTCCAGTTAAACACATGGATAGCCTGTTGCTCACCCAATCAGGACCACAACTTCAAGCTAGCAAAGCTACAGGTTTTCCCCATTTGCTTACAACTAAGTTGGCCACCTTTAACTGACAAAGCTTCAAGTTTTTGCCCTTAGTCCAAATCAAGTCTAACCCTCTGTTAGAAAAAAATGATGAGTATTGTTCCAGCCCTATACTGGTAAAACTACTGTTCTTGCTAATCAAGCTTGGATGGAGAGAATGAGAACCTTATAATTTTTTTTCTTGTAAACATGACAGTTAATATTAAATTCACATGTGACTGAAACACAAGGTCAGGCTTTACAGGTGAACAGGTTAATAAACTAAGATGTCTTCATTTGGGGGAAAAAAGAAAATAAAAGTACAGGCTCTGATTATCATTAGAAATATTTTAGTTTTTTATTATTATTTTGGCTATGAGGTATTTTTCCTTGTTATTTCCTCTGTAATTTAGCAGTTAGCCAGTTTCCACCTGCCCAATTTTCTCCCACTGTACACACCTGGCTATTTATTCTGATCCAAATCTATTGATGATTTTACATACAACCATCATACAGATGGTAAAAGTACTAGAAAAAAAATGGGTCAAGTGAACTGGATTCTAGTTTCCAGCTTAGTTGCTAACAAAGCTAAATCATCTCAGCCAAAGTAGACAAAATATAGAGGTTAGTTCATGTCCTCTAGTCCTTTTATGCAAGGAACAGCCATTTGTTGGCTCGACTGAATAGCCAAAGTGGGTAAGAGTAGGTGAGTAGTAGTAGTAAACCAAAGGTAAAGAAAGAAAATACTAGTACAAAGTGGCAGTCATAAAAAAAAAAAAAAATCTTTCCCTTCCTGGCTTCCTTTAGATTCTACCTTTTTTTTCAAAGAAATCAAGCATAATAGATAAGATAAATGCATACATAAATATAAGCCAATGTACTCAGTCAAAAATGTATCATGAACTAAGACAGTCAAAGGAAGAAGAGATTGCTTTTTGAGGTGGAGATGAGAGTTGAGAAGAGGGTATAATGGAGCTTATGGACAGAAAAAAATTTAATGGTGTTCAAATTAGAAATGAGTCTTTGTATTAAGGTAAAACTAGATACTCTAACAAATGTAGATGATGTCTTGGTGGGCTAACACAACAGAAGCATAAATCTCACTCGTGTGAAAAACCAATCAGGTGGAAGAAAGAGAGATCAGGGTGGACTTTGCTTCACACAATCATTAACATTCAAGGATCCAAGCCGATGGAGCCTTCAGCAACTTCAGTATATGGCTTCCAATATTTCTCTGGGAATCAATATCTAGCTAATAGGTGGGGAAAGAGAGGAATGTTTAAGGGAGAGATTTATAGAACAGACTTTTACTCACATCCTATCATTAAAAAAATGAGTCATTTAGATCCTCCTAGAGGGTGGGGGGATGAAGAAAGAGGCCTTGTTGCTACATTTAGTCCCTGGTAAGACAACTCCTTCCTAGCAAGAATTCTTTCCTTTAAGAGAGGAGCCCAAATTATGTGGACAGCTAAAATTTCTGCCACAGCTTTAAATAACTAGTAGACTTTAGATGATCAAGGATTGGGGAGCAATGAGAGGCATCATTGCTATTTAAAGTTTTGCCTGTATTTGATTTTCATTTTCCTTTATGGAAATAACCTTTACTCTTCCCAGTCCATGTGATTTGATAGGACTGATACCAGGCACAGGTATGGTAACCAGGCTTGACCAATCAGTACATTCCACCTCCAACCACTTTGCTTGATTCAAGGGTGGGTAGGAATGTAGGCCAATGAGATTCACATCCAAGATTTTTACAGAAGTTATCAAGAAGACATATGAGAGTTTTTTTTTTCTTTGTTCCAACAGTTGCTAAGCTGGTGGGATATGTTTGCAACTCCTGGTGCCTACATATTACCTTTCATGGAAGAGCCTACCTAGAAATAATAGTCATACAAAGGAAATCAGAAAAAAAGAGATAGAATAAAATGGCTTTCTTGATCCAGGAATGCCTGATACCAAGGACATTAAATTCCCCTTTTTCTTAAACTCAAGTTGGATTTTTTTAACGTGCAATTAAGAGCCCTTATTAATATAGGTGAAAAATATGAGCCTTTTTTTTTTAAAAAAAAAGCAGTCTAATTTGTGTGGAATTAGGAAACATGGAGGAGAATAATAAGTGATAAGACTGAAAAGTCAGGTTAGGTTTGAAGCATAGAATTCTTTAAAAGTTAGGTTAGGAATTTGGGGTTTAATGAAAGCCTGCTAAACTGAAGCCAAGAGAGGAAAGTAACTGGCCTCAGGTTGCAAAGCTAGAAGGTAGTGAAGTTAAGATTCAATGCATACCTCTGATTCCAGTGCTGCATGTCTAATACAGTAGCTATTAGCCACAGGTGGCTATTAAATTTTGATTTTAATTTAACTTAAAATTCAATTCTTTATTTGCCAGAAACATATTTCAAGTACTCAATGGCTATATATAACTACTGATACAGCAGCGGTCTCCAACCTTTTTGGCACCAAGGACCAGTTTCATGGAAGAACACTTTTCCACAGGGTTGGAGTGGGGGATAGTTTTTGGATGAAACTGCTCCACCTCAGATCATCAGGCATTAGATTCTCATAAGGAGCACACAACATAGATCCCTCACATGCACAGTTCACTATAGGGTTTGCACTCCTATGAGAATCTAATGCTGCCACTCACCTGGCAGGAGGCAGAGCTCAGGCAGTAATGCTCAATGGTCCGTTGCTCACCTCCTGCTGTGCAGCCCAGTTCCTAACAGGCCAAAGACTGGTGCTGGTTTGTGGCCTGGAGGTTGAGGACCCAGGGGCTGCAGTATTGGACACGACAGATGGAAAGCATTTTCATTACCAAAGAAGATTCTGTTGGATAGGCTGTTTTCTAGAGGGGTGTGTGTGTGTGTGTGTGTGTGTGTGTGTGTGTGTGTGTGTTTACATGACTAAAACAGGAGGCCAGATTACCATTCATTTAAGTTATTGAACTATATTTGGGCTGAAATTTTTATTTAGAAAACCTAATCCACAACCTAATATTTTCACCTTGGGAAGCCTTATTTATATGCCTCCAAAGAACTTATAGTAATTGTAAATATAAACAAAAAGAAACCTGGTTGATATTATATAAAGGAACTATAACAAAATTTTGAGAGACTAAAAAAAGGCGTTTTATACTGGCAACTATAAAATGATCCTACGACTTCAAAATGTAAAAAAAAAATCAGTGATGCCAAAGGTTTTCCTTGCTTTCTGACCCTTTTCTTGGTAAGGATGATCTATGCTTTGCCCCACACCTGTTGCCTTCATCAGCTTTCCCAAAATTTCCTCTCTGGAAATTTCCAAAGATGCCGTATTGGATCACATTTCACCCTCATGAAGCAATGAGATAATTTATGTGAATGAAGCAATGCATAAAACAAAGTACCTCCCATTGCCATAAATTACATATCCAGTGAAATGAAATGAAAAGCATAGTAAGTATACACATGCTAAAAAGTCTTTTCCATAATGAAGACCGACTCATCCTTTGACAATAATTTCCTACCATTTTTAATCTACTTAGACTTATGGAATAATCACATGGTTCAACCTTTATCTTCACCTAGCTCAACAAGGCTAACTTCATCCTCTCTAGGAACTACATGGCACGCTTTCATAGAAAACGCTTGGACCCACATCTAAAATGCACATTCGAATTGATGGCCAAGATTTGAAAAAGGCAGTCCAGTATTATACTCATTCTGCCTCCACTTCTAGAAGGAAGGATGGGCAAGATTTATGCAGTGTTCAACTCTGTTGCAAAGATTTTTTTATATAATAATTTACAGTTTCTTTCAGTTCCAGGTCTTGACAAAGTCAGATTCTCAAATAATTGGCTTTAAGATTATGTAAGACCTAACATGTTCAGCTCTATTCCCTGTGCTCCTGCCCCATAATCTGGGTTTATGTCACAAGAATAATTGGGAGTAGAAACAAGGCTGATAATTGTACATGTTATCATGTCCAGGTAAACAGACTTGCAGCTGGTAGGTTCCAGTGGATTTATTTTATGTTGTCTGAGAACTTCAATGCAGGTTTTAAGAGATTGGAAATAAAAATTACCTGGCTTGATTTAACCTAATGATTGCACAGTTTGTTTAATTATCATTGTGATCCCAAAGTGTGATGGAAGGTAAATTTCCAGTGTGGAAGGAAAAGGAATAAGATACTACTAAGAGAATATTATCATGTACTTACTGTTCTCACCTTTCCTCCCCTCCATTATCAGCTCTTGAGCCTGAGAGGACCTTCTGACCTACCAGAGTAGCACTCCAGAATCACTTTACTGTGACAGTTAATGAGCCTCATTTCCAGAGGACAAACACAGCAGGCTGTTCTAGACTAACGATGATGTTCTTACCCGATGCAAATGCAGAACAGTGCAGCTTTATGAAAAATCACCCCAAGGAAAAGAATCCTCTAACAAAATAAAGTCAGGTGATGCCACAACCCACAACCAATAATCAGGGAAGCCCACTCATGATACCTGTTCTGTCTTTGATGGTCAGGCTCCCTGCTCAGTTAAAGAACATAAGTAAAGTTTATCTCTGCTACCTGTCCATCCTCAATGCCATCCCCATCTCTTTGTGTGTGACAGCCACCTACTCTTCCTGGCTATCTAGGAGGAGCCTTATTCAGATGCCCATGTCTTTCCATTCCCCTCTTTGCAATAAAAAATTATCCTTCTTCCTATTCCATCCAGGCCCTAGATGACAGGTCCACTCACTGAGCCAGGACACTGATGGCTGATAATTGCTTCGTCTCGTTTCCCCTTCCTAAGATACCTGTCTATTTTTAAAAGTCACTGCCAATATCTTTACCTAAAGAAATAAGTAATGTGAAAACTCCTTATAACCCAGCATGATATGTTTGACAGGAGAGAGGGAAGAGTGTCTATTCATGTCTCTCAAATCATAACCAGAATGTCTCTCAAATCATCCCTTATACACTTGTACTGTATAAGGGATGCCCAAGCAATAGGACATCCCTGCCCATTTCATATGCACCAAGGCCAAACTCATTTACTAACCCACCTTTGAGATTCTATGGGGCTAAGGACCTAAAGTAAGGCAGAGTATGAGCTAATCAGAAACACAACAAAACTGGCTGTTGGGAGCTAACATTACATGGCCTGTATGCGCCCCATTAAGTTCAATTAAGTGACATGACTTTGCCAGACTTTCTTACAAATTGTCACACAGCAAAATAGTACACATGATATACCATTTCCTGGTATAGCAGGAAAACCAGCCAATGACTATCTGGGTGAGTTCAGCTGGGCAAACATCAAGTCTGAACCCCAGGCTCCAGGTACATAAACTAGGAATAACAATATCCACCATCCAGGGCTGTTGGGAAGATTAAATGAGATTGTCCTGGAAAAGCAGCAAGCTCCTCCTGGCACACAGGAGGAGCTCAACAAATGCTCTTCATTCATCTTGGCCCCCAGCCTCCGGATTAATTTTTTATCTAAAGCCCTTTTAATGTGAACTTGAATACCCCCAAAAAGTGCCTATTTTTCTCTTTTCCGTAATCACTCACTCTCCTCCTTGCACTATTTGGCCAGTCTCTGGGGAGAACCAATCCTTTCCCAGGGTTCTTTCATGCTGGCCATGGCAATAGATGTGAAAGACCTTATGCAAACTCACACTTGGTCAATAACAGTCTTGTAAGAACAGACCCCGAGCCTTGCACAGGTACTATGAGGGCTCCACCAGAGTAAAGACAAGGACCTGTTCCATACAGAGCCTCCAGATCAGTTGAGAGAACAGGCTAAGCATATGAAAGACATACATATCATAAGACAATGTGAGACTGTATATTATTTTTACTATGTGTTGTGCGTTGCAGAATCCACATACCAATAATAATAGCTAAAGTTTAACGAGTGCTTACAGCATACAAGGCACTATTCTAGAAACTTTACATATATGTGTGTATGGTACTGTTGTTATTTTTGTTTTATATATAAAGAACTTGAAGCAGAGAAAGGTCAGGTAATTCACTCAAGACTATGCAGTGGAGGGGCTGCATCATTACTCAATTCAATTGAGATCTACAGAACACTGCCCTGAGCACAGGGCTGAGTATGCTGGATTAATGTGAGATCAGGGCTGGAATCACATCTTCTTGATCTTTATTTCCAGTTTGTTGATTAACTGACTCATGAATGAAAGAAGGCTTGTTGGAAGACACAGAGTAGACTATAGGTAGACCATAGAAAGGCAAAGTAGGGCTTACTCACAGTAAGCAGAGTAGGAAGCCCACATGCTCAGAGACTACATTGAACATCATAGTAGACAGGAACCAAGAAAATTGACCTTAATGAAGCCCTGGGCTTCTTTTGAGGATAATGATGGATATAGAGAGATGGATGAGACAGAGGGAAATAATGAGAATGCCTTCAAAACTAAGTAATGAAGTATAGACTTCATGGGCAATAGGGGACACCTATCAATTCTTCAGCAAGGAAACAATGTGAAAAAAGTGGTATTTTAGAAAGAATGGTCTGGCAGGAGTGAAAAATTGGAGGGGAGTAGAATAATCCAGGTATGAGGTCAGGATGGGATGAATTTGATTTTGCCAAACGGTTGAATTGGAAGGAAGAGCTACAAGAGCCAAAGCACAGAGAGAAACGACAATCCAACAATTAGTGAGTATCTTTTATGTGCCTCAGCAAGGGGATGAGGATAAAAGAACAAGGAAAACATAATCCTTAGTGACCAATCACTAATAAGACAAAAACAAAGTTGAGAGAGATCTGCCAAGGTGGTCTCAGGCATCAGACTGGGATGGCATTAGTGGCGCCATCCCAGACCTAAGATCAGAAGGGTGAGATACCAATTCCAGACATGCAAACTGATGGAGACACAACACACATTTTTCTCTAAACCCTTTATAAGTATTTATCGCTCTGATGAGATTTTAATCTTCTCAAAAAAAGGAGCGATATTATTAATCTCATTCAAGGTCCCCAAGGCAGTATTAAAAATAAAGAAATCATACAATGAATATCTATCATCAATTTGCTAAATATCTTTAAATCCAATAGGAATTTCTTTTTAAAACTGTTACAATAACCTAGTCTCCATTCCGCCATTATCATTTTACAGTGTCTCCTACCTTTTCTCTATTCCTTCACCATTCTCTCTCTACTCCTGATGAGATAGGCCTCCTACTGCTCCTGCCATCTGGCATGCTGAGCCTCAGACAATTTATCAACTCATAAAATCATTTTTTTTAAACTTTGAGAAAATTAACATAAAGAAAGAACTGCATGTGAAAGCTGAGAATTTGAGAAAACACTGTGTGATAGGTGTTAGAAAGGTATATTAGGTTGGTGCTGAAGCTTGGGAAGTGGGGACTCACTCTTGGCTTTCTGCCTTTTGCCTATACATTTATCTTCTTGGTGCCTAAATTGTTCCATCTATAAGTGGACTACACTCCTGTCTGACAGACTCTACAAAGAATAAGTCCAAAACCCAGCACAGGCTTCAGCACAGTGTTGGATTAATGGGAAAAGTCCAGGGTGGTATGAAATAAATATCCAGCACCCCATCTCATAGATGATTATAAATTCAGCACAGGAAAGACAGGAGCTGTTAAAACAAAGCACTGCCTACTCAGTAATAATCTACAGATACATGATGGATGATAAGACTCCAGTTAAATGGCTGATGAAGTTCCTCAGAGCATTCATGCCCACTGCAGTGACCCCAAAAACAAAAGAAATAGGGGTGCAAACACCTGAAGGGATGAAAAATAGGTTTCAATTCTCTTACCGACCCCAGTTGATTGACACTGACTGCCTAGATCCCTGTGTTAGGGACTTGGAGGCTGTTCCTGGGATCAGTAAGAATACGGTGCTGCAACTGATGGGTGATACCTAGCATAGGGAAGGAAGAGGTGGTAAAGATATGTATGCAGTCAGGCTTGTCTGGTCCTGTCCAAACCCCACCTCCGTAATCAGCATAAATATTCTAAAGGATTGAATAAAACTCAGAGAGTGCCAGTGAACCTAATCTATGAGTGCTTCCTGACTCATTATTAGACATAGGGCACCATACATTGCAAAGGGAAGCCTTGTGGTGAAGGAGAAAGACTACAGAGGAGAAAAATTTTAAAAATCTGCACATCTACTGCAAAATGCCTTTACAACCTTAAGGAAGACATTTTACCCCCTGGATTTCCACATGATCCTCTGAAAATGGGAGAAGGGGATGTACATGCACTTTCTGTTACAAAATCCAATTTTGTTGTTGCCATTGTTTTAATTTCCAGTATTTACTATTTCTTCACCAAACGAATATTTTTTAAATAAAAAGTTGCATCTCATCAAAATGCATGAATCATTTTTGGGCAAATAAGTCTACCTTGAAGACGAAAGTGAGACTGATCATAGTTTAACCACACTATCAATATATCTGACATCCCCAAATCTTAACTTCTATTTCTTTTCTCTTCTTATAAAGCATCCTGCATTTATCTTCCACAAATGCTAGATTTGAGAAATATAAGTTAATGTTGGCAGTGGCCAACATTATTATTATTATTATTATTATTATTATTATTATTAACACCTGAGTAGGGGCTGAAAGTGCTGATGGAGAAAGAGATTAATACTGGTTTCCAGATTTCAACTTTTGTAGATAAGAGAATGGTTAAAAAAAAAAAAAAAGAAGATAAAGAACTTGAAGAGGAAAGAGCCCCCTTAGTTTCAGATATTTTGATCTTGAGGTGCTTATGAGATACCTGAATGAAGCTGTCCAGTTTGATATGTAAGTCTAAAGCTTGGAAGAAAAATCTGGGCCAGAGATAAGATTCAGGAGTCCTTGGTATATTGATGCTAATCGATATAATGAGAATGGATTAGGGCAGCCAGGCGAGAAAGTATAGAGAATGGGAAAAGTAGTTTGCTTAGGATGAAAAGAATGCCAGAAATTAACTAGTAAGCAGTAGGGGGTCCCCTGAAGAAAACCAAGAAGGAAGAGTCTTTGAGGTGTCATGACAACCAGGAGAGTGAGGCATCAAGGAATCCAAGAGGACAGAGATCTCGATAAACTAGTGACAAACAGCAGAAAAAGCCAGAAAGGGGATTTTTTTAAAGTCCAGTGGATTTGATGATTCAAAGACATGAGGGCTGCTAGTATTTCAGCAGAATAGAGTAAGTGGGTACAAACTAAAGTGAAGAAAATCATATTTTACTTTTATTTGGAGGAGGATGCAGGATTGTGTGGATAGAGTCCAAAAGATGGAGAGAGAATAAATTCTACATACTTGCTCTTTTCTGTTGCCTGCAACTGGATAAAGGTGAGCTATTTTTTTATTTACTGGTATGAGTCTATCAAAGGTTAATTTCAACTGACTCATTGCTGGGAGAACTGACAGACCACACTAAGAAGAAAATAACATCTCAGAAAGGGGAAGCCTTCTAAATCCCATTTCCTTGTCTGCCGTGTTACATCTGTCAGATTTTAAAACAGTCATTCAGCCTCTTTGTTGATCTGTTTCCTTAGCTGTAGAACAGAAAATAATTCCCTTTTAATTGGATCCTAAAGTGCTAAAGGACTTTCAGACTGCCCAAGACTGCACTGTTTAGAGACAATATCCTAGCACACAAATTTTCCAGCTGCTTTGTTCTATTACTGAGAAAACCACTTCTTTTTTCATATGAAATAACCCAAATGTTCAAGATGTACATTTCTTTTTGTGGGTTTATTTGGCCTTGGACCCTAAACTATCTCCCTGTGTCTACAGTATGTGTCTACAAAAGTAAAGTGTGGAGAACTGAGGAAATGATCCAGAGAATTCAGCTCCCAGTTCAACGTTTGCCTCAGCCTGTTCATTTGTTCAACCAGAAAACTTTATAAAACGAAATTCCTCCTGCATAGGATAGAGCCTCCGGTTTATTGGGTCTGGACAGGTTCATTTGCATTCTCTGTTTCTTTCCTCTTGAATTTCAGCCTCTACCAATTTTGTATCCCCCAGGAGCTGTCGTTAGCAGCCATACATCCTCTCTTGTAAATAAAACCCAACTGTCTGCTGGAAATTTCCACTCGCCTATCCAGCCACCTCACCAAATGCAACACACCTAAAATCAAATCCATCAATCTCTCCCCCAAACCTTGCTCCTTCTCAGATGCTCCTATTTTTGTCAATTGACATCATTCTCCTCATCACCCTGGCTCAGATCCTCAGCATCATCTCTGTGCCCTCACCCTCCCTTGTCTTCTGTATCCATACCCCAAGTTCTAAAATTTTTCCATTGAAATGCTCAACCCATCTGTCCCTTCCAGCTTCCAGTTTTTGTGTACGTCCCATGTGTCAGACACCATGCTTGGTACTTTACACACCTCACCTCACTTAATTGTGATGACGACCCATTGAAGAGGTTGATGGAATTCCCCCCCACCCCACCCCCCACTGCCATTCTGCAGAAGGGAGAATTGTGCTTCAGACGGTTATGAAAACAGTTATGGACTGAAGGTTTGCATCCCTCCAAAATTTGTATATTGAAACCATAGCCTCCCGTGTGACTATGTTTGGAGATAGGGTCTGTGAGGAGGTGATAAAGGTCAAATGAGGTCATGAGGGTGGGATTCTAATTCAATAGGGATGGTGTCCTTATAAGAAGAGGAAGAGACACCAGAGTTCACTCTCTTTACCATAGGAGGAGGTGGAAGGCAGGTGACCATCTGCAAAACAGGAAGAGCATCCTCACCAAGAACCAAGTCAGCCAGCATCTGGATCTTGCACTTCCCAACCTCCAGAATTGCGAGGAAATAAATTTCTGTTCTATAGGCCACCCAGGCTATCGTATTTTGTTATGGCAGCACAAGCAGACTAAAACAGGGACTATGCCTGACCCACTACTAAGGAAAAGAGCCAGGATCCAAACCCAAGACCACCTCTCTCTAGAGAGTGCGCCTGGAGCCAGCAAACTGCACAGCTCCCTGGACTGCTGTCTAGCACAGGCCCGCACCACCTCACAGGGAAGGCTCAGGAATAGCTTCTTGTTGCCCACCTTGCTTCAAGTCTTCCTTGCCTCCTCCAGTTAACCTGTGCATGTCACATTTGCTTTCTTCAAACACCACTCAAGTCACAACATTCCTCTGATCAAAGCTTTAGGTGGCTCCCCGCTGGCTACAAGATCACGTTTAATCTCTTTTGGCGTGCAAGTTCCCTTTCGTCTAGCCCAAGCCTTCTTATCCAGCCAGACTCCCCTCACAGCCTATCCCAAAGGTTCACTGTTGTACTTCCAAGTGCCGCGAATTATTTGTCTGTGAGTTGCAATGAGGGCAGTGGCCTTGTCAGTCAAATCTCTGCGTGACTAGACTCTGGCGCATAGTAAGTGCTCAATCAATAGCTGTTGAGTGAGTAAGTGAATGAATTGGTGCATGCCATTCCTCTGGCTTGCTTGCCTATAGCACCAATCACTCCTCCCATCTGCAACTTGCCAGGCAGCAGGACCAAGCTCAGATCCACCTCAACAGTAATGGCCTCTCCAGCCACCCCAGCCCACCATGATCTCCCCCTCCTCCAAGCCCCTCCTCAAGGACTTTCTATCCTAGTAACTCACTCAACATGTGTCACTTACTGATATGAACCAGCATGGTTACCCATGTCCAAGAATGGTCATTTTTACATTGTTTGTAATAGCAAAAAATTGACAGTGATCTGTGGCAGAGACTGTCAGCTGCCTCCCCAAATCTCTATCCTTCTTCCTTATTATAAAAACACTGATCTTTAGCTGAGCCCATTGCTGCCCAGCTAAACAAAACAAACAAAATCCACTTGTCCCATCTTTCATTACAGCTACTTATGGCCACAGGGACTAAATTTTGGTCAATGAGATGTAAGTAAACATGTATGTACCACATCTGGGAAGTGTCGTTAGGGACACAGCTTTCTCTTTCCTATACTCAGTCCCATTGCCTGGAATTCAGGTGTGACCCTGGAACTCTAGAAACCACATTGGACCATGAGGACAAGGACATGAAAGGACAGTGAGCTGAAAAGAGCTTGGGTATCTGCCAGCCTCTCGAGTTGTTACAGCATCCCTGTGCCACCTGCCTCGGCACTTCTTTTTAGGAGACGGAAATAAATCTCTATATTGTTTGCATCACTGTTATCTGGGTTTCTCTATTTCATGCTGCCAAGCTGGCACACACTGCAAATGCCCATTAGTAGAGAAATGAAAAAATAAGATTACGTAGGCTGATATGAAGGTAGTTAAAAGAAAAGAACTAGATCTATCTATCCACTTACCTCTCTATTTACCTATTTGAGAGAAAAATAGGCCATATGCGCATTACAATATTCTTAAATAAAAGAATAGATTCGGCCAGGTGTGGTGGCTCACATCTGTAATCCCAGCACTTTGGGAGGCTGAGGTGGGCAGATCACCTGAGGTCAGGAGTTCAAGACCACCCTGGAGAACATGGCAAAACCCTGTCTCTACTAAAAATATATTTTAAAAAAATTAGCTGGGTGTGGTGGCAGGCGCCTGTAGTCCCAGCTACTCAGGAGGCCGAGGCACAAGAATTGCTTGAACCCAGGAGGCGGAGGTTGTGGTGAGCCAAAATTGCGCCACTGTACTTTAGCCTGGGTGACAGAGTGAGACTTTGTCTCAAAAAAAAAAAAAGAATAGATTCATATATTACTTGTGTAATAGCAAATGACAAAAACTTTCCTTATAAAAATTGCTAACTATTTCTACTCTGTACATACCTTGCCCACTCAACAATCTTTCGAACTTCCCAGGGGCAGAGAAAAGAACTATTATTTTTTGTGTGCCTGTTATTCTCCCTAGCACATAATAGATCCTAATATTTGACTGGTGAAAACCTTTGGAAATTTGTCAAACATGACTATGTTTACAGAAACACCAGCAGTAAATGGGGGATGAAAATGGGGCCATCATTCTCAGCAGACCAGCACAGGAACAGAAAACCAAACACCGCATGTTCTCACTCGTAAGTGGGAGTTGAACAATGAGAACACAAGGACACAGGGAGGGCAACATCACACACCAGGGCCTGTCAGGAGGGTAGGGAGCTAGGGGAGGGATAGCATTAGGAGAAATACCTAATGTAGATGACGGGTTGATGGGTGCAGCAAACCACCATGGCACGTGTATACCTATGTAACAAACCTGCACGTTCTGCACATGTATCCCAGAACTTGAAGTATAATAATTTTTTTTAAATCTGCTTATTTAACAAAAGTCCCAAATATAACACAATTTTATAAATTACAGCCCTCATATTGTATATTAAATCTGTAGACTTGTTCATCCAAAAAAAATGAGATTCCCTCATCCTTAATAATTTTATAATCTGAAAGATCGTTCACTTTCTGTTATCAGCTCTCACATAGACGATATTATGCTCAATTGAATATTAAAATGTTTCACTTGTCTCCCAGTCCTCTACTCTCCAGCAAATTTAATTCAGTTTCCAGTTTAAAATAAATAAGTGTTTTGAATTCTAAAATGTTGGTGGTGAAGCTCAATTGTAAGAGAGGCTGAGGGAAACAAAGACATGAGACGGAATAACATGGCACTGTTTTATAACGTATGGTTTGAGAGATAAAATTAAGACTCATCTATAGATCTGCCAGATTCAAATCTACTCTGACTCTATGTATTTAGTGGTTATGTTCCAGAAGACAAGATTTGCTTCTATCGACTGTGAAAATCCATCTTAATTTTATACTGCTCATCAGCAGACTTTGTTTGGGGCCCATTGAGAGGTAATAGGGCACAGCATAGAAGTTTATTGGAAAGACCTCCTCTTGTTTATTTCATAATTATACACTTGACATTTGGAAACTCCTGCTTGTTACTAGTCACTTAATTAGTTGCCCCAAGGTTCATAAAAAATCATAGGTTTAACTTCAACTTAAAATATCCTTTAACTCCTCTTGCTCTGTAATTCAATCTCATCCACTGTAAATGTAATTACATCCCTGACAAACGATTGCTGATGATAATAGACCTGATTTAAGGGAGAGAAATCTAAACACGCAATAACCTGATTTTTTAAAAAAATCTGTGTGTCCTCAGAAAGAAGATGTGGAACAGATAAATCAATAATAATAAAAAACCTTAATCATTGACTTAACATTCAGCAAATCATTAAATAAAGCTTGCATTAATGGAGATTTATATAAATAGTCTGAATGGTGGGTGACCTTCAGGAAAATTGCTATAAGACAAAGGTCTTTGCATATCTCTTCAAAGATGTTTGACAAGAGAATGGCTTTCTGCTGCATGTCTTCATTTATTATAGGTTTCATTTAGATCACCAGGAATTCTCCTGAATTATGTCTCTTAGCTAAAGCCAACAATATCTAGTGATTTTTGGCAGTTTACAAACATACATACACATAATACCCAAAATAATTATGTCTAGGAGTGCAAATTAGAAAACAGGATTTTGTTTTGTTTTCTCATGAGCAGCAAATGATTTTCGAGAAAAATGAGAATGACCTGAAAACACTTTTGGCAACAAAGGGTACTTTGGTAACAAAGTGAAAGCACTTTTGGTAACAAAGGGTACTATATAAAAAGGGAAAATATTACTCTAAATTAGTATTTCCCAAAATGCATTACTAAAAACCCTGGTTCATCAATATGCTTCACAAAAAAAAAATGTTCTGTGGTCAAAAGAATATGAAATATGATGCTTACTATCTCCTTTTAAAGATAGGTCACATTAGCACATGGCATTGTATAAGCATATTAAAGGCTCTGAAAAGCCCTGCAGTGAAGCAATCTATGTAAAGATAACCAGATATTTTCCCCCAAAATAACTTGTATCACTATTCCGCTTTGAGAAAGTATGCTCTAAATTAAGAGTCTAAAGTTGGATTTTCACTTTGCATCATAATCCCCAACTGCATGCTATTTATTATGAAGGTTATTTACCAAATGCTTGCCATAGTTAAAGCATCACAGGGAACGAGAGGTGAAAAAAGTCAGATCATTAATCTCCAGAAGCTTATACTCAAGTGAAAAAACCAACATGGAAACACCAAACTAAAATGTATCATGGTAAATGCAAGCAACAATTGCCATACTTAAGTTGAACAGGGAAGGTTTCAGAGTTGGTGGCATTTCGAGCTGAATCTTCAAGAACTAATTGGATTTCATTTGGGAAGAGATTGAGGTTTGGAAATACGAGGCACAAAGATGAAGGGACAGAAAACTCAAGATGTTCTGGGAAATAATGAATTGACTAATTGGCTAGAGTAGAGATTTGGGGTAAAGGACTAATAGACGAAATGCTGGAAAGCTCACCAGCAGTTTCAAAGAGAGGTCAGATCCTGAGGATGCTTGAATGAAAGGCTGAGGGTGGACATTATTAGGTAGACAATGTAGAACACAGAAGAATTTTGAGGGCAATACGATTAAAGTCCTTTGAAGAATAGTTTGTAATGCTGCTCTCGGTATGGAAGTGCAGCCACCAGAGGGTTCTCAGCCTCCACTTGGATCACAGCAATATATAATTTGAGATCTTAAACAAATTTGTGTTACAAAGGTTCAAAGAGTGCACATTTTATTAGATATACTCAGAAGCAACCAAGAGACTAGAAAATTATAGTTAAGGAATATCAGAGAAGGATGATAAATTTCTGCTGCCTTTCATAAATCCAATATGATGGCACCACAAATGAGTATATCACCTTCTGCAACTCCCAGTCTCACTTGGGGAGGTAACCATGGAGTGTCCTGCAAAACTGATGAGATCAATTTCACCACTGTAACTTTTATTGGTTATAAGAAGTTACCTTTAGTCCTCAAAAGCCACACACTATTCTAAAAGTCTACATGGAACAGAATTACAGGTTGAGCGTCCCTAATCTGAGAATCTGAAATCCAAAATGCACCAAAATTTGAAAATTTTTGAGCAATAATATGACACCACCAGTGGAAAATGCCACACCTGATCTCATGTGACAGCTCACAGTCAAAACTTTGTTTTATTCATAAAATTATTTAAAATAGTGTATAAAATTAACTTCAGGCTATGTGTATAAAGTATACATGAAACATAAATGATCTTCATGTTTAGACTTGGGTCTCATCCCCAAGATCTCTCATGATATATATGCAAATATTCCAAAATCTGAAAATCTCCAATATCCAAAACACTTCTGGTCCCAAGCATTTCAAAACACATTTCAACCTATTTTTCACGCATAGAACAAACTGGCAACTCCATATACTTAAAGACCAAAAATAGGAAATATACTATTCGATTTTTAAAACCCAATGACATTTGCTTCAGAAAACAGTTTCACTACCACAATTGCCTCACCTCTACCGGGGTAGTTTAAGTGACTAGGAATTTATAATTGTGCTTCATAGGAGGGTGAAAAAGATTGAAATAAGACATGGGCGTTTCTTTCAAAATTATAATAAAACATAGGCAGTCTGTTCTTAATATCTAGGGTGGATCTCTTCTTGCAAGGAGTGTTTCACTGGGAAATGAAGCACTTTTATCTAGGAAACACTCTATGGACTTTCAAAACAGCTGATCGCAGAACATGTATTCAAAGTCTTGATTAATTCAAATAATTGGTGTAAACAAGGGTTTGGGTTAACTTACTTTACTAAGCAACTAAAGATCACTCTTCTGTTCTCCTAGTCCTTTGTGCTAACATCTTCTTGAAATGACTTAACTTGTATTGCTGCCTTATCCAGCACATCATCTAGATCAGTGATTCCCAAACAACAAACGACACTGGACTGTCTATATCTGAATCACGATCAGAGCTTCTGAGAAATGCAAATTCCTGGCCTGCATCTATCCTGGCCTGCCCCACGCCCATCCTGATTCTGTGTGGGTCTAAGTGAAGTTTCAGAGATATTTTTTAATTATCCAGATTTTGGAAACCATTAATCTTGATGATAACTGGATTTTTCTAAGATGGTTCACAATATTGGAACGGCCATAAGAACTCCAGAAAAACTATAACATTACTGCTATGACAGAGACAGGGCTAGGTGGATACCAAACCCTATCTTTTTTTCTTCCTGGGTACAGAGCTAAGCTACATTTCCCAGCCGCCCTTGCAGTTAGGCAGGGTCATGTGACTGGGCCCTGGCCATTGAAATCTAGATGGAAAAGCTGTGTACCACTTCCAAACTTGGCCCCAAATAACTTCCCAGAGAATCTTCCAACTGGCTGCCTTCCTTTGTTTGCCAGTCAGGTTCCTTAGTCTCAGGGGAAAACGGTGAGATCCTACGGGAATATTAGAGCCACAGGACAGAAATAGCCCAGGTACTCGAATGAGTATGTGGAACAGAGCAACCACCAACACCAACTACCATTGGATTGTGGGTAGATGAGACATCAACTTTTACAGTTGAGCTACTGAAGTGCAGGGATTCTGTCACAGACATTAGTTTACCCTTACTAAAACAATCACATTTATGTTTTTAGCAGACTTTGCAATAGACCAAGCATTTCAAAATCATAAAGAAATATGCTCATATTTTAACAACTAACAAAAAGGCATAAGACCATAGGCCATATTTAACCTTTAAAAGAAACGCTGATATGAGCTTATTTTTTCTGTGGTTTTCCGTTTTGTTTTAAAAGTGAAGTATGGAAAAGGTTGGGGGAAGTCTGGTTAATTGAGAGTTTCAGGTAATTAGATTTTAATCTAGTAAGTTTTTGTAACAGTTACAGGAACAAAAATGAAATAAAGTAACTAATAAATCTGAATTTTCAGATACCAAATGGATACAAAATGAAAGCCTGTGGAAATCTAAGAATTAATAGAATCACATAACCTGGAGTATTCAAAAGGTCGTGGTATTCACTTACTTTTGAAAAAAATCTGTAGGAAGAAATTCTACCACTGAGCTCGTCATTGTCCTTATTTAGGTGGTGGTTTTACAGTATAATGCAGAATTATGTATTAATGTAAGGTACCACTTTCAACCCTGGCCCCAAATAACTTCCCAGAGAATCTTCCAAACTGGCTGCCTTCCTTTGTTTGCTATTCAGGTTCCTTTGACTCAGGAGAGAACAGTGAGATCCTAGAGGAATATTGGAGCCAAGGGACAGAAATAGTCCAAGTACCTGAATGAGTGTGTAAAACCCTTGTTAAGAGGACAAGGTCAGGAGTCAGGGGGAGCTGGGTCAAAATCCCAGCACTTCTGCTTACTGGTTAGGAAATCATGAGTAAACTCACTCCCGGCACAATGTCGATGATACTAACTACTTCACTGGATTGATATTAGGTTTAAATGGGCTCTAAGGCACATTATAAATATTTAACATTTGCTTGTATTAATATTAATATGGTAGTTAGTTGCACATGTTTTCTTTTTTAGGAAAACTAGTTATTGCCTCCATACATAAGGAAGATCTTGAGAACTAAGGAGCCAAAACTAGCTAATATTTTTCCCAAAAGAAAGATGAGAGCCCTGGTGGTGGCAGTGCCTGGAATTCTATAGTTTACCACTGTCCTAGTAAAGCAACTAGTGTGCTAATGTCTATGCATCTTTATCCTTTATCTGCCAAAGGTGAAGACCAATAGGTCTTGGGCAAGGATCACTGGTGCTTAAAGCTCCTCTGAAAATGGTAAAACTCTCCCTGTTCTTGGGGAGAAGCCTGTCTGCCTGTCATGATCCTGCAATCTCAGCCAGCTTGAGCTCATACCGAAGCCCCTCTCAAACACGCATGATCCATGAGAGGGAGCGGAGATAACTTGACGGGGCTGCATCTGCCTCCTTCTGCCTGGCCAGCCGGAGACAGCAGTGGGAGCTGCCACCTCATTTCTTTTGATAAGCTACTGAGGAGACACAGTGTCTTCCCCAGTTTTCTAAGTTTTAGTTTGAAAATTGAATTCGGGAACTTGTCAACTCTGACAGCAGAGCTTTAAAATTCAGTTCAAAGACAATCTGCTTGTACTTTATAAAATCCATCTTCTGACTTCAGAGCAATAGGATTTCTCAGAATCTTCACTATGTAGGGAATGAAAAACTTCGGTTTTCCTTCTTTCCAATTAAACTTGGGTTCTTATAAAAACCATTACGATTTTTTTCTCTTCCTACACCAGTTCTTCTCCTCTAAACTACCTCTTTCAGCAAACAGAGCTCAGCCCTACATTTCAAAAGCAAAGCTGAGACTTTTGTGCAATGCAGCCCTTTTTCATGGGCAAACACTGAGGACGAAAATAGATAACACACACGAGATTCATCACAAGCCAACACTCTACAAGTGACAGGATTCTTGACACTTGAGGTTTTAAAAATAATAATAAGCAGTCTATCAAAGAAATCACTTCCTTCCCTAAAGTTACAAAAGTCACACTTGGCAGCAGAGGCTTCCATCAGAGGCTATATTGAGAGGTAAAATTACCAGGACTCAAAGGAATAGGTCAAAACCCTAAACATGGCAGGGAACCAAAGGTAAAACCACGATTCAATGACAGATGGCAAAGGCCTGTCAATGCCTAGGAAATTACATGGTGAAATTCTTTTCTGACATTTCGTTCACACAAAAATAACAGGACCCTGAAGTTAAACAATGACATTCCGAAAGGAAACACCTCCACGGATGACACTTCTTGCACAGTTCAGCCTCCGAGGCATACACCCAAACCAGAATTTCATATTTCTCAGGTGTGTGTGGGAGGCAGTTCGGGGGGGAGGACAGAAGGGAAGGAGAAAATGGGGAGAGAGAGCAGAGAAAGTGAAAGCCAATATCTCTGCAGAGGGAGGAGGGAGGAGAAAGGTGACAGTTAGTTCATTTCTGTTCCTTCCCAAAGGACTTGAGCTTTCAGTTCATAGATTTTTTTTAAGTGACATTTGAAAGGTGCTGCTATCATCCATTCATTTGGGTTCTGTTTGGCCTTTAAATGTAATATTTCAACTGAGAGTTCAAGCAGGTGGGGGCAAGCTGGAAGGTTAAGATGTTTTCATGAAAAGCAACCAAGCCAGACAGTTCCTATTGTCAAGAAGACCCCATTGAAAGCAGGAAGCACTAAAATTAGCCACTTAAGCTAATTTTACCCCTCAGGTCGAGGGGCACAAGCCCAGCTGTCCGGCCTTCCAGACTGTTTCATTCTTCTAAGCAGGAAGGAATCAAAGGGAAGCAATACTGTGATCCAGAAAAATCCATTGAATGTTGGGGAGGGAAGGGTAGTTGTTTCCATTTAACCAACATGGGCAATGGAGGAAAATATTTTTCAGTAATTGGGAACTCAAGAAAGACAGAACCCCATTAAATTCCAAAGGCAACTGCTAAGTTTTAGTTGTTAATTTCTGTCATGTTGCCTTGGTTGGAATGATGATCATTAATTATTCCTTTATGAAGATTTACTTTTAAATTTGTCTCAAAATGGCTTGAACAATGGATTTTAACTGAGTATAACTATTATATTAAAAATCAATTTCTAAAATATGAACAGTAACAGAACAGATTTTGCATTGTACAGCGTAACAGAACACACACACGCACACACACACACTCTTACACCTCTAAAAACTTCACATTTGTTTTCTTTTTCTTTAGATAATAAACAGAACTGCTTCTTTGAGATGATACTGAATGGCCCATGTACCTCCCTTCACGCCAGCATAGGCATAACCATTTCAAAAAGGTGATTATAAACAATATCTTATATTCTGATGTTCCTTCCCTCCTGAAACTTCAGACTAAAGAGACTGAGTTTCCCCAGTGAGTCTCGGAAACACAAAACAGGATGTTTAATTTGTTTAAGTTTCCAGAGCAATTTACCGGAGACAAAAATAAAATACCGTGGCATTTTGCTGGCACCTTAAAAAAAAGAAAGCCTGTCTTGGAAGTACAATGAACCTCATGAGATCTCAAACACGAATCCTCTATTTGTATGCTCACATATTTTTATGATTTTGTTCACTGAAGAACAGTTTAACATATTCCAATCCATGCACTTAGTGAAAGAAAAGCTTCCAACAAAACAGGTCTTTTTACAAGGCAGCCCCCAAGGTCTCCAACAGCTAAACAGACGCAAGTAGCTGCGTACAGTCCCTATTCTAGCTGTGGCAATCAAATGATATGTTCACTGGATCATCTTAATTTGAAAAAAGGTTCTCCTGTTTAATAAAATACAGCGCCAAGCTCAGTGTCAGCCCTGAGTTTAAAAATCTTTAAAGAAAACTTCTATGCCTGTGAGTAAGGTACTATCATCTATGCTTTCATTATTTTAAAATGAAGCTTAAAATGAGAATAATTACTTTTTTAAAAGAAAAGAAATTATTTATCTGCAGCCCGTAGCTTAGATATTGTGCAAAACAGCCCAAGGAGGTCAAAGGCAGACATTGTTAAAAAGATGGTAAGTCACTTTATTTTTTTTTTTAATCTTGCTCTTCAGGATTTTCACTTGATCTGCAGCCACTGATGCCCTACCAGCTTGGAAAATGTTTTATTTCCTTGCTTTGGAGTGAATTATCAGGCAATCATTTGCTTTATTGATTCTGCTCATTATTGCAGTGGTTGCTTGCCTTAGGTCCCTGGAGGTCAAGGCAAGAAACCAAATATGTATGTGGATTTCTTTTCTACTGCTTCTGCTTGCTCTAATTTGACCCTCAACCACCAGAAAGCTACATAAGAACCATATTTAGGATTTGTAAGGTACTGTCTACTTAGAAGGTGCCAGTTGACACATGTATGTTAACCAACTGCCGGTTATTCCACATCACTTTAGAGTTCTTTGATTGCAAGCAACAGAAAATATCCCTGGATAATCAAAGGGAAAAAAGACTGTATCAAAAGCGAGTAAAGTGGAGAATAGATTGAAAGACTGAAGACCCCAGCACACACAAAAGTAGGAATGAAGAAAGGTCTGAGGAGGTCTAGCTATCAGGCCCAACTTGACAGTCTTAACTAGGCATTGCTACTCAAATAAATAAGTCAAGTCATTTTTTGAGTTTGTCGCTTATATCATATCATTGAAATTTCTGAATTCCAGAGGAGAAGGTCCTGTTGGCACTACTGACATTTTGGACTAGAAAATTCCTTGTGGTGGGTGGCGGGGGGTGGGGGTGGCTGTCCTGTGCATTGTAGGGTATTGAGTGGCACCCCTGGCCTCTACACACTAGATGCCAATAGCACCCCCACTAGCTGAGACAGAATGTCTCTAGACTTTGCCCAGTGTCCACTAGTAGGCAAAATTACCCCCAGGTGAGAACCACTGGCTTAGATTTAATCAACAACTGCCCACCTCATGGCTTACAAAAGGCCAGGTACCTTGATATACAACCCTATAACACAAAGAAAAGATGGATTAGTTTCCAAAACAGAAACTGGGATATTGTTTCCAAAAGATAGAGGAATTAGCGCTTGCTGTGCATTTCAATATTGGTAAGTAGAAAGCTGAAAAAGATTATGGTTTTTTAGCCTGTGTATTCAGAGAACAGAAAAAAAAAATGGAATTAAAAAATATTTGAAAACAAATCATAGAAAAAGTAATGCATCAAAATGCTGTATCAGTCCTTCACAAAGCTTTTATGGTTAGAATTTGTGTGCTGAAAAAGCACAATCCTGGTAAAATTGGTGTTCTTTTCTATTTTTATCCAAATTATCTGCATTTCCCTATCTGCTTTTAAATCCTGCCAGATATTTTTCCAACTCTTGGTATCTATGGACTTGTGGTAATTGACATGGCTAATTTAAGGGAAACTGATTCCAAATCCCAGAGAACACCCAATCCATCTCTATATTAATTAGTCAGCTAACTCTGTTGGTTCCAACATGGTGCTAATGAGACCAAAAACATAAATGCAACCCTCATGCCATATGGGCTTGTTCGGCAGCCAGCCTGCAGCCCCACTCTAACCAGCCAACGGATCAATGTGCATGGCTATTGGTGGGGACGAGGTGGGAGAGAGCACGGATGTGTCCAGACAAATCCATCCCCATATCCACATCTCATGCAGCTCACCCTCCCAGGGAAGGGGCTGTTCTTTTATCCATATAAAATACAGAGCCTGGCACATGTTCATCATGGTACCTCTTCCCTAACACGTATGATACCACATCTTTTCCTCTTCCCTCTCCAGCTCATAACTACTCATATCAGATGCCTTTGCTGCTTCCTTTTTCTTCCATTCATTAGCATTTCTTTAAAACTGGAGCACAGAACTTCATCTCCAATCTGCCTTGACTCTAAATTGCCTGATCCTACCATCAGTAGCAAGACTGGGCTTGTCTCTTCTTCCATTATCATTTCTGACAGCCCCAAAGAAATCACTTAATATTCATTTCAGTCTTCTTTTTCAGACAGTCTTAAAAATCAATTTCAAAATTTTTCTTCTTGATCCTGTCATTTAGCACTGAAATGGCCCAAACTGATGACTTGGGACATTAGCATTTCTCCCCCCTCCCTTCAGGATGTCAGCTCCACTTTGTGAGTCCATTTTGGTCTGACTGAAGCTGGCTTTCATTTCAGGGTTGTTGTTTTTCACTGAGAAACATGATTTTTTAAAAAAGCTGTATATGTAGAACAACTTTCAATTATCCTTTTCTTTAAAAAAAAAAGCACCTTCAGTAAAAACAAAAAATAGGCAAAACACTCTGGCTTAGAAAAAAATCAGTTTCGATGGGTGAAAAAAGAAAAAGAAGAGATTTGAAGTTTGCAATTATTCTAAAATCTTCAAGAGTGCCACTTTAAAACCTCTATTTTCAAATAGTAAATTAGTAACAGTTCCATCATCTTATTTATTGATAAAAAGAGAAGTTAAAATAGCCATTCATGAAAAGATGCTAAAAGCTGCAAGGAAGCCAAGAACAGGAAGAAAAGGGTCTGAAAGAGAGGAAAGGTAATGGCAGCTTTTCTAAAGCAGAAAAAAAGTTCTTTGTCTTTGCTGCCATTCTGTGAACAGCCTAGAGAGCTCAGCTCATTGTCATTGTCGCTGCCCTTCTTCCTTGCATTGTTTTGCTTTTTCAGGTTGTCTTGAATTATCCAAGTAACATTATTAGAGAAGTAGAGGGGTCGAAAACAACCACAAGGACCAAAGGGTGAGGGAGGTACCTAACTAAATGAAACACATCCAGCTCATTTTATTCCTTAGCCTGTGTTTTCTCTTCTTAGCAAGCAGAAGAGGGTTTTAAAAGTGAGGAATGAAACAGACATGACATTAAAAGAGAGCTCTGGACCATGCAAAACAGTCCTCCAGCTTGATAACCATAACCAATTTTTGCTCTAAGAATCACTCTGCTATCTTTGTAATTCCACCAGCTTGTTATTTATATATATATTATTACAGTGTCCTGATGGACCTCCCCCTTCCATGACTCCGGCTTGCTTGAGAAAGAAAATACCTGCTAAAACGATGAGAGAACAAAAGCCATCGGCATGAACTGCAAGAGAGAAAAACAATTGGATTTTTCTTACAGGATCAAAGAGCCAAAAATCATTCTTTCTGGAACTGTGGAACATGAAACATGGGGGCTTAAAAGTGTCACCTCAGGAATTAACAAACACGAAAACGTGTGCCCAGCCCCAAACCACTTTCTGAGACATAAGGTAAATTGTAGGAACCTGTCCACATCACAGCAAATGTAATCAAATAGACTTTGAAAAGGCACGATGTGACTTGAGGATCCTAGATCCTGGATCTTTTCTGCCTGCCAAACATGTGGCCTTTCTGTGCAAAGAAGGTGTCCTGCTAGTGCCACCAGGAGGCCACTCACATTAAACACGCAGGTACCGTCCTGGCTTTCAGGTTCTGATTGCATGAAGTCAGCCCATGAGTACATTGGGCTAAAATCACTGAATGTAAGGAAGGGAAGGTGATAGTACTATTGTTTGGATGTTTATTGAACATCAATAATGCATTACACTCCATCTGCAACACAGAATTAGATGCTGCCCCTGACTAGGAATTCATTAATCTACCTGGATATACAGGCAACTAGGGGATGCCTTGACAACAAGAAGGCAAAAATAGGAACTGTTTAGATTATCGACTTTTTAAATAAATGAATCGTCTTTAGAAACTGTGGTTGTAGCTGGGAGAAGAAAAACTTTCAGACAGATCCTGAACTAAGTCAGACAGTGAGAACATGAGTTCTGTATCCACACCAGAATTCCCAAAAGTTCTGCCAGACTTTAAGCAAAGTTAATAGAAGAACATCCAGGCTTTTTATAATTAGGTTATGATTCACTCTACCAAAGTTCCATTTATTTTACTAAGGAATTTACTTCTAAATTCTTGCAAATAACATTAGCTCTTTGAATCCATTTCTAATTGAATTAGAATTATAAACACTGCAAACTAGACTCAACTGCCAGAGACAGAAAATTTGTACTACTCATGTAATTAACATACATCCTTAGGCTCACAGGCAGTACTGACCAAGAAATAAGACCCTGAATCGGGATAACCCACCCTTAATCTAATGACACCACGCTTTTAGCTTGTTGGTCTTCATCTCAAATTTCCTTATGATGCTTCAGCATTTGTAAAGCTATCTTCGATTCTAATAAAATGAATGTAATGCAAGTTCAATGAACAATCACAAAACATATTGATTGAGAGGTGACTTTAGATGTCACTTAATAAAACCTTCCTCCACAGTTGGGAAGCACCCCAGACACATTGCTGATAACCTCTGCTTAACCACATCCACTGACAGATGTCCTCTTATCAAGGCTCTCCTGAGTCACTCAACTTCAGTGTTGTAGGATCTCATATGGAACAGGCAACATTTACAGATAAATAAGTAAAGTTCTAAGAGTAAGAGGGAGAGTATACGTTTATTTTAGTTATCTCTGCTGTGCTGAAGCATTTGGTTTCCTGACGCTTCCATTTCAAATATTCTATGTAACTTCATCTTCCTGTGAATTCTTTCTACTATACTACCTTTAAATTTATTCTCTAAATCAAAAGAACAATAGCACCAAAAATCCCAAATGCTTATGATAATTCTTTGCAAATTGCCTATCAGATTTCAGTTCCGTATCTATTCAACTAAAGAAATGCATGCCATCAGCCTCATAGAGACAGAATGGAGAAAAGCACTTTGGATTTCATATATGCCTTAAAATTTCAAGTCTGGCATTCTCTAACTGGGAATGGTCCTGATCAACAATTCCATAGGTGACCAATGCATTGATACCTATTTATGGAAGATATTTTTGGTTGAACACAAGGCTACTTACTGGTGGACTAGAGGAAAAAAATACATCAGATGTGTTTTCTTGTTATGAAAGATCTTCCACAGTCTAACTGACTAGTCTAATACACGAGGAAACTAGACCAATACACGAGGCCATGTAATAAATCATTTAGCTAACATTTAGTTTTTTGAGTTGAAATGGAAGAGGGATACATGCATGGATTTGCTAATTACACTTCTGCTCCATATAGATTAGCTCTGAAAGGTTCATCTATGGCTTAACTTGACTTCAGGGATATTTCTTCAAGCCCTCTCTTGATTCTTCTACACATATAGTGAACACCATTCCCAAAGCATGGTTTCTTACAGAACACACTCTGTCCTGGTGGCTGCTGTCTCTCCTTCCCATTTTAGAAGATACAAACATGAAAGTTAAACACTTTCAACACCTACCCTGTATTAGTTTCCACAATTTTCCATGCCAATATGGAAATTAGCTTCCAAAACCTAAAAAGCTTTTTCTTATAAATAGATGTTAAACAGTTTTAAATACTTACAAATAGCCCCTTTCACACCCTGTTGCCAGCTTCTTTGTGTATATGTTAACAGAGGGAAAAATAAATAAATAACAGGAAAAGAAAAATAGCCCAAAGTGGGCAGCAAGTGAAAGCTAGGAAGAAAACATAGGAAAGAAATGTATGTAAATCTTTGCCTGAACCCTTCGTGCTTTCTCTTCTTAGATTTTAGCTTTACACAATTCAATTTCACACTAAACACAGCAGAGATGGCTGAGACAAAGGAGGGAGACAGTGAGTTGTTTAACGTACATTCTGGAAGAAAATAATGCCATTCTTTTCTGAGCAAATTCATATCAACTTTCCCACCTCTATAAATGAACAAAATCATTTTTGAATAAATAGTCACCATAAATTTAAATGTTGCAAAAATAAATCCCCCAGATGTTTTGTGTAGCTTCAAGAGTAAAAAGCTGCCAAGGCATTTACTCTGAACATAATATTGTACTCTACAAGAATACACTGAGCACCAAACACAAAATATTATTATACAGAAGATACAGCACATTTCACACTTTTTAAGGAGACCTAAGGCCTTGAGTGCAACCTCTTGGGAATATAAAGTCAGGCAAATAAACTTTTAAATACATTAAAAAAATAATGGGTGCTGTTTGCTGGACTCTGGAGTTAAAACTGAGGAGAATTAGAGATTTTTAAGTCAGGGGCAAATAAACAACATTTGGTTTAATTTTTCATTTTTTTAAATAAAATATTATAAATGTTACATAGTTGTTTGCAAATAATAGATTTCCATAACATCTAAATAAATATTAAATATATTAAATAAAAGTATTTCCAGTTTGGAAACCAGGAATCACAATTATAGACTATAGAGACCCCTTACTCAACAGCTTGGGTAAAACTGTAGAAACTCAAAAAAAAAAAAAAAAAAGAAAAAAAAAAACCAACAAATTTTTTTTGAGACAGCTGTGCCCTCTGGAGGTGGCACTTGGGAATTGAGTAAATCTCCCTAAACCAACAACAATGACTTTCCTAAAGAATTGAACACGCACTTGGAAATGCAAAGAAGGCTTAGAAGGTTTCATTCATGATCCTTTCTTTGTGTCAAACCAGTTTTCAATGAATACTAATTTAGAATTTCAATTTAAAAGTGTTCAAATGGGCACAAAACATTTTGGTAGACGGGATTAAAAGCTTGTGTTCAATATCTGGAATACAATGATTAGGAACATGCTGAATATTATGAAAAGAAAGAACAGTGGTTCCAAATCAAATATCCTCAAAACTGCTTTCGGTGAAATGCGTGGAGCTATGGCCTAGCCTCTTCCCATCCCACTTCCCCCAACTCTCAGAGGCAACTGATTTTTTTTGTCCTATCTTTTTAGAATAATTCACCACCTCTGCTTTTTCTATCTGTTTTTTTATACCTGATTCCTAATAAATGGAGCTATATTTCACCATCTAGGGAATATATTATTCCAATGGGAAGAGTAAAAGATAAATATTTCTTGATGGAATTTTAGAGAGAGAAATTAATAAAGTTGGCTTTGTGTGCTCAGAATTTCAATAGGCCAAATAAAAGATAAATAATAGAAATAATTATGCGGGTGGGGGGAGCGAAAAACCTTCCCCAAAGTAGATTTTACTTGATGTTAAAAGCAGAACAAAGCCGCCACTTTTAAAGAAAGAAGGGATCTTCTTGATTGTAAATTTTGCCTTGGATGTGGGCGAATGTTGTGTTTTTAAAGAAATTAGAAGAATTAAGTAAGGGTGCCACACCGGTGGAGAGTCTAATTACTTCGGCATGAAGGAGAATAACCCAAATATCAGTGGGATGCGATTATCTTAAGCAAACAGGTTCCCGGAAGCGCGGGGAGTGCACGGCCTGCGCTGCCAGGCGGGACTGGAACAAAGAAGGTTCGGAACGAAGGAGCGAAGGTTCCGGCTTCCCAGTCATTTGGGCCGCGCTTGCGTCGCAGGCTCTGGCTGATGTCCCAAAGGCAACTTCACGCCCCAAGGCCCCTTCCTCCCTCTTCCCCAAAGGCAAGCGGTGGACCTAGAGTTCCTAGAAAGAGCCTCGCCCTTGCTGGCTTCCCGCTACCTCTGGTTCCAATCCGGGGGGCAATTCTTAACTCAAGTTCTCCTGCTCCTTCTCCCCTAAGTGCGCCGCCGACCCCTGGCTCCTTAAAGAGGCCAAGAGGTCTCCCGAGGAACAAGAGGTCTCAAGGATGACTGCCCTGAAACCCACAGGTGATATCCAGGTCGCACTGAAGTGCCCGCTCAGCACTTCCAAATATGAAAGCAAACATTTAAAGACAGGCAGCTAGTTTGGGGCCGACGTGGTTAGCCCTCGCCCCTCTCCCCCTCCTTGTCCCCCAGGGCCGCGCACCTGCCCCGCACCCCAGCGCGGGTCCGCTCACCTGCGCGTCTGCTCGCGGGGCCGCTGCGCCTCCAACCGAGCGCCGACAGAGGGCGCCCGCGGCGAGCCTCGCCGCCCGCAGCCCGCGCTGCTGTGGGCTTAGGTTCCAGGTGGGGTGCCCGGTAGAGCCAGGGAGATGGCAGTGTGGTCTGATGGGGGAGAGAATCTGGGTTTTGGCTATCGAGGATGAATTATTTAACTGGTCTGAAGCCTCAGGTTCCTCATCAAAGGAAATGGTCATAACACTAATATCTAAGCCACAGTTATCAGTTATGATCGTATATTCATTCATTCATTCATTGGCAAGAAATACACTTTGAGGTCTTCACCGTGTCCCAAGCATAGTGGAGACACAAGGGGTCCCTTAGCAATCAAATTAGACCCAGCTTCTGCCCTTTTGGAAAGTACATTTGAATGGGATTCACCTGGGGTAGCATAAACAGGGCTTGGCATGTGGGTCCTCTTAGCCCACCTCCTAGGACACGCTCAGCCCTCGGAAAATGTTGGTGCTTATTAATTATTATGACGTGCTAGTGTCGACATCAAGTGCTTCCTCCTTCTGCAATACAGGGGTTTAGTTCATTCCTGGTCCCCTAGAGCTGAGCACAGCCTGCTTTACGTTAATAGCTCAATGAGAGTTTGATGAATGAATGATGTGGTTGAATAAGCGCGTACCTTGAATCCCTAGAGGAGGGTGGAAGTAATGGAAGGGACAAAACCTTGCCACCTATAAAGCAAATAGCACTGGGGCTGGAGTGGAACCTTCAAGGTAACTTTCCTTCTGGAAGGGGCCTTGCATCTTTGAAAGACTGGCCACTTTCCCAAGAAAAATGAAACGTCTTTCAGCTAAGAGAGATGCGGACCTGCTCAGGGGCCAATCTCCAGCACAGATCTTCCTCATTAAAAGCTTTCAATGACATTCTCGGTGTTAGCTTCCCCCTTCCCACTTTTTAGGTATGTTTACGGGTTTCCAATGGTTTCAGGAAACCAAAAAGCTTTCCCTTGGAATTCTCCCTCAAAGGAACTGATCAGAGATGACAACTTAAACTACTGAAGGGAGTCGTATCTTTGTAAAAACAGACCCTGGACAAATGGGAATGTTCCTTTCAACTCACTATTAAGTGTTTTAAGGTATTAACTTCTCAAACCGCGTCTGAAGAAAGACAGAGTCTGTCTCCTTTTTCTATCTAGCCCAGCTGAGACTGATTTCTTCTTTAAAATAAATTTTATAAAGACGTATTCGTCTTCCATTGCTATGTAGCAAATTACCACAAATTCAGTTTAAAATACCACATATTAACTATCACACAGTGTTTGTGGATCAGGTATCTGGGCACCAGGTTCTTCTTGCAAGGTGTCACGAAGCTGCACTAAAGGTGTTGGCTAGCTGCATAGTCATCAGGAGGCTACACTAGGTAAATGGGCACTTCTATGGTCCCTCAGGTTATTAGCAGAAGTTATCTCCTTGAGGTTGTATGGCTGAGGTCTCACTGTCTTGCTAGCTGTTGGCCAAGGATTACTCTCCGCTCCAAGAGGCCACTCTGGTCCTTGCCATATGGTCCCTTCTATAGACCCTCTCACACTCCCAATCTCTCTCTCTCTTTTTTTTTTTTTTTTGCTTTTAATGTTTTATTTTATTTTATTTTTTATGTTCCAGGGTACATGTGCAGGATGTGCAGGTTTTTTACATGGTTAAACTTGTGCCATGGTGGTTTGCTGCACCTATCAACCCGTCACCTAGATATAAAGCCCAGCATGCATGAGCTCTTTTCCCTCATGCTCTCCCAATCTCTCTTTTAAAACTCACCTTATTTGATCATCTCCTTTTTGATTAGTTCAATCCAAAATCCACTGATGAGGAACCTAAGCATGGGAGTGGTATCCCATCATATTCATATGGGAGGGGATTACATAGGTGGCTTAGTCATTTCAGACTGCTATAACAAGTGTCATTCATCGGGGGCAAAAGAAACATTTCTTTCTCACAGTTCTGGAGGATGGGAGGTCCAGGATCGAGGTTCCCTAAGGGCCATCCAGTTGGGTTTTTATTGAGGGCCTTCTTCCCGCTTTGCAGAGGGACCTCTTGTCACTGTATCCTCACATGACAGAGGGAGAGATTCTCTCTCTCCGTTCTCTTCTTATAAGGGCCCTAGTCCCATCATGAGGGCTTCACCCTCGTGAACTAATTGCCTCCCAATGACTCTGCCTTCTAACACCATCATATTGCATATTGGGGCTTCAATATATGAATTTGGGGGTCACAAATATTCAGTCCATAGCAACAGGACAGGCACGCCAGGGGCTGGGAATCTTGCAAGTCCTCTTGGAATTCTCCCTACCACAGAAGAAAATAGAGAAAAATAAACCAAGAAAATAGAAAGTTCTAGGGATGTGCTAATTTACAGATGTCAGATTTCTACCTAAAATAACAAATGTCTGAAAGCCAGGCTGCCCACAGGACCTAAAGTACCCCTGCTTTCTACCTGGTCTCGAGCCCCCTTGGCACCCTCTAGCCTCTCGTTCCCCTCCTCCAGGCCTGTGCTTGACTGGGAGTAAGAGCCAACGCTGGAGCTCAGAGGAAAAAGGCATTTACTGGGGACCAGAGGGAAAAAAGGCCACTGATCTCCACCCCACGGTGCCTCTGACTCCAAAGCACAGCAACAACGAAAAGTGGAGGGCTCAGGAAGCCATGCCTGGGCTCAGAGCCCAGCTCTGCCACTTATTCACCATGTAACCTTTGAGGCGTAATTTCTGAATCTTCATTTCTGCATCTGCAAAATGAGAAAAAGATTTCCCCCAAGGTTGTTGTCAGCTTTGGGTGATGCAATACACCATGCTTAACACAGCACCTGTATGGTAAGAGTGAAATCATTGGGAAAAATTAAAATCCACTAAGGAAGCAGCTTAGAGAAGGAGGAGCTGCTGTTTCTCATTGCATCTACTGGGTGCTCAACACAGTGCTGGAAAGCATGAATTAGGACCTTAAGACATGTATGATCTAGTTGGAAAGACACGGCAGTTTACCCGGTGAACAGCTTAACTTTCACAGAGAGATGGATTGTGAGTGCCAAGAGTTTTCTTTCTCAGGAAGGACTTTTCACCCAGGACCTGGATGTGCTAGGCCTCACCAGGTGTTCAAGCCAGGACTGTGGAGGCCTCCTCTGCCTCAGCAGCTTGCCTTGCCATGGCCAGAACCTGTATGGTGATCAGACCTAAAGTCCTTGAAGTATCACACAAAGAAAGACCTACCCAGGAGACTCTCAGAGACACACAGCCGGCCAGAAGTGCTCAGCCAGCAGTCGGGGGATGGCTCCGTTTACCTCTGCTGTGTAAGAAGGCATCAAATCAGGCGGCCTTTGAAAACCTGGTGGGACCAGAGCTGGCTAAGGATACTATATTCTTTTCCTACTACCACTGTAATAAATTGCCCCAAATTCAGTGTCTTGAAACAACATAGATTTGTTATCTTACAGTTCTGAAGAGCAAAGTCAGAAGCCAGTTTCACTGGGCTAACATCAAGGCATCAGCCGGGCTGCATTCTTTCTGTAAGCTCCATGGAAGGATCTGTTTCCTTGCCTCTTTCAGCATTTAAAGGCTGTTTGCACTACTTGGCTCTCGGCCCCACATCGCTGGGACCTCTGCTTCCTTCATCACATCCCCTTCTCTGACTTTGACATTCCTGCCTCCTTCTTGCAAGGACCCTTGTGATTACATTGGGCTCACAAAGATAATCTAGGATATTCTATCTCCAGATCCTTAACTTAATCACGTTGGCCAAGTCCCTTTTGCTGTAAGGTAACAGTCACAGGTTTCAGGGACTGGGATATGGACATTGCGGGGACTCATTGTTTTGCTTAGCACAAGTGCCAATTTCCTTCTTTGAGTCAGATGCCTTCCCACACTCACCGCCAATTGATTCCAAAAAAAAAAAAAAGAAACAACTCACCTGTAGCCATTTACCTGATCTACCCCCTACAAACAAGCAAGTGGGGGATTCAACACATTTTCAAAGAAGTAGGTTTGTTGAAGTTTTCAAGAGAAAAAGATGCTGTGCTGCAGACGTCACAAAGGAATAACTGATCACTGAAACCTCATTCTCAACGCACCTGGTAGGGCACCATTTAATAAGATTTGAAAACAGAACCATATTTTAACAGCACTCTAGCTTTCTTCACTCCAATGTTTGCAAACAAGTGTGATCATTGCTAGCACCTATGTTTCCCTACCCTGCTTTCTAACTATTCTCTAAATTGACTTGATACTGCTTTTTTTTTTTTTTTGACAGTTCAGCAACAGGCACAAATTAGTTCACTGTTACCATAGTAACGAAGGCACCTCAAAACAGAGGGAAAAAAATAAGATTACAATAAAAGGAGGAAAGGACAGTCCAAATTGGCATTCATGAGTCATTGTCCAAGTGTATTCCAGCTGGCCACGCTTTGGGAGCTGTTTCAGTAAGCACCCCCTGAGTCAGTCAGTCTGCAGGGGAAGCCTCCCACGTGAACAAGAATGCTTTTCTCCCACAAGAAGCAATGGTTCAAAGTTTCTCGAACCTTCTACTCTCCCTTACTTATGCATTTCTGTTATTTGGATTGTCTCCTTTGTTTTTCGTCTCCTCCTGCTCTTCCCCTTCTGAACACATTAGTTACTATGGAAACATTGGTGTGAATGTCAGAAGGCTCGGCTCAGAAATGCTTCATAAAGTCAATTTATAGAATGGTCTGACATTTATCTCATGTTCAGGAAATTTAGAGAATTTGTGATATTCATACCACGGACAGGGGTGGGTGGGAAACACTGTACTATATGTGGATTTAAAAATTTGTTTTATATACACTAAGAAAACATTAGGTTTTGTCTTTTAGGAAAAGAATAGCAACAAAAACAGGAGTCTGGTTTGCGATTTGAAATTGGACTAATTTTCCATCAGTTTGAGAAGGATTTCCACTTTCTAAGTTTGTAAGGCTGACAGGAATCTCTTGTGCCTAAATAAAGGCCTTTTCAAAAAAATATGGTTAGTTTATTTTTTAAAACTTTAACTTGGCAATAAAACAAATGGTATTATCCGTAGTAATATACACAGGGCAGCCACACACAGAAATGTTAATGTTCATGCTGTAGAAATTCTCACTTTACTAAGGGGAATTTTAGGGTTAGTGTTATCGTAAAGAATAATAATTATAGCTGACAATTACAGCACATTTACTGTGTCAGGCTCCTAGGTAATTGACGTGTATTAATTCATGTTCTCTTCATAATAAACTGAGGAGGTATGTGCTATTGTTATATTATTTTTACCCATGAGGAAGCTGAGGCATAGAGAGGGTAAGTAACTCATCGAAATAAGCAGTGGAAACAAGAGTCACACCAAGGCAGCCCAGCTCCAGAGTCTGTGTGTTTCACCATCGTGCACAATTGCTTCTCTATGAAAAAAGTAAAATAATACTAACACATCCAGAGAGAGGGCTTTGCGTTATCAGTTCTGCACTAAAAAGACAATCTGGCATGGGCTTTAAGTATTGCATCTTTGAAGCTATTGCCCAAAACCTTAAGGCGTGCCACGTGGTAGCTGAAGATACGATGGGTTCCTAACGAATGACGGTTTGATGATGAGTACAGTTTAGGTTCAATTTGGTTTTAGACTCGCAGGCTCTTACATATTTTGTTATATAAAAGAGTAAAAATAGTTTGCTACAATAAGCTGGAAAGCTAGAAATAGCTTAAAATATATTGCACGTAACCCCATTGTATTCCACCAGAAGAATTTTAATTACAAAGAAAATCCAGGGTCAATCTGGATCAAAAAATTTCCGTTTTTTGCCACCCAGTGTTTCCCATTTCCTCTCGCGGCAGCTTCTGGTTTGTCTGAGAAAGCTCCACCTGCTCAGTTCACCTGCTTGGCCTGCCTGGTCCCAGGATGAATCAGGTGGCCCAAGCCTAACCCAATCAGGACATCACATACCCCTGACCTCAGTGACTGGTTCAAAGGTGGGCATGTGACCCAAACACAGCCAATAAAATGCCACAAGATTTTTGCTGGGAATGTTCAAACAAGAATTAAATTGAGGCAGGTCCCAGTGCAGAGGTGTTTACAACTAATTAATCACAACCAGTTACAGATTGCCTTGTTTCTTCTCCTCTCCCACTGCTTCACTTGACTAGCCTAAAAAAAAAAGAAAAAAAATTGAAATGCAAAATGAGCCGCTTTAGCCATCTTTGCCATCACAAGGGGTGATCTAAAGCATACAGAGGCCATTCGACAAACAGACTGAAACTCTGGGAACAAAAGGTATGTGAAAGACTAAGAAAACCCCAGCCAAAGGCATCATTAGAGCCCTAAATACAACCGTGTCCAAAATCTGTCTACTAGACTTTTAAATTATTGAGACAGTTAGTCACATCCACTTTTTAAAAATTTAAATCTGAGCTAGTTTACAACACATTTGAGCTAGTTTACAACAAATTAAAAAAGGCCAAATTGACACAATATGAATCAATAGGTGAACTTTTAGAGCAGACACTACGTCTTGTTCACCTTGTTCACAAGCCAGTAAACCCGTCCTTATCTGAGATTCCAAAATCCATACTCTTCTGAAAACCAAAAATTTTCTTGCAACTCATTTGATGACAAAATAGACATGACAAGTATAAATATGAGGAATCTTTATCCCACTTAATGTCACTATTCCTATGTTTTGTTGCTGAACAGTTAATGTTTCTGATTACAGGCTGCTGCACGGATCCTATCAAAAGTGTCATGGTGCTGGCTGAGAATGGTGGTTCACATCTGGAGGCTGTGCACTTTGGGAGGCTGAGGCAGGAGGATTGCCTGAGCCCAGGAGTTCGAGACCAGCCTTAGCAAAATGGTGAGAACCTGTTTCTGCAAAAAATTAAGAAATTAGGCCGGGCGCGGTGGCTCACGCCTGTAATCCCAGCACTTTGGGAGGCCGAGGCGGGCGGATCACGAGGTCAGGAGATCGAGACCAACCCCGCTAAAACGGTGAAACCCCGTCTCTACTAAAAATACAAAAAATTAGCCGGGCGTAGTGGCGGGCGCCTGTAGTCCCAGCTACTTGGGAGGCTGAGGCAGGAGAATGGCGTGAACCTGGGAGGCGGAGCTTGCAGTGAGCCGAGATCCCGCCACTGCACTCCAGCCTGGGCGACAGAGCGAGACTCCGTCTCAAAAAAAAAAAAAAAAAAAAAAAAAAAAGAAATTAGCCGGGCATAGCAGCACATGTCTTTGAACCCAGCTACTTGGGAGGCTGAGGTGGGAGCATTACTTCAACCCAAAAGGTCGAGGCTGCTGTGAGCTGTGTTCAGACCTCGGGACTCCAGCCTGGGCCACACAGAGAGATCCTGTTTCAAAAAAAAAAAATGTTTAAAAATTGTCATGCTGTACAAGATATATAAACTCTTATCTTTAATAAATTCCCAAAAATTATAAATCTGAAGCTGCACAGACTTCAGATAAGACTGTGAACTTCTAGCCACATTATAAATTGAATGAATTGATCTAATAAATAAGCTTCTAATTTCTAAATAGGATGAAACCTGAGTTAGCTAATGACATCATTGTGAACCACAAAGATGAAGGCACCCTTTATACCAAAATCATATTGAAAGTCAAATTGTGCTTGCATACCAACTGACATACATCAAGCCAAACATCAGCTTGATAAATACCAGAACAAAGTGAAAATTCTTAAGTTCAGGACAAAAGCAAAAGGAATCAAATGTCTCAAAGAATAGTATCAAGGAAGAGCTTTGAGAACAGATAATCTGGAAAAAGAAGAGAGCCCATTGCCTGACTCCACACCAAGTTATACCACGCTCTGCTAACACTAAATCTAAAATGGAAAAGAATTATGGGCCCAGCATGGTGGTTCACACTTGTAATCCCAGCACTTTGGGAGGCCAAGGCGGGTGGATCACCTGAGGTCAGGAGTTTGAGACCAGCCTGGCCAACATGGTGAAAACCCGTCTCTACTAAAAATACAAAAAAATTAGCTGGGCATGATGGCGGGCGCCTGTAGTCCCAGATACTCAGGAGGCTGAGACAGGGGAATTGCTTGAACCCGGGGAGGCGAAGGTTGAAGTGAGCTGAGATTGCGCCATTGCACTCCATCCTGGGCGACAGAGCAAGACTCCGTCTCAAAAAAAAAAAAAAAATGATGATGCTGAGTGCATGTGCTTATGACATTAACTAAACCTTGAAATCCATATTCCATGTCCATGTGGGATTTATTCTAAGTCCTCCTGAGTTCTCATACTATAAGTATAAAAAATGTTATTTACTTTTTATTTGTATCTGCAGCCAAGAAAACTATCACACTAAGTAATATCAAAAAGAGTACTGGAAATTAATTAAACATTAGGGTCATAACTCATGTGTTATTCAGCACCTAAAACAGTAGCTAGTACATAGTGTGTATTTCGTATGTCCTTTATTAATAAATGAAATAAATGCTACATTCTGATACCTTTGCCGTCTGACAACATGGATAAATTGTCAATGGGACAACCGACACAGGGAGGAAAAAAACTAAAGAAGGAAAAAGACTCTCAGGGTTGGTGACTCCACTAGCACAAAAGATCCTTCTGGGTCTGCCATCGTTGCAGAAAAAAAAAAGTTTAGATCAACGATCCGTAAGTTGCCTTCTAACCCTATAATCACATAATTTTTTGCATTAAAATCTAAAAAGGTACAGATAGAAGTCTATGTAACTTACTTAAAACATTGACTAATAAAGTATGGCATAATCCCCAAATTTGGAAAAGACTCTTGAAATTTGAAAGAGAAATGCACACACGCACACACACACACACACACACAGACATACAGACACACACACACATATGATAGATATCTATCTTATCTATCCATATATATTTATATATAAGAAAAAATTTCTTGCATTTAGTATCTTACTACAGCTAAGAAATGCTACAAACCTGATAATTTGTCCAGCTCAAAATGGCCCACACACTGGTCTGAGAAACATTGAATCCTTATCTTCCTGTTCATGAAATTTCCAGTGACCAAACCACCAAGCTATAAGAGCCCATCCAGCTTTAAGACCTCCTCTCTCTCTAACCATCCTCAGCACCCTGCCAATTTTTCTACCTCCATGACATTGTTCCAATCCAACCTCTCTATTTCCATGGAATAGTCCTTAAGGGCCACACCATACTCCAGTTTTCCAATCTTCCAATCTTTCTTGCATATAATTTTTTCCTCCAATATTCCTTGCACATGATTGCTAAATTGATTTTCCTAAGGAAAAGTTTTTCCTCCAATCTTCCTTGCACATAATTGCTACATTGATTTTTCTAAGAAAAAGTCTTGATCCCACCACTTTGTTTCAAAACGTCCAGTAGCTGTCCATGACCTCCACATTTTCCTGTTTTCTGTCTTACCTCTCCAGCTGCCCCTTTCCAATGTCCAGTACTGAAGCACTCTCCTCTACCTGTCCTTAAGTTGTTAGAATCCCTTAAACCCTGGTCATAGCTCCTCTTCTTATTCTATTCTGTCGCCCTAGGTGACCTCATTACAAGGCCTTCATCAACATCTAGATGCCACTGAATCTCATTATGTATTTTTTAAATTACAGTAAAATACACACAAAATTTACCATTTGAAAGTGAACTATTCACCAGCATTGAGTACATTCACAGTGTTGCGGGACCATCACCAATATCTAGTTCCAAAATTTTGTCATCATCCTAAATAGAAATCCTGTATTCATTTCAGCAGTCACTCCCTATTCCCCCACCTTGCTAACCACTAATCTGCTTTCTGTCTCTGTAGAATTGCCTATTCTGGGTATTCTAAATGCAATGTAAATGGAATAATACAATATATAGCCTTTTGTGTCTTACTTCTTCACTTAGTAGAATGTTTTCAAGGTTCATCATGTTGCAGCAGGTATCATCACTTCATCCTTTGTATGACTGGACAATATTCCATCGTATAGATATATCATTTTGTTCATTCATTCATCTGTTGATGGACATTTGGGTTGCTTTTACCTTTAAACTATTGTGAATAATGCTGCTATGAATATTAGTGTACAAGTTTTTGCTTGAATACCTGTTTTGAATTATTCAGGGTATATGCCTAGCAGTAGAATTTCTCAGTTACAATAGCATTTCTGTGTTTAACATACTGAGGAACTGCCAAATTGTTCTCTACAGTGGCTGCACCATTGTACATTCCTACAGGCAATATATGAGGGTTCCAATTCTTCACATCCTTGCCAACACTTGTTATTTTCTGCTTTTTAAATTGTGGCCATTTCAGTGATGTGAACTGGTGTCTTGTGGTTTTGATCTGCCCTGCCTTAATGACTAATAATGTTGAGCATCTTTTCATATGTTTGTTAGCCATTTGTATATCTTCTTTGGAAAAAATGTCTTTTTCAATCTTTTGCCCATTTTTAAATTAGGTTGACTTTTTGTTGCTGAGCTGTAAGAGTTCTTTATAAATTCTAGATACTAGACCCTTATTAGATGTATTATTTGCAAATATTTTCTCCCTTTCTATGGACTACCTTTTCACTCTCTTGATAGTGTCTTTTGATATACATGATTTTAACTTTGACAAAGTTCAAATTATCATTTTTGTTGTTGTTGTTGTTACTTGTGTATTTTGTGTCATATATAAGAAACCATTGCCAAATCCAAGGTCATGAAGATTTGCCCCTCTGTTTTCTTCCACAAGTTTTAAAGTTACAGGTTCTAAATTTAGGTCTTTTGAATTCTCATTTTGAGTTCATTTTTGTATATGATGTGAGGTAAGGGTCCAGCTACATCTATTTGCATGTTAATATCCACCTGTCCCAACACCATGTGTTAAAGAGACTGCTGTTTCCCCCACTTGATGGTCTTGGCACCCTTATCACAAATCATTTTACCATTGATGTGTGGGAAATGTCATTTTCACTCACACAGACTTCTCCTCTGAGCTTAAGACCCACATGTATATAGCAAGCCATTCAACCTTCCCCACTTAAACCTTCCCCTCATCTCCAAACTTTCCAAACATGCCCATACTTCATTGTTCTTTCTGAGCAACACCATTCATCTAGTTGTGGAAGCTAGAAACATTCCACTCTCCTCTACACTCCATAGCCAATTCCAGTCAACCTCATCTCCATAAATTATCTTGAATCTGTCCAGTTATCTCAAGCTCCTCTGCCATCCATAGATCAAGTTACTGTAGTCTACCCCCTTGCACCATTAACATAATCTCCTAAGTAGAGTCATCTCCCTGGGTCTATTCTGGTGCTCTTTTAATCTATTCTCCAGACACTTTTTTTTTAAAAGATAAATTATTTCTGTCTCCTCTCTCTGTCTCTCTGTGTGGCTCTCTCTCTATCTCCCTCTTTCTCTTATCCTTTCCCCAAGTCTACCTGGCTTAAACTTCTTCAATGTCCTTCCATTACTCTAGGATAAAGACCAAAATGTCAATAACAGTGTGAAAGGCTCCACAAGACCTGATTCTGACCTTCCTCTCTAGCCAGATCATATACAACTCTTTACACTTCCACTTGGTAACTCCTACTCAACCTTCAAGTCTCACCTCAAATGTCACTTACTCAGGTGACCCCTGCTAGATCAGGACCCTTTGCTAATTATTATCACAGCATATGGGACATTTTCTTTACAGAGCTTTTCAAAATTTGAAATTATATATCTATGGGATTCTTTGGTTTATATCTGTTCCCCTCTGGATTCAAATCTTCATGAAGTTCACATTTTCTAGCCTGACAAATTCAAGAGGCTTCATGATCTAACCTTTCTCGTCTTATTCACAACTATTCTCTTTCGCATTCTCATCCTCAAATTCTGATAAAACCCTGTAAAATTCTGTCATTGTATTCTATTCACGCTGTTGTTTACCTGTTTCCTCTAACTCTCATTTTTCCTGTAATTATTTTGTTATCACTCTAGCCCATTCTCATTCTTTATTCATTCATTTAAATTTAATTTATGGAGTATCTACTCTGTACTAAGTCCTGTGCTGGCGATACAGGACTGGAGATACGGAACAGAGTAAACCTCGATTCCTGATACAAAGGAAGCAGGGAATCAGGCCTACAAAAAAACAGCTTCAGCCTCAGAGAAAAGCTGGTATGAAAATGACTTCTGCAAATGATTATGAGAACAAAGAAGGTAATAGCTATCTCTGCCTGAGAAAGTCAGCAAAGTTCCAATATAGAGTGTGTCATTTTCGCTAGGTCTTGAAAAAATGAGTAAGAATGGGAAAGGGAAGATGTTCATGCATAAGCATTCATGCAATGGTAAGTCGTGATGAAACATGTCCCCAAACCTGATGTGTTTGGGGAAGAGCAAATGGTCCAACGTGTCTGGCACAAAGAGCCTGGGCAGAGGCAGGGGGTCCAAACAAAATGTCCATGGCATTATCCCTGGACACAATTGATAGGTTCAGCCCCAACTGACTATTCTCTTCCTTCATACTAAAAGGAAACATGTAACTTCGTAATCAAATGTTACCGTATTGTAAGATAAAACAAGAGGAGTGTCTTGTAAAGTAACTCTGGCTGGATAGATCCTAGGACAGCCCCTCTGAATCCTGCTCCCTGTGTTCATGCCCTCCCTTGATTTGGGGTGGAACCTGTGACTTACTCTTAGCCAAAACAATATGACAAAGGTGAAGGAATTTTCCTGATGTAATCGCTGTCATAAATCAGTTGCTTTTGACTTATTGAAAGGGAGATTATCCTGGATGTAGTGATTGATTTATTCAGGTATGAGTCTTCAAAAGAGAAACTGGACCCTCCCAAAAGCAAGAAACTCTCCTTACTAGGTTGATAATGTAGCCAGCCATGTTGGAGAAGCTCAAATGTCAAAAACTTCAGCTGGCCTCCAGCTGACAGCCAGCAAAAATCCAGGACCCGCAGTCATGCAGCCATAAGGAAATGAATTCTGCCAACAACCTGAATGACCTCAGAAATTAATTTCTCCCCAGTCGAGCAGCCAGATGAGAATGCAGCCCTGGCCAACACCTTAATTGTGGCCCTGTGAGACCCTGAGTAGATCGTTGAGCCATTCCAGACTCTTGATCTAGAGAAACTGTGATAATCTATGTGAGTTGTTTGAAGATTCTAAGTTTTGTGTGATTTATTATACAAAAATAAAACATGAATACAGACTTTAAGTTAGATCAGATGTTTTTACTGTTGTGTTGTCATGTGTTTTTTACATTTTGTCAAAATGGCTTAAATAACTAACCCTTTAGATATTTAACTGACAGAATACACTAGTTAGAACAAAATTTAAATGTGTTTCTAGCCAACTCCCAGATAATGTAAAGCAACAATATAATACTTCACCTTGATGTGCTTTACTTTACAGTAGGATGTGTAACTTTTGGTTATTGTTGTTCAGACACATTCTTAGCAGGTTTTTTCTTTTTGTTGTTGTTGGATTTTAATGAACCAGTTGCTCTCAGATAAAGAAAAAAACAAATCAGAAATGTAGCAGCTTTAGGGATCAAAACACAGCCATAACGAAACAAATAGGAGAGCACATTTACTGCACAACACACGATGGCACATAAAGTAGTCAACAGCCTGTTTTTATCGCAGTGTGGTCCTTGCCTTTGCAATCTGAGTCAGTATCTTCCCATATGAATAATTTATAATAGGGAGTTGATGACCCAGTATCAAATAAATCATTGCTATGACTGATATGATCAATTTACATATAATAAGAGCAAGAGGGGATTCAGAACCTCTATGATAATTTTAAATGAAAATATTATGTTTCAGGTTATATTGCTCATCTTGATTACAAAATGAATTCACAAGTAGATAATAAACACATATGTTTACATACATTTATTTTATAACATTATAAGTTTGTAGCATTCCTTATAACTTTATGACATTCTTTTCATCTTTCATAACATTATAACATTCTTCTCAACTAATACTCTAGACTTGATAAACATTTATTGTTTAAGATAATTTTGTTAAGAAGCTAATATTCCCTGTACAAAAACCTGGCAAGGGTAATTTGAAACCTAGATTGCTTATGAAAAATGGCATTGGAACTCTGAAATAAAGTACCAGAGAAAAAGATGCAACAGTAGAAAAGAAGGCTAATCCTCTCCAACCGTGTTATAGTTTAACCCCCACACTAAAAGATGAGTCAGTAGTCAAAAATAAGTCATAACAACTCACATCTATAGCTTCATAAAGGAGAGGAGAGCTCAATAGATTTTTGAAGCTGTTATTCCTGTACATATCTTTAATGCTTAAAACTCTGAAAACTAGAGCTAGTGGGAAAATTATTAAGCATAAAAGTGACTTCTCAAACCAATAGACCACCTGATGTTTAACAGGTAGCTTCTAGATGCATTTCAGTTTATTCACTATATTTATCCACTATATTTAATCAGGGTCTGCTTATTTTATCTTCTAAACATTTGCTCCATTGTTTTGCTGGTTCAGGCCCATTTCTTACCTGGTCTATTGAACAATCTCCTCCCTGCCCTTGGTTTAATTCCTTTCAAATCCATTCTCCTCACTGTGGTCAGAATTATCTTTCTAAATTTGATCATGTTACAACCTGCTTAAAACCTTAGATTGGTTCCTGTTTGTCCTCAGAAAGGAATCCTAGTGCCTTGGCCTGCACCAAAGGCTGCTGGTGAGCTGACCTGGTTCATCTCTGCAACCTATATCTTGCCCTCCTGGCTCTTGCAGATCCTGTGCGTGACATCTCCAGCCTCCTCTCTGAAATAGCAACCTCCTTCCTCTCCCTCTTCACCAGGACTATTTCTACTCATCTCTAATCCTCGGCTCACATCTTTTACCTTCTATTCTACCTCCTACTGCCTCTATAAAGCCTTCTCAGATATCACTCTGCCTTTTCGGGTTGCATGTAATATCCCTCTCTGCTGCCTCCATGACACCCTGTGTGTATATTCATTCCCTGCTCCTAGCACGTTTTTATTTTATTGATATATCTGTCTTCTGTACTCAATGGGCATGCTTTTCCGTACGATCCTCAGTGTTTAGCACATAGGCGGTGACTACTGTCCACTAAATGAATGAACGAATGATGAAAGATGAAGGTGAGGGAACAAAAGAGGGCCCTGTCCGTTGAAACATGTCTACTGATGCATAGGTTGAAATAGAATCTCCTGCAGGCATTGCCCAAACTAGGGGAAAATGCTTTTGAATATTACCTACCATTAATCTTGAAAGAAATTCCAACAAAGCCAACCTTACAAATCTCAGATATACTACTCACCTACCAAAATCATTTTATACCCGTACTCAGAGGATATGCTATTCTCCTTTCAAACTTAAAAAGCCAAGCCTGAAATACAAAATGAGTGTCAGCTACATTTACCTAACAAAGTTGAAGATGGTGGCCCTATTTAAGAATCTGCTTATCTTCTAACAAGAAGAGTGAGGACAGAGATAGCTGCTCTCCTCATGGTGTAATGTACAAGCAAATGTGCCTCTGCTTAGTAGATAAAGTCTAAACTTACCCATGTCATACAAAACTCGTTCTGATCTGCTCGCACCTATATTCCCAGGCTTCTTCTTCACAGGGTCCTTTGTGTGGCAGATGTTCCAGCAATTTTCTACTATTAAATTTAGACAACTTTGTTCTTTGTCAACTTTGTAAAAGAGAGTTCAATCACTACAGCAATATTTAGACATTCTGATATTCTTCAGTCTCATTTTGGCAGATAAAGATTTAGTATGATGATCATTTTTCAAATGAGAAATAAAATGTTTTCTCTTTTTACTAGTATTCAAAAAATAGAGTAGGTGTCTTTTGACATAAGATGTGCTTCAAGTAAATTTTGAAAAGTTCAATTTGTCTGAATGCAAAGTGAAGCATAATTGATTTTTGACATTTTAATTTTAAGTGTGCTGGTTGTCAGATTTCACTTCAATGTATCTACACATCGCAATATCTACACATCAAGGGCATGTCAACTATCTTCAAATATTGTTGTCATTTTTCTATGTTCATAATTTATTCTACTACTATAAATGCTATTATTTGATGCGTAAACAAGGAAGGATTATGATTAATCAAATTTCAGGTTTATCAAGAATACCATATACACCGCACAGAAATCAATAATTTACAACAATCTTTACATGTGTTCAACATTGCCTTTAGGTCAAGGAAAAATATCACAAAAGAGGTGACATGTAGGAAGTGTCCTGAAGGATTTGTAGAGTTTTCCAGACAGAGAAAATAGGGAAGGTGATGGCTCAGAGACACGAACAAGGATGACCTTCTGTGGAACCTGAGACTGGAATATGAGAGTGCAGGGTATGTGGAATAGTAAGAGATACATTTTCAAGGAAGGATCAGGAGGCCATATACCAAGGACCATGGATGTTTCTTGTGGACAATTACGTTTGCATTTGAAGAAGACAACTCTAGTAAGGTGTACACAACAGACAAGAAGCTAAAGGGGAAAATAGAATATCTAGTTAGCAGGCTCTTGGAAAAATCTCAGTAAGGTATGATGAAGCTCTAAACCACAACAGCTGGGATAGAGATTAGTCAAGAAGTTTACCTATTTCTGCATAATAAAAAGGCTACAAAAAATCTTAGTGGCATATAATGGTGTGTTTATTCTTAGCTGGACTGCTCTGGCTGGGTTTGGCTTAGACCTTGGCCGAGACATCTCTGCTTCACTTGTTTCTCATCTTCTTTGTGAGACCAGCAGCTAGCCAAGTGAGCTTTGTGTGTATGTGTGTGATCTTTTAATGTCCATGTCAGACGTACAAAAGAGCAGGTGATACATACAAGACCTCATCAGTTCTAGGCTTGGAACTGGCACACCGTCATTTTTCCTTTATTGGCCAAAGAAAGCCACATGACCAAACTCAAAATCACAGAGTGGAGAAAATATATTCCACCTCTTTAGTAGTAGAAACAATAAAGTCAAATGGCAAAGGACAGGAATACAGTATGGATGAAGGATTGGAGATAAAAATGCAACATAACACAGTCTGCCCCACAGGCAATGACTATCCATGTTCCTCCTAAATGCAATATATGCCCACTCCCATCCATCACTTCTCAAAAGTCACACCTAATCACAGCATTAGGTTCAAAGTTTAGGATCTTCTGATCTATAATCTACGTTAGGTCCAGTGGTCTCTCATCTTAATGAGAATGACTGCTGGCAGTTCTTTATAGCAGCATGAGAATGGACTCATACAAGCCACAAAACAATGGAATAATATTTTTCAAAGTAATTAAAATAAATGATCTACAAATCTATATCCAGTGAAATCATTATTTAAAAATTAATTTAAAATAAAGACATTTTCAGATAAAAGCAGTGCATTTACCATCAATAAATCTATATTAAAGGCGAAAGAAAAATGTCCTGATGGAGGCTCAGGCATCTATGAAGAAATAACAGCCTCCACAAAGGGTAAATATGTGTTCAAGTCTAAATGAATATTGACTGTATACAACAAAAATAATGGGTAGCAGGGTATGATATATAGAATTAAAGTACTTGACAACGGTAATATCTAAGTCAGAGACATATAATTAATGTTAAAGTTTTTTAAAGTCCTTGAATTGCCCAAGAAAAGAAATATACCATTTATATTAGACTTTAAAAGTTAGATACACATACTCTACTCTCCAGAGCCACCAATTAATAGAGAAGTTTATATCTAAACCTTAAAAAATTTGTATTTATAAATAATATATACAGTATATACTATATATATACAAAAAACTATAAACTTCTTATACAAACATACATATAGAATATATATATATTCTCTTAATAGTAGGGAACATGAAATAAAATAATTTTTTAAAAAAGTAAAGAGAACAAGAATAGGCAGCATAAGAATTTCTGCTACTAAAAGAATGAAGTTGCTTGCAGCAGACCAATGCTGAGGAAAACTAGAGAAGTTGATTTTTCAAAAAATAATCTGTTTAAAGGCATTAGATTGATCCATAACCAACAAGGATTAAAGGAGATATGATTCTTGAGAAAATCATGAAGAACTAATAACGATCTACAGTTAATTTTTCCCTGGGAAATTTTCTAATTCTAAGCATGGACAAGAAGCTGAGAATCCTAGTTTTGCCTAAATAACAGAGAAACCAGCAAAGCTTTTAGCATTTCTCAGGAACAGAGACAAAAATTGAAGACTTGAGGAACCTCATACACATGGCTGGTTTTTCCTCAAGACAGTTTCTGAATTTTGAAGCTAAAGCCTGGATGGAATAATATTTTTCAAAGTAATAAAATGTTCTGCCGTTAATGATGCTGAGAAGACAAAGATTAGAGTTTAAGACCCACCAGTAGAGGGATCTCAGAGAAAAAATTGAGTTTTTAGTTGACATCCTTAGAGGGCTGTATGGAAACAGGGTGAACTAGAGGTAGAAGGAGCCCCACCAAAACCAAAATTCAGCCTTGGCTCACCTAGAACTAAGGGTAAATCCACTCTTGAGAAGGATAAATCATCTTGAGCCGCTAAGTTTATTATGAATATTGCATCTTTGTTTCTAATAGCATAGCCTTGATACCCATACTTGATAAGGATATTCTAAAAAAAAGATTAATCTCTTTCATATACATAGATGACATAATCTGAAATAATAGCAAAGCAAATCCAAGATAATGAGGATTATTCAAAGAGTGCAAGGATGATATAACATTCAAAAATCAATATGTCACATTAATAAATTTAATATATCTCAGTAGATGTTGTAAAAGCATTTGATAAAACTCAGCACCCACTCATGATTTTAAAAAAAACACCAAAAACCTCTTAGTGAACTAAAAATACAAGAAAATTGAATATTCTGTGTCTTTCTTCTATCAATTACTTAGATGTATTAAAATTTTCCACAAAAATTGTTGTGAAATTTGTCCTTTTTTCATGGCTATAAAATCTACTTTATTTATTTCAAGGCTATGTTACTAACCGCATGAAACATTAGAATTTTTGTGTCTTCCAGGTGAATTTAACCTTATAGCATTATGAAATATCTTCTTTATCTCCAGTAATACTGCTTGCCTTAAAATTTAGTTTTCTATAAGTGCCAGCTTTTTGCTAGTTTTTGCATGGTATACCTTTTTCCATTATTTTAATTACTTCTTTCTGTAGCCTAATATTTCAAAATATGTCTCATAGTTAGCACTTAGCTTGGTTTTGTTTTTTATCTAGTCTGATGACCTTTCTCTTTTATTTTATTTATTTTTCATTTATTTTTTGAGACGGAGTCTCACTCTGTTGCCCATCCTGGAGTGCAGTGGCATGATATATGGGCTCACGACAACCTCCAGCTCCTGGGTTCAAGTGATTCTCCTGCCTCAGCCTCCTTAGTAGCTGGGATTACAGGCACGCATCACCACGCCTGGCTTATTTTTGTATTTTTAGTAGAGATGGGGTTTCCCCATGTTAGCCAGGCTGGTCTCAAACTCCTGACCTCAGGTGATCCGCCCTCCTCGGCCTCCCAAAGTGCTGAGATTACAGGCGTGAGCCACTGCGCCCGGCCTTGACCTTTCTCTTTTAATTGGAGGGCATTTTATTTACATGTAATGTGATTACCAATGTATTAGATTTAAGTAGAGTACCTTACCATTTTTTCCTATTTATGCAACCTATTTTGTTTTGTTTTGTTTTTTGAGACGGAGTTTTGCTCTTGTTGCCCAAGCTGGAGTGCAGTGGCGCGATCTCGGCTCACTGCAATCTCTGCCTCCCAAGTTCAAGCGATTCTCCTACTTCAGCCTCCCTAGTAGCTGGGATTACAGGCAAGCGCCACCACACCTGGCTAATTTTTTTTGTATTTTTAGTAGAAACAGGGTTTCACCATGTTGGCCAGGATGGTCTCGATCTCCTTACCCCACGATCTGCCTGCCTCAGCCTTCCAAAGTGCTGGGATTACAGGTGTGAGCCACATGCCTGGCCCCTATATCTTTTTTTATTATTAAAATATTTTTAATTTTATTGCCTGTGCTTTTGATGTCATATCTAAGGAATCGTTGTCAAATCCAGTGGCCCAAGGTTTATCCTCAATATTTTATTCTGGGAATTTAATAATTTTCTGTCTTACAGTTTGGACTTTAATCCATTTTAATTTTTGTATATGGTGGAAGGTAAAGGTCCAGCTTCATTGTTTTGCATGTGAATATTCAGTTTTTCCAACACCATTTGTTGAAGAAACTGTCGTCTTCTCATTTTGTAGTCTTGGCCCTATATTTGGCCATATATGCAAGAGTTTATTTCTTGGCTCTCTGCTCTGTTCCACTGGTTTATATATTTTTATGCCAGAAACACTAAATACTGTTGCATTGTAGTATGTCTGAAATCAGGAAGTGTAATAGCTCCAACTTTGTTCCTTTTTTAAGATTTTTTTTTTTTCTATTCAAACCCTTGAGATTCCATATGAATTTTAGGGTAACTTTTTCTATTTCTGCAAAAAGTTCCATTGGGATTTTCATAGGAATTGTATCAAATCTGTACATTGCTTTGGGTAGTATGGACATTTTAGCATTTATTAAGTCTTAAATCTGTGAGCACTGTATGTCTTTCCATTTATTTCTATACTCTTTGATTTCTTTTAGCAATGTTTTGTAGCTTTCAGTATACAAGTCTTTTGCCTCCTTGGTTAATTTATTCCTAAGTACTTTATCCCTATTGATGCTACATAAACGCAATTGTTTTCTTAATTTCCTTTGTGGATTTCTTGGTGGTGGTGTGTAGAAAAGCAACTGATATATGCACGGAGACTTTGTATCCTGCAATTTTGCTGGAATTGTTTATTAGTAATGATTTTTTTTGTGAGATCCTTAAGGTTTTCTACATATAAGACCATGTCATCTCTGAACAGAGATAATTTTACTTCTTTTTCCATTTGGATGCCTTTTATTTCTTTTTCTTCTCTAATTGCCCTGGCTAGAACTTTCAATACTATGTTGAACAGCAATGGTGAGAGTGGGCGTTCTTGCCTTGTTTCTGATTTAAAGAAAAATCTTTCAGTCTTTCATCAATGAGTATAATGTTAGTTATGGACTTTTCAAGGATGACTTTCATTATGTTGAGGTAGTTTCCTTCTATTCTTAGTTTGTAGGGTATTTCTATTATGAAAGGATGTTGGATTTTGTCTAGAGTTTTTTCTGTATCAATTGAGGTGAACACAATTTTGTTCTTCATTTTATGTGGCATATTACACATTGATTTTTGTATGTTGGACTATCCTTGTGTCACGTATAAATTCATTTGATCATGATATATGATACTTTTAATGCATTGCTGAATTTGGCTTGCTATTTTTTAAAATTTGGTTTGCTATTATTTTGTTTAGTATTTTTGCATCAACATTAATCAGTTTTGTTGGTCTCTAGTTTTCTTGTCTTTGATTGGGATATCAGTTTAATTCTAGCTTCACTGAATGAGTTTAGAAGTACTCCCTCTTTTTATTCTTTTAAAAGAGTTTGAGTAGAAGTGATACTAATTCTTCTTTAAACGTTTGGAAGAATTATCCAATGAATCCATCTGGTCTTGGATTTTCCTTTGTGGAAAGGTTTTTGATGACTGCTTTAATCTTCTCACTAGTTTTACAGATCTATTCAAATTTTCTGTTTCTTTATGAGTCAGTCTTGGTAGATTTTATGTTTCTAGGAATTCATTTTTTCTAGGTTATTCAATTTATTGGTGAATAAAACCCAACTCTTGGCGTCATTGATTTTTTTTCTATTTGATATCACATTTATCTCTGACCTAATCTTTATTTCTTTTCTTCAGCTAAATCTCGGTTTGGTGTGCTCTTGTTTTTCTAGTTCCTTTGGTTATAAGGTTAGATTATTGATTTGAGATTTTTTTTTTAATGTAAGCGTCTACCACTATAAATTTCCGTCTTAGAACTGCTTTGCTGCATCCCATAAGTTTTGGTATGTTGTGTTTTCATTTTTATTTGTCTCCAAAATATTTCTTTTTACATTCCCTTGTCATTTTTTCTTTGACCCATTGATTGTTTAAAAATACGTTGTTCAATTTTTGTATCCATATGTGCATTTTTTTTCCTTCTGCTATGGATTTCTAGTTTTATTTCACTGTGGTCAGAGAAGATACTTTGTATGATTTCAGTCTTCTTAAGTGTATTAAGACTTACTATGTGATCTATCTTGGAGAGTGTTTCATGTGCACTAGAAAAAAGTATGTATTCTTCTGTTGTTAGGTGGAGCGTTCTGTATATATATCTGTCACGTCCAATTGGTCTATAGTGTTGTTCAAGTCCTGCTCCTTTATTGATCTTTTGTCTAATTGTTCTATTCATAACTGAAAGTGAAGTATTAAAGTTCCTTGGTCTTGTTTTTGTTGTTGTTGTTGTTGTTGTTGTTGTTGTTGTTAATTTCCCCTTCAGTTCTATCAATGTTTGCTTCATATATCTGGTTGTTCTGTTAGGTGCATGTATAATTGTTATATCATTTGGGTGACTTTAACCTTTTATTATTATATAATATCCTTTTTTATCTCGTTACAGTTTTTGTCTCAAAGTCTGTTTTGTCTGATATAAGTATGGCTGTCCCTGCTCTCCTTTAGATTTCCATTTGCATGGAATATCTTTTCACTCTTTTACTTTTGGTCTGCATGTCCTTAGATCTAAAAGGAGCCCCTTGTAGACAGTATAAAGATCTTGTTCATGCATTCAACCAAACTATTGTTTTGGGGGTTGTTTTGGGGTGCTTTTTCTTGAGAGAGGGGAGTCTCACTATGTCACCCAGGCTGGAGTGTAGTGGTTATTCATAGGCAAGACCATGGCACACTGTAGCCTTGAACTCTTGGGCTCAAGTGATCCTCCTGCCTCAGCCTCCCAAGTAGTTGCAAACTATTTCTTTTAACTGATACATTTGATCCATTTACATTTAAAGTAATTATTAACAGAAGAAGACTTACAATTGCTATTTTGTTAATTATTATTACACTGGTTACATAAAACATCTTAAAGTTATAAAAATGTATTTTAACCTGATAACTTCAATCATATATAAAAACTCTTACTTCTTTATATCTCTGCATCCCTTTTTATGTTATTGATGACAATTTCCTGTTTTATATTGCAAATTCAATAATATTAATTTATGATTACTTTTCTTTTTAAATTTTATTGTGGTAAAACAGTTAACATGTGATCTACCCTATTAACAAATTTTTAAGTATATAATACATTATTGTTTACTATAGGTACAATGTTGTGCAGCAGATCTCTAGAGCTTATCATCCTGCTTAACTTTATAACAATTTTTGTGCTTTTTTAAAAAGATGTTATGCCAGATTTAAGTGATTTACGTACCTACATTACTACACTACAGAATTCTATATATGCCTATGTATTTACCTATACCAGGAAGTTTTAATTCTCATATGGTTTTGTGTTGCTGTTTGTTGTCCTTTGCTTCAACTTGTCAGACTCTCTTCAGCACTTCTTGTTGGGAAGGTCTAGTGATAATGAACTCCCTCAGTATTGATGAACTTTTTGTCTGGGAAAGTCTTAGTTTCTCCTTTGTTTTTGAGGGACAGTTTTGCCAGATGTAGTAGTCTTGCATGGCAGGTTTTTTTTTTTTTCCCCCTCCAGTACTTTTAATATATCATCCCACTCCCTTTTAGCCTGCAAGGTTTCTGCTGAGAAATCTGCTGATAATCTAATAGGAACTCATTTACATGTAATGAGTTATTTTTCTCCTTCTGCTTTCAAGATTCTTTGTGACTTTTGAAAATCTGATTATAATGTGCCTTGGTCTAAGTCTCTTTAGATTTATCTTAGTTGGAGTTCTTTGAGCTTCTTGAATTTGTATGTTCATTTCTCTCCTCAGATTTGGGAAATTTTCAACCATTATTTCTTCAAATAGGTTCTCTGCCACTTTAGCTCTCTCCTGGGACTTCCATAATGCATATGTTTTTTCACTTTATGGTATCCCATGTGTCCCTTAGGCTCTCTTCATTTTTCTTCATTCTTTTTTTTTCTGCTCCTCTGCCTCAGTAATTTCAAAAGTTTGCCTTCAAGTTTACTGATCCTTTCTTCTGCCTGGTTAAGTCTGCTGTTGAATCCCTGCAGTGAATTTTTCAATTTGGTTATTGTATTCTCCATTTACACAATGTGGTTGTTTTTTCTTCATCATTTTTCTGTATTGCTATTCCCATTTTCTTTATGCATTGTTTTCCTAATTCTGTTTAGTTGTTTATCCATGTTCTAATTCATTGAGTGTCCTTATGATGATAATTTTGCATTCTTTTTCTCGCAATTAATACCACTGTTTTAAGGAGTCAATGTCTGAAGATTTAATTTGGTCTTTTAAATGTGCCATGTTTCCATTTCTTTGTGTCATTATTTTTTGTTGGGATTTCTGGCATCTGAAGAATCAGTCAACTTTCCCAGACTGCTTTCACACAGGATAGGCTTTCTCCACTCATTCCATATAGGGATTCTGAAGATCTCCCCAGCCTTTCTGGGTATGGATCCTCTCTTGGTTTGTGTATGTTATCTCCTAGTTGAAGAGAATTGCTTGTTTCTTCTTCAAAGTTCACTCTGGATCTGTCTACTGCAGCTTCTTGAATACCATAGTGAGCCATGACACTGGAGCTTTATCTAGAGTATCTCTTTGGTAATGCATACTCCTGAGCATTTTGATAGTCTGTTTTCAGAGCTTCAATATGAGGCCTGGTTCTTGTCAGTACTTGGATTTGGGCAAGACAGAAACCGGTCCTTGGGCAGCCACCCTAAAGGTCAGAATACTGGACATACATTCTACTCATTTCCCTCCCAGAGATAAGATGGGAGTTGAGGGTTTCCTCTCCATCACACAGTACCATGCTGGAAGAAGGGGTTCTGGTGAGAGTGTCACCAATTTATTTTTCTACTGGGCTTTGATGTGCTTGGCTTCATGCTCTCCTGGGTTGCAGGAACATTTTAAATGGTTCTTGGATTTCTCACAGAGGCATTTGGCCTCTTTACTATTGTTAAATCCATATGTGTGTGGAAAGGAGAATTTGGTGCTTCCTATTCTGCCATCTGGCTAACATCACTCCAACTCTTGCTTTCTTAAACCCTCCAAAAATCACCAAACACAAGCCAAAATCTTATAACAAGCCTCTCCAAAGCTCGTCTCACTGAGATGCCCCACGGTTACTCTTGGTGTGTGTTCTCCATAATTTTGACTACAGGCATGTTTCCGGTGGTCTTTGGCTTTTACACTTTATTAAAAAGCTAGATATAAAGTTTTTAAGGCCACTAGCTTGAAGGATATTCAAGCAATCTGATTCTATAAGATACTGCAATTTCTGATTTTTAAAAGTAAGAAAGAGAACATGTTAAGAAATCAGTAACTTGGGAGGAGGGAGTTGAGGCACTCCTCATGAAGAAAGACAAGAGCAAAAAATAAGACATTAAGTAGAGAATAATATCAGATAATTCCAGCATATCTGGCAAATCACATTATTCTGGCAACATTAAAACAGAGAAAACAAATAGGAGACTGAGGCAAAAGTTCAAATAAGAGATACAATAGGTCCTAAACCCAGATAATACATTTGTGAAAAGGAAGAGACTTGTTTCCTGAATTGAAATGCTATTAATTACTTTCTCTAGCCTAGAGGACATTATTCTGGCACCTTAATATTAAGATAGCGCATTTCTACCTTCAAAACTTTAATCAATATGTTGCATAACCCTCATTAAATACTAAATTACATGTGAATTACTACTGCAGAATGTCTCCAGAAAGAGAATGGTGAATTATTCTTGTTAACTTGGCTGTATATTTGTACTTGTTTTTAGATCATAGGGAGGCATAGGTATCAATTTACATTAATTCTTCACATAAATGTAAAACTTATGGAAAAGCAGCAGGGTAAATACACCATTAAATTTATCAACACAGTTACACAAGCAATCAATTTTGACCTATCTTTACCTTTTTATCAAACTTTGTTTCAAGAATCAGACACTTTATGACTTTTTTATCATTCCAAGGTCAAATTAAAAATAGTCTGCCTAATGTATTGATCAGTACTTTCAATTTTAAAAAAAATTACATCTGAATTTGGTAACTTCATAAAACAGAATAAAATATAGTTTGATAGACTACTGGGAGAAATATATGCAGGTATCATTCAGATGACATCAGGAGATAAAATAGACAATAATGCTTGCATTTTGTGTAACTTTATGAAGTATTCTCATTTCATGCATCACTGAAGTCTGTAATGATAGTGATGCACAGTAACTAATAGATAAATCCATGCTTCCCTAATGTTACCACTCTTCCCCTACTCCACCACCAAACGCCCAATTTATAAATGCTTGGAAAGTTTTTGCACTATGAAATGTAAAGTAAATTAGGTAGTTGTTAGTGAGAGTGCTACAGCCCTATTATTTGCAAAGGATCTTTCCTTCTAAAAAATCCAGTTTTTTATTTCTGAAATTGGATCTTGTAAATTTATGAATAACAAATATGTGAATTTTCATGTTCAAAATTTCATGTTTCATTGGTCTCGATAATTTCAGATACCTTCCTCAGCATATGTTAGAAATGGAAATAATATTTACTAACATGTAAACAATTTATTTAAATAACTGATCAAAATATAATCAATAATATCATAGGTGCTTAAGCTTTTTAGTCATTTTTAAGTTGTTGAAACCGTTCTTCAAAGTCAGGTCTGGTCCAAAGTGATTTTTTTTTCTTGAAATATATTTTGAATGTTAAAAATCCACAATTTACTGGATAACAAAACTTAATAATAAGATGATCTCCACTAAATAATACTCTTATCTTCCTAACAAATGTCATTATCTACAGTGCCAGGCATTCAATAAATATGAAAAATAAGCTTTAGTAAGGGCACTACCATAGTTTCTTGCCTTTATTTCTCCGACAGTGTCTTTAGACCACACCTAGATTTTACCTTTTGAGAAAATATTGCCTTTAGAAATGTAAAACTACATTTGATAGCTTTTTCTCTTTAATAATTATGTGATCAAAGAAATTTGCTTATTTATAAATATCAAGCATCTGAGTTTCATAGGAAAATATATCAACTTCATATAGAACTTTGTAATTTTCTCTATTCAAAATATTCACCTATTAAGTGTTTACTTATAAATATATACCAGGTTAGCTCCAAAAAGAACTTAAGGAAACTAAAAATTGATTAACTATAGAAATTATTAAACTAGATAAAATGTTCCAAAATAAAATTTTAAGTAAATAGAGGACTCTAATATAAAGTGCTATTCAAATTTTTAGAAATGAGAAAAAAGGTTTTCATCATAGTTCAGTTTCATATTTCCAGATGATCCCATTGCGTTTCACATTTCTTTAAAATCAAAGATTTAGGAATGTTGAAGTTGTTTACATACTCTGTATTTGTATGAGTATTAATGAAAAATGAGTAAGAGTAGACATTATCTGAATGTAATCCTTACAAGTTCAATATTGATGGCCCTCTTACACCTTAGCAGCTATAAATGAAACATGTAGAGCGCTACATTGAAGCCCAAATTATCTATTTCATATTTTGAAAAATATGAAGTATATGAGACATAGGGGGAAAAATGGTTCCAACAAACATATAATATCAGAAGTGGTCCCTCTTTTATAGAAAAACAGACTGACACAAAATAAACGACACATATTTAAGGCACACAATTTGGAAAATTGGCATGCCTAATGAAACCATCATCACAATCAAGATAATAAACATAGTAATCACCCACAAGTTTCCCTGTGACTTTGTACAACTTTCTTCCTGCCCTTCCTCAACTGTTCCCAGGCAAACTAATGGCTGTCTCTGTAGTTAAGTTTACATTTGCTAGAAAACTAGAATCATATGGTATATACTCTTTATTGTCTGGCTTCTATTAATCAATATGATAATTTTGAGATTCATTCATGTTGTTTACATACTATAGTTTATTCCTTTCATATAGCTGGGTGGCATTACACTGTATATACCACAATTTGTTTATCCATTCATCTGCTGACAGATACTGGATTATTTCCACATTTGGGCTATTACAAATATATCTGCTATGACCATTCATGTACAAGTCTTTGTGTGGATATGTGCTTTTATTTCTTGTAGATACATATTTAAGGAGTAGAATGCCTAGTGTGAATGGTAGGTATATGCTCAATGGTTGAAGAAACTGTCAAAACATTTCCCAAAATGTTTGACCATTTTATATTCCCAGAGTATGAAAATTCCAGTTGCTCCACATCATAGCCAACAGTTGGTATGGTCAGGCTTTTAAATTTTAGCTATTTTAATAAATATTCAGGAGTATCTCCATGTGGTTTAGCCTGCATTTCCCTAAGTGACGATGATTACAAGCACCTTTTCATTTGCATTTACCATCTTCATGTCTTTTTTTTTTTTTAGTTTTTAGAGATACTCTCACTCTGCCACCCAGGCTAGAATGCAGTGGCATGATTATAGCTCGCTGCAGCCTTAAACCCCTGGGCTCAAGCAATCCTCCTGCCTCAGCCTCCTGAGTAATTGAAACCACACCACCACACCCAGCTTCATAACTTCTTTGGTGAAGTGCCTATCTCAGTCATTGTCTATGTAAAACATCGGGTTATTTTCTTCTGTCTTGAAATGCGTTTATATATTCTGAATACAAGATCTTTATTAGATGTATGATTGGCAAATATTTTCTCACAGTCTGTGATTTGTCTTTTAATTATCTTACTGGTACCTTTCCAATACTATACTTTAATTGGTCTTTGAAAATCCAATTTATATCAATTTTTACTTTTGGAGATTATTCATTTGGTGTCGCATACACAAAATCTACCCCAAACATACAAAGATCTTTGTCTTATCTTCCAGAATTTTTTTTTTTTTTTAGTTTTAAGTTTTACATTTAGGTCTATCTATGATCCACTTTGAGTTTATTTTTGTAGATGGTGTGAAGTATGCATCAGGGTTTTTGTTTTTGCATGTGTGTTCCAGCACAGTGTTTTGGAAAGTTCATCCTTTTTCTGGAAAGGATTACCTTTCACGTTTTAGGTTTTGAATTAGCTTTACACGTTTGTCAAAATCAGTTGACTATAAATGTGTGGGTGTATTTCTGAACTTTATTGTGCTACACTGATCTATGTGACGTTTATGCACTTTTGCATTATCTTAATAGCTTTGTAACAAGTCTAGAAATTACAGTGCTGTAATTTCTAGACCTCTACTATGCTGTTTTATTTTCCCAAAGTTGCTTTGGTTATTCTAGGTCCTTTATATATTTCCAAATTTTAGTAGCAGCTTAACAAGTTCTACCAAAAAAACCTACTAAAATTCTTATTGGGATTTTGCCGAATCTACAGATCAATGTGGGGGAAACTGATGCTGAACAATATTGAGCCTTCTAATCCGTGAACATGGTATCTCTCAAGTTTACTTTCTCAGCACTGTTTCGTAGAATTCAGTGTACAGGTCTTGCATATATTTTATCAAATTTACACTTAATGATCTCATATTTTTATGCTACTATATTTTTAGTTCCATTTTCTGATTGTTGCAAGTATATAGAAATGCAATTGAGTTCTGTAGATAGACGTATCCTGTAACGTTATTAAACTTATTAGATATTTTCATGTATTCCATTGGATTTTCTATAGTCAGAGTGGAGGCTGTTTAAAAACTTATTCCTTTGTAATCTGGATGTTGTTTCTTTTTCTTGCGAATTGCCTCGGCTAGAAATTCTAATAGAATGTTTAATAGAAGAGAACATCATATACACTTGCTTTGCCTCTGATCTTAGGGAAAAAAACATTCAGTTTTTCAGTATTAAGTTTAATGTTAGCTGCTGGGGGTTTTTGATGTCCTTTTCGTTCTCTTTTATTCCTACTTTGCTGAGTTTTTATCAAGAATGAATGTTGGGTTTTATCAAATGCTCTTTCTGCATCTATTGAGGTGATCACATAATTTTCCTGTTAGTCCGTTTAATATGGCGAATTACAATTGATTTTTAATGTTAGCCCAAATTTGCATTCTTGAGATAAACCTCACTTGGTCATATGTGTTCTCTTTTACCCATCACTGGATTCAAACTGCTAAAAAAATCTCGTTTAGAACGTTTACATCTGTCTTCATGGCAAATATTGTCTAGTTTTCTTGTCATGATGCTGCCTTATTTTGGCATGAGGGTAATGTTGGTCTCAAACATTGAGCTGGAAATTATCCCCTCCTATTTCCTGGAAGCTTTTGTAAAATATTGGGATATTGTCTTCTTTTAATCTTTGAAAGAATTCATCAGTGTAGCCATTTAGGTTTGGCATCTTATCAGAAATGTCTACAGAAATTGTGGTGTTGTCAATTCTCTCATCCCCGATGTTGGTAATTTTGTCTCTTTTTCTCATTAGTCTAGCTAAAGGTTTATCATTTTTCTTGATCTTAAGGAAACAGAGGCGAAGCAGGGTGGCTCATACATACAATACCAGCACTTTGGGAGGTTGAGGTGGGAGCATCACTTGAGGCCAGGTTCAAGACCAGCCTGGGCAACATAGTGAAACGCTGCCTCTACAAAAATAAAAAAAAAAAAAGTTTTTAATTGCACCGATTTCCTCAACTGATTTTTTATCTCTTTATTCTCTTTTTATTTTGAAGTTCATCTGCTATTATTTTTCTAACTTCTTAAGGTGGATGCTACGCTGGGCGTAGTGTCACATGCCTATAGTCCCAGCTTCTTGGGAGGCTGAGGTGGGAGGATCACTTGAACCCAGGAGTTCAAGGCTAAAGTTAGCTATTATATAATCACTTCAACCTAGGCAACAGAGTGAAATTCCTGTCTCCTTAACAGAAAAAAAAAAAGGTGGAAGCTGACAACTCTGACTTGAGATCTTTCCTTTTTTAATATATACATTTAATGCTATAAATTCCCCTGTAAGTACTGCTCTAGCTGATTCCTACAAATTTTGATATTTTGTTTTCATTTGCATTCTGTTCAGTATAAAGTGGGTTTCTTGTATTCAAAACAGGTGGATTAAAAAAAGCAAGACTCAACTGATTTTAAAAAAGGATAACCGACAATTTACATTTAATTGATACAGCTATTTAAATCTACTATCTTAGTGTTTATTTTCTATCTGTCCCATTGACTCTTTGTTCTTCTTTCAGATTTTTTTTTATGACTTCATTTTATCACCTTTACTGGCTTACTAGCTGTTTATTCACTGATTTTCTTTTTGTGGTTGCTTTAGGTCTTATAATACACATTCTTATCAGTTTACTCTCAGGGAATGTTATACTGCTTCATGGTCAGTATAAGAACTTTAGAGCAGTATACTTTCATTTCCATCATCCCAATCTTGATATTGTCATATATTTCACTTTACATATGTTAACCGCACAACACCCTATTATTATTACTATTTTGCTTTAATCTATTGTCTTTTAAATAAATTTAAAATAGAAAAATAATTTTTATATTTACTCACATATTTACCACTTTTGGTGTTCTTCATTCCTTTGTATAGCTGCAGATTTCTATTTGGTATAATTTCCTTCTAAAGGCATTTTTTTAAATCATTTCCTGTGGTGCGAGCCTGCTTGTGATAAACTCTTTTAGCTTTTCTAAGTCTGAAAAAGTTATTTCATTTTTGCTTTTGAAAAATATTTTCGCTAGGTATAGAATTCTAAATTGAACTTTTCTTTCAGTACTTTAAAGATGTTGCTCCAGTGTCTGACATTCTTCTCTCTGTCCTTCTATGTGTTTTTTCTCTAGCTACTTAAAACAAATTCTCCCTTGTTGCTGGCTTTAAGGAATTTGATAATGATGTGCCTTGGCATAGTTTTCTTTTTATTTCTTGTGTTTGAGGTTCATTGAGTTTCTTAGGTCTCATTTGTTTCTCTCAAGGATCAATATCTGACAACTGTTTCACATATTTTCTTTTTTAATTTCAGGTGGGAAGGTAAATCTCTCATATCATTTTGGCCAACAATGAAATTTCAATTTCATGTTTCCTATTTTTTGCATATAACATTTTATTTTTTATACTTACTTAGCTTTTAAATTCCATGACAAAAATGTTTCATCTGTACACATAATTACTAAAATTATTTCATCCCACCTCTTTTAATATACATTATGTGTATTTATTTTTTTAAAAAAGCAACAGGAAAATATTAATAGATTTAAATACACCATGTAGGCAAAACACACTAATATTTATGTCTTCTAAACCTGTTAGTGATATACAAGGAAACTTGTTACAAGTCATAATGCTTTCATAATCTGTCAGGAAAAGATCACATTAACATCCCTATATGCTTCAGTACAAATGTATGCTATAAACCACACTGGGTAAAAGTAATATTCCTGTTTTTATTTTTGGAAGTAATTATTAGTAAGTTTATGCTTATTAAATATATCCTTAAAAATTTCCATCACTTCAGAAACCCATAAAGTTAGTGAGCTAAAGGTTTGTTTTTTGTTTTTTTTTTTTTAATTTTAGTAAATACTTTCATCTCAGAAGTCAAAATGGGGCAGAAGAGCTATACAAAGGTACACAGTTTAAATCTTTGGGACAAGAGACAAGAAGGTAACCAAGTCAGTAGCCCCCCCAAGCTTCACTTAACCTAAAATTGTAGATCATAGTAGGTAGATGTATACATCTATCTATTGCCAAAGAGGTATAACTTATTTTGACAACCTTTCTAAATAATTTTATGGTAAGGCCAATAATATAAAAATATTATACACAGTACAGAAAGAATTAAAGTTAATGATAAAGACCACAAAATAAAATAATCCAAGCTTCTTATTTGGAAAAAGAAAATAGAAATAATACTATAATATTTAGTACCTAATATGAAATCTCCACTCATTATAAGTTGTCATGTTGATTGAAATTTTGCAGTACAACGTTGCATGTTACTAATGAGAAAATCACCAGATAGCTCTTGTCGAGTCCTATGAACCTTAAACATTTTTTATAGGTAAAGATATCTTAAAAATACCACCCAGGAATAAAGATTTGTCAGAAGTACAATATAGTAACATAAATGCAAAAGATATCATGTAATTTGTGCAATTCAAAATTCCAAAAATTGTCTTATCAAATGTACAATAAATAATAGTCATACTTGACTTCATCAAGTTAACAAAATAATTACTAGCCAACCCTATGTTTTATTAGTCAATGGCTTAGAAACACCAATTGCCATTTTAAAATTACTTTCTCCATAAAAATAGAAGGCATATCAAACTCTTTAAATCTCAACTAGCCCCAAAAATTTGAAAGGCAATTTGTCAATCAAAAATATATGTTAAAAAAGATGACTAAAAAACAAACATAACCAATTTTTATGCACAATTTTCTTCTCTTATGAAAAAGGGCACTTAGTGGATGGCTAAAGCTTTCAAAAAATAAAGATCCTGTTGACTTTCCTATTGGGTAGATGACATACTGTACAATTTTTAATATAAAAATATACATATTTTTAAGATGAAACAGTTGTTGGTATAAAATCCCATCATCCTTTTACTCTTACTTGAAAAACATTTTTTCCCTGGAGGCCATGAAAACAATACTGATTCTATGTAGTTCTGTGTTGCCAGAAACTTCCCAAATTACAGAACATTAAGGTATTCACTGAAATTTCAAAAGTGGGCCCGTAATCTTTTGTTTTCTTCTCGTAGTCTTTCAATTTCAGCCACTAAACCTTCATTCACTGAGTATCTTTCCAGCAAAGAATGCATTTCATTCTAGAAAAACAGGAAAATGCTTTTTAAATTATTGATATTTCACATTTATTTGGCAGGCTATGTTTAATATACTTTCAGCTATCATTTCTCTCATGTTCAATTAACTAGGTGAATGATATTTCTTGTACTTAACAACTTACTAGTTTGTTAATATAAATGGAAGATCGTTGGTGAAATTAGTATATTTGGAAAATTTATATTTGCACATTTAAAATGCTTTTTGCTTACTTATCAGGAAGAAAGCCATGGAAAAAAGAAGGCTTAAGTATCTCAGAGGTTAAAAAGGAGGTGACCAGTTAAAATCTATTTTACTTATTTAGTCTATAAAACTCCCTATTTATCTTAGAAACTAAACAAAACAACTAAAATATATTACCTTTCATGGATTTTTAAAAATTCACACAACTCTACTTTCATTTAAAATATTAAAATAAAATTTGCCATACATACCAGTTGCATATGAAACTGTTTAATCATCTCCACTTGCAAATTCACAATGTCCCTATGGCATGCTTCTCTAGGAAGAATGTAAAATACTTTTTAGAATTACAATAGTTTAACCAATTCTAGGTCATTCAAGAAACTCACTAAACTTTTTCATTTGCCAAATTACTGAATGTTAATAATTACTATAATAATAAAAATACCAATGCACTGAGCATTTATTCACTATGTGCTAGGCACTGTTTCCTTTACTTTAAATGTAAGAACTCGTTTAAAATATCTTCACAAGTAGATGCAATTATTACAGGTCCATTTTACAAAAGAAATAACTTAACCAGAGTAGATATAACTTGTTCAAAGTCACACAACCAGTAAATGATGGAGCTAGGATGTAAACCCAGGCTGTTTAACCCCTGAACTCTCCGATACTATATTCCTTTATATAGAAATTGTCATTAAGACACAAACTTATCTTACAATGAAATACAGAAAATTCACTAGGTTAGAAAGATCATTTTATTATTATCAGTTTAGCTATTGAAAAAATGTACTTTCAGTATAAAGTGGCAATTTGGGTGGATATAGCATGGCTTACTCAATAAAATACAATTAATTCATGCCTACAAAAGAATATGTAAAAATTATTAAGTATAATAACAAAAGAAACACTCAGTCACCCACCACACAACTTATGAACTAGAACATTACCAAATAATAGAAGCTTCCTGTGTGTTCCTGTCTGATTCTATCACTTAACTCTTGGGAAAAAGCCCAAGAAAGAAGTCATTACTCTCCTGAATTTTGTTGGACAAAGAAATGCTTTTGCTTTTTTAATACATTTGTATAACATATAATCTGTAGTCAATGTTTTCATTGTGCATGTTTTTGAGCATTACAAAAAAGGGTACCATATAGCTTATATTTAAGAAATAATTCAATATTGTTTTGAAGATTCATGTTTTATATATCTGTATATCATTAGTTTGTACTGGTGTATCTATTTTCCTGTTAATATTTTGACTGTTTTCAAGTTTTTACTATTCCAACGTTGTTATAAACAATCATGTATTATCTCCAAACCCACATGTGCCAATGTCCATTGATGATATAACCAACTGTAACTCAAGTGTATACTTTTACAAAATCATGCAAATTGTTTTCCAAAGGTAGTTATCAATGGATGTCACCAGTATAACAGAGTTCTTCTTGCTCTATATCATCAAGACTTAGTATTACCAGATTTTTTATATTTTCCCATTTACTCGGTGTGACACGGTATCTCATTGCATTTTTAGTTCTCTGATTAATTGTGAAGTTGAATATCTTTCCTGTGTTCATATACCATTCCTCTTCCTTGAAATGCTTTTTCATATCTTTTTCTTATTCATTTATAAGCATTCTTTACATAATCTGATCCTTTGTTATTTATATGAGAACTGCAGGTATCTTCTTATCCCTTCACTCTGTGATATTGTGTGATAAATAGTTCTTATTAATGTGCTCAAATATACTAATAATGCAGTCAAATTTACCAATGTATTTTTATAGGCAGTGCATTATTTTATTTTTAATGATTTCCTACCATGAAGTTATAAACTTTTATAAAGTCAACTTTTAATCTACATGGAACTGATTTTTCTCAATTGCATGGAATCTATACTTATTTTTTACAGGAAAAAACAAATGTCACAACACAACTTACTGATTATTCCATTTTTTGCACATAAATCTGCAATGCTACCTCTCTATTATTTCCATATATGCATAGGTTTCTTTCCAGCTTATTTCATTCCTTTGGCCAGTATGTCATCCCTGTGCCATGCTATATATCTTAATTATACTTTAATAATTAAGTGTATTCATCTGACAAATAAGTCCCCTTCAACCTTATTCTTCTCTGAAATGTCTTAGTTATTCTTAGATTTTTTTCCTTCCATACATATTTTGGAATCACTTCATCATCTTCTTCCAAATCCCAGCTGGGATTTTAATTGGAATTGCATTCAATCTACTGACCTATTTAGGTGAACTAATATCTTTATAATCTCTCCATTTATTTAAATGTTAATGCTTTTAAACAAAAAAAATTTTTAATGTTTTTCTACAAAAATCTTCACTACCTTTGGTAGATTTATTCCCAAGTAACTTATTGTTTTTCTGTTCTAACTATGAGGGTATTTTTAAAAATTTCCTCTTCTACTTTCAATTATAGTAAAAACTGTATTGAAAACAAACAAAAACACTGTATCAGGGAACCATTGAGGTAGCCAGGACTTGAAGGGCCATGATCTTGCAAACGAAAGACTACTAGGTAAGCTCTTCATTTACCTCTGTTTTTCCTTCTAGAGTATGTGCTGATTCCACAGTGTGGAGAAGAAACCGAGCTGAAGCAGTGGCCTGGAGGTTGAGATAGTCTCGCTGGGTGGGGGAGTATTAAGAGTTTGGGCCTACCAAGGTAGCCAAGGCTGTAAGAGCCAAGGTCTTGAAGAGAGGAGGCCTGCAGAAAACTAAGCCTGAAACTGTGGAATTTCCCCTCAAGACATCTGTTGACTTCTAAGCAATGCTCCCCCTGGGTTAGATGGCAGGAAACCAACCAAAAAACAAGTAACTAAAGAGCAGAGAAAGTATTCTGGAAGTCTTGTGATGCTGGCAAAATAGAGGCTGAAGTTTGGGACCCACCAAGGTAAAAAAGACAGTGAATACTCCAGACATTCAGCTGATGTCCTAGAAAAGACTACACACTAGGAATAAAGGCAAACTGGAAACAAACTAGTGCTAAGAAAACCTGAACCTAGTAACCAAAGGATCAAAGGGATCTGCTTGCCAAAAGAAACTTAAATCTTCTTAATAGACAACAGAAACAGATGCACAGATTTCCACTTAGGATGTATTAGGTTGGTGCAAAAGTATAATTTCTCAACTCTAATAACGAAAACAAACCTGATAACCTATAAAATCATATTATTTTAAATTCAACCGAGAGCTGAGAATGGAAAGAAATCTAAATGAACTAAAATCCAGAAAATGAGGAGTTCCTCTTAGGAGAAAAGAGACCCATGACTAGGAGAAAAGAGACCCATCTTCATGCCCTTGACAGAGTAAAAAGAACTAGCTGAAATTTTAATAAGATTTTTAAAAGCCAAGTAAACACTGCTTGATAGTTTAGAATTCCAAGGGGTCCCAGCCACAAGGAGAGTCTCAATTTACTCACCAACTTTTTCCCACAAGCCTTCATTCAGCGCTCATGTAAAAAAAGTAGGGACAAGTGTAACAGGAGGGCTGAGGGAGACTCCCTAAGATACAGATGCACAGAGCCTGGTGAAACCTTAGGGCAGCAGAGAAGAACTGAGAGTAACCCCTCTAAGGCACTCCAGGCTCTCATGGAGAAGATGGCAGCCACGGGAGGATGGCTGAGAAAGAGGTCCTCAATACCCTCTCTGTCCTGCCAATGATAGGTGTAGATGAACACCTAGTCTGATGAACACCTAGGCAAATGGCAAAACAAGTGAATTTATGGAAATCCTCTGAGCCACTCTGGGTCTTCACTGCGTCCCAGGCAGAGGCTGCCTATGGTCAAAGGGCAGAAGAGCTGAGAGAAGTCCCTACCCACCACTCCTAGGTGCAGACATGCAGCACAGGGCAGCAAAACCAAGAGGCACTGACTGTACGTCTTCACCAAACGTGCTGCAGCAGCTCTGCAGGGCTGAAAGTGGGACAGACACACTTCTCCTGAGGCACAGAAAGCCAGGAACAGGTTAGATAGTGAAAAACAAGCTCCAGCCACCCCGAAAGCTGGCAGCAGGGCAGAAATGCACAGCGATTTCAGAGTTGCTCCAGCACTCAGATCCCTGGGTCTGCTGAAGGAAAGGCCCTGAGCCCACTGTCCTCAAATCATCTGAAGCCAGTGGTGAACTGACACCCAAATGCTTGTTGAATAAATGGGTAATAAATAGACAGCACCCATTACTCCTGTGCTTAAAAACTCTGATGGCTCTCCATTACCTGTGTGTTAAGACCTTCACAACTGTCCCTCAGGCCTGGTCTCTTACCACGGTGCCTTCTCTCTGCAAACATTCCTAGAATGTATGATCATGTCTCTGCTCAAGCTGTTCCCACACACATCAGTATAAAATAAAATCTCTTCAGTGTACCTTTCTAAATCTGCCCCCACAGAAGAACTGCTCCCTTTCTGTGATTTCAACATCACTTTGCTCACACTGTATTATAGTCAGCTGTATCCAGACAGTTCTACTATTATGCCATAAATATTTATGCACTCCTGAAAAAAACGTATATTCTTTAACACTGTGTATTAAAAATAACAGAACTTAGGGAAAAAGGATTAGGGCAAAGCACTCAAAAACCTATGCAACTTTGTAACCAGAGCACAACAAAAACAATTAAATCCTAATAAAAATACTAACATAGTTAAAAAGACATAGTAAAAATCTAATAGATAATTATTGAATAATACCCTTACTGTGAAGAAGTGATGGTCACTTAATGGAAGAGGATAGAAGGATTGCGGCTATCAAGTTACAGAGGCAAGAGCAAAATGCCCAAAGATGGGAAATAATCACAAAATAAGTACTTCTAACAGACCACACAGCCAAGCCAAGAGGAAGTGAATAAAAAGAGATGGATGCTGACGGGGTTTGCTGCATTCAGCTGTGTTCAGGTGTACTTTATTTTGGCTGCTATTACACGAACAAACAAAATTTCCTCATCATATTGTCAACAGTGTTCTATTCTACTGATCCCAAATGAATTAATTCACATTAAGAGAAACACACATGGCAGAACACACTGCACCTAGCCCAACTACATCACAAGGCCTTTGTGGCAGATCATTTGATGTATCCTTAGTATCTGGTACATATACTAGGTAGGGTAAATGCCAAAATTACAATTTTTCTTTAAAAAGTATTTTTCGACATTTAAAAATATATTTTAAAAGTATTTTAAAACATTAAAAGGAAGCATGCACCAACAAAAACTGCACATTTTCTCCAACATTCTTGCTTACGGTAATCCAAATCTGAGCTACAACATTAACTATAGGTTAGAAAGGAAAAAAGGCACCAATGATTTTAATAATTGAAGATAGCTTCCAAAAATATTGAGATGATAAAAGAAAGCAGCATTGTAGAACACATTCTTAGAATGTTCACAATTCGAAGGATGAGACAGACAAGGATAAGTCTGAGAAAGAATTTTTTTTAGATTAAGTATTACATTCTGATGCATTCTATTGGAAAACATTCAGAATTGTGCTTTAAAGTATCTTTTTCTACTACATTATTGCACACAGCATACCTAATAGATCTATGAACATACTGCAGGTTAAGAACCCAATTTAAGCTTACCAGAACTTGTCCACATTTTAATAATAAAAAAAGTTCACAATGGCAGTCTACCTGCTAGACTGCCCTGCTGAGTTACCTAATAATTGCCCTAGGTAAATGTGCCTTTTCCTGGCTCATAATCAATAAATGCAGTACGAAAAGATCAACAAAACTCATTATGTTTTCTATGGCTTTAGGATTACCAGAACCTAGACAATAGTAACCAACAACATTATCTATAGTTCTGGTTTTACATCTAAAAAAAAAACAAGTAAGGTCTAGATAGAAGGAGTAGTTTCTCAATTACTACCTAAAGTCATCCAACGTTTCCTGTATCATGTTCTGAATAAAACGAATTTGAATGGAAGTCAATGGTGCATTTTGCCGGTTATTTCCAATGCTGTCGGCTATTTTTTCTGAGAGTGAACTGGCAACTCCAGCAGTGACAGAAGATGCTATCTTTGGATCTAAAATAAAGAATGAAGAAAATATTAATAGTCAACTTGGACTGAGAGACATCAAACATTTCTAAATAAGATTTGGCATGTGCAAACTTGAAAAACTGGCAAAGAAGAGTGTTCCTGTGACATTTAGAAAAATTCACTGTCTGGAATACAAATCTTAGAAACTTTCTATAACATTATTTCTAATAGTCATTTATCTATATATATAAACTGCCAGCTGTCTAATGTAATACCACATGACAGAGGGATTAATCTTGAAGAATCTATGAACCATTTCCTCTTATAAAAGATGAATGTGACAAGCTGCACCATAAACTAGATAAACCAAGACTATTAAAAACAAACCGAAGGAAAATAGGAGTAAAGTACTGCTACAGGAAAAGCCTTAGAGTTTAAGCTAATGCAATATATATCCACAGAAAACTTCAAGCAAAATATAGATATTTATATGAGAGTTGATTGTAAACAAAGAGTTGCTTTGTGTAGATAACTCTTAGAGTTAAACCAAATATTCCTTTAAATGTGATGAAGTTTGTATGGGTCTGCAGCACAAACTCTAAGGATAAGACTTTAATATGAAAGAGAAAAAGACATTTTCAGGTAGTTAACCAACCCTTTTCAAAGGGTCCTACATAATAATTCTATCTCTACCATATTAAAGACACATATTACACTGAAAATCTAATTCACACCAAAAGATCAAATCAACGTACCTGAATTTAACGATTCATATCCATTTCATTGTCTTTAGTAACACTCACACAACAGAAGTGTCCACAAACTTTAAACTCTTTGAACATTTTTAGTCTATGATTACTCTATTTCTCCTTTACAAGTTAAATAATGGGGATGATTTTTCAATCAAACACTTTCAAACATCAGGAAGTTTCATGTACTTACTTGGAGTTGAGGATCCATTGATTGGGGGTTCACATATCAACTGGGCTTCAATTTCATTCTCTGGCTTTTCAAATTTCTCAGAATTTCTTGTTTGGTTAGATGATGGAGAGGTATTTAGATTTCCACTTTCAGCACCAGATGTGACCAACTTTGCTAACTTTATATTTAAAATAAATAATGACTTTAATATACAATTTTTTTACTCATATTACCCATATAATTTTTGCCTACTTCTCTCTTTTGTCCCAGTATGTAGGTTAATAGAAATGAAGGAAAATAGGAAGAGATATAGAAGAAGAAAAAGAAAAAGAGAACTGGAGGCAAAATAAAGTAACACTTACTAATCAAAAACAATCTCAACAATAACATGAGGAAAAGCTCATTTACTAAGCACCTGCTGTTAAGTATCATTTAAAATAGAGATAACTGGCAAAACAAAAACAAAAACACCATGCATGTGGTAACCAGTCAATAATATTTGCAAAATAAATCAAAAGATGTTTTTGTACTTCTTACATGGTATCTTTTCAATATCATTCTAAACAATAAATACGAAAATACAGACATATTGTATACCCAACTGGCTTGGCCTTCCTGGTAATTTTTGATCATTTTGAACCCTTACATAAAAAATTAAATTCTGTATTATATATATATATTTTAGCAGAAAGTAACAATGATAAATTCCATTCTCAGCACCATCAGTTTGCTCTAATGATTTAACCACCAACTTGATGTTGTATACTGCAATGAAATACACTTTAAAAGGATTCAGGGATAAACTGTTCTTGCACACTTTATCAAGATATATCAAGTATCTCATCTTAGAAAAATACTGCAACTTTCCATCTGCTGTAACCTTCAACATATCCAAAGCGAGATTTCAAAGTATTCTGTAGTTATTAAAATCTGACATCAAGACTTATGAATAAGTGCATAGCAATGCTAATAATTAGGATACATGCACTGGCAGCCACCCACTTTCTACTGATAAACACATACAGTGAGTTCAGTATCATTTTCAGGCAAATACCTGTTTGAAGGAGTCTTTAGATTCCTGTTTTCCCATATATATTTTCTTAGACTCAGCTGTTAGATCACGGTTTTCATTTTCCTCTTTCCCTGGAGATCCCATAAAAACATTAAGAGGACTAGAATGCAATACTGAAGTACTTGAAGTTACTGGATTTTTTCTTGGAGGAAACACTGAGTTCAACTGCGGTAGAAAGTCAAAGCCTGGAAAAGGGAAAAACTGCATGTGCATATGGTGTCCTCCAATTTTGGACATTGAAGAAAAGCATTTAACATGATAGGCAGATTAACATGGAAGAAGATATGGATCTGCATTCTGAAGACTGGTTTGTTTCTCAGATACACCCCGCAATTGATGTGTATTTTTGGGCAAAAGTCTTAAACTTTCTGTGACTATTTCCCGATCTACAAATGTAAATGATGATATCCATCTCCCAGAGTGGTAAGGCTTCAAAGATATTATTTGTGAAAATACTTTGAAAACAGCAAAACACAATGTTTTAGTCAGTATTAGTTCTTGATAACTGAAAATTGTTAATTTGGTATATATCTGTGGTATGTATCTTGGAAGGCAATTTCTGAGATGGCTTCTAATGACCCCTGCCTTTGGCGTCGCTATCCTTGGGTAATCTCCTCCCTTTGAACGTGGCTTGGACCTAGTAACTTGCTTCTAACAAAAGTAATATGAAAAAGTAGTGAGATGTCACTACCAAGATTAAGGTTATTAACATAATCTTAAGAGAGGGCTTCCATTTTGGATGCCCTCTCGAATTCTCTTGTTCACCGGCTCTGAGGTAAACCAGCTGCCATGTTGTTGGCTGCCCCATATATAAAGAAGCTCATTGGCATGGAACTGATATCTCCAGCCAACAGCCATAGGAATGAGCTTGGAAACAGTTCCCTGCCCAGTTGAGTCTTAAGTTGAATGAAGCTCTGGTTGACATCCTGATTGAAGCAGGAAGATAGACTTGAAGGCAAAGGTACTCAGCCAAGTCATGCTCAGTTCTTAATACACAGAAATTATGAGACGATAAATGTTTATTTTTTTAAGCCTCAAAGTGTTGGAGAGATTTGTTACACAGCATAGATAATACAATTCACTTTTCATTTTCACGAAAATACTTCTAAGTAGTTCTTACCATCTCCTTTGCCTATGGACTCATCACTTCCCTTGTTAACTACAGCATCTATAACAAATTAGAAAATCAAATTTTAAAACTAGTGAAAAAGAAACCATATCAATTTAGGCTTCTTATTCATTCCCCAAAGAGTTCAGAGACTAACAATCTTAAAAAGCTAAATATGAGTGATGTTAAAGGTAGGAGAATACTGATTTAAATTTCTCTTTTACATTATTTTAGCTTCATTCACACTTTAGCAGCAAATATGAACAGATAATTCTATAGTACAGTCATTTAATGAGGCAGCAAGGTATAGTGTAACAAGCCCTGGTGTAGGGGGTAGGTTATGGAGAGCTATAATCCAGTTCTGCCTATACCACTTAATAGCTTTGTGACCTTGGACAAGTCTCAGATGCAATTAAGTTTCAGTTTCTGCATCTATAAAATGGGGATAATGTCCAGATAAGCTCACAAAATTGCTTTGAGGATCAATTGAAATAATACAAAAATATTTTGCAAAGCAGAACAAAGTTTTATTAGTGTTTATTTCCATGGTAGAATATGTATAAGATTATTTTAATCCTGTAATATTCATTTGCCAGTCCATAACAAAAATTGTAAAATTCAAATTTAACAGGTGAATTAAAAATGAGCCAAAGTCATTAACGAATTTACTAGAAATTCAAATGGCCAATAAACACACAACTATATCAGGAGAAATATCATCTATGTGCATGTGTGTATATGTTCCCAGTAATTGCACAGCATGTACATGCACACTTTTAGAAGTTATTAGCTTCCTTATCAATACTTTGGAACCATAATGAATCTGGAGGGCGTATGACTCAAATGCTAGTAACATTTTTAAACATAGCAAAAGTAATTAAAGAAAAAAGTAATTTATTCATTTGTCTTAAAAACTATTAAAGAGAATTTAATTTATAACTCAAACACTTCCAAAAAGCCCCTTTGTACATTCTTCAATGCAAAAGTTCCTCCAGAGGAGTCTCACTGGCCAAAACTCGCAATTCAGCACTAATCCCAGAAACCTTTCTCAACTCCAGCACTAGTCACTTTTCTCTCCACCTACATCCGTCCCTCTGTTTACCCTTTACAATGTAGTTTGATGTAGTTCGACTTCTCTTCATCCTGAAAGAAAAGAATCCTTCCTCTTTCAGTTTGACTTAGCAATTTAAATAGAAATTTGCAGGCCAGGGTAAGGCAGAAGATACTCAATAATTCTGTACCACCACGTATGTATTTATTCCTTCTGACTATAAAATTGTAGAACATTTGGAAAAGAGACAATTTTAAAGTAAAAAATGAAATTGTATAAGATAATGAGTGGATGAAACAACTTCGAGATCCTGCTGTTGACATGGTACACTTATAATAATAAATACACAAATCTTTGTGGGCTTCTCTGAGTATTTTCTGAGATAAATTTGTAGAAATGTAAATACAAGGCCAAAAAGTATGAATATATTAACTCTGTCAAATTACCCTCTAGAAATGTATCCATGTTATTAATATTGCTGTTAGCAATGAGGTAACTCCATTCCACTAAGAAAAACATTATGGATGTTAGTACCAAAAAGACACACCTAAACAATGTACTTAGTTCAGACACTATGAAGAATAACAAATAATGCTTCTATTTATCAAGCTGGCAAATTTGCTTTTTATTATGCCAACTTTTTTATGGGGTGGTGGGAGGTGTACACCTATACACACACAATTTTTTAAATTAGGAAGACTTTTTTGCATACCAAAACATCTAAAATTTTAGGAACATTAATTTAGAAGTAGATACAAGGGACAGATTGCCTATGAAGGTAAAAACTTCCTTCAAGAAACTTTTGTGGAAATTAAAATGCTAACTTGAGAGCTATTTGCATAATTCCCATGTGAAAATTACCAGCATATATTTTACAATGATAACATTTGAAATATCAGGGCAAAGAAAAAGATACCACCCCAGGGATGGAGAAAATTAGCAAACTGATCCGTGAATAGAGTTGGACTGAAGCTATTATTCACATCTTTTAGCCAGAATAAAAATATTAACTACCAGCAAGAGAACAGGATCCTCTGAACAGACTTACCATCTCTGATAGGTGAGAACATGTCACCTAAACTACTTTTCCCAGTATCATCAAAGCTGGAGAAATCCTGATTTTTTCCACTGTCTGTTTCCTTAGATAAAGTGTCTGTGTTTATGCTTCGAGGCAAACCTTATAGGAATTAGATATAAAAATCAATGTTATTACATCTAAATAAATTTTATCATAAGCTAGGTTGTAAAAATTAATGTATCACTCATATTGTTGGTAATATTACAACTATGAGCATAAGGAGAATAAAACAGAATATGACAAGAGCTAAAGTTAATCAGGATTTTCATGGAACAATAAAACAGAATATGACAAGAGCTAAAGTTAACCAGGATTTTCATGGAACAAAAGGTTCCTCAAAAGAAAACAGCTTATTTGTTCATACAGTAATACCTTATTTTAGCCATTTTGTTGGAATTTTTCTAAAATAATTTATATACTTTGCTGCTCTCTTAAAGTACACTGAACACAACTTACTTTTGCTATTGACTGACTCATGATCATCTACAAATGTGATTTTTTTTTAGTCTGTAAGGCATATAGAGCGATGCCTAACATACAGCAGGATTCAATTAATGTTACTTTTCTTCCCTGACTTGCAGTGAAGGGGTTTTCTGTCTTTTCTTTCACTAACAGTGGGAGCTTAACATTGCCCTCAGCATTACAGATCTCAAATGACTTCACTAACCTCCATAGTTTCAAAGAGGAAGCAAACCAGAACACCAAACTCATAAAGAATAGTAAGGTAGACAACAATAAAGAGACGGCAGCAGTTTATTTTTTCTGGCAGTGTATAAACACATGGCTTTAGAGTAGGGACCTTTTAAGAGGAGCTCAGCAGGCTCAGAAGCTTCTGTTTCATTACTGGAGTAACGACAGTTTTAGAGGTTCAAAAATTTTGATTAAAGTCTGCCATCAGGATTGGTAGCACATTACTGTATTACATTTTAAAAAGTGCTTTATTTGGCATCTCAGGCCCAAATGAAAAACTGAAAAGTCTGAGATGAAAACAAAGAACAGCCTGCATATCCAAAAATGCCCAAGACTGGCGAATAAAATAAACTTTTCTAATAACACCTGCTATAAAGTTAAAATATTACCAAATCATTTGTACTATTGTTGAAGAGTGTCTATAGCAAGAGTTCAGTTGTTACAAAGAAGAAATTTCCTCTCCTTTTTTCTAGGTCCTTAACATGTTTGAATGCATAACTCAGCCTCTGAAACTTTAGGAAACAGAAGTTTGGTATCATTTGAAAACAGCGCTAAAGTCTTATTCTTTTCTTCTTAAATGGTGATTTCCTTCTAAAACTAAGTACCAATAACAAGTTTAGAGAAGTTCTTTGAAATAACTGAATCAGGACAACTTCAATAGAAGCAACAGAATTTTTTTCTGAACTTTAATTTTATACAAAGCTTAAAATAATAATAGTGATGATCATGATGACCACAATGATAGTATCAACACCATAGTGTACTGAGTGCCTACCATGTGCCAGGTACTTCCAATACATTTTATCTGATTTTCACAATAACCCTAACAGTTAAATGTCATCTTAAATGTGTACAGGAAAAAAATGAGACCCAGAAAGGTTAAGAGAATTGCCTAAAAGCATCCTGGCCGGAAGTGACAGATCTGAGACTGAGTCTACTATTCTCAATGTTTCAGAGGCAAAGAAAAATGTGTGTGTGTGTGAGAGAGAGAGAGAGAATGAGAGACAGAGAGAGGAAGAGAAAGAGAATGATGAAGCAAATGTGGCAAAATTTATAAAGTGCATCTGCCAAAGGGTAATGCTCAGGAGTTATCTGTACTATTCTTAAAACTTTTCTGTAAGATGACAATCATTTCAAAATACAATTAATACACAAACATTGTTAATTTTGTGGGGGCAGAGCACTCACTTTGCCAGAAATGTTGGGAATCTACCAAGAGTTATCGTTAATCCATGACCCTGAAAGATCCAAGCCTTTGATTTGCAAATTAATGCTGTCTTTGTTAAACAAGAGCCTTCTTACTATAAAACTAAATGAATAATGGAGAGACTTCAGAGAGTTTACAGTGAATGAGAGAATCTTTATTTTGTTTAATTTTTGAAAATTTTGAAAAAAGATAATTTTCATAATATAGTTAATTCAACATGTTGGCAGACATTACTCAAAGTTATATTTCAAAAATAATTTCTTCCTTAAGTAGATATCAGTTGTCTTTGTCTCCAGGAGTTCCTAAATAAGAACTTAATTATTTTCCTAATATATAATGGCTCTTATATAAGGATGATACAGATATTCACAGGAAATTTATAGTGAATATACTTACTTTAAAATACTACTCCACACTATCAAGATCAACAAATTAAAGTTTTGCTTCTACTTGGAAATAGCAAAATCATGCTAAAAAAAAACACCAATAAATATTTTTGCCCAAGTATTTATCCTGAAAAATTTAAAAGACATGGATATATGTATTTCTACTAAGCACAATATTTCAGAAACATACTAGTATACCATGTAGACTTTCTAAAGTATTTGTTGCACGTTGACAGTATAGCATAACTTCTTAAAATAAAAATGAAAAGGTTTTCAGGAATTTACAGAATATTTTTTTATTGTGAGCAAGAAATATTTTCTACAATAAGAGAAAGCTTATCATATAACACATCAATAAAGTCTAAATGAATCCTGTTTCAGAACTGTTTCGCCAATTACATGAGAGAAGAAGAAATCATTAGAAATTGCAACATTCTCATTTATTTTTATTTAATGAGATCAAATCATAAGACAGTGTCAAAGTTTCATATTTTCTACTGGTTAATCTGAAGACACAATGAAAAGCCATTCAGTCTTTAGTAGTATTAAGGATGAATAATTTCTGAGTTAGCCTCCTTCCATTTTTAAGACAATATTTCTCACAAGAGAAGTTTAGCTAAACAATAAGGGCCTTTTATCATTTTTGAAATTAATAGCCAAAGTTACTATTTTCACTTCTTCAATGATTTTCACTTCTACTAATTTTACCTAAGTACTCAAATAAATTTGAGTTCTATGTTCTTGAAGAATGTGCTAATTATATGCAAGCCAAAAACAAAAAAACAAAAAAAAAACAAACCAACCCTCCAACAATATATAAGCAACATTTACCTGCTTTTTCTTGAACAGCAACTGTTCCTTTCCCCATAGCTGATGTCATAGGTTGTGGTAGAACTGTGGCAATGGACGTGGCAGGTGCTTCTCTGACAATTCCGGAATTCTGAACTCCTCCACTAGCAGCATTCACATTAACACTTCGTTTGTTCACTGTTGTGGGCTTATTTGAACAGCCTTTATTTAAACTTGACTGAAATGTAATGGAATATTTAAAAGCTCAGGTTACTAATGTTTCATACTATACATTAATATTTTATAAATTCCCTGTTAGATTAAAAAATATATTTTTTTCCTTGCAAATCTTAAGCTTGCTGGCAGACCTGAGTTTCCCTCTAAATTAAAATGTCTTTTAAAATACTTTTAAAAAGAGAGATATATAAGGAGAAAAAAAAAAGAAAAAAAGTTTTAAAACTAAATATCAAATGGCTTTGTACTAAAATTATTATACATTACATGTAAAATCATTATGTAATTATGAAACAAAACTATACTGTTTAATTGACCACATATAATTTCCATATTCTGAGTTAGATTTATTTAATAAAATAAAAAATGCTGAAAAGAAAATGTCTCACCTTAGTAAGAACAGTGGAGTACTGAAATGCTATACACTGCACAGATGTCTTGTGAGCACTGATGGTCTTAACTGGTGATTTCAACATTCTTAAATCATATTGATATATTTTCCCCCGGGAAGATCCAATAGCCAAAGTGGCTCCATCAGGCATGAAATCTACCGCAGTTAGAGGAGTGTCAGCCACTAAAGTTTTCACTAGCCTTTGGAAAGGAGAACAAAGTATGTGTAGAAATGTTAGTGTGTACAGGTATATTAGCTTATATAAGTAACTATATACCAAAACCAGAGTTATTAACACTTCAAACTGGTCAAAGAGCACACATATCCCAAATATTTGTTTAAAGCATAATTTCAGAATTTGACTTAGAGACATTTCTAATAAAATGGCATATAGAGAACTGCTAAACATTCCATCTTACTTTTCTATTCACTTCCAATAGGTACATTCTGCATCTTATAGAAGCAGCACCTATTTCTTTAATTATTACTCTGACAGTGAATGTAGCAGAACTGTCTATTACGCCACAAACAGGGGCTCTGGCCTCATGGTTGAGGAGGGCCTAAGTATCCACTTTCCATTTATTGACCTGCTTAGGCCTCATGAGGACTATGACCTTTCACAGGGGAGCAGCTGTTACTTTGTTCTTAGTTGTACAGTCTTGGCCAAAAAGCTAAGAGGAACACAGTTCACATGCTTGATCCTTAGGAAGCTAATAAAGAAATACGGATGGTGATCTGCTGAAGCTGAGCTCTTTACTGGTGTGTATAGTAGAAAAGAAGAATGGCTTACTGGGCTCTCAGTAAATTGTTCCATAAAAGAAGACAGCAAATAAGTCCTAACAGTAAAAATTCTAGCATCATAATAAAGGCTGACAGTGGGACCTTCCCTTGTAGTAACATTCATACTCCACATGATCTACAGACAGTGGTAAGCATCTTGAATACAACTGTATCACTCTTGCATTCTTTTGTTTTTGTTTTTGTTTTTTAGCTAACTAAGCATACCTAAATTTAACAAGAAGAGGGTACAGTGGGCCCAAATGCTTAGAGGATTATGTACACCAGTACATAATCAGTATTTCTCAAGTGGGTGCTCCCAGGTTGTCCCTGGTTACTACCAGGGGACATCTGACAATGTCTGGACACAATTTAGGCCATTGGTATTTAGTAAGCAGAGGCCAGGGATGCTGATGAATATCCTACAATACCCAGGACAGCCCCTCACAACAAAGAATTACCCAGCCCAAAATGTCAATCGTTTCTAAACCTTCCTCTAGATAATTAATCAGTTTTAAAGCAAATTAATCATTTGGGTTAAAAACATATGCATTTTATCATATTGTGGAAAAGATGCTAAAATTAAAATGTGAAATCATTAAGATGTCATCTCTCTATGTTCATGTTTCAGAAGTACCCTAAATACTACCTGCAACCCATCTATTTCTTTCTGCATAAGAAGAAAATTCTTTCTTACTAGATCCATCAACTGTACAAACTTTAGGACCCCTGGACACTAATCAGAGGTCTATATAAATCACAAATATGCCTGTTAATGGAATAATAGCTATTTGTTACTAAATTAAGAAATAAGCATGTCACACTTACTTCTTACTTGAAGTGTCATAGAGGATGATTCTTTTATCCAAGCCTATGGTTACAAAGAGCAATTCATTGACAGGAGAAAAACAGATGCCTGACGCTGGAGCTTTGTGTACACTGTCAAAGTTATGGTATGGACTCTGACTATTTACATCCCAGAGAGTTACTATTCCATTATCCGAAACACTGCCCAGTAGTGATTTCTTAAACAAGGAGTACTTCAAGTGCCGAACAGACTATAAAAATGAAAGAATAAATTTTATGTAATTATAAGCATTCATAAGGACATTTGATATAAGCCATATAAATTATGGCCAACCACACTATTCACATGGGGTTTAGGATTTCTCTGATGTGTAAGAGTGACAGGTTTCAGCCAGACGTGGTGGCTCACGCCTGTAATCCCAGCACTTTGGGAGGCCGAGGCAGGTGGATCATCTGAGGTCAGGCGTTCAAGACCAGCCTGCCCAACCTAGTGAAACCCCATCTTTATTAAAAATACAAAAATTAGCTGGGCATGGTGGCAGGCGCCTGTAATTACAGCTACTTGGGAGGCTGAGGCAAGAGAACCACTTGAACCTAGGAGGTGGAGGCTGCAGTGAGCCAAGATCACACTATTGTACTCCAGCCTGGGCGACAGAGTGAGACTCTGTCTTAAAAACAAAACAAAACAAAACAAAAAAACCCAACTCTGTCTTAAAAAAAAAAAAGAAAAGAAAAGAAAAGAAAGGGTAACAAATTTCAATCATGACAACCACGGTGTCATTCAGTGGACCATAAGATGACATACCAATACCTGAAACATACCAATCAATAGCCTATTAATATTTGTCATTTTATTATCTTGGAGTATAGCTACCTCAATCTTCTCCTTTCAGAGGAAAAATATAATACATTGAGATTATCTACATTAATTCATCAGGGTTAGAACATCCACCATATATAAAAGGCCTTGTCACAGTCAAATCAACAAGTATAAGGGAATACTGGGAGAAAAAAAAAAAGCAATAATATTTTGTATTTGTTTTCTATATTTTAGATATTTTGATACATTTGTTTGAATCTGAGCATCTGATGCACTGACAATTCAACACCTGAAGCATAATTTAAAAAAAAATTAAACCACAAAGGAAAAACTGGCAACACTCTAGACTGGGGATGGACTATATCCATTGTTTCAAAACCATTAGCCTGAGGGCAATGCTGGCCTTTCTCTAAACACAAATCCCTGCAGGTAGTGGAGATATTCTCTCTTCCTAGCTTCCATGGACCAGAATAAACAAAGATCTAGTTTGAATAAACTGATCTTAGACTAAAACTAACTGAATTTTATCTACTTTTCTTTTTTACTAAAATGTTACTGTCAAACTTGTATTGATGTTGTCATTTACTAGGCGGAAAATTAAGTACTTTACATTTAAGCTAATTTTTCCCTATGAATTTATATTCTACTTAATTCTAAAATGTCTCAAATAATATATATTAGCTCTCAACAACAACAAAAAATGTCTAGGAAATACAGAAACCAAATGCTAAGAAAAAAAAACAAAAAGGAGTTATTAGTCACCTGGCACCTAAGTTAAGACAATTAATATGTTAACCCATTAAATTTGCCCATTTTCATATGGCTAAAGTACAAAGAGAAAATGTTGGTTTATATAATTTTTATTTTTGTTGGGAAAAAGTATATCCACTTGAATAGTCAAATCTTTTCTCTGGTCCATATTCAAGAAAAAATAAACTACATGAATGTTAACTATATAAAAGACACAGACCTACTTAGTGCATTATGTTAATGATTACAGAGTCATACACAACATATCAAAATATAAGGCAAAACATGATTTCTAAAAAGATTTCTACAGCACTTTAGGAGTTCATATAGTTATCGTCCTTCACATGATCTAAATTTAGACTAAATACACAAGTAGAATTTTTAAAAACACCATAAAAATCACAGACCTGGTAGATTCTCGAAGTTCATAAAGTTTAACCTCTTAGCAACAGCAGGAATTTTCCTACAACATCCTTAAAACATGGTTATCCAGAATCTGTTTGCATCTATCAAACAACAAGGAGCTTACCACTGTCTTTAACACAACTTGATAACCAGTTAAAAATGTATTCTTGATCAAGACAAAACCTAAATTCTGTATCTTACTTCAAGTTCTTGGGACCTACATGGCAGACTATTTAAAAAAAAAAAAAAAAAGGCTAAAGATAATGATAAATGTTCCCTTCAGATAAACCTAAGTTCAGTGGACGCTCAGCAAACCTCTGTATGATTTAGGTGAATTACTTAAACTCTCCAAAACTCAGCGTTCTCATCTACATAATAGAAAACACTCTTGTTTTCCTGACACAATTATTTTGAGGATTAAATAGCATTTCTGTACAGAATCAGGTACACAGTAGCCATCACCATTTCCAGAAGTTCATAACTTACTTGCTCATCATTGCTTATGTACCCACCATTCAACCATCTTTTACATATTTTTTAAAAGACCCTTAAGTAACCACATTGAATTCTTTAAATGTCTCCAATTATTTCTGTGATAATACTAACAGAATTTCATTTCTTAACTTTCTATATCTGTTAAATCTTCTCTTTAGAATATCATTAAGATATTAGCTAAGAATCCTGGATAAACAAAACACTGATTTACTAAATTATATATATATAATTTATATATATAAATATATTTACTTGTGTGTGTGCATTTTATATATATATATATATATATATATTTTTTTTTTTTTTTTTTTTTTAAGAGACAGGATTTTGCCATTTTGCCCAGGCTGGTCTCAAACTCCTGGACTCAAGCACTCCACCTGCCTCAGCTTCCCAAAGTGCTGGGATTACAGGTGTGAGCCACCGCACCTGGCCTCCAAATTATATTTAAAATAAATATTAACTTATTTCAGTATCAGCAGCACTTAAGTCATTAACTCCCTATCTTGTTCCAGACTAAATTATTTATAAGAAAAGAATTAAATCAAGAAGCTTATGGGGGGGAAAAAATCCCGGCAGTATAAGCAGCAATGCTATTTTTTCTTATACCACATTATTGTGTAAGAATGTTGCATGTTTGTGGAGGAGGGAGATTGTTTCTAAATATAAAAAACATACCACTCACTAAAGGTGGGGGGAAGGTTTCAAAAACTTATTTAGAAGTAGTTACAGACAATATATAGATGAAAAGCATGGCTGTGTTCCAATAAACTTTACAAAAATAAGTTGGCTAGACCATAGGTTATAGTTTTTCAGTCTCTACTAAGATAATTATTTAATAGAAAAAAATTTTTTTTATCACAAAGAAGAAAAACCATCCATAATCCCACTACCCAGAGAAAAAGTGGTTGACATTTTGAGGGGGTATCCTTTAAGTATTTTTCTGTGTGTATGTATGCTTCTGTGTATTCAGTAGAGTATCAACAGAAAACCTGGAATCATACTTCATTATAAACAGCCATGTCAATGTTTTCTACTTGATTTTAATAGCTGTTTAAGATATGAATGCATGAGTATACTAATTTACCTAAATAATATCATGTTAGACATTTGGGTTACTTCTGATTTGCAAGTACTCTGATTACTATCCTTTTTTAAAACTGTTAATTTATGAAAAAAATTGTAATTCATTGATGTTCATGCCTTAAAGGTTCTCAGTTGAAAATATGAAATGACTATTTGTCTTTCTTCTTTTGCAAACTGCTCATTATTCTACTTTGCCTATTTTCTATTGGGCTATGAAGATTTTTAAAATACTAATTTGCAACTGCTCTTACATTGCAACTGCTCTCATACATTGTAAATACCTTCCCTATTTCATTTAAATTTTGTGAATTTTTGCCTTGCTTTTTGTCAGAAGTTTTAAATTTTTATATATTTATATTTATCAAACTTGTTGCCAGTGACTTATAACTATACTTCTTTATATTTATGCTTAGAAAAGCCTTCCCTTTGCACAGATAAGAACATACATTCACATCATTTTCTTACTAGGCACTATAAAGCAGTAAGAAATTAATACAAACATCTTAACATACATATGAACATACACACATATATATGGCCATAAATATAGTGTTCCTTTGACTCCATCCTATCTTCTTGATTCCCAGGGCCTTACATCAAGCACAAATCATCTGTCACCTAAGCCACTACATAGTTATCCCATTTCCATTCTCAGTGGCTTACTATCCATCCTGCACTCTGTTGCAGTAACTAACATCTTCAAACCTGAAAAATCTCAACATATTTGTCTTTTGCTTAAAATCCTTTCAATGGGAGGTCTCTGAGAAGTTACTGGTTATGGTGGTGGCAGAGTTTCTGAATGACCGTCAATACTGTGAGTGCATGTGTACGTGTGTGTGCATGTATGTGTGTGTATGTGTATGTAGAAAAGCAGGCCTGAGACTGTCTATCTTTAAAAAGTCCCACACTCAGGGTTGGTCCTTGGCTAGCATCTGCGAACTTGGGTTTTGGAAGGGGTCCCACTGCCTTAACTCGTAAGAGTGGCTCACTCACTCTGCCTAAACTTATTTGTGATAGATATGGTTTAAGGCTGAACCACAGCTGAACACCTAATTTCCTTCTGGGAGTTTGGAATTTTGGTATGTGTTAGGCAGTGGACTCCTAGATATAACCAGCCCCCCCAATAAAAACCCTGGGCACTGAGGCTCTAACTAGCTTCCCTGGTAGACAACATTTCATATATGTTGTCACAATTTGGTCCTGGAAGGGGTTAAGCACATCTACTCTAGGAGAAGACCCTTGGAAGTTAACATCTGGTTTCCTATGGCCTTCACCCCATGCACTTTTCTCTTTGCTGGTTTTGCTTTGTATTCTTTCACTATAAAATAAATCATAGCCATGAGTATGACTATATACAGAATCCTGTGAGTTCTCCTAGAGAATGACCAAATCTGGTCTTAGAAATCCCCAACACAGCATGTGAGAGTGTGAGAGAGAGAGAGAGAGAGAGAGAGAGAGAGAGTGTGTGTGTGTGTGTGTGTGTGTGTGTGTGTGTGTGTGTGTGTGTGTGTGTGTGTTTTACAACAGATAATAAACTAGATGACCAAAAACTAAAATCCCACGGACAACATTTACAACAAACTAGATGATGAGGTATCCCCATGAACCCCCAAACACATGCTGAGAGGTCAAACAATTAACAGCCATAAGTCCTTCATGGTACTGGTGTCTGTGCAGAAGGAAGTAGAAGGAATAACAAGGAATCTGTGACAGATCTGAGAACAGAAGCAGCCCATAACAGCCAAAAGGTATTCACAGAAAAGCATGGTGGCCAATTTTACAACCTCAGTCAAAACCCAGAATATCCACTTCATTAACAGGTCTGTGCTACAGGTTTGCAGGAAGGTCAAGACAAGAGCAGTTTAGCCAGAGAATTCCAAAACTGACCAGCCAAAGTGTGTCCCTCTCAGGTCAGAGCCCCACACTGAGGAGATCTGCTAGAAGTGGAAGCAAACCTGAACAGGATGGAGGCAACAAAGGTTCACAGACAGGTGGAAAAGTAGAGCAGAGTCAGGGAACCCCAGAAAGCAAGCAGCCATTAAAAAAAAAATATATATATATATATACACATATGTGTGTGTGTGTGTGTGTGTGTGTGTGTGTGTGTGTGTGTGTGTATACATGAAAACAATAGGGAGCTCTGTGAAGTTAGAAAAGCCACTTTGACCTCCTTTTGTCTAGAAGTTCAGGGAAGCTAAAACTAATTTCACAGATATATCCCACACAAACTTATGAAAACAAAGAGAACAAGGAGAAAAACGTTCTCAACAGAAGATCAGAAAGAAAAAAAAAATACAAGACATTAAGGAAAAAAAAAATACAAGACATTAAGAAAAAAAACATAAATTTAAAACTCAGAAAAGAGATGTCAGAACTTGGGAAAGAATTAGAAATTTTTTAAATCTCTTCAAAAATGAAGGCTAATTTAGAAGGAATTCAAAAATGAATAAACACAACAGACAATACCTTAAAGACAGGTTAAAAAGAAATTTTTAAAAATCAAAAAGAAATAACAAAAAAGTTTAAAAACACTTGAGAAAAAATGATAAACCACTGAAGATAAGCAAAGAAAATGCAACAACAAAAAATCCAAAGAGAGAAAAAGAATACTAAAAATTATAATTTAAGAAAAATTTCCAAAAATAAAAAAAGACTTGAAACTACATATTAAGAAACACACTATGGGCCGGGGGTGGTGGCTCACGCCTGTAATCCCAGCACTTTGGGAGGCCGAGGCGGGCAGATCACGAGGTCAGGAGATCGAGACCATCCTGGCCAACGTGGTGAAACCTCCATCTCTACTACAAAAACTACAAAAAATTAGCCAGGCGTGGTAGCAGGCGCCTGTAGTCGCAGCTACTCGGGAGGCTGAGGCAGGAGAATGGTGTGAACCCAGGAGGCGGAGCTTGCAGTGAGCCCAGACAGTGCCACTGCACTCCAGCCTGGGTGACAGAGCGAAACTCTGCCTCAAAAAAAAAAAAAAAAAAAAAAAGAAACACACTATGTACCTAACAATAGCAATACATAATGACCAACATCAAGACATATTCTAGAAAAATTACGTGGCTTTAAAGAAAAAAAAAATTCCTTTGAATAACCTAGGAATAAAAAACTAGTGACTTAAAAGGGTTTCAAAAGCTATGAAATCACGTCACACATTTGAGACCAAAGATAATAGGGTAACACTTAAGCTCCTTAAAGGAAATGTAAGCCTGCTACTAAATTACATTGAAAGAGAACTTGTACTCTCAAAGAAAAGAATCAAAAATCAGAAGATACATACTTATGAAAACAATATTAACATGTGCTCATTTATTATAAAAATTTGGAAAATAAAACAATAGAGGATTTTTAGGTAAATGATGGCATTGAATAATGAAATACATCCAGTCATTAAAAATTATGGTTATGAAGACTAATAATATGAGGATACCCAGGGTAGATCACTAATGAGAACAGGCAGAAAACATGATTGGACAAACAGAATGAGTATAACTATATGGACAGAAGACAGAGCTATACATAGAAACACTGTTAGAAAACATCTTTCAAATAGCTTTCTACTGAAGAAAATTTAGAAGAGAAAAATAGAAGGAGAAAAGTCTTTAAGAAGAAATATACAGATTATCCATTTATTTTATGCCTACATGTCAATTATAAAATTGCTCAAGAACATATTATATAGGCTAGTCAAGTGTATACCAATACTACAGAAATATATAGAGAATCAAAGAAATGTTATCATATAAACATTTTATACCAATGCTCCTATATAACATAAAAAAGACCACTTCTAGATAAAAAGTCTTTGTAGTCAAAGTTTTTGAGTGCTGCAATTCTGGTATAAATATAACCAGTCAATGAAATAAACCAATTTAGAATAGATTCATTCTTGAGAAAACTATTATTTCTAAAAATGTAATTAATATTTACATTTATCAGATCTCCATACTCAAGCAGACTATTAATGCTTACAAAATCTATACATAAAACATTTCATTTAGGAAAAGCAAATGGATTTAACATATACTGAATAACATATACTGAAATGTCACAGAAAACCTACATTTAAAGATCATTTTTTAATCTAAGGAATCAATACAATAGATTGACATTTGTAATTGCTTTGGAAAAGGCTGCAGCTTGAGAAAGATAACACAAGTTAACCTATTTGTGAGCCTAAGATGCTAAACTTGCTAAAGAGTGACATGCAATTATAACCTAAGTAGTCTGTCAGCCCGGGAGTTCTGCAGAAGCAGCAAGGCTCTTTTCCCCTGTAGAAAGACACTGTGATCCACATAAAGCTAATAACTTTAATTCAGCTCAGACATTTCAAAGTTGGATTCTAAATATACTCAGGAAATCTTATTTCAATATATACAATTCAGTATGATGCAGATTCTGTGAGATTCCACATTCCTATCACTTTCACTAAGACACTAATTTGATCATTTTTAAAGATTTGAAATTTGTGATTGTTCATAGAAGCAAAAGTAGAAAAATTTTTAATTTAATCATGGATGTGCCCTATTTACCATTTTTCTCAATAAGTAAAATTGATCACAGAAATTGGCCTAAGTAACAGACTGAATTCAATTATGTCAACTTTTTGACAGATTTGAAATTTTTATGAACACTGTTTAAATGAACATGATATATATTATACACACACACACACACACACAATTTTTTTTTTTTTCGCTCTGTCACCCAGGCTGGAGTGCAGCAGCACAGTCATGGCTCACTGCAGCCTCAACCTCCCAGGCTCAATCTCTCCTCTCACCTCAGCCTCCTCAGTAGCTAGGACTATAGGCGCGCACCACCACACCTGGCTAATTTTTGTATTTTTTGTAGAGATGGCGTTTCACCATGTTGCCCAGGCTGGTCTCCTGGGCTCAAGTGATCTGCCTGCCTTGGCCTCCCAAAGTGCTGGGATTCCAGGTGTGAACCACTGTGCCTGGCCACGATATTTTTAAACTGAACTGAATTTTGAGAAATCTTAACAAAACTTTTTTTAATTAATAAACATTCATTAAGTAGCAATTCGATGCTTTGGGCCACAATCAGATAAAACAGGCAGTACTGCTTGCAGGAAAAAAAACTAATTTGAAAAAAAAAAAAAATTCCAAAGGTTTAAATTATGCTGCCCATAAAAGGAAAACATAAGTATGTAAAATCATGAAAACTGTCTTTCCTCACTAAGAAAACTGGGACTGCATCCTTACCAGCAGAAGCCAACTTGCATTTCCTAGCCCATGTATTCTGTTTTAATGGTATAACTTATTGAAGAAAAATGAAATAAAATGGTACACAAAACAAATATAACCATTTGTTCCAGGGAAAGGGGAAAAAAACCAACAGACTCTAGTCAAATTTTTCACCCTCTTTAATGCTCTCATTTTTAAATCAGTCTAAAACACAAAATATGATCACTGGGGTCAAGTTGCAACTGGGTTTGGAGGGAACACATTAAATCTAAAGATGCTCAAACCATTTTAGAGAAGTAAATCACAAAAGGTATTTTAATGGATTGGTATTCATTAAAAGCTCACAGTAATAGCTAACATCCACTGACCTCTTACCAAATGGTAGGCAATGTGATAAACACACTCACCATCTCATTTAGCCATCAAAAAAAAAAATCCCTTTGAAAGTATATTATTCTCACTTGAAAGATAAGGAAAAGGAGGCTTGAGAGTTAAGTAACTTGTTCAAGTTCACTGAGCTAGCTAAGGTGCTTTACTCCTAGTGCTCTCCAAATAAATGTGGGACTTACCACGTAAATCTACATCAGAAGATCCTACAGAGATGCAGAATGCCCAAGCAGGAGGCAGCAGGCCCATGAAGATCTCAAGTTCTAGTTTATCTGATCTTAGATAAGAGATAAGCTTTGAGCATTACTGTTTTCCTAAACTAAAAGATATATTTAATTCAGTTCCCTGTGCAGTTATCAATGAAAATCCTTTCAAAATTAACAATACAGCAACCTATCACATAGAATTTTAAAAGATACTGGTGTGAGGAAGAGGTATAGGTACATGTTGGACTCCTGCACAAAGAGACAAGAAAATAGTGTAAAGTTTCCAGAAGCTTTTCACCCTCAAACCCTTATATATTCAGCTGCTCCTGAGCTAGATATGCAAAAGAAAATGCTACCACTTCTGAAGAGCTGATATGTAAAATAGTCAATTAAGAGTTGTATGATCTGAAAGTCCTGGAATCTGTTTTCTCATTTGTAAAATGAGAACATATACCTCACAAGTTAGTAGCAAAGATTAAACGAGACAATGTAATTCAATGCAATGATCACAGTGCTGAAACACAATAAATGGTGGTAAGCATTCTATGCTGTGATAACCTCTGCTTACAATGCTCTCCAAATCCTCTCACCACATTCTCTGGTCCCTCCCCAAAAACCCAGGTCTGAATAACTTGGACTTTTCCTCAGGCTACCACTGAGACATCATTTCCTTTAAAATGCTTTTCCATTCTTCCCAAATGGCTTAGGTGTCTCTCCTTTAGGTTCCCTTGGAACTCCGCAGTTTATTGCTTTCACAGCACTCAACATTCTGTTTGGTTAACTGTATACTTATTGCTTATTGCTACTTTCATCTAGGATGAATAAATATGAATTATAGGAGCTAAATGATGTAAAACTTCCAACATAAATAGTAAAATCTGCCCACAATATACAGCACCCTAATAAGATAAAGGATATCTACAAAACAAACCTTACAATGACTATCATGCTTGGTAGTAAATTGAATGCTTCTTCCAGAATTTGGGGACAAAATAAAGATGTCCACTATCATCACTTCTATTCAACACTGGATTGGAGAGCCTAGTCAACGCAATAAAGAAAAAGTAATAACATATATAAAGATTAGGAAATAAGAAATAAAAACTTATCATTCACAGATGACAGCCATGATAGTCTATAAACTGTAAATACTACAAATTCTTTCAAAAGAATCAAGACTGTCCAAACTATTAAGTGAATTTAGCAGAATTTTTGGATAAAATGACAAAAGACAAATATGAACTGTGTTTCTCTCTACAAGCCACAAAGAATAGGAAAATAAAATTTAACAAAAAATGCAATTAGAAATGTATCATCAAAAAATCAAATGCATGGTAATAAATCTACTAAAAGATATGCAAGCCCTCTACAGTAAAAACAAAGCACTGCTAAGAAAAATTAAAGGCTTAGATAAATAGATAGTTATACCATGTTCATGAAAGAATCAATATTGTTAAGATAGTAGTTGTTCCTAAATTGGTCCATAGATCCAATATAATCTTAATCAAAATGAAGCAGATTTTTTGTTAGAAATGGGCAAGCTGATTCTAAAATTCAGCTAGAAATGCAAAAGGCCCATAGTAGTCAAAGTGAACTTAAAAATATCACGATCTACCATAAAGCTACAATAAGCAAAACTAGTAACAGTCAAACTAGACCAACGGAACAAAATAGAACGACTACAACTAACATATACAGTTACCAGTTTTGCAAGAAGGCATTAATGTAATTCAGTGGGGATAGGTTGGTCTTTGTAATAAATAACATTGGTACAATTAGATATCTATAGGACCCTCTTTCACACAATACACAAAAATTAACTTGAAATGGATCATAACAAACATAAATAAGAAAGATAAAACAACAAAGCTTCTAAAAGAAAACACAGAATAGTATCTTCAAAATCTTGGGGCAGGCAAGATTCTTCAAGAGAACACAAAAAGCAACAAACATAAAAGAAAAGACTGACATATGAGACTTCATTAAATTTAAGAACTTCTGTTCACTAAAACACACACACACACGCAAACAGGCATACAGTTTCACACACACACACACACACACACACACACACACACACACACAAACAGGTATTAAGGAGTAAAACAGCAAGCCATGGCTGAAGGAAGATATTTGCAACATGCATATCCCCAAAATGAATCTACCTGCAATACATAAGAAATTATAAATAAATTTTAAAAACACGAATAACCCAACATAAAAATGGGCAACAGACTTGAACAGTCACTTCACAAGAGGCATATAAAAATATACTTAACATCATTCAACATGGACAAATGCAAATTAAAACCACCATGAGACAGCACTACATAACCATCAAAGTGGCAAAAATAAGACAGATAATGCCAAGTATTAGCAAAAATGTGGAGCAACTGGATCTCACAGCCAGCTGGATTTCACTTTAGAAAATGTTTTGGCAATTTTTCATAAAGTAAAACTGTATGCCTATGCTACAATCCTGCAATTCCACTCCTAAGTATTTACTCAAAATAAATAAAAACATGTATCTTAAAAAAAGACTTGTACAAAAATATTCACAGTAGCTACCTTGTAACAGCTAAAACAAGACAATTCACTGCTCATCAACAAAAGAATGGATAAATGGTGGCCCATTCATATAAGGAAACACTACACAGAATTAATACAGTATGAACTACTATTCCATGCAACAAAGCAAATGTAATGATGACTAAAAGAAACCAGACACATATGATTCCTTGCTTTTTTTTTTCTTTTGAGACAGGGTCTCACTCTGTCACTGAGGCTGGAGTGCAGTGGCACAATCAGAACTCACTGCAGCCTCAACCTCCCAGGCTCAAGTGATCATCCTGCCTCAGCCTCCCAAGCAGCTGGGACTACTGGCATGCACCACCATGCCTGGTGAATTTCTTTATATTTTTAATAGAGATGAGGTTTTGCCACATTGCCCAAGGTGGTCTTGAACTCCTGGGCTCAAGGGATCTGCCTGCCTCAGCCTCCCAAAGTGCTGAGATTACAGGTAGCCACCGCGTCTGGCCCACATATGATTCCTTTCATAAAATATGAGGTAGTGACTGGAAAAGACAAAATCAAGTCCTCTGGTGTGCTGGCAATGTTCTATATCTTGATTTTGTTAGTAGTTACACCAATGTATTTACGTATACATAAAAATTCAACAAGCTGTACACTTAAGATATATGCACTGCACTTTATTGTAAGTTACACCTCAATTGTTTTAAAAAATTTAAATCTTTTACACAAAATTAGGCCAAAAGGTATAGTCAAACCTAATGTTTTCAGGAATATTCCTTCATGTCTGATTTTAATAAGAAAACTCTCTAGCAAGATACAATAAGCATAAAAATTGAAGTATAAGAATATACATAGTAGTATCTGGTCTAATTTTTATGGTATTGAAAAGTCAGTCCAAAATTTATAAATTTGTCATGCTTCTAACACACACAAAAAAAGAAAGTTACTCTATGTCCTTAAAAAAGATATTTGAACATTAATGATTTTTTTCACAATAGTTCCAAAGTTTATAGGCTTAGACTTTATGTCTCTCTTTATCAAAATATAAATAAAAAAGAAATCACCAAAACAAAATATAATAAGTTCCTGCTTTTATGACAATATTAGCACATTCTAAAGAGCATCCCTTTGGCAAATCATTTATCTTCATCCATAAAATGCAGAAAGCGAGATTACCTCTAAAGGCTATTTTTAATGTTCAAGGATTCTATGATTCTGACATTCAACTAATTAAAAACTCTGATTAATTTCCCTAAATACCTCCCAAAACAAGTCTTTTGTGTGACATTCAGTCTTACATCAATACTATATTCATATTTACCCTTTTCCAATCTTTTCTCACATTGGTCCTATATAAAGCCCATGCAATTTTCTTTCTCCTTATTTTTGTTAATGTGATTTCCTCCATGTAAAACATCCCTCTCCCAGCTGGGTGTGGTGGCTCATGCCTGTAATCCCAGCACTTTGGGAGACTGAGGCAGGAGGATCACTTGAGGCCAGGAGTTAAAGACCTGCCTGGACAACATACTGAGACCCTGTCTCTAATATTAAAAAAAAAAAAAAAAATTAGCCAGGCTCCCACTTGAGCCCAGGAGTTGGGGCTGCAGTGAGCCATGATCATTCCCCTGCACTCCAGCATAGGCAATAGAGTAAGACTCTCTAAGAAAGAAAAAAAAAAATCCCTCTTCTAAAGCTTTATATTTGCCTAACAAAATCTTTGTCATCTCTAAAAATATTCATACATTCAAATATTTATTATACATCTTCTCCATGTAAGGCAAGAAACTAGAAAATAGACTGAGGACAAAGAAACAGGCCATGGTTCCACCAATAATGTGGACACGTGAAAAAGACTAACCCTGGCTGGGTGCAGTGGCTCATACCTGTAATCCTAACACTTTGGGAGGCCGAGGGAGGTGGATCACCTGAGGTCAGGAGTCCAAGACCAGCCTGGCCAACATGGTGAAACCCCATCTCTACTAAAATACAAAAATTAGCTGGGCATGATGGTGGGTGCCTGTAATCCCAGTTACTTGGGAGACTGAGACAAGAGAATCGCTTGAACCCGGGAGACAGTGGTTGCAGTGAGCTGAGATTGCGCCACTATACTCTAGCCTGGGCAGCTGAGCGAGACTCCGCCTCAAAAAACCAAACAAACAAGCAAAAAAAGAGTAATCCCAATACAAGTTAGAAACAAATAATTGGCAAAGAGGCCAGTTTATATTGTCATAGTAAAAACAAAATCAATAAGCCTTAGACGTAGCTGAAACTCCCCAACCCTTTCAATTTTCCCTATTTTATTCCCAGATAGTCTTCTCTCAGCTGTTCTGAATCACCATAAGACTGTTTTATATCACTTACTCATAATACCATTTATATATCTGTATTATTCCCCAATATATATGAAACTTAAAAAAGACTTTTTCCTGTATGCTTTTCATATCCACTAAATTTTTTAAGCACTAAATACTATTCAAGTAATAATTTAAAAAAACTACTTCCCAAAAGTGAAGATCTCCCATATTTTATAATAGTTATGGCCAAAGAGATTACAATTAAGTAAAAATTGAAAGAACTTGCACCTCATGGGAAATTTCTATGGCGAATCTTATGGAAAGTCAACCAAGAGTTAGGTTCCTTGAAAAACTGAATTTATTCTTTTGAACATTTTTTATAGAGGAAAAAAATTGACTTATTTTCCTTTTAAAAAGTTTCCCAAAACACTCTTATATTAACCTGAAATATATAAGCTTCGATACTTTATCATATATCTACAAAAACAAAAATGCAAAACTTAAATTACTCTCTGCCTAAACACACTCAATCATTCCATGTCCACAAAACAGTATTTATGAGTGTATCTGTCTTGCAGCTGACAAAATCTGAGCTATGTGACACATTTCTATAACAGTAATGCTGTAGAAAGATTAATATCCATTTTTTACATTTAACCTATTAACAACTATTTGTATTTTATTATGCTGTATATAGTTATAGTCTAGAAGGATGTGACTATTTGATTACATAATCAAATTTATATAAGCACCATAATCTAGTATGAATTAGCTTGCTATCTGAATATTTTAAAACACTACCATTTAAAAATAGCTGAAGTTTTTCAATCAAGCATTTCAAAAACTTAAATTCACAGTCTTATGTAAGATACAATTCAAAATCTATCTTACCAATTTTACTCTGAATAAACTCATACTGTACCTGGTTACTACCATGGCCAAAAGGAGTACTAGATAAATTAGTGGTTACACTGTGTAAAATAATTTCACCACTAAGAGATCCAGAAGCAATGTAGCAATCATTCCAATTGTATGTTACACAAGTTACTTGATCTTTATGATCCTGAAAGAGAGAAATGAAAGTAAGTACACTGCCCCATAATCCTCGAACAGCCCATTTTCATGTTTCTGTAAATACCATACATTATGTATTTATCAATCTAATATTTGCTTTAACATTTTCCTCAAATATACAGAGAATTATTTTCAATAATGATAAAAATGGTCCAGGCACTTTACGAGAGAGAGAGATTATGGACAGGTAATTTTCTACATGGCATTATGTCTTCCTTAAAGAATTCACTTCCTCTGACAAATAACAGGTATTGCAAGTTGACTATTTTGAGTTTCTGCTTTAACATGAAAATGGCAGAGAATATGCTAAATGAATGATGGAAGCAAAGTGTCAGAGGAAAGAGAAAGAGCTACTGTGAATGAAGTTGGCAGAGGAAACTTTATGGAAGACATAAAGCTGGAGTTCAACCTTAGAGAAAAGAGAAAAATCATGGGAAGGGGAAAGAAACCAGACATTGCAAAATGGAGGAGTGGGAAAAACAAATGAGCAAGGCATCTGTGAGATAACAGAAACTGCTTCCATTTGCTGAGAACCTACTAGTGCTGGGAGCTTTATATATTATTTAATGCTTAGAAAAGCCTGAGGGGCAAGGTCATTTTGCCCATTTTATAAATGAAGTACATGAGACACTGAGAGGTTAAGAAACCTGCGCAAGCTCACGTAACTGCTAAGTGACAGGGCCAGGACTCAATTCCATGTCAAACTCCAAAGCCTCTCTTCCTTCCACTATACCAGGCTGCCTCTCAAATCCAATTAGGAATACACTTTGAGGAAGTAAAACTTTCAGGTTTTAAACAAACTGAGTTCACAAGGACTATGTTTTCCAACATCAAATTAGAGATGTCCAGCAGGAGAGAAAAGTGACCAAAATTGGGAGAAGAGTTTTTAACAGGAAGATGCCATATCTCAATAATACAAACAAACTAAGCCCTGTATCTAATAATTATTTATGTAACAGCAAGAATAATAGCTATGATATTCCACTTATATTACAACTTTTTCAAGTGGTCCTTCAAGTATTTTCAGAGATTTCTTTACCTATTATTCCTTTCCCAAAACCAAGGAACACTTGCTATCTTGAGGAAAAAATGTTTGATGAAAAGAAAAAAGGAAGAGCAGACGTTCTGGGTATCGTTCCCATTTGGGAAATTAAGAACATGGGGTCCAATGTAATTTCTATGACTTTATAAAGAGGCAAGTGTCTTCCTAATTTCAACTGTGGAGAATAAGTCATTCAGCAAACATTTACTAAGAACCTACTAAGTGCCAGAAATTGTGTTAATCACCAGGGAGACGACTGTAGAGATCCAAAGGTAAAAGATTAGATTTCCCACTATCACAAGTAGTCAAAATATTCATTAACAGAATGAATGAGGGAGCTAAACATTACGAATTTCACACCGAAAAGACAGAAAACCATCCAGAGTAATTGAGAAAGCTGAAAATGGAAAAAATCATCAAATTTTGCCATGCAGGGATGGGGTAAGTGAAGCTTACATGGGAGATGGATTAAAGAAAGTTCTTCCTCTGTGTATGTGTGTAGATATAAATATGTTTATATTTTTCATATTAAAACTTTTTTAAGACAAAAATTAATTTTAAGATCAACTTCTAAATATTAAAAAGACAATATAATGAAAAGTAGAATTCCAAAAAAAAGACCATAGACTTTCTTGTGCTGAATATTTTTATTTTCTGAAACTACAAAAAGCTAATTATTAAAGAAACATTAATTGTAAATAGTAAATTAGTTTACAAAATATTACCAAGTTAAAAATACAAACACACACACACAAAAAAAAAACACAAACAAGAGCAGCCAAATATACTACATAACTAAAAAGCTGACCCAACTCTGATTACTGTATTGAATACTATCATCACAAAACAACTCTCATTTTTTCCACCTGGCCCTAAGGAAAGATCCCTGATGACCACACACCATAGTTTAGGAAAAAATGAGTGAAGTGGTTCATTCAAATAAGAGTAGAACTAAATAAAAAACAAGAAAAAAGTTGTAAATGTTGATCATATGCATTAATGCTACACATGTAAGAAAAAAGACATAAAAATAAGTTTTTGGCTAAATAGCACCTTTATTTTCCCTAACAAATCTTAGTTCAATTCTGAAGCCTCTTATTTTTATCATAAAAGCTCAAAAATAAAAGCTTGGTAAGTACTCTAAATGCATTAAGATATCCATTTTTTCATGAAGATTTTTTTTAAATTGCTTACCTTAAGAGATCGATGAACTCTTTTTGATTTTAAATCCCAAATATTAACAGTGTTATTTAGGCCTCCGCTTACCAAATACATAGATGTAGAATTTAAATTGACACATGTCTGCTTTTGCTATTTAAAAAAAAAAAAAAAAGTTACCTTAATTTAACAGAGCCCAGAGCTGACTTTCAGGTCTCATCCAACACTTAGTAAGCATATGATAAATATTGGTTAAATTAAATACTATAAACATGCTAATCTTGTACTAAAGAGCCACTCTCTCATCGTCTTTCTTCCACATGGATCCAACAGCTTTTAAGGGGGTCAAAAATGCTTCAAGGAAATCAAATAGATTTGCATTCACTTCTGTGGACCGGTGACGACACAGGAAGCTTAGAAAACACTGGCAGTCCTGGTCTCCCATCAGGGCTTGTTTGCCCATCCTATCTCCTCTTGATAAAGCCTGCTCTTGTATTTCCACAGAATATCCTACATTAAAATCAATCCCCAGCTCAAAAATGCTAAAAATAGAAGAGACTTTAAAAGAATTTCCAGTGTACAGCCCTCATTTTACCGATGGGATAAGTTTTTTTTTAAAGAAGTCAAGATACTTGCCCTAAGTCTTCCAGCAAATCTCCGTTAAGGAGACCAAGTCTCAGACATCAGGTCATCAAAGCCTGACTTCAACTGTTCCCCATCTCTGTAAAGACACCATCCAGTTTCTCAAGATAAAAACCCAGAATAACCCTTGATTTCTTGTTCTCCCTCCCCTCCAATCTATCAGTAAGCTCTCTAAACTCCAACCCAAGAATGAATCCCACATGGGCTCCCCTTTATCTATAGCTACTACTAACACTAACCCAAACCTTACCAAACTACGACAGCAGCTTCCTAACTGGTTTCCCTGTTTCCACTCCTGCTCTCCTATATTCCATCCTTCATAAGTAGGGTGGACTTTAAAAATGTAAATCAGATCATGTCTCCTTCCATACCCAAATGACTATAAATCATGCTGCTATAAAGACACATGCACACGTATGTTTATTGCGGCATTACTCACAATAGCAAAGACTTGGAACCAACCCAAATGTCCAACAATGATAGACTGGATTAAGAAAATGTGGCACATATACACCATGGAATACTATGCAGCCATAAAAAATGATGAGTTCATGTCCTTTGTAGGGACATGGATGAAATTGGAAACCATCATTCTCAGTAAACTATCGCAAGAACAAAAAACCAAACACCGCATATTCTCACTCATAGGTGGGAATTGAACAATGAGATCACATGGACACAGGAAGGGGAATATCACACTCTGGGGACTGTGGTGGGGAGGGGGGAGGGGGGAGGGATAGCATTGGGAGATATACCTAATGCTAGATGACGAGTTAGTGGGTGCAGCGCACCAGCATGGCACATGTATACGTATGTAACTAACCTGCACAATGTGCACATGTACCCTAAAACTTAAAGTATAATTTAAAAATAATAATAATAATAATAATAATAATAATAAATCTTCAACGGCTTCCAATCACACCAAGAATAAACTCCAAACATTTACCTGGCTTTCAAAGTCCTATTATTTGGGCCCTACCTCATCTGTTACCATTTTCTTCCTCATCCACTAATTCTCCAGCCATACTGACCTTCCATTCCTTAAATATACAACCCTATATTTGCCTCAAGGCTTCTACACAGCTATTCTCCTTGCCTAGAAAGCTAAATTCACTGAACCCTGTTTGGAAGACTTTCTGGTCAACAGATATCAACTTAAGTGCCACCACACTTCAAGGGACCTCCATTGGCTACCTAATGTAACTTGCTATCACAATATCTTATTTTAGTTATCTGCATGATAACTTACCAATATCTGGGTATTTTTTGTTTACTAGTTTACTGCCTGTCCCCCGCCAGAATGTCAGTTTCACTAGCACAAGGCCCATATCCATGCTCCATCTTTATAGAATGGCTAAAATACAGATGTTGTCAAGTTCTTCTCAGTGAGTATCTTTGAGTGTCACCAATTTGGTGGTGCCATCAGTAACTATGCTATACAGAACAGTGTTGCATTTTTTTCCTAAGTAACCTTTAGATGCACTACGAAGTCACATTAGTTGGAACTTCCACAGTGCATCCTTGGATTCTTCAAATTCAAAGGAGACATTTCATGACTTCAAGAAAAGTTAAAAGGCAAGCTATGTAGGTTTAGGCAAATCATCTCACCTTTCTGAGCCTATGCTTCTGCATTTGAGAAACGAAAGGTGAAGACTAGATCTACTGTTCTTACTTTGAGAATCCATGCTTCTCAGAAATATCCTCTGCTCAAAAGAGATTCTTTAAAGGGTGCATATGATCCCCTTCCTCTAGCCCTTCCCCCATTGCACGTTCAAATACTATAAACATGCTAATCTTGTACTAAAGAGCCACTCTCTTACTGTCTTTCTTCCACATGGATCCAACGGCTTTTAAGGGGGTCAAAAATGCTTCAAGGAAATCAAATAGATTTGTGTTCACTTCTGTGGACCCCAGGGTTCCTTCTAGCTCTAAAATTTTGACCAAGAGTATCAACTAACATATAAAAATAGCAAGATGCACACAACATCAATGTTTCAGTATAGTTGCTGTAATTCTCCTGCAGATACCATTCTAGGAATTGACTTTAGTTGAGGGAGACTAAGAAGCTTTAGAATCTGGTTGTCACTGCAAATCAGGACAGTTTGCTAAGAACTATCAAAACAGCCTTTAAATAAAATAGAAAAAGATGGTGTCCATTGAAGATCAATATATTGGGACTCCAATCATCACAACAACTACAATTACTCTTAAGGGCTCAAAATAAAAATTATATTTAGAGCTGGCTAACCCTGTTGATAGGTCTTTTTTATGATAATGTATTATTAATGCAACTAATGAACTTAAATAATTAATGGAAATTGTGTGGTTATTACAGGAATCCTGAACTGCTCAAGGTGCAAGGCAAAGGTACATTCTACTTTAAAGAGGTGAAATACAAAATCAAAGAAAATAAATATGAACTTAAAGTTCTACTCTAAAATTTTAAAATCAGTAAGATCATAATTTATTTTCTCAAGTAGAAAAGGTCTAATGCCTCAAATAATACACGAGTAAGAGGACTTGGAAGTTACAAAAAGGTTATTAGCACATTAATATGTTTCTGTAAACATTACTAGTAAAAGCTAAAAAACCAATGTTTCCAAATATTTTCATAACTAAATTAAAATAGATTGAAAATTTGAACTCAACTAATCTTACTTTTATCCAACAGCATTATGATACAATTTGTTAACTATGGGAAAGAGGGCTAAGAATCATAGCAACTAATTTGGAATATTCACAAAACTCTTAGAATTATGTCACACTTGTAAATACCATCTGTTATTTTTATACTTTAAAAAAAAAGCTCCCAAATACTGATTCACTGATCCTAAGGCATAATGCATAACAGTAGTACATATATATAGTGGTAGAGTAGAAGTTGAAATTGTTTTGATGTTGACATTAACAAGTTTTTTGAACATCTTAGGATACAAAGATCCAAAGATGGTTAAGATGTTTTGCCTGCTCTTGAAGACTTCAGTCTGCCTTTATCGACCAGAGACATTCTATGCCTTGATTCTGCTTAAGTCAGGTTAAACAGAGTGCCTCAAACTCCATTTCTACTGTTAGCACATGTTCCCTCTGTCCCAGTCTCCAACATCTGTGGGTTAGAACTGAAGTTCAGGTCAATCCCACTGGATACCTTTAGGAGAGGATTGATAAAAATCATGAGTCCTCTTTAAATTAGTTGAGCTTTTATTCAGTTGTCCTGCTGTTTTCTTTCTAATTGGGCTACTTTACCTATCCCAGTGTGTAAAATTATGACAATTCATAATAATTTAAGATCTGCTAGAAAAACTTTGAAATTAAAAAAAAAAGCTATCAACTACCATATCTTTTTATTTAAATCTTATCTTATTTAAAAAAGAAATAGCTTTCAAAGAGTGTGTGACTAGAAATGAAGAAGCCAGTATTATCCTTAATCAGAGGGATTAACTTATAAAACAAAAGGATAGGCTGGGTGTGGTGGCTCATGCCTGTAATCCCAGCACTTTGGGAGGCTGAGGCGGGCGGATCATGAGGTCAGGAGTTCAAGACCAGCCTGGCCAACATGGTGAAACCCCGTCTCTACTAAAAATACAAAAATTAGCCAGGCGTGGTGGTGGGCACCTGTAATCCCTGCCACTTGAGAGGCTGAGGCAGGAGAATCGCTTGAACTGGGGAGGCGGAGGTTGCAGTGAGCTAAGATTGCACCATTGCACTCCAGCCTGGGCAACAGAGCGAGACTCCATCTCAAAAGAAAAAAAAAAAAGGATAAGGCAACAGTACGTAGTGAGAGCTTCATTTAAACGCCCTGGGACCTAAGCTCATTTTGACAAAGCCAACCTGTTTAAGGAGAGTATGGGGGAGGCTCAGACAGGCCCCTCAGTACAGGTGGACAGAATCTGAAGCAGAGAGCTACCATCAGCTGTGAGTCTGTTCCTGATGGTCCTGAGCCCAAGATCAGTAAAGCAGTGCTGTGTCATTAGAGTTTATATGCTCAGGTCAACCTAGTAACCTATGTGGGATATCGTCCTAAAATAGCAGCAACAGAGATCCTCTCCCACTGAGGGAAAATGGAGAAATGAAGTGCCTAGTCAACAAAATTCAAGTCTTCAATTGTTCCCCTATATTCAAAACTATTTTACCTAAAAATACTTTAGTAAGTACACATATCTCATTTTTAAGTGTTACTATATTATTTTGAGCTTAAGTTAAAAATAATGCTTTTAAAAACCTTTATATTTAGTCGCAAGCACCACAATAAGCAATTGCCAGTCAAGCAAAACTAAGATTTTTAAAAGTTTAAAAAAAAAAAAAATCACTTACCCCTTCAGCAAGCTCTAAAAGTGGAACAGGTTTACATTTGCAACTTGAGACAACTATTTTGTCGCCACTGGAAGATGCTGTTACTAAAAAGTTATCTAAATGAGGAGTTATGGAGCATCAAACAATCCATGAACATCTATAGCACTAGACTATTATAAGAATTGCGATTATAAAAGCTAACACACTAAGAAGACAAGCAATGAGTATAGCTTACAGAGTAGCTTTCAAAAATGGCTCACATTACTATTAATAATTACTAAGACTAATTCTCTTTGCTACTACTGCAGGGAAGAACTAGCCTTCTTTCTGGCTCTGCTATCACTCAAAAGCTATTTAACCCACGTGAAATACTACTCTGTTTTCAAAGAGTAGGCCAGAAGGGCTAATTTTATCCTTCAAGAATGAGAGCATGATAAAAGCAGCATCAGCAAATATCAATCAACCTTTTCATCTACAGAAACTGTTCAAGATATTTATTAACCTAGTGCTTGGTAACAATCTAAACTAGGAAGCAAACATCCACACTAGTCTCCTATTTTTCTATTTAAAAAAAAAAAAGGCCTGATATTTTCCCAGAACATGAATTTTTGTGATAGAATGTTTCAATCTTAAATTAAGAATGACTATTACAGTAACTTGCAAATATTTTATAAATATGTATGGTTAAATAGGAATTGTGTTATGAGTTTTAATTTTTAAATAAAATGTAATTTTATTTACCTTCTTTTACACGAATTGTAAATGGAACAATCAGTAAACACAAAACAGTAACTATTTTAAAACTAAAATGATTAAATACAATAATATAACTAAGAATAAGAGTCTGATTTTGAGAGCCATAACAAATTAAAATATCAGAAGTTTAAATCTGTGCTTTTTAGCAATTAAAATCTGTGAGTAAAAGCAATGGAGAAAGGTTAATTAGACACTCAGAATCCCTAACTGCATTAACTTTTGAATGTTCTGTATAACTTTCAGGTATTTTGTAAACAGAGCATAGACTGTAATTTTATTATGATACATGATGCAAATCAAATCATTCCTACCTAGATATTACCATAGCGAGAAAAACCATTTCCCTTTCCTTGACTTCTTCCTGTTTACCACTACTTTTCTCCTTAGAATATAGAAAAAAAAGGACTGAAACATAATGTGGGTGGGTAATCTAGTTCTTTTTTATTTCTCTTGTAGTTTTAGAAATCATGAGAAAGTGAGGAACGTAAGTTAAAGGACAAGAAACAAAAAACTAATCTCTCTGGTGTCTCACATTAACCCCATTCTTGGAATCTATACTATGTGGACCCCAAGTTGCTAAGGCTGGGAACTCCTTGTTCTTCAGTAATTAACCTCCATGGAAGTGATCAAAGCCTTATTAAGAATAAGACTGTATGAAGGCTTTCAGTGCACATCTGCTCATGCAAGAAAACTGTAAGACCAATTTCCAAAAGTCATACAACACTATCTCATAGCTACATCAGTTTTGTTGTTAGACTATTAAGTAGCACATCAGTAAATGCCAACTCCTAGTAAAACTTAAAACAAAAGTCAACCAAAAAATAATCTTACTACAAATTGCTACCTTTCTCTTATATAGTAAGAGGGAAAATTAAGCTCTAAACATAATGAAAATCTAAAAATAGAGAACAGCAACTTCATATACTTGTCGCTCTCTTTAAAATATTTTCCCTATTACACATCTGGAAAGTCCTTCAAAAATGTAGTCACTTCACCATGAGTTTGATTAACAGAGTACCAAAGTAATTTGTTTTACTGCAAAATCAAGGAATGATAAGGAGGTAAATTTAATTCAGTAAGAAAATTTGTCCTTCTTGTTATATACATGCAAGAATAGTAAGTCATATAAAACTTTTAATATTTTTGTTCCTGAACCAGTCACATTTTAAAGCTTTGATTTTTTTATCAGAAAGTAGAATACTTTGGTGTTGATAAAAATCAGATAAATGTTAAATCTTAATTTGTTAAGAAATAGCGTATGAGTTTCACAAAAGAAAATTTCTAACATACCAATTACATAAAACATTTTCACATAAAAGGTGATAGGAGCACTGTGGTCACAGCAGTGGTTCTCTACTGGGAGTGATTCAGGCAATTCTGGAAACGTTTTGGGTTGTCACAACTAGAGGCTATTGGTACCTAACGGGTGAAGACCAATAAACCTCCACGTGGTACAACATACAGGAAAGGTCCACAACAAATTTTCTGCCCCAAAAAGTCAATAGCACAGGGTTCAGAAACCCTAGTTTACAGTCTTCACTCCCTCATTTTATTTTATCCACATTGAGGAGCTCACCAAGACAGGGAAGGTGTCAATCAGAAACATAAAAAGCTTAGAAAAGTTCAATCTAGGTAACTTTACTATGTCTGTTTAGGAAATGTAATTTTCATCACACACACAGAGAGGAAGGAAGATATGGAGAGTACATTAGTAAGATGGAGATATTGGGCAATTTTTTATCTCCTCCCCAACTTGCTTCTGCCTTCAAGTTCTGTCTTTAATTTTCAGTTCAGATCCACAAATACCCAAATGTAGATGCAAAAACTCATTCCAAAACCTTTTGGAATTATTTCCACAACTACCAACCTTATTCCATTTGGTTCAATAAGAAATTTTTGATAACTAATTCTATGGTGTAGACAGAATATACTTTTTTTAATAGCAGTGTTTTCAAATGAAGTGGGTTGTAACTAAATTTTTTTTAAATGAACGCAACAGATAAAATCAGAGTGCATTCATATGATATATTGTTTTGTAAATTACTATTTTACGTTATCTATCCTTGGTAGCAATGCAAAACACATTACTCAGTATGAGGCACATGCAAAAGTTTCATTGACAGTGGTTGTTTAACCTAATAAGCGGTTTGTGTGTGTGTGTGTGTGTTTTTTTTTTTTAAAGGATACTATTGCTGCTCCAACATATTGAGCTGATTCCATGTGGTGATGTGTGTGGGTTGAATTTATCCACCAATGTCATAGATGAAGCATCCCATATTTTAATATCATCTCCTGATGAAGCAAATCTGAGGTTTTCCTGCATGACTGCGCCTACAAATAGTTTAAAACAATGTATTTTAAAAACATTTAAGAATAGACATACTCAAAAAAAGGTCAAAATCTAATCTAAAACAAGTGGCTCTAACTCATTCATTTTTGTTCCAAACAGTGCAGTCACCAAAGCAGTTGAAGTGATTTTCCTAAAACATAAGCCAGGTCGCATTCTCTTAGCTGACCCTTCCAATGGCTCCTCACAGTAATGATAATGAAATCCAGCCTCCTTAGCCTGCCTTACATGTCCTGGCCCCCATGTAACTCTCCTCTTTCTTTTCACTGGCCTTCTCTCTGCCTCATGCAAAGGCAAAGTCATTCTCACCTCAGTGTCTTTTCATTTGCTGCTCCCTGTGCCTAAGATGTTCTCCCCAGATTCCCATGGTCATCTCCTTCTCATCATTCAGGTCTTAGCTCAAATGTTTCCTCCTATGAAAGGCCTTTCCTGACCACCCTGGCTAACGCAGTCCCTTCCTTACCTGGTAAGGGACTTAGCAGTTTACCCTATATCCCAATACCTGATTTCATTTTTTTCATAGCACTTCCTAATATCTGAATTTTTTTTTTTTTTTTTTGAGACGGAGTTTCACTCTTGTTGTCCAGGCTGGAGTGCAATGGTGTGATCTCGGCTCACCACAACCTCCGCCTTCCAGGTTCAAGTGATTCTCCTGCCTCAGCCTCCCGAGTAGCTGGGATTACCGGCATGCACCACCACACCCGGCTAATTTTGTATTTTTAGTAGAGACGGGGTTTCTCCATGTTGGTCAGGCTGGTCTCGAACTCCTGACCTCAGGTGATCTGCCCGCCTCAGCCTCCCAAAGTGTTGGGACCACAGGCGTGAGCCACCGTGCCCAGCCACTATCTGAAATTTTTATTTGTTCTTATAATGTCTGTCTCCCCACACCAGAGTCTTGAAACATTCCTGGCACACAGCAGTTTCACAACAAATAACTACTAATAAGTAACTTCCTAATTTTTAAAAAAAGTATGATAAACTAGCATTTCTGCAGGTCAGAATCCAGTCACACCAGTTTTTCCAAAACTCTAAAATTAGCAATATGGTCAAATGAGACGCCACTAAGTCCCTATACCAATACTTGGACTACGATGCCTTCAATCATTTATTCAGAGCATACAGCTGAAACACGTAATTCTAACAAGGTGATTTCACAAACCAAGGAAGTCTAGAAAACAGAAGGCAAAGAAGCTGCTCTAGACAGGCACTTTAAAGAGCAACAGGTAGTAATGAACGATAAGTGAGAAAAAAAGATGCTCAAAAGTACATGGGAGAAAAGGAAAGGGAGAGGGCACAGAATTATACCTCCCACACCTTCCTAGTATGGAAAGTGCAAGACTACTGCACAGCATTAGTGATGTCACAGGCAGGTCCCCGAGTCACCAATACAACAGCACACCTACGTCTAGTATAAGCCATTTCAGAGGACAAGTTAAAGACAGAATTATAGAAACGTTTCATTCTCGAGACAAAAAGTTAATGTAATTCACTCATGTGCTTCCTTATGCTCCATTCATCCGATACAGTGCTACTAAAAGCCATTAAAGTCACCTGCAGAGATGTAACACAATGTTTGGATTTGGAGCCTTAAACATGTGTAACACGTGCCCCCTTGGTTCCCAAGTCAAGGAACAACTAATGAATTGCTGGAAAAGCGAGCTCTAAGCCCTGTAAACCACAACTGCAAGCTGTGTCTAACTGCATCGTAACCAGGCCTGGTGAGCTGCGGGGTGTAGTGGGTAGATCACTGAGGCCTGGGCTCAGAAAAACTGGGTTCAAACGACCTGCTCCAACTTAGGAAACACAACTCGCCGGGTGATTTAATGTTTGTTTTCGGCTCTTAAAGCGGGGCGGGGAAGAGGACCATCTGCCCACCTACCTCGGTCTTCTAAGAACTGAGCATTAAGGGAGAGACTTTACATGAGTCCCTCAAAGACGGTCCCGTCGAAAGCTAGCAGTCAGGACACAAGGCGGTAACGTCGGCCTGGGTTTAGGGACAGCGGCTACAGGAACCAATTCAACTACACCACTCAGCTGAAATGAAAGTTCTCCAACTTTCAATCACCAAAAATACACTTTACTTGCAGGACAACAGCTCAAGTGAGGCTAACCTGTAAAATGCATCCAAGTACCTGCCAAAAGAAAAGTACTTGAGGTTGACAAAAAAGGAGACAGACTTGTGGAGACGAGGCAAACTTTTCGGAGGCAGCACACCCCACAAGGCTCCGGGAGGTGCGCGACCCCGGCCCGCGCCTCCCCGGACACTTCCCAGCCCAGCGCGCCGCCGCGCCCCCGCCCAGCAACCGCTCCGGGCGCGCAAAGCCCAAGGACCGCCGCCCCGCCCTCTGAGGGGGACGGAGCGGGTCTTAGGATCGGGAGGGTGCGCGGACGCGGCGGGCGGGGGCCCGCTGACCTCAGGGCCTCCGGAACCTCACCTCTCCGCAGCAACACAACAGGGGGCCGCGGCCGGCTCCGCGCTGGGCTTCCGGCTCCCGCCTGGACTGTTAAACTTCGGCGGCCGGAAGTCCCGCCCCGAGTGACGTCACGGGGCGAGGCGCTGCGTGCGGCTGTGGCTTCTGGCCGGACAGAAGTCGGGGTACAGAGGGTCTGGTCAGGGCGGCGCTGGGCAGCCGCGGGGGAAGTTATCCCAGTGTCAGGGCGGGAACTGCGGGCCGGGGCGGCCCTCTCCACGCCCCAGCGACGGAGCTCCGGCCACTGCCAACTGCTTGTCATTCACTTGCTGTTTACTGTGTGCCAGGCACTGTGCTAGACTCTTGAGTGTACAGTGATGGTTTAGCCTGGGGATACAGGGGTACAGTGAATTCTCGTGGTCCTTGGCCTTGTGGAGCTTACAATGCACTATAGGAAGCTGACGTTATTAGATGCTTAAATGGAAAGTGAAACTATGATAATGAAAGGTATAAGATGCACGAAGACCCATAATAAGGGAAACTATTGTGGATGTGGATTTAGGAAAGGATTCCTACATGCGATTTACAAGCCAGGAAACGCGCTCAGGCTGAGAAATAACCCAAAGAGTAGGCGTCTGCACTAACCTACTTCAAAACCCATGATCTTTCTTTCGCATCATGCTGCGAGGTCCGGAACATCAAACATCATCTGTTTGGGAATTCTTTTGAAGGGGATACTTCAAGGTGGAAAAGGAAGTTGCTGAGCCGAGTTTTCAAGTGCCCCTTCCAAAGGTCCTTTTATAGCTCTACTGACAATTTTTGCTAAGAATATTTATCATAAATATAGAGCATTTCTTCTGCAAAAAGTGTTATTCTTTCATCACAACTACATGGGGTGTGTTTCTGAACTAGGTACATCAGCCCCAGTTATCTGCATTCATATTGCAGATAATTGGAAAATTCTAATAAGTGCATTTTTTCAGAGCAGAAATTGAAATCGTAGCCAAGTTACTGAGGTTCATGGGGGAGTGGCAAAAGGAGAAAGATAGCAAGCAGCAACTACCTTAATTGTACAGTCTGCAGTTCTTGAGGCTATGAAATCCAATTTGGGCAGGGAGGAGGCCCAGAAAGTTGGGAACTAAGAAAGTACGGTAAGGGAGTGGGGGCAGGGAGAATGGGAGCAAATGGAGAAAAGAAAACTTCAAACAAAAAGGGCAATTAATTAAATCTCTGAAAATTGAAGCCAGCAGGAAAATTGAGACTAGACTATATGAAAATATATATAATAATACATGTAATATAATATATACATATTATATGATATAATACTAGTTATACATATAAAAATAGATATTTATTGAACACTTTACTAAGCACTGTATTTGTGTATATAGACGTAATGTGTATGTATGCAATATATATATAATTTCATCTTTCTAAAAACACATGAAGTATGTGCTATTATTTGTCCCCATTTTACATATGAGGAAATAGAGGTTAAGTAACTTGTCCAAGGTTACAAGTTTAATAAATGGTAGATTCAGAAGTTAAACCTGGGACCATGAGACTGCAAAGACTGTCCCAGACCTTTATGCTATACAGTCAAGAGCCATAACACAGCGTATAGGGCCAAATGGAAACCTCCATTCCTCTGTCCTCACTGATGCTGCGGCCTCATCAAATCTTACTGGCCCTGAAACAGTCCTGTCATTTTTGTCCGTGCCTCTGTGCCTATGTATACACTGTTTCCTCAGTTCTGTATAATAGTTTAACGAACAATAGATGCCAAATGTTAGAAGCCTTGCTAATATATGAATTATATAAACATATACAGATTTCCAAAAGTAGCCATCACAACAAAGAATATTTCTAGAGACAAAGAGAAATATTTCATAATGATAAAATGGTAAATAACCACAAGCCATTATCAATTTTAAGTGTATAGGTGAACGTAAGAGAATTTTGAAATATATGAAGAATAAGTATCAAAGCTAAAGGAGGAAAAAAGCATACCCATAGTCATTGTTGGAGACTGACAGAATTTTCTCAGTAATTCATAGAACATCCAGATAAGAAAAACAAATCAGAAAAGATGTGGAAGATCTGTACACTTATCAACTATTTTAACTGACATTTATAGAACACTATAGCCAACTACTGCAGGATAAACATTCTTTTCAAATACACATGAAAATGGAGCATATATTGGGCTATAAAACAAGTCAATTGATTTTTAACAGAATAAATCTTACAGACAATACTCTCTGATCACAACAGTATTAAATATAAATAAAAAACAATAACACATCTAGAAAAGCCCCAAACGTGAAATAAAACAACCTTACTTCTAATAACCCATAGGTGAAGGAAAAAATCAAATCACAAATATTAATAATAACAGAAAATATTTGAACCGAGTGATAAGTAAAATACAATAAAAATTCATGGAAACAGCTAAATCAGTGCTTATATTATGAAATCAGTGTTTATATTCTGAAAAAAAGAAAAGTCCAAAATCAATGATCTATGCTCTCTCTTAAGAAACTTAGAGAACAAATTAAACACAAAGATTACAGTACAGAACAATGAAATTGAACAAAGATGAACAATAGAGAAAAATCAATGAAACCAAAAGCTGATTTTTGAAATGATTAATAAAATTGAGAAATCTCTAGCTAGACTTACCAATAAGAAAGAGAAAACACAAATTACCAATATCAAGATTGAAAGAGAAGCCATCAATACAAATCCAAAGGATATTTACAAAAATAAGGGAATAGGATAAACAACTCCATGTCAATAAATTTGGTCACAACTAAAACAAATGAATACCTTGAAAGACAAGTATTAAAACTGACACAAGAAGCAATAGATAATATGATAGCCCTATATGTACCATAAAAATTGAATTCAAAATTAAGAAAGCCATCTCACAAAGGAACCCCAGGATCAGATGGCTTTACTGTTGAATTCTATCAAACACATGAAGAAATAATTCAACATTTTAGGAAAACAGAAAAGAAGAGAATATTTGCTAAACCCATTTTTTAGAGGCAGTATTACTCTGATACTAAACCAGAAAAAGACATTATAAGAAATATCCATAATTCATATCCCTTATGCATGGAGACAAAATTATATAGATACACATATATATGCAAAGTAAATCCAGTAATTTATAAAAAGGATTATAATCAAGTGAGATTTCTTCGAGAAATCCAAGATTGGTTTAACACTCAAAAATCAATTAACATAATTCACCATATTAACAAAATGAGGGAGAAAGCCCATATAATTATATCAATAGATGAAGCAAAAACATTTTTTTTAAATTTAATATCTATCCATGATTTAAAATGCTTGACAAACTGAAAAAAACAAAGGAAGGAAACATCCTCAACTGGTTCAAGGGCGTCTACAAAAAGCCTACAGACAGCACCTTAGTTAATGATGAAAGACTGAATGTCTTCTCCTAAGATTAACACAAGAACACCCAGTCTTACTAGTAGTCCTATTCAACATTCTTCTGGAGGCCCTAGGCAGTGCAATAAGACAAGAAGATGAAAAGAAAGAGAAGAGGAAATAGGAAGAGGAGAAAGGAGGAGAAGGGAGAGGAGAAGAAGAAAACAAGTATACAGAGTGGAAGGGAAGAAGTAAAACTCTTTATTGCAGACAGAATGATTGTGTACTGTAAAATCATAAGGAATCCAGAAAAAAACTCCTAGAGCTATGTGAATTCAGCAAGTCCTATGCAAGGTCAATATACAAAAATAGAATTCTATAAACTAGCAATAAACAATCAGAAAAGTAAAAATTACAATTTCATTTCTAACAACATCCAAAAGTATGACATATTTACACATAAATGTACTAAAATATGTTCAATAATTGTGCATTGAAAACTACAAAACATTACTGAGAGAAGTTAAAGACCTAAATAATGAAGAGCTGTATCATGTTCATGAGATAGAAGACTCAATATTATTAAGATATCAGGTTTAAATAATGCAATTTGTTGTTTGTATATTATGCACCATAACTTTATTTTTAAAAAGATCTCAGGAACAAAGAGTTCCTAATTATTAAGAAATAAAGTGGGCCGGGCGCGGTGGCTCACGCCTGTAATCCCAGCACTTTGGAAGGCCGAGGCGGGCGGATCACGAGGTCAGGAGATCGAGACCATCCCGGCTAAAACGGTGAAACCCCGTCTCTACTAAAAATACAAAAAATTAGCCGGGCGTAGTGGCGGGCGCCTGTAGTCCCAGCTACTTGGGAGGCTGAGGCAGGAGAATGGCGTGAACCCGGGAGGCAGAGCTTGCAGTGAGCCGAGATCCCGCCACTGCACTCCAGCCTGGGCGACAGAGCGAGACTCCGTCTCAAAAAAAAAAAAAAAAAAAAAAAAAAGAAATAAAGTGATGTTCTTCACTTGTGAGAGAAAAACAAAGTTAAGTCTTAAAAAGAAAGACATAACAAAACAAAAATTGTCAAATTTAATAACACTGGCTTGAAAAGCCTTAAATATTCTAAAAAAAAAAGTTACTAAAGTTTCAAATATCAGAATGGCTTTTTTACAGTGCGTTTCCTGCCAGAACACAGGTGTCGTGAAAACCACTCCTAAAGGCTAAAATGGGAAAGGAAAAGACTCATATCAACATTGTCGTCATTGGACACATAGATTTGGTCAAGTCCACCACCACTGATCATCTGATCAACAAATATGGTAGCATCAACAAAAGAACCATCGAAAAATCTGCTGAGAAGGAAGCTGCTGAGATGGAAAAGGGCTCCTCCCCATGCCTGGGTCTTGGATAAACTGAAAGCTGACACTGAACGTGGTATCACTATTGATACCTCCCCATGGAAATTTGATGTCTCAGGACACAGAGATTTTATCATAAACATGAATCCAGGCACATCTCAGGCTGACTTTCCTGTCCTGATTGTTGCTGCTGACATTGGTGAATTTGAAGGCATCTCCAAGAATGGGCAGACCGATGATCATGGTGCTCTTGCTTATACACTGGGTATGAAGCAACCAATTGTTGGTGTTTACAAAATGAATTCCACTGAGCCACCCTATGGCCAGAAGAGGAAATTGCAAAAAACGATAGCACTTATATTAAGCAAATTGGCTACAACCCGGACACAGTAACATTTGTTCCAATTTCTGGTTCAAATAGTGACAACACGCTCAAGTCACATGCTAACATGCATTGGTTCAAGGGATGGAATTCACCCATAAAGATGGCAATGCCAGTGGAACCATGCTGCTTGACACTCTGGACTGCATCCTACCACCAACTCATCCAACTAATAAGCCCTTGTGTCTACCTCTCCAGGATGTCTGCAAAACTGATGGTCGTGGTACTATGCTTGTAGGCCAAGTGGAGACTGGTGTTCTCAAACCAAATATGGTGGTCACTCTTGCTCCAGTCAATATTATAACTGAAGTAAAAGTCTGTTGAAATGCACCATGGGCCAGGTGTGGTGACTCACACCTGTAATCCCAGCACTTGGGAGGCCGAAGAGGGCAGATCACATAAGGCCAGGAGTTTGAGACCAGCCTGGCCAACATGGTAAAACCCTGACTCTACTAAAAATACAAAAATTAGCCAGACATGGTGATGCATGCCTGTAATCCAAGCTACTTGGGAGGCTGAAGTGGGAGGATCGCTTGAGCCCAGGAAGCAGAGGTTGCAGTGAGCCGAGATTGCACCACTGCACTCCAGCCTGGGCAACAGAGTGAGACTCCATCTCAAAAAAAGAAAAAAAGAAATGTACCACAAAGCTTTGAGTGAAGCTCTTCCTGGGGACAATGTGGGCTTCAATGTCAAGAATGTGTCTGTCAAAGATGTTTGTTGTGGCAAAGTTGCTAGTGACAGCAAAAATGACCCACCAGTGGAAGCAGCTGGCTTCATTGTTCAGGTGATTATCCTGAGCTGTCCAGGCCATATTGGTGCTGACCATGCCCCTCTAATGAATTGTCACACATTTCACATTGCTTGCAAGTTTGCTGAGCTGAAGGAAAAGATTGATTGCTGTTATGGTAATAAGCTGGAAGATAGCCCTAAATTCTTGAAGTCTGATGATGTTGCCATTGTTGATATGGCTCCTGGAAAGCCCATGTGTGTTGAGAAGTTCTTGGACAATCCTCCTCTGGGTCGTTTTGCTGTTTGTGATATGAGACAGACAGTTGCCGTGGATGTCATCAAAACAGTGGACCAGGCCGGGCGCGGTGGCTCATGCCTGTAATCTCAGCACTTTGGATGGCCGAGGCTGGTGGATCAGGAGGTCAGGAGATCGAGACCATCCTGGCTAACACGGTGAAACCCCATCTCTACTAAAAATACAAAAAAATTAGCCGGGTGTGGTGGCAGGTGCCTGTAGTCCCAGCTACTCAGGAGGCTGAGGCAGGAGAATGGTGTGAACCCTGGAGGTGGAGCTTGCAGTGAGCGGAGATCGTGCCACTGCACTCCAGCCTGGGCAACAGAGCGAGACACCATCTAAAACAAAACAAAACAAAACAAACAAACAAACAAAAACAGTGGAAAAAAAAACAGTGGACCAGAAGGTTGCTGGAGCTGGCAAGGTTACCAAGTCTGCCCAGAAACCTCAGAAAGATAAAAGAATATTATCCCTAAGACCTGCCACTCCAGTCTTAATCAGTGGTGGAAGAACAGTGTCAAAACTGTTTGTTTCAATTGGCCATTTAAGTTTAATAGTAAAAGACTGGTTAATGATAACAATGCATTGCAAAACCTTCAGAAGGAAAGGAGACTGTTTTGTGGACCATGTTTGGGTTTGTGTGTTTTTTTGTTTCTTCTATTTTGTGTGTGTGGCAGTTTTAAGACATTAGTTTTTAAAATCAGTAATTTTTAATGGAAACAACTTGACTAAAAAGCTGTCACAATTTTAAGACCCATTAAAACAAAGTTTAATGAGGAAAAAAAAGAATAAGAATGACTTCCATTCTTAACAGTAACACTAGAATTTACACGACGATAGAACAATACTTCCATATTTCTGAGCAAAAATGATTACTACTCTAAAATTATCTAGCTGTCTTATCATTCAAGTGTCAAGAAGGAATAAAAACATTTTCAGACACATAAAGTCTCAACAACTTTTCCTCCCGTGCACCTTATCAAGGAGCTACTTGAGGCCAGGAGCGGTGGCTCATACCTGTACTCCCCACCGCTCAGGAGGCTGAGCTGGGAGAATTGCTGGAGCCCAGGAATTTGAGACCAGCCTGGGCAACATGGTGAGACCACATCTGTAATGAAAAGAAGCAAAAAAGCTACTTGAGGAACTGATACACCGAAACAAAGGAGTAAACCAAAACAGGAAGACAGGACATCCAGTCTCAGAAAGGTAAAGAAAAATCCCAGGATGACAGGTGAGCACGGGGCCCAAAGAGCAACCAGGGCAAGCAGCAGGTCGAAAGATTCCAGTAGTGCTATCATCAGGAAGAAGAGTCACACACACACACACACACACACACACACACACACACCCCTCACATGTCTAATTGTATTGAGAAGAGGTTACAGAACCGGGAAACAGTAGATTTGGAGCTTAATTCATGACTAGACACAGAAAACTAGAAAACCAAACGACAAAATCAATCAATAAATAAAACCACCACTAGGGAAACAAAAAGTTGTGCAAGAAAGGAAAAGTGGTAATAACAACCATAATATACCACATAACCTGGTATGAATACTATTTACGTAGTCATTAAAATGGGAACATGCAGTGTTAATTTAACCAAAATTATGACACAGCTATAATAGGGATAGGGGCAGTGTGTATATGTGTGTAGTTCAGGTGGAGGAGGGTGCAGAGGGAACTGATTCTTCATCTTCTATGATGGAAAGTCAATAGATAAAGCCTAAAATTGAAAAAAAATCCCAAATTAAGTTATTAGTCAGAGAGATGGAAATGAATACCAAAAGATGTCAAAGAGAAATACGTAAAACTACAGGGCTTTAAAATATAAAGTTGTTTTTTAAAAAAGCAATCCCTTGTTCCTACTTATCACCAACCACTTACCACTCCCCTAGACATCCGTTTTACCTTCGCTGTGTCCTGTTGTTTGTCATTATTGTTCTGTCAACACACATTTGTGGACCGGCTCCTGACACACTGTGCTGAGTATTGCAGTGACCAAGGTGAACCCCATCCCTAATTTGGAGAAGCTCAGATTGTACCAAGGTAACAAATACTAGTGATACAAAGTTGCCAGTGCTATGATATTTATCAGAGGCTGGGGAGTGATGGTGGAGGAAGGAATTAGTTCTAGGGTTGGCTTCAAGAGGAAGCAAGATGATATACACTCAAGAAATCAAGGTTTTCAGGTACTGTTAGAGGTCCTATTATGCGAACATCTGCATCCCTTTCCCCTCCGCCTCTTTCCCACAGCCTCTGCTACCCATTGCTTAGGGAGCCTGCTGTCCCATATGGTTCTTCCTTGCATATTTTTCCCTTGAACGTTCCCATGGCTCCCTCTGGCACTTCATTCAGGTTTGTGCTCAAATATCACCTCTTGAAAGATGCTTTTCCATGGACACCCTTATCTAAAATATCCCTCACACCCCACCACACTTTGTTTCCTTGCCCTATCCTAATGTATTTGTCTTCAAAGCACATATCTACAGGACATTATGCATTGATTTACTTGTATCATTTGTTTAGTTTCTTCACTGGAATGAAGGTGCCACAAGAACAGGAATTTTGTCCTGTTTGGTTGCCACTATCCCTGTGCTTGGAACAGTGCCTAGCATGTAGCAGGCACTCAACACCTATTAACTAAATGAGTAAATGGATGAAGAATGAATGTCTCCAATCCAAATCTCTCACCTGAATGCAGACCCATGTACTCAACTGCTACCATCTTCTCTCTGCCAAGCCATTTCCCTTTCCATAACCTCTCATAGCCTCCCGAGGGCTCAAGCCAGACATTTGTGAGTCCATTCTGACTTTTTCCCCTTCCTTCCTTCTCACAAAAATCTAAAGAGGCAATCACTAACCCAAGTCCATTTTATTGTTGAGTATCTTTCAAATCTGTCTGCTGCTCAGCACCCCTACTGCTCTTATCTTGATTTAGGTTATCCTTATGACCGGATAGTTGAAACAGCCACTTCTTAACCTTCTTTCCAGTCTCCAGTCTTTCATCCCTCCAGCTCTCCTCCAAACTCCTACCATAATGATCTCCATAAAATGCAAATCCAATCTCATGACCGCTGTTCTTAAAATGTATGCCCTCAGAATAAAGTCTGAACTCCTTTGCATGCCCCCCCCCCGCCCCCAGGCCCTTTGCCACTACCTGGTGCTGACTCCTGTAAATCTTCTCTGACCCCCTGGCCAGTCACACTCACCACACACACCATGTACCACCCTGCTTAGCCTTGGCCCTTGCTGCTCCCTCTGCTTAGAACATCTCCTCCTGGCTCTTAACAGTTGGACCAGATAGCAAGGGCCCTGGGGAAATTTCCTTCCCTGATGGATGCTGCCAGGGCATCCTGTGCCCACCCCTGTACACTGTAAACCATGTGTCTACTCGTTGGCTTCCTGCACTGAACTCTAAGCTCCAGAAACGTAGTGTCTGCCTATGAACATTTAGTCTTTGTGTCCCCAGTTCCTAGCATGATGCCCGACACAAAGGAGATACTTAATGAATGTCTGATGAATGAATGAATGGAGGCATGAATCTGTTTTTAGAATTTAGCAGTAAAGTAGAAAATGGATTGCCAGTGGGGAGTCTGAAAGCACATGGACTAGTTAAGAGATAATTGACATATTCTAGACAAGATGAAGAGGGCCTGGACTCAGGCAGAGGCAATGGGAATGGAAATGAGGAAGCAGAATCAAGAGACTTTTGTTAAAAAAAAAAAAAAAGACATTTTATGAGCAAATGCAATTGATTGAGCACTGTGTATTTTCTGAAGGATGGCTCCAGTGTTTTAAATTTAAACAAAGGGCCGGAAAGCCAGTCCTACCCATGAGAAGCAATCAATCAACAAACTTCATCAAAGTGAGAAGAGGTGATTGAAGTAGACAAAGAGGTTAGGGAAGCACATAGAGTTTCCGATACAGAAATAAAAGAGAGTGTTTTAACTGCCAAAGAATCAAGAGACTGACAAGGAGAGTGAAGATTTTAGTGCCGAGGATGTAATAACTGGAAAAGTTTGCTTCAGCCCTTAATATAGTAATAAAATTTGCAGGCAGCCTACAATATTACACTGACTGGGAAGTTATACATTATACAAGCTGACCTTCCATTTTGATGAGACATATATAAAAGTAAGCAGGCAAGTTTCTGGGATTTATTGGGGGGAAATAACTAACTTCCAGGGCATGTCACAGGATCAGTGTAGCCTCATCCCATTTACATTTGACATCTCTAGAGCCATAACGTGATAGGGATGCTTAAGGGATCTCTGAAATGTGGAAAGATTCTATTATGACATCTGTGCTCTTAGCCAAAGTGTGGGGAAGGGAAAGAAACAGGTATTTCTTAGGAACCTACTACTGTGTAGGGCCTTGTGGTTTTACATCCGCCTCCCACCTTCACATAGCTGACTTCGGGAAATTCTTTATAAGGATTGTTTTCTTCAAAGACAATGAAAACTTGTAAATACAGGTTTTTTTCTAAATAGGTAACGAATACATGTTGCAAAACGTTTAATCAATACAAAAAAGTAGAGTTAAAAATAAATCTTCTCCAGCCCCTGATGGTGAACCACAATTTCCTCTCTCTAGGACAATAACTAAAAATGATTTCTTGTGCATCTTCCAGGAATATTCTATGCATAAGTACAATTTACATAATTCATTCAAAATTCATTCAATATACACTGAACACCAACATTAGCTCACTACGCATCTATTCCATGCTTTATTTTTTTTTTTTACTTAGTGATATCTAGCAGAAAGCTCCCCATCTTAGGGCAGTTTGGTCTGATTCTTTTTTCGGTCCATATAATATTCTATTGTCTGGATGTATCATGTTTTATTTAGCAAAGACTCGGTGAATATTAAAGATGTTTTTCAGATATTCTTTATACATACATAATTTCTTATGCATGCAAGTAGAACTGTATATGCTAACAAGGTTCAAAAGGAATATAATATGAACAACATATGTAAGTTTCAATGTTCTAGCAGCCACATTTTTTAAAGTAAAAGAAATAAGTAAAATTAATCTTAACAGTATATTTAACCCATTATATCCAAAATATGTCATTTCAACATGTAATCAATTAAAAAATGAAATATTTTACATTATTTTACTTATACTAAGGCTTTAAAATTCGGTGTGTATTTTACACTTAAATTACGTATCATTTCAGATATGCCACATTTCAAGTGATCAGTAACCAAATGTGGTCACTGGCTACTATACTGGAGAGCATAGGCGTATACATTCCCAGATGGGAAATTTCTCAGAGGAGTAGTATATGGTTAAATTTTTATTTAATAAATTGCTGTTGCCAAATTGCTTTTCAGAAAAAGTTGTACCAATTTACACTTCCCTTAATAATATGCTTACTTCCCCTATCATTTACCAGTTAGGTGAAAATAGTCTACTATTGAGTTTTACTTTGCATTTATGTTATATTACAAGTGAGGTTGAGCATTTTTTTTTTTTTTTTTGAGACGGAGTGCAGTGACATTATCTTGGCTGACTGCAAGCTCCGCCTTCCAGGTTCACACCATTCTCTTGCCTCAGCCTCAGTCTCCCGGCTAGCTGGGACTACAGGCGCCCGCCACCATGCCCAGCCAATTTTTTTGTACTTTTAGTATCGACAGGGTTTCACCATGTTAGCCAGGATGGTCTCGATCTCCTGACCTCGTGATCAGCCCGCCTCAGCCTCCAAAAATGCTGGGATTACAGGCATGAGCCACCGCACCTGGCCCGAGGTTGAGCATCTTTTTATATGTTTACAAGCTATTTGTATTTCATTTTCTATGGAGTATTTTATGTCTTCTGTCCATTTTTTCAATAATTTGGTCTTTTTCTTCATTGATATATGGGAGAATGAAAATAATTTATGTGTCATAAACGCTACAAAAATTTTTCCACTTTACCCTCTTATGGCTTTGGTTATGGCATTATTTTGTCATGCAAAAATGTTTACATTTTATGCAGTCAAAATAGCAATATTTTATGGCTTCCAGATCTTGTCACATTTATAGAGGGCTTCCTCTCTCTAAGATCATTAGAAAGTCTTTTCCATGACTTTCTTCTGATCCTCATAATAAAGTTATGAAACTGATGTTGTTATTTTTCACTTTGCAGATGAAAGAGTAGGTTCTTAGAGATATTAAACAAGCTGCCTAAAGAGACCAGCTAATAAACAGTAGAGCTAGGATTCAAATACAGTTTGTCAAATTCTAAAGATTGTGTGCTCTTTTGACTACACTATAATCAATGTAACCGGTGTTAGGTGTCTTATTATTGTCCACTTCTAAAAATTCCTTGTATTATATTAAATATATCATTGCTATTAATAACTAAAACATTGCATTAATACTGACACCATATTCTCACAAAACCCTACATAATCGAAATGAGCAGTTTGGGCATTCCCATGGCAGGAGGGTGATGGGTTTATCTTGGGTGGAAGAAGCCAAAGATATTGGACAGGATTGCAGCAATCAGGGAAGGCTAACACATGGGCTTGAGGACATTCACTCAGTGTCTTAAAAGAAAGGTAGAAATTGGACATGGAGAGAAAACAAAAAAATAAAAAACTGTGTTAGTCCATTTTCACATTGCTGATAAAGACATACCTGAAACTGGGAACAAAAAGAGGTTTAATTGGACTTACAGTTTTGCATGGCTGGGGAGGCCTCAGAATCATGGCAGGAGGAGAAAGGCACTTCTTACATGGCAGTGGCAAGAGAAAATAAGAAAGAAGCAAAAGTGGAAACCCCTGATAAACCCATCAGATCTTGTGAGACTTATTCAGTATCATGAGAATAGCTCAAGGAAGACCAGACCCTATGATTCAATTACCTCCCCCTGGCTCCCTCCCACAACATGTGGGAATTCTGGGAGATACAATTCAAGTTAAGATTTGGGTGGGGACACAGCCAAACCATATCATTCCATCCTGGCCCCTCCAGATCTCATGTCCTCACATTTCAAAACCAATCATGCCTTCCCAACAGTCCCCCAAAGTCTTAACTCAATTCAGCATTAACCCAAAAGTCCATGGTCCAAAGTTTCATCTGAGACAAGGCAAGTACCTTCTGCCTATGAGCCTGTAAAATCAAAAGCAAGCTAGTTACTTCCTAGATACAATAGGGGTCCTGGTATTAGGTAAATACAGCCATTCCAAATAGGATAAATTGGCCAAAACAAAGGGGTTACAGGGCCCATGCAAGTCCAAAATCCAGCAGGGCAGTCAAATTTTATAGCTCCAAAATGATCTCCTTTGACTCCAGGTCTCACATCCAGGTCATACTAATGCAAGAGGTGGGCTCCCGGTGTCTTGGGCAGCTCCACCCCTGTGGCTTTGCAGGGTACAGCCTCCCTCCCAGTTGCTTTCACAGGCTGGCATTGAGTGTCTGTGGCTTTTCCAGGTGCACAGTGCAAGCTGTCAGTGGATCTACCATTCTGAGGTCTGGAGGATGATGGCCCTCTTCTCACAGCTCCACTAAGCAGTGCCCAAGTAGGGACTCTGCATGGGGGCTCCAACCCCACATTTCCCTTACACACTGCCCTAGCAGAGGTTCTCCATGAGGGCCCCACCCTTGCAGCAAACTTTTGCCTGGGCATCGAGGTGTTTCCATGCATCTTTTGAAATCTAGGTGGAGGTTCCCAAACCTCAATTCTTGACTTCTGTGCACCCACAGGCTCAACACCACATGAAAGCTGCCAAGGCTTGGGGCTTTCACCCTCTGAAGCCACAGCCCAAGCTGTATGTTGGCACCTTTGAGCCATGGCTAGAATGGCTGGGACACAGGGCACCACGTCCCTAGGCTGCATACAGCACAGAGACCCTGGGCCCAGCCTATGAAACCACTTTTTCCTCCTGGGCCTCCGGGCCTGTGATGGTAGGCCCTGCTGTGAAGGTTTCTGACATGGCCTGAAGACATCTTCCCAAAGATCTTGGAGATTAACATAAGGGTCCTTGCTACTTATGCAAATTTCTGCAGCTGGCTTGAATTTCTCCCCAGAAAATGGGTTTTCCCTTTCTATTGCATAGTCAGGCTGCAAATTTTCCAAACTTTTATGCTCTGCTTCCCTTATAAAACTGAATGCCTTTAACAGAGCCCAAGTCACTTCTTGAATGCTTTGCTGCTTAGAAATTTCTTCCACCAGATACCCTAAATCATCTTTCTCAAGTTCAAAGTTCCACAGATCTCTAGGGAGGGCAGGGGCAAAATGCTGCCAGTCTCTATGCTAAAACATAAAAAGAGTTACCTTTACTCCAGTTCCCAAAAAGTTCCTCATCTCCATCTGAGACCACCTGAGCCTAGACTTTATTGTCCATATTGCTATCAGCATTTTAGGCAAAGCCATTCAACAAGTCTCTAGGGAGTTCCAAACTTTCCACATTTTTCTGTCTTCTTCTGAGCCCTCCAAACTGTTCCAACCTCTGCCTATTACCCAGTTCCAAAGTCGCTTCCACATTTTTGAGTATCTTTTCAGCAACACCCCACTCTACTTGTACCAATTTATTTTATTAGTGTGTTTTCATGCTGCTTACAAAGAGATACCCGAGACTGGGAAGAAAAAGAGGTTTAATTGGACTTACAGTTCCACATGGCTGGGGAGGCCTCAGAATCATGGCAGGAGGAGAAAGGCACTTCTTATGTGGCAGTAGCAAGAGAAAAAGAGAAAGATGCAAAAGCAGAAACCCCTGATAAACCCATCAGATCTCGTGAGACTTGTTCACTATCATGAGAATAGCACGGGAAAGACCGGCCCTCATGACTAAATTACCTCCCCACTGGGTCCCTCCCACAACACATGGGAATTCTGAGAGTTATAATTCAAGTTGAGACTTGTGTGGGGACACAGCCAAACCCCATAAAAAAGCATAGAGAATGAACAGAAAACATTCTGTTCAGTTTATTGGGCTGAAAAGAGTTCAGTTTATTGGGCTGAAAGGGAGAACAAGTAACAAGTTTCAGTAAGACTGGAAAGAACCTAGACTTCCAGACCAAAGGGTTTAGACATTTTTATGTGAGTACACAGAAGTCACTGACAAGTTTTGAAAAAGACAGTGACAAGATTGGAATTATGCTTCATGAAGATTAGTCTGGCTGAACTATGCAAGAGCTCCTGGAAAGAAAGGGAGGGAATGAGAGAAAGGCAGGAAAATGGAGCAGATCATTAGGGTCCTAAAGAGGAAAAAGAATCCATTTCATTATAGCATGACATGATTGTGTTTTGTTATTGTCATTTACTTTTTCCAAAAAACTTTACTACAAACAACAACTTGGATTGTTTCCAAAACTTAAATTTGTCCTTAAAAATATGAATTTTTACCCTTTCAAGCTGAGGCAAATTCAAAAGAGAATCTTCCAAAATGTCTTGTTCAGTAACATCCCTGCTAGGATAGATGTACAGCCTCCCAAAGTGAATACCTTTACAAGGCTCCTGTTTTTATTTATTCTTTTATTTTTTAAAAAAAAAATTCTTTTATTCTTTTAAAAAATGAGTCAGTTGATAATCTTATCTGATGCCAAAAACAAAGTTAAATTATCATAAGGGAGAAGAAATTCTGCCTTTCTTATGTGTGGCTTGTAGGAAATGCATACATCTTAATACATATGTTTAGTTAGTTTAGCGGTACACCAGCAGCGCAGTATCTGGGGAGCTTAGGGTCTCTGAATGCTGCAGCTTCCCCTGTCAAGCAGAGAAAAGCTTAGGTTCAGTTCCCCTTCTGGGAGTAGGGGTACATGGGTCCCTGATCCCAGCTAGCTTGGTATCCAGGTATCCTAGAATAAATACCCAGGGTCATTTGTGGGCAATCCTGCTCCTTGTGTCAGTATTTTTGTCCTTTGCTCAACCTCTAAATGTCTGTATTCCCTGTGGTTCTGCCTTTAGCCCTCTGGATTTTCATGCTATGCCTTTTTTTTCTGCGAAAAAAACCATCAAAACCCATGGCTTTAATAACTGTTTCCACTCTATTGACTCTAAATCAGACACCCCACAGGCACCTCAAACCTAAAGAAGCTACTGTAAACTCACTGTGTTTGATACCTAATCTGTTCCTCCCACTACTGTATTTTTCACCTCAACCATCTGTCCCATCATTCATTCAAAAGACCATACCAGAATCTCAAGGATCATTTTTAGAGTCCTCCTCTAGTATTTTCTCTCTCCCTCCACATTCCATCAATGACTAGATCACATAGATTTTACTTTTTAAGTATCCTTCAAGTCAGTTTCTACTTTTCACCTTAACCCGCTCAACCTTAGTTCAGGCTATCACTTATTCTAGTCTGGAGTAGGACTATTACCTCCCAGTAATACCTCCTGGTCTGTCCCTCTAATATATGCTCCATACTATTGCCAGAAGGAGTTGCCTATAGACGAAATCTGGTCATGTCACTCCTCTCATGAACATGCTTCAATGGCTCCTCATCATTTTTAGGAGAAAGTTCCACAAAGTCATTCATTCAATTATGAAATATTTATTAATCAATTACACTGTCCCAAGTGCTGTGGGAGATGCCATAGTTAGAGAAAACAAAACAACGCATGATTTTTACTAAAAAAGCTCCTAGTTATGCTTATGTAGAAATAGGTTTCAGATTCTTTGGAGAAAGTTGTGAAACAATGGAAACTTTATTGAAATTGGCAACACAAATGCTGTGATTCAAGCTTTCTTCACCCTTTCTAATTCTACAGAAAAACAGCATCAAATAGATGATCTGTGGGGTCCCAGTCTGAGTTCTTTGCCTATTGAAGCCCCACGCTTACTTTTACTCATTCTGTTTGAACTGTAGTGAGGATATTCTCAGAAAGATTAAAGGAGAACCTAGCGCAAAAGTGTCTTTAGCATCTCAAGGAGACTTAAACACCATTCCTCTGGATTCCTATACCTCAATGGATGCTTTGCCTGTCGGTATCCACATTGGTTCACCCTTGGGTCAGATAGCTGTCCCATGCTTTCTAAACACAAAATAAAAGATGCTGTACATCACTTGGTCTCTAATAACATGCCACAGCTTTGATGCAACATTATGGGACTACAGTATCTAATTGGCTTGGTGTGTGCTTCCTGTCTACTCCTGTAATAAAGATCGCATTAGGTTTGCTTTATGTGTATGACTTGACTTTAAATAAGAACAGTCAAACTCATTTTAAACTAGAGAAAACCTAGGAATTATGTTAGAGGGAATAACCCTTTACGTGATGAACTAATGAATATTTTTTCTTTCTAATTTTCACGAGTCTAGACACATCTTTTGTGAAGAAAAAAAATGCTTTCTGGCTGTTAATTTGACAGCTGGAAATTTTTATTCTGGTTCACCTGGACGTTAATCACTGTTTAGCTTGTGAGGAGGGAGAGAATTGTCTCAGAGAAACTATTTTTGAAGGCTGACTAACAATGGTCTGAGTGACTCACGATGCAGGAAGGTATGCGTTAAGCAGATTGTTGAAAGAGAAAAAAAAAGTTGTTTGATATATTTCCTCCCCTCTGCCAAAGTGTAGACAAGAAAAGGGATTCTTGAGTGCTAGTAAAATTCTGTTTTTTTATCTGAGTGCTGGTTATTAAGTGATTTCAATTCTAATAAATTCATTGAGCCATGCACTCAGGATTTGTGCAATTCTCTGCACATGTTCTACTTCAGTACTTTTTAAAAACTATAGCACTCCCTCTTCACCTGGAGGATGAATAGACCTATGTGTGTATATACACACATGCACACATACATGCTTCCCCTTCATGCAAAGGTTTTATATTTCTAAAAGCACCTTTCTGTTTTAATATATATTTTTTAGTTTTAATAGAACAAGGTCTCGCTATGTTGCCCAGGCTTGTCTCAAACTCCTGGACTCAAGCAATCCTCCTGCCTCAGCTTCCCAAAGTGCTGGGATTAGTCATGAGCCACCGTGCCTAGACTTATCTTCTATTAGACTATAAATTCTCTCTTTTTCATTAGACTCTAGGGCAAATGTCTTATTTAGTCTGTTCTGTCTATTGGAACTAGCACATAGAAAATACTTCATAAATACACTCTGAATGAGTGAGCAAAAGAACATATAAATCAAGGGTTCCCAACCCCCAGGCTGTGGACCGGTATTGGTCCACGGCCTGTTAGGAACCAGGCTGCACAGTAGGAGGTGAGTGGAAGAGGAGCAAGCATTTCCACCTGAGCTCCATTTCCTGTCAGATCCATGGCATTAGATTCTCAGAGAAGCGTGAACCCAATTGTGAACTGTGCATGCGAGGAATCCAGGTTGCACACTCCTTATGAGGATCTAATGCCTGATGATCTGAGGTGGAGCAGTTTCATTCTGAGACCATCCCCACCCTGGTCCATGGAAAAATAGTCTTCCATGAAACTGGTCCCTGGTGCCAAAAACGCTGGGGCCCGCTGATATAAATGACAAAACTAAAGAAATTAGAAACAGATTTTAGTGACTCAGAATAGAAATATAGTAAATTAGTATTCTCTACATTGTAAACAACAATTATGATCATGTCTATCTTAGTTGTTAGCCAGGTTCAATAGGCAGTTTGAATTTCATAATCCTGGTTAAATATTTTTATTTTATTACTTATTTTTATTTTTATTTTATTATTATTTTTTGAGACAGAGTCTTGCTCTGTCACCCAGGCTGGAGTGCAGCATTGCAATCTCGGCTCACTGCAACCTCTGCCTCCGGGTTCAAGCAATTCTCCTGCCTCAGCCTCCAGTGTAGCCGGCTGATTTTTGTATTTTTAGTAGAGACAGGGTTTCACCATGTTGGACAGGCTGGTCTCGAACTCCTGACCTTGTGATCTGCCTGCCTCAGCCTCCCAAAGTTCTGGGATTACAGGCTTGAGCCACTGCACCCAGCCAGTAATGCTGGTTAAGTGTTAAATATAATGTTTGACCAACCAAACCAGCCTATTCTTCAATGTTACCAAATAAATATCAAGAAGAGTAAGGTCTCTATGACTTAGTGATAGACTTTAAGGAGTGTTGGAACCACACTACTGTAGGGTTAGAAGGGCTTAGTGCTGGAGTGGAGGACACAGCACAGCGTCCCCCTCCATGTAGAATCTGCACATATGCCATGAGAGAGGGACCTGACATGACATGTGTCCAGTTTAGTTAGCCTGTAAGGTTTCTTCAGTCATTGTCTTAAAATAATTGGTGCTTGTACTATTAAGGAACCAATAGAACAAGTAGAATGCTTTAAAATATTTCTAGTTAATGACCTTTACTATTGTTTTCTATTCTATTAGGTTTCAGAAAGCCCCTCTGGAATAATGTGTATTATACCATGATTTCAAAAGTGGGGTGGGGTGATAATACATTAGTTATTCATTTATGTATAACAAGTTACTCCAAACTGTAATGGCTCAAAACAACCATAAACATTTATCTCTCATAGTTTCTGTGAGTTTGAAACTTAGGAGCAATTTTGCTGAGCAAGTGAATGTTCCAAAAAGGTTAAGTCACTTGCTCAAAGTTATACTGCTAATAAGTAGTCAGGCTAGGATTTGGAACCAGTTTCTAATGACCAGCAGTGACACTGGTGGCCAGGATATCAATTAGGAAGCTATAGCAATAGCTCAAGTAAAAAATAACTTAGGGAAGTTCCAACTTACAGTACAGGTAGCAGAAGCGGAAATATTTTGGCAGTTGGTTGTGGGGCCACCCTGAGAACCAGATAACAGAGTGTCTGGCCCGAGGCACAGTGCTTTAGAAGGCTGTGTTCTGGCCACTGCTCTCCTCCCCACAGAACCAGGTCCATAGGTCTAAGGGGACTGGCCTGCCTGGAGCCCACACTCTGCCTTTTTTAAACTCAGGTACCTAAATTCCTGGAATTCCCTGCCCAGACTGCCACAGGATTCTTAGATTTTCCCTGCAGAGGCCAGACTTGCTATTTGTATACACAGCTCTGAGGCCTGAGGAGTAGCCAAGGGTGGCTGTTTGCCAAGGGTTTGGGCAGAGTTTGACATTGGGAGAATGGTGGGAGGTCCACATGCATGTGTAGGCCTCACAGTGCTGGAAGGAGCCAGTGGTAAAAAGAGAAAGAAAACAGGCCGCAACTGGGGGCCGTCTCTCCTCATGTAGCCTAGTCCTCTGCAGAACACCAAGGAATGTGAGAATCTGACATTATAATCTGGCCTCCCAGGTCATTATGAAGTGCATTTGTCCAGTGAGGAGGACCGAATACATTTTAGTTAAAAATAATTAGAGCTTCCTTTGTAACTTTTAAGCATTTGAATATACACTTTATGTGCCTCTTGTTTGCACCCTGGTTGATCCAATGGGATCATACTGGAGATGTATTTTCTGGCTATATTGTTGGCTAGTTAATTCCCTCATTTGCACACTATGAACTCCTAGAAACACTGGAGAAATATAACAAATATTCCTTTAACTTATAGCTGAGCTTGTAAGAAAGAAAAAGAAATCCCCAATGAAAGAAAGGAAGAAATAAAATCCAAGGTGGTGACCTTATGAGCTAGTACTGCAGCTTCACTGGATGAAGCTTTTGGTTTTGTTAACCTAAGGGCCTAGGTTTTAGTGCCTTGAGCCCTGGTACAACAGAGGCTGCAAGTTAGAATTGAGGTCTTTGCATAAAGCTGAGATCCTCAAGAGGCTGTAAGATGGGCAGAATAATGACTCCCCAAAGACATCCAAATCTCAATCCCTAGAACCTGTGAATATGGTATCACACATGGCAAAAAGGAATTAAGATTACAGATGGAATGAAGGTTGCTAATCAGTTGACTAGATAACAATGAGATTATTCTGGGTTATTCTGGTGGTCCCAATGTCATCACAAGGGTACTCAAAAGTGACAGGGAAAGACCAAAGAGGTCAGAGTCATGGGATGTGACTCTGATGTAAACCATGATTGTTGGCTTTGAAGACAATGAGGTCACCAGCTAGGGAATGAGAGCTAGAGGCTGGAAAATGTAAGGAAATGTATTCTCCCCTGGAGCATCCAGAAGGAACCAGCCCTGTCAATACCTGGTTTTAGCCCAATTAGACACATTTTGGATCTGTGATCTATAGAACCATTAGATAACAAATTTGTGGTGTTTGAAGCCAAATAGTTCATGCTAATTTATGACCACAGCAATGGGAAACTAACATAGATAGACTTGATCCTCCATAGAAAGAAAGAAAAAAGAAAGAAAGAAAGAAAGGGAAGAAAAATAAAGAAGAAAGAAGGAGAGAAAGGAGAAAGAAAGAAGAAAGAAAGAGAAAGAATGAATGAATGAAAGAAAGAGGGAGGAAGGAAAGAAGGAAGGAGGGGAGAAGGAGGAGGAGGAAGGAAGGAAGAAAAAGAAGAAGGAAGAGGAGGAGGAGGGAGAAGAGGAAGAGAAGAATAATTCAGCATAAACCAGATTGAGCAGACATAATAAACAGCAAGATCAATATCCCAAAAGTATCATATTATAGAAAAATATGACAGGGAAAGAAAATTAGTACGTTTTAAATGATTGGCAGCATAAAATAAATAATCCAAATCACCCAACAAGACACTGTGAGTAAAAAATGGGCAGATTTAGTGGAGAAGGAAATAGAAATTCCAGAAATAAAAAGTGAAGCCTTTGAAACAAAAAATTCTATGAATAGATTAAATGGCAGATTTGATAGAATAAAAAAGAAAATCATCAAACTGAAAGATAAGTTAGAAGTCACTATCCAGAATGCAGCCTGACAGGGGAAAAAAAGGATGGAAAATAAAAGAAAGATTAAGAAACAGAGGGCTGGTGCAGTGGCTCATGCCTGTAATCCCAGCACTTTGAGAGGCTGAGGCAGCTGGATCACCTGAGGTCAGGAGTTGGAGACCAGCCCTGCCAACATGGTGAAACCCTGACTCCACTAAAAATACAAAAACTATCCAGGCGTGGTGGCACACACCTGTAATCCCAGCTACTCAGGAGGCTGAGGCAGGAGGATTACTTTACCCTGGGAGTCAGAGGCTGCAGTGAGCTGAGATTGCGCCCACTGCACACTAGCCTGGGCGACAGAGTGAAATGCTGTCTAAAAAAACAAAAAAAAAGATTAAGAGACAGAGAGAATACAATGAGAAGATCCAAAATATATGTAATAAGAGTCCCCAGAGGAAAGAATAGAGTGAATGGGGGAGAAAGGATATTTGGGGAGCTTATTGTATATGTCTTAACTCCAACAGCCATATCAATTAGAGACCAATGAAGAAAATGAGATGGTAACAGTCTCTCGACATGCATGATTAAATTAAATAATAAAACCACAAATTGAATAATTATGCTCATTCTTTTCTATATTGCCTACTGTGTGTTTATTCCCTGTCAAAGTATAATTTTCAAAAGTTAAAAACATGCTACTTTTTAAAACATAAAATAAATATGGGTTAAGAGTTTTATTTGGCTCATTAATTAGTGAACTTATAAATGGTAAGGTTTATTGAAACAGCATTTTTTAAGTGTTAGAATAATGATACTAGGTTAGACACAAAACCTATAATAAATGAAAACCTTTGGGTTATATTCACATCGCTTGCATCTCTTTGGGAAGAAATTTGTTTATATCATTATTGAAAAAGAATCACTTGAATTGTCATCAGTTTTTTTTACAAGCTTACCTCTGTCCTTAAAGAGATGTAAGATTTCCTAATCAATAGCAAACAAAATGTCAAACGAAAGTTTGGGAATCAGGTAGCCCCCTTGTAGTGGTTAACTTTATGTGTCAACTTGGCCAGGCTCTGGTACAAAGATATTTGGTCAAACATTAGTGTAGATGTTGCTGTGAAGGTATTTTCAGATGAAATTAACAATTAAATCAAAAGTCTTTCAGTGAAGCAGATTTTTCTACATGAGTGGATCTCATCTAATTGGTTGAAGGCCATCAAAGAAAAGACTGAGATTGCCCAGGGAAGAGGGAATTCTGCCTCCAGATTGCCTTTGGGTTTGAGCTGCAGTGTGAACTCTTCCCTGGGTCTCTGGACTTCCAACCTGCTTTGTAGATTTCAGTTTCATCAGTCCTCACAATTGCATGAGCTAATTTTCTCTCTCTCAGCCTCTCGTGTGTGTGTGTGTGTGTGTGTGTGTGTGTGTATGTATATATATGTGTGTGTGTATATATATATACACACACATATATATACACACACATATGTGTGTGTGTATATATATATATACACACACACATATATATACACACATATATGTGTGTATACACACACACACACACATATATATATAAACACGCACACACGCACCCACACAGTTATGAACGATATAACAACATTTTGGTCAATGATGAACTGCATACACAATGAAGTTTCCATAAGATTATAAGGGAGCTGAAAAATTCCTATCCCTTAGTGATATTGTAGCCATTGTAACATCATAGGGCAACACATTACTCACATGTTTGTGGTGATGTGGTGATGCTGGTGTAAACAAATCTACTGCACTGCCAGTTGTATAAAAGCACATGTAATTCTATACCGTGCATAACACTTGATAATGATAATGAATATGTTACTAGTTTATATATTTACTATGGTGTACTTTTTATTGTTATTTTACAGTGCACTCCTTTTACTGAAAAAGAAAAGTTAACTGTAAAACAGCCTCTGGCAGGCACTTCAGGAGGTATTCCAGAAGAAAGTGTTATTATCATAGGAGATAACAGCTCAATGCATGTTATTGCCCCTGAAGATCTTTCAGGAGAACAAGAGGAGGAGTTGGAAGACAGTGATATTGATGATCCTGACCCTGTGTAGGCCTAGAATAATGTATATGTTTGTGCCTTAGTTTTAAACAAAAGAGTTTAAAAAGTAAAAGAAAAACTTAAAAATAAAAGCTTATAGGATAAGGATACAAGGAAAGAAAATATTTTTTGCACAGCTGTATAATGTATCTGTTTTAAGCTATGTGTTATTACAAAAGAGCCAAAAAGTTAAAAAAAAAGAAGTCTAAAAAGTACAAAAATTAGTCAGCTAAGGTTACTTTATTATTGAAGAAAGAAAATTTTTTTTTATAAACTTAGTGTAGCCTTAGTGTACAGTGTTGATAAAGTCTATAGTAGCGTACAGTAATGTCCCAGGCCTTCACATTCACTTCCCACTCACTCAGTGACTCATCCAGAGCAAGCTCTAGTCGTGCAAGTTCTGTTCATGGTAAGTGCCCTATAACAGGCATACCATTTTTTATCTTTTATATCAGATTTTTACTGTACATTTTCTATGTATATATACATTTAGATACACAAGTACTTACCATTGTGTTACAATTGCCTACAGTATTCAGTACAGCAACATGCTGTGCAGGTTTGCAGCCTCAGAGCAATAGGCTATACCACATAGCCTAGGTGTGTAGTAGGCTATACCATCTAGGTTTGTCTACATACCCTCAGTGATGGAATTGGCTAATGATGCATTTCTCAGGATGTACTAAGCATTGCATGACTGTATACACACTCACATCTTATTGGTTCTGTTTCTGTGGACAACACTCACTAGTACATCCTTCCCTCAGCAAGTTAGACAACGCCAAGTACTAAACTGAAAAGATTTCCAGTAATCCATTTTGCCTATTTCAACATTTCAGATAATTCTTAACACCGCTATTGGGTTAGAAAGACTGCCAATAAATTCCATTTAAATATTTATTAACACCAAGATTAGCCTTTTGTTGTAATTTTGAGTCAGTCTCATAGTAACTTTAAAGAGAATTATACTTGAATTGGTAGTAAGAAATAATACGATTGGACTACTTAACTAAAATTGGTATAGCTAATGTATAATAGTCTACTTCCATTCTATCATAATAATTAACACCAATACCACAACCCTAGTGTGCATTTGCAAAGATTACTACATCTTCCCTGCTCACTTTCAGTCCAACCTCCCTATTGCAGCCACTGTGATCTTAAACGCAAATCTGACCTTGTCAGTCTTTGGCTTCAAATCCTTCTCTAGCTTCCAAGCCTCCTTCTCATGGCCTCCTCAGTACTTTGTGAGCAGATGTACCTCTACCCTCTTCTCTCCAAACCCCTACACTACCACCCTAGGTTTATTCTCTAGCCAAAGTGAACTTCCCATTTCTTGAAGTTCCAGTGCAATGAACTAAGTGTTTATGTTCTTCCAAAATTCGTATGCTGAAATCCTAACCCCCAAGGCAATGGCACTAGGAGGTGGGGCTCATGGGAAGTGATTAAGTCATAAGGGTAGAGCCAACATGATTGGATTAATGCCCTTAAAAAAGAGACCCTAGAGAGCTAAGTAGTCCCTTCCACCAAGTGAGGACACTGCTAAAAGGTCCCATCTATGAACCAGGAAACAGGCTCTTACCAGACACTGAATCTGCTGGCACTTTGATCTTGGACTTCCCAGCCTTCAGAACTGTGAGAAATCAATATCTGTTGTTTACAAGCTACCCAGTTTATGGTATTTTGTCATAGCAACCTGAACAGACTAATATAAAAACCCACACTCCACTTTGCCTTTAGGTCTCCAGATATACTATTCTGCAGGCTTAGGATATTTTCCTCCAGTTTCACAGGTTATTTCTTATTTATGTATCTGGTGTTAGTTTAAAAATTGGTTGTTTTAGCCCAAGTTTCCTAGACAACAGAGCCTAAGGCAGGAAATCAGTGTGGTGCTTTATGAAGGGGGCAGGTGTATGTAATCCGAGGGCAAGCAAGTGTGAGGAAAAATTGAGAGAAGCAAGAAAGGATGTGAAATGTGTTACCACACTTGCCACTGCTTCATGACGAGCCTTGAAGAGATACATAAGTTTTCTCATCAGATGTTGGGTACTCAGAACTTTTCAGGGTAACTGTACAGAGAAACCATGCCTCAGAATGGGAGGAATGGAGAAATGGAATCTATTTGCCCTGATCCTTCCGGTCTCTTGTTTCCCACTGGACAGAATTCATCCATGTGGAGTTAAATCCTTTACTCCTCAAGGTCATGCCATCTGATCCTTCCTGCAGCCTCTCAGGATACCAGATCCTACACCCAACAGTGTAGCGTGTAAGGAATCAAAATTAGCACCTTGGCATAAGGATTATTTTGAGCTGAAGATATTTGATATTCAACAGATACAGAAAGACGCCTTCCCAGAGCTTCCTTTATTTGACTGAAAGTAGAAATTTCTGAGAAATGAGGAGCTGCCATAAATCTCTCTCGTGAAAGTTTTATGTCCAAGAAGAAGATGGAAAGTCAGTGCTGAGAGATGGCCCCACACAAACAAATGTTGCTCCATGAGTTTTCCCCGTATATTTATCTTCCCACAGTTTGCCACCCTTGGAAGCCTAAAATCTTTTCCTTTGTCTTGTCACCTCTCTACAGATTTATTGTTCTTCATTAAGATGCTATATATACCCACATTCTAACCACATCTGTTCTGTGGGGGGCAGACCTATACAATCATGCCTCCAAAGTCCAAGGAAGTTGAGAGGCCACCCAAAGAGGCTGACCTATCCGTTTTCTCAGAAAGAAACATTTATTAATGACTTATGAACAGAAGCCATGTCTGTGTCTTGGCCGGCTTCAAGACAAGATGGTGGATCCCTGTGCCATCACCTCCCAAACCTGGGGCTTATAGAGCATAGGAAAGGGGTGACTCTGAAGGGATGTGTGGGACAATTGAAGTCTGATAATATCAAGGTTGTCTGACCTAAGGGCAAAGTAACACAAGGAACAATAGATAAACTAGAAATCTTAGAGGCCTTCGAGGAACTGGAATTAATCAGAAGTGAACATGGCAGATTAGCATCCAAGACGGAGTTGTTTTGGCCTCCACAATCTGTCAGTGACTCATCACTGTGTTTCTCCTGTATGTATTCACTCTACATTCATTAATAAACTTTGTTATTTTTCTCTTGTTATTCTGTCTTTTGTCTGTCTAATTTGCAGGGCCCGAGCCCTTGGAGAACATAGGAGGATAGAAGAAATGTTTCTGTTTTTTCCTTTCCCTACAAGCGTTCCCAAAGTGAGTGGTAAAATGTGTTGGTTTGGATCCTCTGAGAAGCAGACATCAAGACTGGATTAGAGGCCTGGTGTTGTGGCTTGCACCTATAATCCCAGCACTTTAGGAGCCGAGGAGGGCAGACTGATTTGAGCCCAGGTGTTCGAGACCAGCCTGGGCAACATAGCAAAATTCTATCTCTACAAAAAATACAAAAAATTAGCCTGGCATGATGGTGAATGCCTGTAGTCCCAGGTACTTGAGAGGCTGAGGTGGGAGGATCAGTTGAGCCCAGGAGTTCCAGACTGCCATGAGCCGTGATCACGCCACTGCACTCCAGCCTGGGTAACAAAGCAAGACCCCATCTCAAAAAAAAAAAAAAATCTGGATTAGATATCCGAGAGATTTACTTGGTGAAACAACTGCACGGGAGAAAGGGGAAGGAACTTGAGAAAGCAGGGAATGTCAAACCATGATAGAGACAGGGAAGGAAGTTCCCTGGGGCACTAGGCTGATGGGGAAGCACAGTGCCCAAGTCACCCCGCAGAAGGGTCCCACATCTCACAGATATGGGCCTGCTTTGCTATCCCTGAACCACTTAGTCCCTGGCTGGGCACAGACTGGGGAGGCAGGCATCAGCACTAACACAGTGGGGTTTCAGAATGCAGAAGCTGGAGTCATGTCACTTCCATTCCGCTCAGCCTGAGATCTGAGTGGTGCATTTCCTGGTCACCACAAACAGCTGCAATCTCTAGGTGAGTGGCAGAGGCCAAGAGGGAGGGCCTGGCACTCTCAGGGCCACTGAGTGGTGGGTCCCTCGCATTGGCAGCACAGTCCAGGGTAAAGACTGAGAGAACCTGAGGTGACAAACCAGGATCTGTATTTGACACAAGAGTCAAGGCGACTCCTCTAGGAAGCCTGCCCTCATGCATACTAATCTTTCATCCTAAGTTAGGGGCTCCTGGTTTGTGCTGTGATTCTTCTATCAAAGCATTATTATACTTTATTGTAATTGTGTATTTATTAGCAGTCATTCCCGGTAGTATAAGCTCTAAGGGGGCAAGGGCCATATCTATCTTGTTCTTGGTCCTCAGAAGGGGTACATCAAACAGAGTTGAACAGATAAGAGGCAGAATCTCTGGTCTCTGCCGCTCACACTTTAAAGGCTGTGCAATGATCTGCAAACTGTTTTATACCTAACATTCACTGTCTTTAAAATGAGTCACATTTAGAGGCTATGAGGTATAAGATTACAAAAACATGTGCAATGGAATTTCTGTATTCTCAGAATTTTTGCTAAGCCCCAAAGATAAGACTAGTGGTTAATCACATTCTATTCCATTCCCACTCTAAAGAATGCAGAAAAAGAGCTTCCCATCACCCCCTTCCAAGACTTGCCAAAAAATGGCATACTTGCTCTCCCACCTCACTCATTCCTGCCACCCCACACATCCTATGCAAGCAAATGAGAGCTCATTTAACAAGGGAATTTGTTGGGAGTGGAGTGCTATGGCTTTTTGTTCTTCTCTTCTCTCTCCTTGGGTTGGGGGTGATGGAGAAGAGTGTTCTCTTTGCAAAACTGAGGGCTCTAGAGGGTAGCACAGTAGAGACCAGAGTGCTGGCAACAGGGAAAGACTGTAATCACTTGTCAGCTTCATCTGGGGCCATCAGGTGTGGGCAGAGATGTTGGGAAGAAGGATTTTTTATCTCTTGAGGTTGGGGCTGTATGTGAACATGGAGTGTGTGCTTCCTGCCTGCAGAATTCTGAAGGTGGAAGGCTGCCCAAGGCAAGGATAGAAGGCAGTGGTGTGGGCAACCTGCACACTCGGTGTTTGGTGGGATAGGATGCCACAGAAGGGACACCAGCTCTGAGCATCTTGAAGGAATCCCACTCAAGAGGGCAGCCTTCTGGAACTAGGGGACCCCACAGTAAAAGGCTGTGGGTGTATCACAGGGCAGGGATGTAGAAGCTGAGCAGGGATTGCAGGAGGTCAGCTGGAAGTGCACTGTTCCTTTCAGGAGACATGCCCACGTCCCAGCATAGTTCCGGATGGACCCAAAGATTCTCCCTGGCTCTCCCAGGACCATTGGTTGGGGGGCACCTAGGACTGCGATGAAGACCAGGGAGGGGCCATGGGAGGGATCCACATCTGGGGGCCACTCAGAGGGCACAAGCAAGCTCTAAGGGCATAAGTCATGTGAGACTTTTACCCTTATCTCATGTGGCTTGTGTCCTCCTGGGCCTCACAAATGCGAAAAAAAAAATCTTTGAATTGGATGTAAGATTGAAATTTTGATTTATACTGGAGTAGACCTCATAATACTTGGAAGTAAACCTAACTCCCAAAATGGGACTTGTCCATATATTGAAAGTGACTGGAAAACATTATGGGGATCCTGGCAAGAAAATACCCACAGTAAAGAAGGGAGATTGGACAGAGCTCATCCAAAGGTAGTGGCTGGAGTAAAATAACAGGTTAGAGGGATAAGGGAAAACAAAATATTTAAACAAATGAAATCACTATGCAAATTTCCATTCTAGCTGTCAGAAAATAACTTCCCATTGCATTTAAAAAACACATTTAAAAAATTACATATGTTTCTATTCCTGTCTTCTGCAAAGATTTTCAGAATAGAATCTTTTGAAGTTGTAGAGTTTTGATAAGGTACTTTGGTGTTTGCTTTGTAAAATTTATAGACATCTTTTAAATTTGACTGAGAACAGCATCTCTAAATGGTCCTTGTGCAGCATAACCAAACTCATATTTAAAATCTATATGTCACACTAAAGTAACAGCCAAGCCAAAACTAAAAACCGTATTTCAGTATGCAATATTAGGTGAGTGAACCCATCATTAAGGAGTAGACTTGGTTGCAGTTCCATCCAACACACAGCAGGATCACTGTCACCTGCCCTCCCCGCCAGACTCTGCAGGTTGATTTCTGCCTACTGCATGCCCTGTGTAATTCTGACACTCTGGGATTGAAATGTGGCTTAGCATTTTTATATCACCTTTGACTCAGAGCCTCTATGACTCTCAATTGGTTCAGTTTATGGGTCATCCTTCCTCGCTCAGGCTCTTCCCTGACTCACCCTAAACATGGACCAGCCATGTGTCTGTTTCTCACAGAAGGCATCTGCGTGTAGCAGAGGAAGGGGGCTTTATGCCTCTCAGTTGCTTCTCATCTATTTTCCCTCCAGGCTCTTCCTTTTTCCATTGGCCTTCTCCATGAGTCTCCCCAAGAAATTAATTTCCCTTTACCTTGTCCTATAAAACAATTTAGAAACCACCTCCCACTTGCTCAGGGCTTCTACGTATCTATACATAAGGTGCTCTGTCAATAATGACCATTTTGTCCGAAGCTTCACCCTTGAGCAGCACTAAGAACTGTTAGAAGCTTTGCAACTTCAGCTTCTTTCTCCTTTCTCTGCTACCAGTCTCTAAAATCCCTCAGCTGAAGCAAAACATTCAGAGATAATGGAAAAATAATGGATAAGCCGCTCCTGTCCTTCATCCTCCCTAGCTTCCTGGAGAGGTTGGTGAGGGGACACGGTGTCCCCATTATGCTTAGAATGGGTCTTTAGGAGACCTCAAAGGGGAAGGGGAACAATATATTTGTTTACCCACTAGATAAACTAACTTTTCCACTCCCACACTTTTGAAAGCAGACCATGCTAAGACAATTTTGGTTTTAAGTAACACGTTTTTGTCCTCTTTATTTCACATTTGCCATTTGAACTATTCCACATACATTTAATCAAGAAGTCTATGCTAATCATTAATTATGATACCAATACACCCGTTGTATTGTATTCAAATGTAACTCACACTTGTGGATTTCAAAGAATTTCCCTGGATTTAATTAATCCTCAGCTTCGCTAATGAAAAGCATTGCTTCTAACTCGCATGAGTGTGGGTTTCTAATCTTTTCCTTAAGGTCACCTCATTTTTCATGCAAATGTACATTTATAATTTAACATTGCAGATCTTTCACATTCCCTAGTAAGCAATTATTTTGATTACTTTATTATCTTTCTCTTTTTTCCTAGGCTATTTAGGTTGGTTTCTGCCTATCATGAGCCAAGTATAATTCTAAGATTCTCTTTTACTTCCTTTATTAGCATGATCTGCATTAGCAAGGGATTCATTTTCATTCTGAAGACTGAAAACAATTTCATTATCTGATAAAAATTATCTTCTCAAATGCTATAAGAGGCAATTCTCGTCATTTATGGTCTCATTAGGTATTTCATCTACCCAATACATCTTCTCAATATTTCTTCCTGGAAGTAATCATCTCGTGGCTCAACTAACAATATTTTGGACTAGGGATTTTTGTTTTTGTCTTCTTTCCCTCTTCCCGCCGCCCCCGCCCCCCACCACCCCAATATAGTTACTGCATCATCTCCTCTGTGAATCCTTGCTATTTCCCTGTCTTCCTAAAACATTTTGTGGAGGCTTCATGTTAACATCTATCTGCATTGTTGTATTGTGAATTGTAAGTTTACATTTTGTTGCCTTTAATATACTATCAGCATCTTAAGGGATGGGCCACAGCTCATGGATCTTTGTGTTTTTAGAGCCTGGAACTATGTCTAATATAGAGCAAAGCTCCAAAAATGCATATTGAATAAATGAAGGACTAAATACACATGCATGCTCATTTTTACCAGAATGTAGTTTTAATCTACTTGAGAATTAATTCTTTTCAAAACGCAGGAGAGAGTGGGGAAGCCAAAGCAACTTGATAAAGAAATAGATAAGCTGGACAAATGAGAGCGAGCTGAGGAGATATACAGACCTGGAACTCACAGAGAAGATAGGAGTTAAACTGCCCTACTGGGAGCTGAAACACCTATGAAGCTGCAGCAGGCCAGTTGATCAACAGCGAAATCTCAAAGCAATATCTAGAGTATTTGTATATATCATAAGAAATCAGATGGGGCAAGATCCAAGTTTGAACTAGAGGCTTCTGTGCAAGCAAGACATTGAATCATGACTACTTCTTCTCACCAAATTTCCAAAGGCTGACAGATATTGCTGAAAAATTCCTCAGTCTGTTGTCATACTCTTGATTTATTTCTCAGTTTTATCATCCCTAGAGGAGGAAAAAAGAGTAATACCTTGAATTTCATATAATTTTCCTCATTTCAGAAAGTGCATACTTCATTTCACCTCACCTGTTAACCAAAAATTATGCTCCTGCGCTAGTCCTCAACAGACCTGACCAAACCATAATGGAGTCACTAACGCTGAATGCCACATCATCAAACCAAAACTTTAAAAAAGCAGAGATCCCGGCCGGGCGCGGTGGCTCACGCCTGTAATCCCAGCACTTTGGGAGGCCGAGGCGGGCGGATCACGAGGTCAGGAGATCGAGACCAAGGTGAAACCCCGTCTCTACTAAAAATACAAAAAGTTAGCCGGGCGTAGTGGCGGGCGCCTGTAGTCCCAGCTACTCGGGAGGCTGAGGCAGGAGAATGGCGTGAACCCGGGAGGCGGAGCTTGCAGTGAGCCGAGATCGCGCCACTGCACTCCAGCCTGGGCGACAGAGCGAGACTCCGTCTCAAAAAAAAAAAAAAATAAAATAAAAATAAAAAAAAGCAGAGATCCCAAAACAGAACAGAACAATTGTTCCTGAAAACAGAAGATTCCAGTTTACCTGAGTGAGTGTAATAAGGAAGTCCCTCTGTTTTAACTCTTACAAAAAAGCAACCTGATATTAACCAATCAGGTTTTATTTTCTATTCTTCTGTTTCCTTGTTCCTACCTTACAAAACTCACTGTTGTGCCATTGTCCAGCAGGAGCTCTCATTCTATTCTGCAGAATGCAGGCTGTCCCTGATTCATGAATTGCAAATAAAAGCAAATTCGATCTATAACTAACTTTGTTGGAATTTTGTCTTTTGACACTATATGCATATTAGAAATGTAAAAAACATTGAAATACCATCCTGTGGAATTGAGATCAATTCCACGGGAGTGTCAATGTGCCCCTGTTGACTGCTTGGAGCTGGACCCATTTTAAGGAAGCAGAGTTCCCTAGAGGATTTTGATCATGTTAAGTTTAAAATTCGATTAAACTTCTAAATGGAGATGTTAAGTAGGCAGGTGGCTACAGGAATCTGGAGATAGGAGAGCACTCTGGGTTGGAGATAAAATACTGGAGGATTTTGGCATATAAATGGTACTGGATAGGGTTATCTTGAGTGAGAGTATGGAGAAGACAAAAGAGAACATATGCTACGGAGAACCAAATTTTTTGATTAACACTCTAGTCAGGTAATCTTTGAAGTCTTGGGTCAGCAAATCATAGCCCCCAGGTAAAATCTGGACCACTGCCTGGTTTTTGTGCAGTTCCTGAGCTAAGAATAAGAATAATTTCATATTTTTATGGTAGGGAGAAAAATACAAATAATAATATTTCATGGCACATGAAAATTATAAGAAATTCAAATTGATTTTTTAAAGTTTTATTGGAACACATCTATGCCTTTTGTTTATACTTTGTGTATGGCTGCTTTTGCACTGTAATGGCAGAGTTGACTATTTGCAATAGAGACACAAAGCTAGATTTACTATCTTGCCCTTTATAGAAAAAGTTTGAAGACCCATGTATTGTGTGAGAATGTGTCTTGGAACTGCTATGGCCACTGTTGCTGCCAACAGGAAAACTAGACTGAAGACAAAATGTCACAAGGAAGGGGACTGCTGAGATAACTGCTGAGAAATGAATGACAGCTGAGATGTGAATCATGAACCTCTGGATTGAGTCGAGCCAGAAGCTCACCTTACCTCCGGAATCTTCAGTTACATGAACAAATAAATTTCCTTTAGTGTATGACCCAGTTAAAGGTAGATTTTCTATTATCCAAAACCAAATGATTCTTAACTAATACAGTTGTAAGATTCAGATATAATCTCAGCTCTTTTTCCCTTATTATCCCCAAGCTTGACTCAAACCTCCCATTTCATAACCTATGAAAGTCTAAAACTATTCCCATGATTCCTACAAATTCCCCAAAACTTATGTTCTCATGATCCTTGTTCCAGAAATACCATGTTTATGATGCATGCAACTTTTCAACCATTCTACCTCATCACTAGCTTCTCAAACATTCAAACACATTTTACAACCATCATTTTTGTGAGTTTAGTAATTTTACTTAATGTTTGAGGGATCACTGTAATGGGTCACTTAATCCACTGTACAACCTTCTGTCATCTGATGGCTATCTATTCTTTTCTTCTCTTTCTCTTTTATTTCTCCAATTTTCAAAGTAAATAAATTCCTCTCTTTGTAGGATAGGCAGCCATTCCAGTTTGCCTGGAGCTGTCTTAGTTTGGGGATAGTCCCAGATTTTGCACTGAAAGTCAATCTCAGTTCTGGAAAAACTGGGAAGATTTGTGACCCTATCTCCTGTCTCAAGTAATTCTACCTGCTCCTCTGAAGCATCAAAGCTACCCCACATCAATGGCTCATAGAGACCACCTACTCCAACAGACTTATCAAAATACCTTTCTAATCAAGGCACCTCTGTCCTTAAAGGGAATTACTGTACTAGATGTTAAAAAATAAAATGTCTCATCATTAAATGGAAACACATTTAGAACTATGTCATCTTAATGAAATGATGCTTTCATCATTATAAAATGTTTTATTTCACCTCTGGCAGTATCCATTTTTGAAATATACCTTAATGACAATATAGCGACACCAGCTTTCTTATGTTCAGTGTTTACATGGTCTCCACTTCTCCATCCTTCTATTTTCAATCTGTTGGTGTCTTTTATTTAAAATAGAACAATCTCTGTTTTCAAATGAAAGTTTTGGTCCATTTACACTTAATATAGTTAATAATATGGTTAAATGTAAGTCTAGTGTAAGTCATCTAGATTAATAGGTTGACTTTTTTTTTCTTTCAGCACTTTTAAGAAGGCAACCCATTATCACTTGGTCTCCAATGTTTCTGATGAGAAGTCAGCCTTTACTCTTATTGCCCTCTTCCTTAGGACTTTGTGTTTTTTCTTCTGGTTGATTTTAATATGTTTTTCCTATTTTTGATTTTCAGAACTGTGACTATGATTTGCTTGGGTGTGGTTTTCTTTTTATTTATCATGCTTGGAGTTCATTGAACTTCCTAAATCCAAAGGTGGTTAATATTTTAAATCAAATCTGAAAAAATTTTGCCATCCTTTTTTCAAAGGACTCTTTCCTTCCTATCTAGGATTTCAATTTCTTCCTATCTGGGGCTCTTTCCTAACTTCCCTTCCTATCTTAGACTTCAGTTTCACACATGTCGAAACATGAATAGGCCATCATAGCTCTGAAATTTTTGAAAATCATTTTTTTCTCAGTGCTTAGATAATTTCTACTGATCTGTCCAGAAGTGTACTATTTTTTAAAAAAAATTCTGTAGCACCTAATTTGCTAAGTCCATTCAATGAATTTTTAAATTTCAGATCTATTTTTCCAGTTTAAGGATTTCCATTTGGTTCTTTTTCCATTTCCATATGTATCCTGATATCCCCCATCTCTTTATCCATTATAGCAATCTTTTTCAATAGATTATTTTACATGTATATTATAGTTATTTTAAAGTCTCCATCTGCTAATTCTAATACCTGGAACTTCTGGAAATGTGTTGACTGTTTTTTTCCTAGATTGTGGATGATATTTTCCTGCTTCTTTGTATATAAAGTAATTTTTAATTATTTACTGTACATTGTGGGCAACGTCGTTGAGTTTTGTTCTAGCATACAGTTAAATTACTGACAACCACTTTTATCTTATGGAGGTTTGATGGGTGGGCCTATTTTTGCTTTGCTGTTAGGCCTCATTTGTAGTCCTTGGTTCTAAAATCCTTATTCTTAAGGTATTTCCCTCCTAGGGTTTTAATGAAAAGCACAAATAATTTATTAAGTCCCTTTTCCTTGACTGGACTTGAATTACAAAATTTGTCTCTCCAGTACCATGCAGCTGTTGAAATCTCTGAGGCTTTGTTCTTTGAGCCTTTCAGCTATAACTTTCCATTGGATTCTCTGGAGTCTCATCATGTCCATGTGTTGTTGGTAGTCAGCCAACAGTTTTAGGAGAATTTGTGCACAGATTTTAGGGCTCCCCACACTGTCTCCCTCCTTGTTGAAACATTCCCTCCTTAATTTCTAACTACTCTGGCAGACCCACACCCTGACTTCTGAATCCTCAGTTCAGTCATTCAGCCTCTTCCTGATTGCACTCTGTCCCTTACGTATTTTGCAAGATGAGGTGTGTCCTCAGAGAATAGGCTGTTTAAATGTGGACCTCACCTAGTTTGTTTCCATATTTCAAGGATTACCATTCCTTTGGTTTCTGCCTATTTTTAGTCATTCCCCAGGGACTTCAAACATCATTTTAATTCTGATTTTATGATTGTTTGCACTGTTTTTTGATCCAGAGTTCAAAATTGTTATTGGCAAATGGTAGTTCAATAAAAGCCACTCTGCTATCACCAGAAATGAACTCCTATCATTACCATAAAAAAACCAAACCAAACCAAAACAAAACAATAAATAACCTCTGATCCTTCTAGACAGAAACGAACTTCCCCCGAAGATGTATGTAATAATATAAGAATGTAATAATGGTAAGAGCTACCTGTTATTGAGCATCCAGTATGTGTTGGACATTGTTCTAGGTGCTTTATGTATCCTAAATTTACAGACGAGAAAACTGAAGTACAGAGAAGTTAAGGAACTTGGCCAAATTCATGCAGGTGGTAAAAGGAAAGCCAGGACTATCCGATGTCATAGCTGACTCCCTCATCCATGATGCTACGCTGCTATTCAAACATAGGGTAGTTGTTCCTTGATGGAAACAACTTAGAGGAGACTTAAGCTTGTAGTAGAGAATTCAACTAAGTAACTTTTATAGTTCCTTTAAATGTAATAATCTGTTTTCTTTTTTTTTTTTCTTTGAGATGGAGTCTCACTCTGTCGCCAGGCTGGAGTGCGGTGGTGCGATCTCGGCTCACTGCAACTTCCACCTCCCAGGTTCAAGAGATTCTCCTGTCTCAGCCTCCAGAGTAGCTGCGACTACAGGCATGCACCACCACACCCAACTAATTTTTGTATTTTTAGTAGAGATGGGGTTTCACCATGTTGGCCAGATGGTCTCAATCTCTTGACCTTGTGATCCGCCCACCTCGGCATCCAAAAGTGCTGGGATTAAAGGCGTGAGCCACCATGCCCGGCCTAAATGTAATAACCTTCCTTCCTTCCTTTTTTTTTTTTTTTTTTTTTTGACGGAGTTTTGCTCTTGTTGCCCAGGCTGGAGTACAATGGCCCAATCTCGGCTCTCTGCAACCTCTGCCTCCCAGGTTCAAGCGATTCTCCTGCCTCAGCCTCCCAAGTAGCTGGGATTACAGGCATGCACCACCACACCCAGCAAATTTTGTATTTTTAGTAGAGACAGGGTTTCGCCATGTTGGTCAGGCTGGTTTCCAACTCCCGACCTCAGGTGATCCACCCGCCTCAGCCTCCCAAAGTGCTGGGATTACAGGTATGAGCCACTGCACCCGGCCCATAATAATCTATTTTCTTACAAAAATTATAATTCCAACTCAACTAAAAGTATTAATTTTCATGTCAGAGAAATTAATTTTCCTCAATCACCAATCCAGAAATATATACATCAAATAGTATTCCCATATCGACTCAGCTCCTGCAGAACTGTTTCTCTTTTCTCTACTTTTGAATTTGACTTCCAGCACCTCAAGCGGAACTATGTACTTGTGGTTACCTGAATTGCTGAAGCACTACTTGTATATTGTGTTCATTCTGGATGCAATGTCAAGATTGATCAACCAACTTATTTCAAGCAGTTCAAAGAATCAGCCTTTGAAGTCTTGAGAAATAGCCGTTTTGGTGTGTTTTTTCCATACAACCCAAAATATATTTGAAAAATATTTTTAACCAGCAACATTGTTCTAAGAAAAAAAAACACATTATTTTTCCTCGAACAAAAATTAAACTGTTTCTAAGGTCAATAAAAACATTCCTTTCCTTGATATCCCTCCCTTGCTACATGTCTCCCAAATTGTTTTAAACTAATTAGTCAGAAATGGATATTGTTTTGCAAAAATAAAATAAATGACAAATCCTTGAAAGAAAAGTCTACAGTCCTTGAAATGATCTATAAAATGTGTTTTATTTTCCTGTGGGCTGCTATTGAAGACAGTTTTTTAATGGGATGTTATTATCAGGATTCACAGGAAAACTTATTTGCTGGAATGAGTACCAGGATCAGTAACAGCAATGCATCTCCTAAGTATGTAGTCCGTTTTTCCCTTAAAATGCTGTTGATCTATCTTGTAAAGCACTGTATTTACTTGTTAACAAGTGCTGCAGGAAAGCATACAGCCAATCTATGGTTGACTCCCAGTGAATGCAAAGGATGAATGGCACGTTAAAAAAATTAAAAGAAAAAAAAGGGCTCAACTCCTGGCTCCATCTTACTTTTCTACCATGTCTTCCTTGCCTAATTGTTCTTGTCTGGTTTTAATTAATCTTACCATTATTTTGAATGCATACTTATAAGCTACCTTACATTTTTTTGAGCAAGTTCAAATACGAATAACTAAATGGTCTAGATTAGACTGCCACAATTTAAAAAATAAGAACCACTGAACCATAAACAAAAATGGAAAGGAAAACGAGAATGTAAAAAAAAATTCACAAAAATATATAAAAACAGTTTGTATTCCTGTTATTGAGGGATCTTGGAAATCTCAAAAAAAAAAAAAAAGATGAACATACAAGTAAAAAATTGAGCAAAGATCCTGAAGAAGCATGACAACAGAAAAATATACAGTGGACCAAAAAATGTGAAAAACATTCAACCTCAGTAGGAGTCAAATAAACATAAATCTAAACCTAAGAATAAATTTTTGTACAAAGTGGGAACATAAATTTATTTGTTTCCTTGAAATCTACCTACTTTGGTCCCTGACCTCAAGGAGAGGACAGCTATGTAAACAAGCACGTGCAAAATAGAATGAGTGTGATAAGAGCACCTATGTGTTACATGGAGACACCAGGGAGGAAGTGGTACGGACAGGTTCCATGGTGGAGGAGACGTCTGGGTTGAGTCCGGAATGAAGACTTGAGGCCATTAGGTATGAGTCTTTTTTTTAAATTGATGAATAAAAATTGTATATATTTATCATGTACAAACATGTTATTCTGAAATATATATACATTGATTATTATTATAGAATAGGTAAATCGAGACAATTAATATATGCATTTCCTCACATACTTATTTTTTGTGGTGAGAACAGTTAAGATCTTCTCTCAGCAATTTTTGAGCGTACAACACATTGTTACCAACCATAGTCATTATTTTGTGCAATAGAACTCTTGAATACATTCTTCTTGTTAACTTGAAATTTTGTATTTTTGACCAACATCTCCTCAACAGCCCCTCCTCTAGTCCCTGGTAACTACTCTCTGCTTCTACGAGTTTAACTTTTTTAGATTCCATATATAAGTGAGATCATGCAGTATTTGTCTTTCTGTGCCTGACTTATTTAACTTAGCATAATGTCCTCCAGGTTCATCCACGCTGTGGCAAATGACATAATTTCCTTACTTTTTAAGGCGGAATAATATTTCATTACATATACACGCACATCCCACATTTTATTTAGCCATTCATTCACTGATGGAGACTTACGTTGATTCCATATCCTGGCTATTGAGAGTAATGCTGCAATGAACACAGGAGGGCAGATATCTCTTAGACATGTTGATTTCATTTCCTTTGGATATATAGCCAGTAGTTAGATCGCTGGATCAGATGTGAGCTTTTTGAAGGAAAGGACTGCCTAAGTGTCACTGCTTGTGTTCACAGTTCCTGGCATAGTACTAGAATTTGATAATTTTTTTTTAAATAAAGAGAAAGGACATTTTTGCCAGGAAGCAGAGGACCAGACTAATGAATAAGATCTATCAAATGAACAAATGTATGCTTGAATGAATGAGCTCAGTTTGTCAGAGAAATACTAATGTGTCTATGAAAAAGAGATTAAATGACCAGCCTCCAAAGGACAAAATGAAGATTTAATTTTTTTCCCTCCTATGGATCATTACATATACTTTATTACTAGGAAAACAAACTCTGGACAATTCCTTTGGCCCTAATTACATCTTGATCATTCTAACTGCATTTCATCCAAACCCCAGCAGGCCTAAACATTTTCAACTTGAGCATTTTCCCAGCCAATAAGCTCTGAAAAGGCCTGTCTATGTTACACTTAGGGAATATAAACAGTTGACTTGAATCTCAATACTTTTCTGAACATTGTTTTGTTTTATTTCTGGCTATTAGGGAAAATAATTAGATAGGCTATAGAAAATGTAGTTAAATATTAACAATGGTTATTTTACAGTGGTTGACTTCTGGGTAACTTATTTTCACCTTTCAGTATTTTGTAGATTTTCTACATTAGTTCCGAATTGCATTTATAATGATAAGAAAAGAAATCAGTCCAATAAATTCTTGTGAATCTTGTGGGGAAAAATTAAATTAGGCAAGTTGTGAAACTACTTAGAAATCTTTGAATTTCTTAGAAATCTACTCAGTTTTCACATCATGTACAATTTAAAGGGATGGTTCAGGGTGGTTTGTACTTGGGCAGAATCTGGTTTTAGACCTATTCCATTCTAAGCTGTTAAATACAAAATGTATGAAAGTTATCTTAAATATCAAACAGGAACAAAAGCAATTCATTTGCAATTAATTTTGAATAGTTGAAAATGGTTATTTTACAGGGTTTATATATTACAGGTTATGTTACAAATTATTACTCGTTGTAAAAAAATTCCCATCCCTCTTAACCCAGCTTTTTAACTAATGAATTTAATTATGAAGAAAACTGCTGTCACTGAAACCTTCTTCTTAATCATGCCTGTACTTATGACAAAAAATATCTGTTGCTATAGAAATTTTAGAGTCAAAGTTGCAATTCATAAGGCTCTACTGAAGTGGAAAGTAGAAATAGAAAATGAGTGTTAGTAAAGAGAAACTTCTTTCTTAATATATTTTTTAACATCAAAATTATGGATGATAGATGGATTTTACAAGTAAATCTCATTTTGCATAACAGTCATGTAAAAAGTTCTGCATATATCTAATTTTGGAAAATCAAATAATTTAAATTATAGTGAGGAACTTACAATGGATAGGAATTGAACAGGGAATCTGACTCAATTTAATTAAACATTTATTAAGGCTCTACTATCTTATATTGAAATTTAATAGTTTCATAGATTGAGTTTTCTAAAATTGGGCATATGTATATAGTTTAACATTAGTTTCAAAATGATTTTTAGTTGTCATTAAAACCCAAAATAATGAAACCAGATGTGAACTACTCAGTTCCAGTCATATAATGAGATGAGAATCATAGTTCAATTTATTAGTTATTTACTGATAGGCGAGCCAATAACTATACAAAGCTTGCCAACCAACAAGATGAGGAAGGGAATCGATGTGTTTTTAATTTATGAAACACATTATGTATGCAAAAGAAGTAGAGACTAATATAACAAACATTCAGCTTAAGACAGAAAATTTTACAAAGACAAATGAAACCTCCTGAGCATTTTCCCTAGATTTCATCCTCCCTCCTTTATCCAAGAGGTGACCACAAACCTGAATTTGGTGTCAATCATTAATGAACTTGTGTTAAAAATATTTTTAGTATATATGTACTCATCCATAAATACTGTATTATGTTGTTTTGCCTGTGTTTAAGCTTTATACAAATAGTATACAATGGTATCTTCTTACATATATCCTGCAACACTTGATTTTCTTTTGCTAAACCTGCTTTTGAGATGAATCCAGATTGATATATATCTCTGTTATTAATCCATTTACGAATGTTGTTTAGTTATTCATTATTTACTTATTTGTAACTTCTATAAAATATTCTCTTGTATGACTATGCCACTATTTCTTTATCCATTCCACCTGATGGATATTTCATAGGTTTTCCTTTGTTTTTACTATTATAATCAATGCATCAGAAATTTGCACAAGTCTTGTTGGGCAAATGGGTGGGAGCTCATTTTGTAGAATATACCATAACATTTCAAATGAGAGAAAATGGCAAAGAGTAGTTAAGCAGTGGACTTCTGGGTTCACTGTTTTCTCCCCTAACCCCATTAGGGGCTTGTTCAAGCCTATGCACACATAGATAATATTAAATAAATAATAATATTTAAATCTTTTTTATGGATGAAGATGTGTTGGAAGACATGTATATTTCATTTAAGTTTTCAGGTTTTATGGGCATCCTATAAGTTCCATGATGCATTAGGAAAAACAATGTACCCAGTCTCAAACTGAATGTAACCTAAAGTAATGTGGAGCAGGCTCACACACTTACGACACTCTTGAGCTACTGTCTAAGGCTGTTATATGAAAATACAATACAAAACTATGTGTCCAAGGACACTGTTAAGAGCCAAATGAGCAGGGCACCTGGAAGTACTCTAGGAGTCCTCGGAGGCAGACACCCTTCTGCATGGTCATTTGAACTGGATGGAGGGATTTGCATGATGTTGCTCAAAAGGGGCAGGAAGGGGCAATGCAGACTGCAGGCAGAAACCAAGTTTCTGGAGAGTACATTTCTACTCTCCAGAAATTTACCACTTCCCTCCTGCAGTTCTGTGACGAACACGTTGGCTGAGCTGGGGACTGTGTAAAGTGCCTATGCGTGAAGTGAACCAAGACCACTGCATTTAAGCCTCTGAATAGCTGGCCAGTGGTCAATTTCTAAAGCAATCTCTTGGAGGTTGATATGGAGAAAGATATGGGAAGTGCTGCAGTTTTATTACCTATCACTTAGCTGCTGGCATGGGCTTCTCTTCGCTCTTTCCTGACTTCCCTCGCCTGTGTCTGTTCCCCTTCTTCTCCCCCTTTCAGTTTGCCTCCTGTCATTCTCTGTTATAATTAAAACAAATAGAAAACATTGCAGGTGTCTGCTATAAAGCATTTGCAGATACTGTATATTTTTAAAAACCAGCTGCAAATTGTGTAATTTGGTCTTTAAAAAAACTCTGAAAGACATTTCTGGAAATAAACACATCTTTCATCCTGTAGATTTTGAATTTTCTTTTTGTTTGTACTTCAGCCCAGTTCATCATCATTTCCTTACCGCCTTGCACAGAAAGTTACAGCTTTAACCAGTGAGTGTTGCTCCTATTTTAGAAAAGATGGGGAATTTTGGAATGATGGTTTAAAACGGGGAAACTGTTACTGTATGGTCTGGTGCAGTTTTAGACAGTATTTCTCTCAGGCAAAACAACACTCAAGAATAACAGCATCTGTAAGAACTGAAAGTGAAGAAAAAGTAAAAAAAAAAAAGTGCTGAAATGTTATCTGCAATAGTTGGAAGAGCTCTGCCTTCCCCAGAGGAAACCAGTATATTAGCACAAATAACTGATAACATGGGGGACCCCCTTCCATGGATTATTGGGGCATCCATTCAGATCTGCAAGTCATTTTTTAAAATCGGCCCCCAGGGCAGATGACAGGTGTCCCAGTTTTAGCTTGAACCTCAACTATGTCTTCCTCTCCCTTTACTATCCAATTTCCCAGAGCCATGGAGTGGGTAGAAGGGCAGAGGAGGCCAGCTTAGCGATGAAGAGCTCAGATTCTTCCGGGAGGATTTAAATCCTGGCTCTACTTCCGACTAACTGTGATTGTTAGCCAAGTTATTTAACTGCCTTATGTTTTTGTTTCCTCGTCTATAATATGGGGTCAGTAATACTATGTGCATCGTGGTCATAATTCTTGTGAAGACAGGAGGGAGAAAATGCACTGAAGCACTTACAAATATGTGCCTGTCAGGTAAATGCTCCAGAAAGGGTAGGCAATAATGTTAGCGGTAATGATGGTGGAGTGTTGGTGATACCTCTGCCTCCCTCCTTTTTTTAGAACTCCATAGTGCCATCTTTCCTGGATTATATCCATCCATCCATCCATCCATCCATCCATCCATCCATCCATCCAACAAATATAGACCTATGTGCCAGGTATTGTTCTAGGGTTCTATAAAAATAGTACAAGCACTTACATTCACTAAAGTAAAGAAAAACAGAAAGTATCTAACTAGTAAAAACTTACTAGTGACAAAAACCAGAAGATGGGCATTTATATTCATGGGAAATTAACATGAGGTTGAGGTAAATGGTCTTGGTTATGAGTCATGCTGTTTCCACACCTGTATTAAATGTGTAGGTACTTTGTTGCACCTTTCTTGACCTTGATAACTAGCTTTGCATAATAAATTAAACTCTCACCATTGAGAAATGCAAACCCTTCAAAGTGATCTCCAACTCAGCAAAGAAACGTGTAAACCCCAGCCTCAGACCAAAGGACTCAGAAGCCATCTTCACATAAGAGCCATTACCATCCAAATAGCTTTTCTGTTTGAATCAAACTTTATTTCATATGAGGGTATAGACATCATGCAACAATTTTTCCCTTTGAATTCATGAGTAAATATTTGGTTCTTTTTCTCTTTCATTAAAAGATGGTTTCCTATCAGTCTTCTTGTCTTTTGTTTCTTTCCCTTTCATTATATCTTGCATTCTTATCTGCCCTGGAGGCCAGGCCATCATTCATTCCACTCATTCCTTTCATTCTTCCAATATTTATTAAATGCGTACTAGTGTCAGGAACTTGTCACTTCTCTCCTCAGTCACTTGTAATGGCACCCTATTATCTACTGATTCAATCCTGAAGTCTTCATTCTAGTTCCTCCTTACAGTTTGTTTTCCATCATGACTGTGCACACTCCAGGTAGGTCACAGTCAAGTCCTTTGACTATAAACCATATGTATTTTTGTTTTTATGCCTCTGTTCTCCTTCAGTGTGCCCCCTTCTAGCAAAATTTTTTAACAAATTTTCAACTACCAAAATCTTCTTATCCTTAAATGCTTTGCTAAAGGCTTGTTTCCTCTACATATATTCTAGAACAATTCTACCTTCGCTTTTCCCAGACTTTAGAACTTCATAGATGTCTACATTTAAAAGCTTAGGTAGTAACATAAAATTTCTACTTTTTCTTATATTATCAAAGGAGACTATTTTAAAATGTCAACTGCCAGCTACTATTACCGTTGTTTCATTTTTTTTTAAAAAGGCCTTTTTAATACTAGTAGGAAATTCAGAATAGAGGATGATACATTAAACCAATTTAGCTTTAGAAAAACACATTTGTGTTGTTATTTTTTTAAACCATGAGTATTCATTCACTGACTAGCATCTGGGAAGTATTCACATGTGGCATTTTTAGACACTAGACAAAATGAGTCAGAAATGCACGGTCCTTTTCCAATTTGGCAGGGAAACAATGCTCCCAGCACTCTATTATTACATCAGGCATTGTGCTAAGCACCTTATTAATTCAACTCACCTAATTAATACACACAGCAATCCTATGAGATAGATACCAACATCCCCATTTTACAGATGAAGAAATAAAAGCTTACAGAATTTAAGTTAATTCTCCAAAGTAGCAAAGCTAGCAAATGGCAAAGTTACTATTTAAACCCAGGTCTATACAATTCTAAAGCTGGCACTCTAAAATTCTATGCAATATTGCCTCTCAGAAGTATAAAATATGGAAGGTCTCATTTGCTACAGATTTTTTCCCAAGCCATTTAGAGAATTTCCAAAGTTGAAATTACCACATGTCGGGGTTTAATTGAGGGTTTTTCAAGACTAGCGTTAGTGACATTTTGGGCTTGATAATTCTTTGTTGTGGGAGCCGTCTTGTGCCTTGTAGGATGTTTACTCACTGGATGCCACTAGTACTCTACCCGTGATAACAACCAAATACGTCTCCAGACACTGTCAAATGTCACCTAATGGACAAAATCACTCCCAATTGAGAACCACTGGTTTAATCCAATCTTGCTTTATGGACCTGTCCAAAAACAACCTAAACATAAATGACTCCAAATGTGAAAACAGTTGCACTGCACATAAACTTGTTTTCTATGAATAGCTCTGTAAGATAGTTTTAATAAGCAGCAGCACCGTCATTTAATTCAGGTACAATTTAAGACATTCCTCAAAATAATAATTTTAAAGAAATTTAGCTTGTGTAAAAAAACAATTTTATGTTTGTTGTTATAAGAGGACCGTTCCAAAAACTTAGCTCAAATGAAGAGAAACAACAACAATTAAATCCTGTATAAGGTTACCGTGTATAGGATATTCAGGGAATAATTGACACTATCCAGTTGAAAAGGCTTCCTCCTGATAAAATGCAACCATTAGCCAGATCAAAAAGTCTCTCAAGATTGAATATAGACGGCAGTGAGATATCAAATGGGACCTGAGGAAAAACATAAAAGTGTTCATGAAATGCATTGTTTCAAACTGTTGACAAAGTTCTCAAAATACCCAAATAGCAATTTCTAATAATTTTATATGAAAGATAGCTAACTTGTGTGTCTCAGGTAAGGCACAAAGTTTCATACCTCTAAACTGCTGAAATGGCACACATATCATTCTACATCCTATTAAACAGCAAACACTTCTAAAAACATGGACTATTTGTATTTAGGTAATCATTGTACATGGTTCTAAATGTAAGACTTTTGGCCCTTCTCCTAATAAAACGCTTTCCTGCATAACAGATTGACCAGTTGGCAAATCTCCCTCTCTCATTTGGAGCATAAGTCTTGACACAGTGAAGAAGGATGCACCAGGAAGCTATGTTTGGAGATCAGTGTATCTAAAAGAGGCACCGTGTTATCACGAGCGAGAGCTAGTACAGCCAAAGTCATCCTGGGCAGGCTGAAAAATGGAAAATAAAGACGGCTTTTGTGGTCATAGAACTGGTTATTGATTGGGGGAAGGACAGGGAAGAGAGAACAAAAATGACGGAAAGAAAACAAATGTTTGCTGGGGACCCACTTCATGCCAATCTAGGTATATACTTGTGTAGAATGACCACAATGAGTTACAGCCTTGTGGGTCTGAATCCTGGTTAAAAAAAAAAAAAAAAAAAAAAAAATTAGAGAACAAGTTTTTATTAATTTCTTGTCTACTTGTTAAATAAGCCAGTCATTCATTTTATTCTTAAAAAAGCATAATGAACCTAAATGTGAATATTGTATTTGGAGGCTGGTTTTTGTTAACTTTTTTGTCACTTTCTTGGATTAAAAAAATGATAAAGTATTCCAGTGTTTTCTATAACTGCAAACAATAGAGAGGTGAATAAATAAAAAATTAATAATCTCTCCCTTCCTTGATCAATCCTAATATAATCAATGTTTCCAGATTGGAGAGTATCCTTCCAGATGGTTTTTTTCTTTTTTTTAAAAAAATGGAATTATTAGGTTGCCATTATTGGCTTTTTCAATTAGCAATATGTAAGACAAATCCCTCCTTAATCAATTCAGGGAGACAGAATAACTACACAGTGTTAAGAGTGTGCATCCTGGGGTCAGGTGTGGTGGCTCACGCCTGTAATCCCAACACTTTGGGAGGCCAAGGTGGGAGGATCACAAGGTCAGGAGTTCAAGACCAGCCTGGCCAACACAGTGAAACCCCGTCTCTACTAAAAATACAAAAAATTAACCAGGCATGGTGGTGGGTGCCCATAATCCCAGCTACTCGAAAGGCTGAGGCAGGAGAATTGCTTGAGCCCAGGAGGCAGAGGCTGCAGCAAGCCAAGATCATGCCATTGCTCTCCAGCCCGGGTGAAACTCCATCTCAAAAAAAAAACAAAAAACAAAACAAACAAACAAACAAACAAAAAGTGCATTCTGGAGTAGGACTGCTTGTTTCAAATTCAGACCTCACCACTTACCAGCTATGTGAAACTGGGTAAAATGTTTGATCTGTTTGAACTTTAATTTCCACATGCATAAGCTAGAAATTATCTATTTTGAATTGATTTTTGTATATGGTATAAATAAGGGGTCCAGCTTCAGTCTTCTGCTTATGGCTAGCCAGCTACCCCAGCACCATTTATTGAAGAGGAAGCCTTTTCCCCATTGCTTTTTTTTGTCACCTCTGTTGAAAATCAGATGGTCATAGGTATGTGGCAACATTTCTGGGTTCTCTATTCTGTTCCATTGGTCTATGTGCCTGTTTTTGTACCAGTGCCATGCTGTTGTGGTTACTGTAGTCCCGTAGTGTAGTTTGAAGTCAAGTAACATAATGCCTCTAGTTTTGTTCTTTTTGCTTAAGATTGCCTTGGCTATTTAGGCTGTCTTTTGGTTCCATAATTTTAGTTCCATTAATTTTAAAACAGTTTTTTCTAGTTCTGTGAAGAATGTTGTTGGTAGTTTGATAAGAATAGTGTTGAATCTGTAAATTGCTCTGGACAGTATGGCCATTTTAATGATATTGATTCTTCATTTCAATGAGCATGGGATGCTTTTCCATTTGTTTGTGTCTTCCCTGATTTCTTTGAGCAGTGTTCCATAATTCTCATTGCAGGGATCTTTCACCTCCATGATTAGCTGTATTCCTAGGTATTTTATTCTTTTTGTGGCAATTGCAAACAGTATTGCCTTTTCAACACTATACAAACCCTGAAAGATAACCTAGGCAATACAAAGCTGGACATGGGAATGAGCAAAGGTCTCATGACAAAGACACTAAAAACAATCACAACAAAAGCAAAAATTGGCAAGTGGGATCTAATTAAACTTAAGAGCTTCTGCATAGCAAAAGAAACTATAAGAGTAAACAGACAACCTAGAGAATGGGAGACAATATTTACAAACTATGCATCTGATGAATCTCTAATATCCAGCATCTATGAGGAACTGAAACCAAATTTACAAGAGAAAAACAATCCCACTAAAAAACGGGCAAAGGATATGAACAGACACTTCAAAAGAAGACATACATGCACCCAAGAAGAATATAGTAAAAGCTCAATATCACTGATCATTAGAGAAATGCAAATCAAAACCACAATGAGATACCATCTCACACCTGTTATATTAAACAGTCAAAAAATAACAGATGCTAGTAAGGTTGCAGAGAAAAAGGGAACATTATACACTGTTGGTGGGAGTGTAACTTAGTTCAACCATTGTGGAAAGCAGTATGGTGATTCCTCAAAGAGCTAAAAGTGGAACTATCATTAGACCCAGTAATCCCATTACTGGTTATATACCCAGAGAAATACAAATCATTCTACCATTAAGACTTCAGACATGTGCACACAAATGTTCATTGCAACACTATTCACAATAGCAAAGACGTGTATATTGATCCGTTTTCATACAGCTATAAAGACCTGCCTGAGACTGGATGATTTATAAGAAAAGAGGTTTAATTGACTCACAGTTCCACATGGCTGGCGAGGACTCAGGAAACTTGTAATTATGGCAGAAAGCAAAGGGAAAGCAAGCACCCTCTTCGCGGGGTGGGAGAAAAGAGAGAACAAAGGAGGAAGAGCCACTTTTAAACTATCAGATCTCATGAGAACTCACTATCACAAGAACAGCATGGGGGAAACCACTCCCATTATCCAATCACCTCCCACCAGGTCCCTCCTTGACACATGGGAATTACAATTTGAGATGAGATTTGGGTAGAGATACAGAGCCAAATCATATCAACATGGAATCAACCTAAATGCCCATCAATGACAGATTGGATAAAGAAAATGTGGTACATATACGCCATGGAATACTATGCAGCCATAAAAGAAGAACGTGATCATGTCTTTTGTGGAACATGGATGAAGCTAGAGGCTATTATCCTCAGCAAACTAACGCAGGAACAGAAAACCAAATACCACATTTTCACTTACAAGTGGAAGCTAAATTATGAGAACTTATGGGCACAAAGAAGGAAACAACAGACACCAGGGTCTACTTGAGGGTAGAAGGTGGGAGGAGGCAGAGGAACAGAAAAGATAACTATTGGGTACTAGGTTTGATAAGGTTTGGCTGTGTCCCCACTCAAATCTCATCTTGAACTGTAGTTCCCATAATCCCCATGTGTCACGGGAGGGACCCGGTGGGAGGTAATTGAATCATGGGGACAGCTACCTCCATGCTGTTCTTGTGATAGTGAGTTCTCATGAGATCTGATGGTTTTATAAGGGGCTTTTCCCTCACCTCACTCTGCACTTCTCCTTGCTGCTGCCATGTGCAGAAGGATGTGTTTGCTTCCCCTCGCACCATGATTGTAAGTTTCCTGAGGCCTCCCCAGTCCTGCAGAACTGTGAGTATATTAAACCTCTTTTCTTTACAAATTACCCAGTATCAGGTATGTCTTTATTAGCAGTGTGAGAACAGACTAATACAGTAAGTTGGTAACAGAAGTGGGGTACTGTTGTAAAGATACCTGAAAATGTGGAAATGACTTTGGAAGTGAGTAACAGGCAGAGGTTGGGACAGTTTGGAGGGCTCAGAAGAGGACAGGAAAATATGGAAAAGTTAGGAACTTCCTAGAGACTTAGAGGGCTCAGGAGACAGGAAGATGTGAGAAAGTTTGGAAGTTCCTAGAGACTTGTTGAATGGCTTTGACCAAAATGCTGATAGTGATATGGACAATAAAGTCCAGGATGAGGTGGTCTCAGATGGAGATGAGGGACTTGTTGGGAACTGGAGCAAAGGTGACTCTTGTTATGCTTTAGCAAAGAGACTGGCGGCCTTTTGCCCCTGCCCTCCCTAGAGATCTGTGGAACTCTGAACTTCAGAGAGATAATTAAGGGTATCTGGCAAAAGAAATTTCTAAGCAGCAAAGTGTTCAAGAGGAAGCAGAGCATAAAAGTTTGGAAAATTTGCAGCCTGACAATGCAATAGAAAAGAAAAATTCATTTTCTGGGGAGAAATTCAAGCCTCCTGCATAAATTTGCATAAGTAAAAAGGAGCCAAATGTTAATCACCAAGACAATGGAGAAAACATCACAATTTATGCTCCAGGGCAAGTCAGAGACCTTCGGGGCAGGCCCAGGGTCTAGGAGGGAAAAATGGCTTCAGGGGCCGGGTCCAGGATGGCCCCTCCTGTGTGCAGCCTAGGGACTTGGGGTCCTGCCTCCCAGTTGCTCCAGCCATGGCTAAAAGGGGCCACGGTACAGCTCAGGCCATGGCATCAGAGAGTGAAAGCCCCAAGCCTTGGCAGTTTCCACATGGTGTTGAGCCTGTGGGTGCACAGAACTAAAGAATTGAGGTTTGGGAACCTCCACCTAGATTTCAGAGGATATATGGAAATGCCTGGATGTCTAGGCAGAAGTATGTTGCAGACAGGGCCCTCACGGAGAACCTCTGCTAGGGCAGTACAGAAAAGAAATGTAGGGTCAGAGCTCCCATACAGAGTCCCACTGGGGCACTGCCTAGTGGAACTGTGAGAAGAGGGCCACCATCCTCCAGACTCCAGAAGGGTAGATCCACTGACGGCTTGCACTGTGCACCTGGAAAAGCCACAGACACTCAACACCAGCCCATGAAAGCACCCAAGAGGGGGGCTATACCCTGCAAACGCACAGGGGCAGAGCTGCCCAAGGCTGTGGGGGCCCACCTCTTGCATCAGCAAGCCCTGGGTGTGTGACATGGAGTCAAAGGAGATCATTTTGGAACTTTAAGGTTTAATGACTGCCCTTTTGGATTTTGGACTTGCATGGGGCCTGTAGCCCCTTTATTTTGGCCAATTTCTCCCATTTGGAATGGGTGTATTTATCCAGTGTCTGTACCCCCATTGTATCTAGGAAGTAACTAACCTTCTTTTGATTTTACAGGTTTATAGGTGGAAGGGACTTGCCTTGTCTCAGATGAGACTTTGGAGTTGGACTTTTGAGTTAATGCTGGAATGAATTAAGACTTTGGGGGACTGTTAGATGGCCTGATTGTGTTTTGAATTGTGAGGACATGAGATTTGGGAGGGGCCAGGGGCAGAATGAAATGGTTTGGCTGTGTCCCCACCCAAATCTCATCTTGAACTATAGTTCCCATATTCCCCATGTGTCATGAGAGGGACCTGGTGGGAGGTAATCTAATCATGGGGGCAGTTACCATCATACTGTTCTCGTAATAGTGAGTGAGTTCTCGTGAGATCTGATGGTTTTATCAGGGCCTTTTCCCCAACTTCACTGCACACTTCTCCTTGCTGCCCCCATGTGAAGAAGGACATGTTTGCTGCCCCTTCTGCCATGATTGTAAATCTCCTGTGGCCTCCCTGGTTCTGCAGAACTGTGATTCAATTAAACCTCTTTCCTTTACAAATTATCCAGTCTTAGATATGTCTTTATTTAGAACATACTAATACAGGCTTAATTCCTCAGTGATAAAATAATCTGTACAACAAAGCCCCAAGACATGAGTTTACCTATGTAACAAACCTTCACATGTATTCCGAACCTAAAATAAAAGTTAAAAAAAAGACATTATAATAGTTCCTATATCATCTTGTTACAAGGATTAAATGAGTTTATTCAAATAAAACATAGAATGGTACCTGGCATACAATGATGACTCAATAAAGGCTACATATGATTATCATTATTGAACACATCCTTTTAAATGGCTACCTAACACTTCATGGACTGGCTGTATCCTGATTTATACAATCATTCCCTATAGAGTTTTTTTCTAGTTTTTATACATGCTTGCTTATTTATATATATTTTTGTACACAAGTGCTTTCAATTTTTGTACTATTGATTCTCTAAAGTTGTTTTTTAGTCATATGCCATTTACCTTTTACACCTTAACATTTATTGCCAGAATTACTTTCCAAATATGTTGGGGCAATTATCATTTCAACCAGCAATATATGAGGGTTTCCCTACACTCAAGGTAATATATTAGAGAATGTTACACATCTTTGTTGTTGTTGTTGTTGTTTTGCTATTTCGCTACTATTTTTTATTCAGAAAAATACAAGAAACATTTTGGCAAGCTAATGTTAACCGGTTTATTAATATGTTGAAATTATATGTGTTTACCATGATTATTATGGTTGTATCTCTTTGCTACTTAACTGCACTAAATAGTCCACCTATTTTATAGTAATGAATTATCTCATGTCTGACTTAATCCTTTTAGCAGATAATCAAGGTAGGAAACAAAGAAATAATAATTAGCATTAATATATTTGTATTTTCTTTTGTGCTCTATTGCTTTCATTGTGGAATACTTTCCATGTTAAAGATAGGAATGGCTTTTTAAAAAAAATAAAGTGGCTACGTTAATTTTACTTAACATTAGGGTTATCTTCACGACATAATTTATATACTAGATACAAATAGAGCATTTTGGTCTCTGACCTTGTCATTGAGCCTCCAGAGACAAGTGGTCATTTGTCAAAGGATGAAGATTAATTGCTTAGTTTATTTATGGAGGCCACGAGTGAAAGCAACAGATTAGAAAGATAAAATAAAGCAGTTGTCACCCAGGAGTTATTAATCCTTGTTGGTTCTCAGGAGAACACAAACTACCCTAAAATGTCAGAACCGACCCTTGTGTTATTATGCCTTCCTTTCTAGACATTCCAGGCATTTTAAGCCTGTTGGTAGACAAGTCAGATGCTTCAAACTTTAGTTATTTCTATCATGCTAAAATACAGTGCTCTATATTTTCCTCTTGCCAAACACAATTCTTTTAAGTAAAAAGTAAAAATTCTTTTAAGTAAAAATTCTTCTGATTGAATTATAACATGTAGACAGAAAAGGAGAAGTCATAAATGTGCAACTTGCATATACACTTTCTTTCAAAATGAATATATTCATGTAATCATCACCCAGGTCAAGAAATAGAACATGGTCAGCACTCAAGGAGTCTCCCTGGTGCTCCCTCCTAGTCACTGACCAGGTGTGTATATATATGTATTTGTTTTTACTGCATATGAATAGAATCTTGCAATATGTAATCTTTCCTGTCTGGCTTTTTTGAGTTTCATCCATGTTGTTGAATGAAGCAATAGTTTGTTCATTCTTATTGATACGTAGTTTTCATTGTATGAATGTAATACAATTTATTCATTTTTCCAGTTGATGGCCAGTTGAGTTACTTCCAATTTTTTGGTGTTATGAATAAAAATATCTTTTGATGCATATATGTCACATTTCTATTAGGCATATACACCAGGTACATGTATATTCCTCTTTAAGCTGATATCTAAAAATAATTGGATATCTAAAAATAATGTACCTCAACAATTTTCTAATTTATATTTTCCACCAGCTCCAGTTATTCCACATCTTCACAAACTCTGACAATTTCTGTTTAAAACAGTGGCTGTTCCGGTATGTTTTGCATGTGTCATATACCACCATACTATGTTTTTAATGTCACATCCCTGAAAACTAGTAACACTGAACTTAAGTATAGGACTCTGTTGAAGTACAGGTCTTTGGTCCAATTTATATTGAGGTGTCTTTTTCTCATTCATATATACAGGAATTCTTAATATAATCTAGAAACAGGTCCTTTGTTGGGGTATATATAAAAATTTCTCCCACTCTGTGGCTTGCCATTTTGCCCTCTTTATGGTATCTTAAAATATAGTCCAATCCATCAGTCTTTTCTTTATGATTGGTACTTTCAAAAGTGCATCCTATTTATGAAAGCTTTGCTAACACCAAGGTCATGAAGATAATCTCTTATTATTTCCTCTAGCTTTATTGTTTTATCTTCCACATTTATTGCCACAATCAATTTGGAATTCACTTTGTATATTCTGTAAAGTAAGGGTTGAGGTGCATTATTTTTAGATATCCAATTGACCCAACTCATTTATTGAAAAGATGAGTTACCTCTGTCATAAATCATGGGATTGTATATGTATGGATCTCTTCCTGGACTTATTATATAGAAATACAACGGAGAGTCCAGATAGATGAAGAGAGAGCATTTCTATTCTATAAATATATAGAGACTATCTACCTACCCACCTACCTACCTATCCTCTCTAACTCTATTTATCTATACTTACAGCAATCTCATGCAGTGTTATTGTAGCTCTTTAATGAGATTTGATAGGTAGAAGTTTAAGTCCCTCCACTTTGTTCCTTTTAGATGGTCTTAGCTATTCTAGGTCCTTTGTATGTCCATGTGAATTTTCTGGTACTACTATAAATGAGAGTTTAATTTTTTAAAATTTCTGATTATTGCTTCTGTTATATAGAAACAAAATTTATATTTCCAGTGATAGTACAGACAGCAACTTTGCTAAATTCACTTATTCATTCTAAGAGTTTTTCTGAAGACTATTTTGGGTTTTCTATGTCTGTGAATAATGAAAGCTTTCTTTCTTTCTTTCCCATACTTACACCTGTTAAAAATTCTTCCTTTATTTCACAGGCTAAGAACTCCCATACAATGTTAATTAGAAGTGATGATAGGGTATTATTAACATATGACTAGTTGATTTTACAATTCAGGAGACAGGAAGGTTTTTTAAATGAATAGTATAGAAAAGTTGTCTGTTATTAAAACTACATCCTTATCTTTACTTATATCCTGTACTATTTTTGTTAAATTTATTCCTAGGCATTTTATAATTTTGCCACTATTTTAAAAATTTCCATTTTAAATTATTATTCCTAGAAGAAAGAAATTATTAATTTTTATATCCAGCCACTTTATCAGATTCTCTTAGTTCTAATCATTTCTAAAAACGCTTGGGTTTGGGTTTTAAAATGATAGTATTTACAAATAAATATAAGTTTGCCTGTTATTTCTTAATATTTATGTTTACAGATTTTATTCTCTTGCCTTATTACAAGAGCTAAAACTTTCAAAATAATCTGGATTCACAGAGGAGATAATGAGCTTTATTATTTGGAAAAACTGCTACTTAAATTAGGAATAGAATTAGAATTAGGAAACCACCTAAATATGGTCAGGATACATTTATGAAGCAAACATTTTACTAAATATTAAAAATTAAAAAGCCACTACCTTCGAAATCATGAAGACAAGTTTTTAAAATGTTAAGTTAGGTGAAAATGTAAATTTATTTCATAGTCAAAGCACATCAATGTCATAAATATTAAGTGAACGTGAATGTGCTTTAGAAAGTCAGAGTTATACCTTCTCCCCAGAGAGTTCAAGATTCTAAAAAAAAAATAAAATTTACATAATTTCAAATAAAATGATAGCATTAAAAGGTAAAGTATTTCTTTCAGGACCTGTATTAAAGTGAGCCCACATAACTTTTTACAAAGTGATATGGTTTTTACACTGATATGGTTTGGCTCTGTGTCCCCACCCAAATCTCATCTCAAATTGTAATCACCACCTGTCAAGGAAGGGAACTGGTGGGAGGTGATTGGATCACGGGGGTGGTTTCCTCCATGCTGTTCTCCTGATAGCGAGGGAGTTCTCAAGAGATCTGATTGCTCGATAAGTGTCTGGCATTTCCCCTGCTTGCTCTCTCTCTTGCCTGCTGCCATGCTCTCTCTCTTGCTTGATTCCCCTTTGCCTTGCACCATGATTGTAAGTTTCCTGCCATGCAGAACTGTGAGTCAATTAAACCTCCTTTCTTTACAAATTACCCAGTTTCAGATAGTATCTTTATAGCAGTGTGAGAATGAACTAATATACACACCCATGAGACCTAGAGACTTTAAGGGACTTGCCCAAGGTCTCTCAGCTATTTAGTATCAGAGCCAGGATCCACACCTAGGAAGACAGGCTCTCAGAACATGTCCCTCTCCAATCTGCAGCACTGCCACTCCCCTACCTGACAACTATGCTCTGAGTTCCCTCCCGCGATGTCTGTCAACCATTGGCAAGTCCAAGGCTCTCCATGAAACGCTCCTGCTTCGTGCAGCCTCTCCCACTCCCCTGAATCAGACTCCTGCTCCGCCCTTGGCTCAGTGCTATTTTTTTTTTTTAAGACAGAGTCTCACTCTCTGGAGTGCAATGGTGTGATCTCTCACTGCAACCTCCACCTCCTGGGAGGCCATTGTCCTGCCTCAGCCTCATGCCCGGCTACTTTTTTTTTTTTTTTTTTTTTTAGTAGAGACAGGGTTTCACCATGTTGGACAGGCTAGTCTTGAACTCCTCACCTCAAGTGATCTGCCCGCCTCGGCCTCCCAAAGTGCTGGGATTACAGGCGTGAGCCACCGTGCCCGGCTGTGCTCTCTTGGCATGTTTTTCCAGCTCAGCTTTTGGAAATTTTACAGACGACTCTAGGGCTGCCAAAGGGAATTAGAGATCTTTTATGTTTGCTTGCTTGTTGTAAATATCTTTGAGTCCAAATTGCCCGGGAAAGGGTACCAAGGTTCCATTCCCTAGGTCAGGAAAGGCTTTGTGGAGATGAGGGAATAAAACAGACTGGCAGATAAAAGACTGTGAATTAGTTAGTTCAACTAGGTTACACTTGAAGGAGCTATTTGAAAGAAATGGTGATGATTTTGTCTGCCTAGAGAGGATGAAAGTCTGAAATAGTAAGAAGAAGGGAAAGGAAATTAATCAAGTGGGGGCATACTGCAGGGGGTTCATTAAAATCTGGCCTGAATTGAACTTGTCTGGGAAAGTTTTGAAAGCCATTACAGAGTTAAAGGTTATTTGCCAATGCTTTATTTTATATGAGTTTCTGCATGATTACTACATTCTATCATAATAAAGATTTTATTACTTGTGCTTTTGTGTTCCAACAATTTTCCTTAATCAAAAGGAAAATCATGTAGTCTTCAAAGAATCTACGATTTTTCTCAATCCAATTAGATTTTGTTGAGCACCTACTCTGAGGCCTCTTCCTTCTCTCTGCACACTGTCAGTTACGTTTTCATCAATTCTAAGCGTTCCATGACCAAAAGAATAGAGGTGGAGGAGCCAAATGCTTACTAATCAATTAGGCATGCCTATTCTTTTAATTGATAAGTGGGATATTGAACAATTGAGAGACTTGTGATATGGATGGATTTAACTTTGCCTCCTTTCAAAAACCTTAAAGCACAGGGAGCAAGAGCCATGAAAAAAAACTTTAATAGCTTAAAGCAAATAGTATTTTCATCCAGCATTCTCACATATGAGTTTCTCCACCATATTTTCTATTTTTTCTTAATACATCACTTTTCTCTGAAGTTAATGATTTATTGGATTTTTTTCTAGACTGGGGAAAAACATGCATTCTAAAGTAGAAAGGATAATATGACACGAGCTTACTTAAGAATCAATATCATGAATGACTGGTGATCCATCTCATAAAGGTTCCAGATGAGAGGGACCTAGATATATTTGCTTTCACTGTACTTTATATGATTAAGAAAATCCCAATACCAGCAATAATAGATAATATTCTCCCCAATCTAACAGGAATAGCATCCAACTCTCAGGAAGGTAACAGGGCTTTTCCACAGCTCTGCCAAACCATAGAAATTTCACACTTTGTGAAGAAAGAGATTATCTTTTCATCACCCTAACTTTTGTGTTAATAAAACTTTAAATATGACAAAAAAGGGGTTTTTTAAACATAATATGAGATCAAATGGTTATATTGGTGAGACAGTAGAAATCTTTTTTTTTCTTTCTTGAGACGGAGTCTCGTTCTGTTGCCAGGCTGGAGTGCAGTGGTGCGATCTCAGATCACTGCAACCTCCACCTCCCAGGTTCAAGTGATTCTTCCTGCCACAACCTCCCAAGCAGCTGGGACTACAGGCACATGCCACCACACCCAGCTAATTTTTGTATTTTTAGTAGAGATGGGGTTTCACCATGTTGGCCAGGATGGTCTCGATCTCTTGACCTCGTGATCCACCTGCCTTGGCCTCCCAAAGTGCTGGGATTACAGGCGTGAGCCACTGCACCCAGCCAGTAGAAATCTTTTAATATTAAATATTAAATAAATAACATTATTTTGGTTGGGCACGGTGGCTCACGCCTGTAACGCATTTTGGAAGGCTGAGGCAGGCGGATCATTTGAGGTAAGGAGTTCAAGACCAGTCTGGCCAACATGGTGAAACCGTCTCTACTAAAAATACAAAAATTAGTCAGGTGTGGTGGTGCATGCCTGTAATGCCAACTACTCGGGAGGCTAAGGCAGGAGAATCACTCAAACCTGGGAGGTAGAGGTCACAGTGAGCCAAGATTGTGCCATTGTACTACAGCCTGGGCAACAGAGCAAGACACCGTCTCAAAAACAAAACGAAACAAAACAAAAATAACATTATTGTAAAAGGCATTTTGCAGAGAATAAGAAAATTGGAAATTAGAAGATGTAGGAGAGAAAGCATTTGTGCAGAGAATTGGTTCAAATGTTACATTGTCTAAGAATAGAAGAATAGATTATTCTTGAATCACCATCACCATCACTACCATTGTCATTGTCACTTTACAACGACAGAGCCACAGCTGTGCCTGGCATTTCCTTGAGCTCTAGAGCAGAATGTACCTATTAATAAAGGACAGTTCTTGCTTAGACACATCATCCCACATGCACAGACAACCAAACATTTCAGCCAAATCCAAAACATTTCAACAACATGAGGGGTTCTGTCTCCCTTCTCACATCTAAGTGGATGTTTTGAACAGTGGCCTCTTTATTGGAATGCATAAGAAGCACCTCCATGAGACAGGATATATTGCAGGAAACTGCAGCCACTGAAATATATGTTTAAAAATCAATTTCAAGTTATGTTTATTGTTTAGAGTTGTGGTACAATAAAAAATAAACATTTGGTCTTTGTCCTGGGTTCCTGGCACAGAGCTCCTAAAACAGTTGGAACTGACCATCTTTTATATACTAAGGGGTAGGGGGAGTGATTAAACCCAATCACCAATAGCTGATGATTTAATCAATCATACCCATGTAATAAAACTTCCATAAAAACGCATAAGGATGGGTTCTGGGGAGCTTCCGGGATGGTGCACAAGTAGAGCACAGGGAGGGAGGGGAGCTCACCAGGAGAGTGCTGGGAGGGAGGGCAGCTCACCAGGAGAGTGCTGGGAGGGAGGGCAGCTCACCAGGAGAGTGCTGGGAGGGAGGGCGGCTCACTGGGAGAGGGCATGGCTGCTTCTTGCCCCTTCCCTGTGCTCTGCCCTATGCATCTCTTTTATCTGGGGTTCCTGTATCCTTTATAAATTGGTTATCATAAATAAAGCACTTCCTGTGTTCTGTCAGCTGTTCTATCATATTACTGAATCTGAGGGGAGGGTCCTGGCAACTCCTAAATATCTAGTTGGGCAGAAGTGTGGGCATTCTGGGAACCCCATTTGCAGCTGGCATCTGAAGTGAGGGAAGTCTCACAGGACTGAGCCCTTAACTGTGGGGTCTGTGCAAACTCTGGGTAGTTAGTATCAGAATTGAATGGAATCATTGGACACCCAGTTGGTGTCAGAAAATCATAGAATTGCTTGGTGTCAGGAAAAGCTGCACAACTGTCATACCTGGTATTATGCAAACCAGGACAGTGCTCAGCTAGAGAATACCTTTGGGGTCACTGGTGCCTTTCCCTCCTTGGCACCCAGTCTGCACGCACAGCCCTTCATACCCTATTCCAGGCTCAGCCAAGGCACCACTTGATGAAAAGTGATAGAGTTGACAGTATCACCTCCACCATGGGCATATGCTCTTTATAGGGAACTATTTAAGAAAACCATTCTATACGACCAAAGGAGACCCTTAAGAAAATAGTGAAAGTTTAGGCCGTACATATTCAGACTTACTCTGACTGCTCAAGACTCCAAGGCCTAGAGAAAAAAGCCTTTGAAATCTGACACCCTACTGTGTAGAAAGAACAGCAGCTCTCTTTCCCCAGGAAAGAATTTTTCAACCTGTAAAGAGCTAATAAAGGGTCCCAAACAGGGAACACTCCCTCTAAACTATCAAAAGCTCCAATTAGAGCAGGAAGCATGAGTTACACAACCAACAACTCTACAATAACCTGCACAGGGTGTAGAGGCCTGATGCAAGTTCAGGGCCAGTGGTTCAGGGCTCATAACTGGGGGCTGGAAGGAAAAGTGGAAGGAAGTGGTTTCCTGGACGAAGTATTTAAGAGAAATGGCTACATTCAATGTGTTAAAAAACTAAATGTCTATTCCTCATTCTCTGTGATTAGATGTGATTAATTATATCTTTACCTTTATTTTCAGGGAATGGTTTTAAAACTTTGCTAAGACCTCATTTTTATACTCTGAGAAAATAGTTTCTGTGAGAAACGAAGCCTGAGTTTATTGACTGGATATAGACCAGGGTCTGGCTTATGGAGTTTTATTTCGTTCATAAATTAACTGTTATGATGGAGGTCAAAAGAGAATGTGACTGAACTATGGGTCATGTTGTATAATGTATTTTTAATCCTAAGTGGGTGACACGTGTATGTTTCTCCTTCCTTCTACATTAAAGAGAAACCTTAAGCCAGGAAGCATGTTTCTTAGTTCCTTTAGACTCTTCTAATTCCAATAAATAGAGATTATGTATTCATCACCAGTCAGGGATCTTCATTTTCTATTTTTTGAGTTCATTGTTGGGAAGCCGACTCTGACATGGAACTTAGCTGTCAGAAAGTTTATTAGGATTAGGGAATACCCTTGAGATCACAAGCCATGGGGAAAGGGAAGGAAGCAGTTAGGCAGAGGGAGAAGCTGGGCTGCAATGCAGTCACAGTAAAGGGCTCTGCCAACCCCATGGGGGAATTTTGAGGCTGGGGTGGCCCTTCAGAGTGGTCCTGAATTGTGGTGGTGGTGGGGTTGGGTCTTTGTACTCCCACATCAACCAGTAATTGGATGTGGGCTTCCCTCCAGAAAGAGTTCATGTCCTTCAGTTGAAAGAAGTTGCTAGAGAGGGTTGAGAGTTGAGGGCTGTCAGCCATCACATTCCCAGAGCTGAGAAAACGAAGTTTTCAATCCTGAAGGGGAGGTTTGGGTGGCTCAATGCAGGAGCCACGACAGGCATGAAGATTTAATTTAGTGGTTATACTACCAATAAACAAATAGCAATATGGCTACATGCATACTACTATATAACCAATACAAGCTGTGAGAGATTTAAAGTAATAACTAAGAACTCATACCAAATTTCCAGATGTTTCTTTTCTGGGTCATGGTAAAATAAGCCTAATACATTTCCAGCATCACTTACATTAATCTATTACTTGATTACCCTTAGGAATACTCCATGCTCTAGAATGTAAGAAAAACTAGAGATTAAAGAGGAGTAAAAATTAGATTCAAAAATAATATCTTCCTGTAAACTTAAATATGAAGAAATTCAATAATTCTACCTGAATTCTAACTTTACTTGAGAAGTTCTGTATGGAAGCTCTAGAACTTTCCATAACACTTCCAAAAGTTGAAGCTAGAAAAGCATGGGTGTCCAGAGAGCACTGAGCCAAGGGAAGGAGCAGGAAACTGAGTCAGGTGGGAGAGGGAGAGGCTGCACAGAGCAGGGGCGTTTCATACAGAACCTTGGACTTGCCAGTGGTTGACAGACACGGTGAGAAGGAGCTTAGAGTATAGTTGGGAGCTGGGGGAGTGCCCAGGTGTGGATCCTGGCTCTGACACTAACTAGCTGAGAGACTTTGGGCAACTCTTCAGGCCTCAGTTTCTCACATGTAAAAAAAGGATGATAATAGTATCTATCTTAACTAGAAAAAGGAATTTGAAGCCACAGGCTTAACTTCAGAATGTACTTATGTATTCATTTCTTACTGCTGCTGTAACAAATTTACCACAAATTTAGTGGCTTACAACATGAATTTATTCTCTTATAGCCCTGTAGGTTGGAAATCTGAAATCATTTCCCTGGGCTAAAGTCAAGGTGTCAGCCGGGCTGGTTCCTTCTGGAGGCTCTAAGGGGAGAATCTATTTATTTGCCTTTTTCAGCTTCTAGAGGCTGCCTGTATTTCTTGACTTGCACCCCTTTCTTCACCTTCATGGCTCATCACTCCTGTCTCTGCTTCCGTCATCACATGGCCGTCTCCTCTTCTGGTGTCAAATCTCCCTCTAGCTCCCTCTCATAAGGATACTTGTGATGACATTTAGAGATCACCTGGATCATCTGCCCCTCTCCCCATCCTTAACTTAATCACATCTGCAAAGTCCCTTTTGGCATATAAGGTAACAGATTCTGGGGGTTAGGATGTGGACCACTGTGGAGCGCCATTGTTCAACCTACCACAACATGTCTGAAATGCAATGGTTTAGTCAATAAAAATATAATATTTGTATCACATTTGCTCCAAAGAGCTTTGGTAGTTGAAGTTATTGAATTATTTCTATTTAAAAATTCATGGCATGCCTGCAAATGCCTATTGTGCCAAAAATTATTAGGTTCACTAAAGTATATACTTGCACCTTTACAATGCTCTAATCACATCCTTGTGTGTTAGATTGAGACTGATAGGGTATAAGCAAAAATTCTGACAGCTACTCCAGGCAGCCTCTTAGAAATGTTCACCCTAATTTATTGTCCAAATTAGGATTTTTTACAGAGTAAAAGGAATTTATGTATTTATGAATCACAACTGTAACTCGACACATGTAAATTGTGATTGTGCCCGGCAAACTGGGATGTATGGTCACTCTATGTAAAAATATCCTGTAAAATCCTCTACCCCTCTTTTCTCCTGCAGTGGTTTCCTTAGAGGTCATGCAGTGCAGACAGCAGTTACAAGTTGAAGGAGAGTCGCCCAACTCTCACTGGACTTTGCATGAGAAAGAAACAACCCTTTATTGCCACTGAGATTTGGTGCTTATTTGTTAGCACAGCAGAACCTACTCTATCCCAACTACAACTTATGCACTGGCAAGCTTGTTCTATCCTCACTGTATTTCTGAAAAGGGGGAAATTCCATTACAGTAAAGGTTTAGTTCCATTTAAACGTCAGGGATTGGAATCTCAGCAGCAAAGTTATAGCAAGAAATGGTATTACTGGCAACCTTATAACTGGGTTCCCTCCTGAAGGGCTCTGTGGACTCTGCCTGTGGGTTTTTGACCTGCGATATAGAAATGAAAAAGCCAGACTCCTAACAATACTTGGCATTTCTTGATGCTTTTTTATGAAGGAGCTCACTGGGCCTAACTTCTAGCAACTAGGAATGGGAGGCTCTTTTTTAGAACAAAGGCTTTATAAAGAATATGAACTAAAGTCTGCATTTTGTTCCTGGGACTTCGTTGCCTAGAATCAAAGCATGACAGGCTTTGTTAGCAGCTCCCACTGCAGTAGCAAACCAGAGGACAGACCTTGTGGGTCCAGTGGAAAGAAATCCTGCTCATGCTGACTTCTTTATTCACATCAGTATACATCACTAGCAGCTGCAAACTGTTCTTATAAGGCAGCCAATAGTAACTGGCAATTTCTTATAGCAACTCTAGTAAAATCTATAACTTACAAAGAAATTGCACATAAATTATTTCATTTAACTCTTTTTAGTATTTCTAACTCAAACAATTAGCCTTTGTCAGTTAATATTAATAAGATGATGTAGAGAAGCAAAGGGCAAGAAAAAAGTAGTAGGAAGGAGAGAAGAGGAAAAAGGAGGAAGGGTAGTAGTAGGCAGAAGAGGAGCACTTTCGCTGAGTGCCACTGAACATTCACTATTTACTGTGTGCTAGATACCGCACAAAGCACTTTGGGCTAATGATAATTCTGTTGCCAAAATAAAATGTGATAATATTCTTAATTTTTTTTTGTTCATCAAAAGGATAGTTTAATGGCTCTCCACAGAATTTAGCTGAATGAAAAAGGCCAATCTCAAAATGTTACATACTATAAAATTCCTTTTATGCAACATTCTTGAAATGACAAAACTGCCAATATGGAGAACAGATTGGTGGTTGCCAGGAGTTAAGGAGGGGGTGGAATTACTAAAGGACAACAGAGGGGATCCTTGCTGTGATGGAAATGTTCTCTATCCTGATTGTATCACTGTCAATATTTGGGTGTGATATGCAGCAGTTTTGCAAGATGTTACCATTGGAAGAAACTGAGTAAAGGATACACAGTAACTGTATTATTTCTTGTGACTGCATGTGAATCTCTACAATTATCTCAAAATAAATAGTTTAATTTAAAAAGGATGGTTGAGAAATAATATCAAGAATATATATATTATCTGCCACAAATACTTACCAAAAAAAGATACATATTAAAATGGTCATTTACTCTTTGAAATTTACAAACATTTAGATAGGCTAAGTAAGAGTTACTAATGAAGGGAGTTGTTAAAGGTCAAATGAACAAATGATTCATTTCACATTATTTTAAGGCTGGAAAAATAAAGATGACCACAATGTATTGAATGCTTACCACTGGCATTGTACTGGCACTATACTAAATGTGTTAAATATTGCTTCTAATGTAATCCTATCGGAGAAATAGCTTTCACCAATTTATAGATAAGGAAGTGACGCCTAGGGAAATAACTTGTCCAAGGTCATACAACCAATAGGTGGCGGAACCAAGAATCAAACTATGTTTTTGTCAACCAAGATACATTGCTTCAGAGACCTTCGACGAATCTAGTTGACCTGAGGTCTTTCAGGACTAATGACTTGTTCGCAAGGGCGAAACTGGGACTAGAACGTGTGCTAAGTGCTCTTCCTAACATATTATGCTACCACAAGTGGTTGAGAAAAGGACATAATGGCATTAGCAGCTTAAGATATAGGTGGAATAGATGCAAAAATCTCAAATGGCTAATGCCCAAAGTCAACAAGGGAAATGGGTAAATTCACACCTGCTTCTTCTTTATTTATTTAAATTTAAAAACATCTGTCAGGAGACTTTCCAAAGGTTTGCCAATTGACTCAGCTCTATGAGGCAAAAATTAAACATCCTCCTAAGATGAAAATATAATTCCATTGCTAAAGGTCTAGTTTTCTAACCAAGGTGAAACTTTTTGGTAAACTGAATGAAGGAAAGGAAACTAAACATTGAACTTGATTTCCAGCAAAATAGAAAGCAATGAACAGATTTGCTAATGATTCCCCTGTCTCTCACCTGCTGTGAACATACACAAAATGACTAAACTTCAGGAAAGTGCAGTTGTATCCAGAATGAGGCCAGACTTGGTTTATCAAGGAGTGCATATACTTCTCATCACGTTCACAGTAAATACACAGTATCAGGTTCATCATGATATCTCAGTTTAAATTATATCCAAGTATTATACCCCCAAATTGCACATCTAACAAAAGTGGAACTGCTACTTTGAGCACGGATAACACAAAGGCTTCAGGTTCCTTGATGAAGGACAGCATATTTCACCTTGACACCTTTGCTGGCAAATCTCTGAGAGATGAGAGTTTTGGAAATGCTATAAACAGCTTAGCCTTTTCTTAGCATTTTGAAGAGCACATTAATAGCCTGGCCTTTTCTTAAGGGCTTTCTTTTTCCCTTAGCCAAATTTGACAGTTAGAAGTGAACAGTAAGTGGATGGAATCAAAGTCAGTGCTGTGTTTTAAAAGTAGTGTGGAATGGATGTCATCTGGCATTGTCTTCAAAAGACTATAAGAATATTAAGTGGATGTCTCATGAACTTACATACAAAGGATACTCTTCACTTGAGGACAGAATGATAATGTCTCACAGAAGAAAGATGTAATTATAGATGCCCATAAAATTTATTCAGACATGTCTTGGTTTGTAAAAAAAAAAAAAAAGAAAGAAACAGAGAAAAGAAAGAAAGTCTGTAGCTCTCAACTTAACCAAAGGAAGTATATTAGTATAATTAATTTTTAAATAATTAGTAAATACCTACTACAGAATATGTAGAATCTTGTAAATGACAGTTTAGAGAGTACTGTCATTACTACCATTTGGGAAATCTTGTTTCAAAGAAATCAAGGATCATACAGTAATGTAATAAAATTTGCCAATGGATATTAAATAGCCTAGCACCATCCTCTAGGATTTTACATGCTAAAAAAAGTGAAGTGGAAGCTCTTCCACATCAATAGGGTACATGCAAGCAAGTCCCATCCAGTACCCAGAAAAACTGCATAGATTATTTCAAAGGTTGCTTTGAGAATCCACCTAGTTTATCCTCTACCGTGTGGGTCTAAACACACTAAAAAATTGCCTAAGCAGGTTCCTAAGAACAGCCTCTGCTCAGAGGAGGAAAATACCTAGTTTTATTGGATGTCATGGTAGATGGCATTTTCCCCAAATGGCTGCAACAATAGTTCCCAAACCACATTCCCTTCTTAAAAGTTGACTTCAAGCCCTCCAGTGAAGGAGTAGAGTCTACGTCCAACCTTGAATCAGAGTGGATTCTGCACTACTGAGGAAGAGTCATTATGTGATTTTAAGGCTAGGGCATGGATGGTGATAGAGCATCTACTTCGTTCTCTTGTGAGGCTCACTCTTGAAACCCTACTACCATGTTGTGAGGAGGCCCAACCAGCCACAGAGAGAGGTCACAAGTTATGTTCCAGACCATGGCCCAAGTCTGTTCTCAGCCCCCAGCCAACAACCAACAGCTGATGGCTGACAACCAGCATCAAGCACCAGACTAAATGAGCCTTCAGCAATTCCAGCCCCCAGCAGTTGAATCATCCCCAACTTTCTAGTTTTCTCAGCCAAACCACCTCATGTCCCAGGTATCTTGGAGCAGAAATAACTTACTCCACTATGCCCTTCCCAATAAGTAACCCACAGAATCTTTGACCTAATAAAATGGTGGTTGTTTTATGCCACTAAGTTTGGGGTGCTTTGTTACATAACTAAAGTAACAGGGACAGATGGGAATGGGAAGATGCGTGGTTGAAAGCGATGTATGCAGCCATTCCTTGCACTTGCATTATTGCAGCCCTCTTTCATGAGTATACTCAGAGGCTTCCTTCTACACTTCGTGTTGTTCTTCTGCTACAGCCCCTCCTTAGGGAATTAAATCTACTTGTAAGGGTCTCATTCCAAGTGAAATCGGATAGCTCTTAAATGAGAGTAATAGTAACTAACTATTTTGCTTACATTGTGGCAGGCACTGTTCTAAGAGTTTTACATGGATTAACTCATTTAATCCACACAATGACCTTGTAAAGTAAGTACTATTTTCATTCTTATTTTACAAACAGAGAGATCAAAGCATTGAGATTAAACAAGTTGCCTAAGATTATATGACTAGAAAATAGAGCTGAGCTGGGATTTGGAGCCAGGCAACTAGACTCTCCAGAGTCTGTCCACTAACCACTACACATACTGCTTCACAAATCCGGGTTCTAACTCTCTCTCAGGGACATATTAATCTAGCCCCTCCATTTGAATGAGCAAGAATCTTCAGACTGAAAAGGCTCAACAGAGCCATCTTAACATACTGACAATGGTTAACAACAGGCTCTGGAGTCTGCCCGACTCGGCTATGACAGTTACCAGCTGTGTGGCTTTGGGCAAGTCTTGTCACCTGGCCCACTTCATTCTCCCCATCTTTGTGCAAAACAATCATCCATTTTAAACACAAAACCATTGTCTTTGTATGTAAGCAAAAGACACATCCCTTCCTTCTAGACTGTCAGCCTTTTTGGGTCAAGGACTCTGTCTTTCCCATCTGATATGGTTAGCTTTGTGTTCCCACCCAAATCTCATCTTGAATCATAATCCCTAGGCATTGAGGGAGGAATCTAGTGGGAGGTGATAGGATCATAGGGGCTGTTTCCCTCATGCCCTTCTTGTGATAGTGAGTGAGTTCTCATGAGATGTCACGGTTTTATAAGCAGCTCTTCCCCCCTCACTTTTTTTTCTCTCTCTCTCCTGCCACATGTAAGACATGCCTGCTTCCCCTTCTGCCATGATTGTTTCTTGAGGCCTCCCCAGCCATGTGGAACTGTGAGTCAATTAAACCTTTTTTCTTTATAAATTACCCAGTCTCGGGCAGTTCTTTATAGCAGTATCAAAATGGACTAATACACCATCTCTGATTCCTCCAGTGAGTCCAGCCCAGTGCCTTGTACTTAGCTGCAGCTTGTAAACTGAGTTGACTTTTTTTTTTTCTAACTTCTCTCTTACTTTGTCTTTGCATCAAGGGCTTTTAGGATTTGTCTCATTCTCTTCATCCCCCTGAGCAAAACCATAAATTATACCCTACTGAGCCTACTGCCAAAGCTAAGGCTTATTTTCTGCTTCGTCTTCCAAAGGTCTTCCTAATCAGCGGAAAATGCTTTCATAAATGCTCTGATCATGTGTGTATCTTTCTAAGGATATTCTATTACTTTCCAATCATTTTCCAAAGCAATTAAAATTTGTAATTATGGGCCATAAGAGCACCCACTAACTTAACTTCATAGAGGGAACTAGTGAACCCTTCTAAAAAGATATCAGAAGTGTATCACCTTCAGAGAAATGGTGAGAGAATGCTAGAAGAACCATGGAGTGCTGCTTAATTCTCAGGCCTCTTTTCCCAACCATGTACTGTAATTGCTTCTGTCATTGTCTGTCTCCCCCACTAATCTGTGGGCCCTCTTGAAAGCAGGAACTCTGGCTTTTACTTCTGTACCCCAGGACCTAGCCCAATGGCTGGTACAAAGGTGGCACTTCACAAATGTTTACTGTACAAATAACTGAAATCAATGGCCTCGAAATCACTGTTAATGGCAGGACTAGAACTGCAGCCCAGGGCTATCTCTAGAAGATGTATCATGAGTCATTCCTGCATTTAACAAACTTTTTTTGAACATTTGTTGGGGACTAAACACTGGGCAAAGTACTGAGAATAAAACATAGCAAGACTCAATCTTATTGTATAAGACCCAACCTGCACTTATACAGGAGACAAATATGCAAGCACATCATAATAACACATTTATTTTGATAAAAACTATTAAGTACAAAGTTATAAACCATGGGCTGGAGAGGAAATTGATGAAAAGAAAACTGTTTGAGTTAGGTTGAAATAGACTGGATGTGTTATTACTCATTTTTACATGATAACTCAGTACCAGATAAGATGCTAGCATTGCAGAGCAATCACTGCAGCTGACAGGCAGGAGTCATAGGGGCTATGAGGGGTGATAAGATATAGGTAGTCACATGATAGAATCAATATATGAGACACAAAATTAAAGGTGCAAATGCCTAAATAAAGTATGTTAACTTACTAGAATAAGAATTATTTCAGTAACCAGCATGTGGTTATCAATATCTGATCATAAACATATCAAAAATTATACTTTTGGGCTGGCACAGTGGCTCATACCTGTAATCCCAGTGCTTTGGGGGAACAAGATGGGAGGATCATTTGAGACCAAGAGTGGGAGACCAGCCTGGGCAACACGATGGGACCTCATTGCTATAAAATAAAATAGCTGGGCATGGTGGCATGTGCCTATAGTCCTAGCTAATCAGAAGACTGAGGCAGGAGAATTGCTTGAGCCTAGGAGTTTAAAGTTAAAGGGAGCTATAATCACACCACTGCACTATAGTCTGGATGACAGAGATCTTGTCTGTAAAAAACAAAACAAAAAACATAATTTAAAAAATCAGAAATAAGAAACTATAAACGTACTAAATTCAACCATATAAAATGGAATGCACATTAATAATGTACTTGATAATGTAGTGTAAATCAATAGAATTTAACCATTATTAAGGATTTTTAGATTAAATTCAAAAAGAAAACATATTGCATAGACTAATTTATGTTCAACAGGAGCTTGAGAAAAAATGGAGATATTACGCTGTAGTGATGTTTTTCAGAGTAAAGGAGAGGCATTTTTTATTACAGCATAGATTCTTAGCTGCTCCTTTCCACCTCAGCCTCTTTGGTGCTGTCAGCTGTCCTGCTAGTAATCTCACCTCCACGTGCCTCTGCTCTCCTCTTGCACCTGCCCAATAAAATAACATGTTCTATTGGCATTTTCAACTCCATTCCTACACTGAGAAAGCTAAGTGTAGTTAAAGAAAGATCAAAAGCCAGGAAGCCTAGTGCCCCAACCAATTTATGACTTTTACATTTCAGTGTGGCCCTCAATCCTTATGTTTTCCCTGGATCAGCTTCCTCACCCATCACACTCAATGACTATGAAATTCAAGATCTTTATCTCTCTGAAGACCATTCCCTCAGCCCGCTGCCTGACTTCAACAGTAGATAAACTTGCCTTTAGTTCACTGAATAACTTAAAACCACTGGGTGAACTCCCCAGCTTCTCCTGCCCTTTTGTTACAAACTTACATCTTTTTCCACCTTGATCTGCCATTCAGAGACCTAAAAAAAGAGGTGTTTTTCCTCTGCTTCCAGTCAACTATCCTACTTGTGCTGTGGCTATCTTTCTGTTCCCTACCATGTCACTTAGGGCTCTGCTCCATCCTTTGTCCTTCTCTCCCCTAGACAGGTAATTTCTACCTGTCCTAGTTCTTTTCCTTTATGACTGCTGCTCTCCTAATGATGGCAGCAGCCACTCCAGATCGCCTACCACTGCCATCACACCAGCTGCAGCAGGAAGGCATGGCTGGGGCTGCACACTCCATGGAGCTAGTGGGAGCCCCACACTCCCAGGGATAGCTGCAGCTGCCCAAACCAGGGCTGTAGACCTGGGCCTCCCACTTCATGGAACAGGCAGGATCCCCACTCCAACCTCCACCCTACTAGCACACCTGCAGCTGCCCAAACTGCAGCTGTAAACTCAGGTATCCCTACATTCTTGGGGGCCCGGGAAGTCTTGGAAGTGCCTGCTCCCACTGCCTGGCTTCTCCTTGCTGTTGGCACCTGCTCCAATCACAGAGCAAAGTCGGGGCCAAGCCTGCATGTAATGAATGGCAGCAGGAGGCAGACAGGTTCCTGGGCAGAAGGGGGCAGGTCCCTGGCAAGGTCCCACTTTCAGGCCAGGGAGGGCCTGAAGGCTGGGGGCTGGGTTGCCAGTACCATTGACCAGAGTGGGGACTTATGGTGCCTTTTCCGGGCCCACCCTTGGCCACCTATGGACCAACTGGCATGCATTCCTTCCCTCTGAGGCCCATAAAAGCCCTGAGTTCAGCCAGGGCAGAGTAGACGATCGGACAACCAGGTGCAGAGAGGAGCTACCCTCTCTGCTGATAGCAGGAGACGTCAGGATTACCAACAGCAGAGAGAAGCTACCCACTCTAGGGCCTCTTCTCTGCTGAGAGCTTCAGAGACCTGCAGAGATGTTGGGACTACCTGCTGCAAAGAGGAGTAACCCACTCCAGGGCC